>NC_000012.12:10834650-11459650 GCF_000001405.40 Homo sapiens
AAAATGCATTATTCATCTAATTTTATTGTTACTATTATATAATACTATAATTTTAATTTTGCCATTGATTATATAGTTGCAATTCTGATGGAAACAGTGAAATCACTTTCTTTTAACTTATTTCAGGCAGATAATTTCATCAATGAGGCTCAATGATCTATCACCAAACATAATAAAAGAAGTTGGATTAAATGAAAGGGATGTGTGCTGAGTTATTTGTTGTCTTCATTTTTGAGAGAATTACCAATCAATTCAGGTGTGTTTATGAGGATTTAGATTTCCTTATATTCATGTAACACCGAAGGTTCCTCAGGACACAGAGAGAAGCCTGTTTCAGTTTGCTGTTCCATAAAATCAGAAAAAAATGAATGACTGAATAGATAGAAAAATGCTAACTCAAGAGCAAAAATCTGTGCCACAATGCTATCTAGATTAAAATAATTTCGCTTTATAATCGTATTGCTCAAATAGTATATAATAAAGAGGAGCAGGAATGAAATTATAGATATTAGGGGATGTCAAACTTATCCTTGCATTCTTATTGTACAAAATTTCCTCAGTTTACATTTAAGCCCACATGTAAAATTACAGCAGAATATTCTGGAAATTGCCCAACAGGTGAGAATAAAATCTATCAGGGAGAGTTTCCAGCGCCTGATCCAATCAATGCAGTGAACCAGCACCATAACTCTACTTCTCTGAATCCCCATTATGAAATCTATAGCAGAAATCATTGTAAGCATATTCTTCAACATGTTTGCCATGCTTGATTATGGGATCTCTGCTTTCTGTACACCACTGATTTATAAATAAGATGTTATAAATTTGTGTATCCAAAGCTTTAGTGTTCAATATGTTTCTTTATCCTGTGCTGTTGATTGACACTGGAAAAGAATGGAATGCCTCCAGTGTGCTCCCAGACAAAGTCCTAGTTGTCTTTGAAAAACGAAAACTACCTTTATTTTTCTCAGAATTTCAGCTAGTGATTTTCAAGGCAGATATTATATTACCTGCTGTTGTGACACTGTTTATAATTTCCTTGTAAAGCTATCAACTAGGATTTGAATTCTGATTTGTTAAAATACAAAATAGAGATTTTAAAATATTTTTTGCATCTTTTTTTCCTTAAGATTTAAATGTTTTTTATTCATTCACCTTAGTTATAAGCTAGAAACATTAAAATATGGTGTCTTCATGGATCTCCTGAGAAGCAAGGCAGTCATTGGGATAAATGCCTATATGAGAAAGCAAGGAGAGAGCGAAAGGTGAACAGAGCTATTGTACTAGGATATAACTTTGACCCCTGTGAAGGAGAGAGAGAGGGAAAGAAGGAAGGTCTTAGGCAGCAGTGCAGTCCTGAGAACATTTCAAGATGTCCAGTAGGGAGTTATCAAGCCCAAGGTGCAAATTAGAGGAGTCCTGAGTCTCCCAGGAGCAGGCCTGACCATTGAATCTGCCCCCTTCTCTGTCTTTGGCTGAAAGCGGCTCATGGAAGTGAATGGGGTGATAGATTTCATAGCATAGGTGCCATGCTTGTTAGCTGTTGGGGAAATACGATTAAAAACAAAGTCTCCTCCCAACCCAGAAAGTCTCTCCACAAATGTAATAGAGAAAGAAAATAGTTTTCTTATTAAATAAATATTAAACCAGAATCTGATATACATTACAGGCAACCTACTAAGAGACTGCAAAGACAGAAAGAGATCTCACCCGTTTTTATATAGCCAATATATGCATATGACCCAATATATACATTTTCTCAAGTTAAGTGATAACTAATCCCCAAGAGAGAGGACTTGGCAGCATTATTTATTACGCATAGTTTATCTTAAATTTACCTGGAAATTGGGGTGGCCATCTGTGTTAGTTAACAGACTTTAAACAAAGGACAAATAAACACAGATCTTTATGTAGGAGATAGTCTTGCCATTTGGAGCCTGGTGGCCATTGAAGTTAGGCTCCTGCTCCCAGCAGAAACTGAGAGATAAGGGTGCTTATTTGTAAAAGAGATGATTAAGCTTCTTTATTTTTAGTGTGTATTTGCCCTTCTGCAGCTAATTGTGCTCCCTCAGGACAGAGATTTCAGAGGCACATTCCTATCACATGCCACAAATGTCTAAAATGACAGTTTATCTTCTTACTCACCTCGCCAATACATATTATGTATAAAGTACCCAAGGTTTAAGTAAATACACAAAATCTGCTTTCTGATACTATATCAGGATCGCTTAGAGTCTGTGGCAGTTTTGAAACATGGCTGCAAACTCTTTGATCCTCTTCCTTTTGAGGCCTAGGGTCTGCAGACCTTCCTCTTAAAACTGAGTGGGCTTGTAACTGCTTTAAACAATGACGTGTGGTGGAAACGACATCATATACTTTCTAAGGCTATCAAGAAAAACTGTATGGCTTTTCCGTTACTCACTGGAAAGTTTCCTCTTACAATCCTGAACCACTTCATAAGAAGTCTGACAAAGTTGAGACCAGCATGCTGTGAGGAAGCTCAAGCCACACGAGGAGGCCACATGTAGGCAATATAGTCAACCATTTCAAATGAGCCCGTACTTCTGATCATCCAAGTCCAGTGATAGACATGAGAGTAAAGGTCTGCTTGGTTATTGCAGCCCCTGCCACTTGAGTCATAGTCCGCTGTCTACATATTCTAAGGTGAAGGTCTAGACATTTTGAAGAAGAGACAAGCCTTCTCATAGTGCCCTGTCTGAATTACTGACCCACAGAATCTGGAAGCATAATAAAGTACTGTTGTTTTACACCCACTAGGGCCTATTGGGGTGGGGGTTGGGGGAGGAGGAACATCAGGAAGAATAGCTAGTAGATGTTGGGCTTAATACCTAGGTGATGGGCTGATCTGTGCATCAGACCACCATGGCACATGTTTACCAATGTAACCGCACATTCTGCACATGTACTTCAGAACTTAAAAGTTGAAGAAAAAATACACAAAATAAAATAAAATAAAATATTGTTGTTTTGTATCTCTGAGTTTTGGACTCAGGGTGTTTTAAAGATCAATGCATAACTAAAATAGAATTATTTAGCACATACATAAGGAAAGTCTTTTACTAGCTTAGTTTTTATTTTCTTAGCATCATTATTTATAGTAGCCAAAAGATAGAAAAAAACCCAAATGTTCATCAATGAATAAATAAATAGACAAAAGGTGGTTTAGTCATGTAATCAAATATTATTTAACTATTAAAGGGAATAAAGTACTGATACGTACAACATGTATGAGTCTTGAAATTATGCTAAGTAAAAGAAACCAATCACAAAAGATCCCATATTATATAATGCCATTCAGTCGAAAGTCCAGAATAGGAAAATATACAGATGCAGGAAGAAGATTAATAGATGCTTAGGCTGGGGTGGGGAGAAAGGTGGGATGATGGGGGAATAGGGAGGTGATATCTAATGGATATGGGGTTTCTTTTTGAAGTGATAAAATGTTCTACAATTGACAGTGGTGATGGTTGCACATGTCTGTGGAATATATTAAAAATCATTTAATTGAACACTAAATGAGTGAATTGTATATTATGTGAACTATATCTCAATTAAAGCATTTAAGGCAAAAACAAGTTACATATGACATTTTTCCTTATAGAATATGTAACATCTGTGTATATTTTTCATAATTTTATTATACCTTGTAGTAACACTATTAGCTCAGTCATCTTTAATTCTGGTGAGGTATAAATAAAATACCAAAAGCTTTACATCATTTCACTTTTGTTGACTATTACTTATTGAGAAACTTTTTACTCTTTGGATGAGACATGATAGGATAGGCTATGCTGTAGCATCTACAATGTAAGTTTCATGAAAGGTTCATTTCTCGGTTCACATTACATGACTAATTGAATTTAAAAATGCAGAGTGAGGTGAGGATAGTTTTCATGTAGTCTCTCAGGAATACAAGCTAGTGGAGTATCTAACACTAAACATGTGTCTTTCAAGTCCCTCACTTAGGAAGAAAAGAGACACGAAGAGCCTTCTTTTACATATGAATATTCAACTGTTCCAAAATGATTAGTTGAAAAGATAATCCTAATCTTTTTTTTTCAGTCTTTAAGTGCTCTTTTCTTTTATTCTCAGCCCCCTTTATTGTTATTATTATTTTCATTTCATTATTATTATACTTTAAGTTCTAGGGTACATGTGCACAACGTGCAGGTTTGTTACATATGTATACATGTGCCATGTTGGTGTGCTGCACCCATTAACTCGTCAGATTTTATGTTTCTTTATCCTGGCTTGATAAAACCCATTGTCTCAGGACTTTTCTTCTAAATAGAAAAGTAGTCTGAAGGCTCGTCCTGATTCATTTTAAGACTGTAGTATTTCTCTTCTGCCAGTTAATATGTTTTCACTTTTTCTATTTTCTTTTTATATCCAATACATTTCAGTATGAAATTTTGTGATGGTCCACTAGTCTGATGTGCACAATTTAGCCAGGAATAAATATTAGTGGATTCAAAATAGGCACTCAAACTATCTGTCCAGATTTTTTAAGTGTTGTTGGTTTTTTTCTTTCTTTTTTTTTTTTTTTCAAATTTCAACTGATGAATGAAAGTAGCTGCCTAGAGAATAATGAGGTGGGTGCCAAACCTGGGTTCATTGAAGGCGTTATAGCACCTGTGCCATGCTATAACTTAGATAAGTGACCTTATCTAAGCCCATGGCTTCAAATGCCACTGAAACTGGTGAATTTATCTTTTAGGAATGGAAGGGCTATAGAGATATTTGATGAAAGAAAACTAAGAGGATTTGTCACCAGAACATCTACCTTTTAAAAGGGGGCTAAAGAAAATTCTCTAGCCAAGAAAAATAAAAAAGAAAGTTTCAAACAAAAAGATTAAAGAAAACACAATGGAAAGGAAGAATGAATAAATTCATCTTCCTTTTCTTCTTCAGTTTGGTAAATGTATTTGACAGTTGAAGTTACAATTATGACATTATCAGCTGTGATTGTAAACTTGATTTCAGTAACATTTGAAGCCATGGGCTTAGACAAGGTCACTTAGGAATAGTGTAGATATCAGGACAAGTAAGACCTCTGAGACAGCCATGTGGGAACTCGACATAGCAAGCAAGCGATGGGGAGCCCCACCCAGTGACTGTCTTCACTCTAGCAGCTCTCAGTGAAGGCTTCTGTATTAGGCCATTCTTGTGTTGCCATAAAGAAATAGAGGGGCCCTGCATGGTGGCTCACACCTGTAATCCCAGCACTTTGAGAGGCAGAGGCGGGCGGATCACGAAGTCAGGAGATTGAGACCATCCTGGCCAACACGGTGAAACCCTGTCTCTACTAAAAATACAAAAAATTAGCCGGGCGTGGTGGCGGGTGCCTGTAGTCCCACCTACTCAGCAGGCAGAGGCAGGAGAATCACTTGAAGCCGGGAGGTGGAGGTTGCAGTGAGCCAAGATCGCGCCACTGCACTCCAGCCTGATGACAGAGCGAGACTCCATCTCAAAAAAAATAAAAAAATAAAAAATAAAGGTAATTAATAAAAGAGATTTAATTAGCTCATAGTTCTGCAGGGTGTACAGGCATGGCACTAGTATCTGATTAGCTTCTGATGAGGCCTCTGGAAGCTTACAATCATGGCAAGAGGCAAAGGGGGAGGAGGCGTGTCACATGGTGAGAGTGGGAGCAAGTAGAGGAGGCGCCACACACATTCAAACAACCAGATCTTGCATGAACTCAGAGCAAGAACTCACTAATCACCGAGAGAATGGTGTTAAACCAGGAGTGTCCAATCTTTTGGCTTCCCTAGGCCACGCCGGAAGAAAAAGAATTGTCTTGGGCCATACAAAAAAATATACTAACGATGGGTGATGAGCTAAAACAAATTGCCAAAAAACTCAATGTTTTAAGAAAGTTTATGAATTTGTATTGGGTCATATTCAAAGCCATTCTGGGCTGCATGCAGAATGCTGGCCATGTGTTGGACAAGCTTCTGCTACACCATTCATGAGGAATCTGCCCCATGATCCAATCACCTCCTACCAGGTGCTATCACAACATCGAGAATCACATTTCAACATGAGGTTTTCAGGGGACAAACATCCAAACCATATCAGCTTCCCTGTGCCAAGCATGGATGGAGCTGAGAGCTTTATATGGGTTACTTACAAAATATACATGTTTTATACAATAATATTAATAGTACAAAATAATTACTTTGTACCAAAAATTAATTGTACAAAATATTAAAATATTTAACATAACATTTGTACAATGTATATAAAAATATAAATATCCCATAAAATTTGATAATAGCATATGCTATTTTATTTCTATAATATAGACACTCTTCAATACTCAGCAACTTTGTTCACATTAGACCACTTTTATTTGTAATTATTGATATGTTGGGTCACAAACCTGCCATTTTACTTTATGATTTCTGCTTATCCGTTTTTTTTTCTTTTTTTGTAATTGTTGTTTTGTACGCCTTGCTTTCATGTGTGTTACTTTAATTTTCTTTTTTTAGAATTCCATTGAGGTTTATCTGTGGTATTTTTGAGTATATCTCTGTGTGCAGACATCTTAGTGGATGCTGTAGGTTTTACAGCACATGTAATAACTTATCATGGTTTAATAGGGTCAAAATTTTAGTACTTTGAAAGATGTACGGAAACCTTATTCCTTGATTCCCTATATGTCTCTTTACCCTCCTCTGTTCCTTATATAGTTGTCTTAAATATTTACCTATATACACTTAAAATCGCATCTGATAATGTCATAATTTTAACTTCAGCTGTCAAATAAATTTACCAAACTGAAGAGGAAAAGGAAGATGAAGTTATTCATTTTTTCCCTTTCCATTGTGTTTTCTTTAATTTTGGTGTTTTAAAGTTTCTTTTTTAATCTTTTTTCTTTTTTTTTTTCCTGGATAGAGAATTTTCTTGAGCCCCTTTTTAAAAGGTAGACCTTCTGGTGACAAATCCTCTCAGCTTTCTTTCATCAAATGTCTTTATAGCCCTTCCATTCCTAAAAGACAAATATACCAGATATAAAAACCAGAATTGAAAGTTATTTTATTTCATCACATAGACAGTGTTGTGCCACTTTTCTATGGCTTTCATCTATTTCTGATGTTTCCTGCTTCCATTTGTATTGTTTTCTCTCCTATAGATGAGCTATTTCCTCTAGCTGCTTTCAAAATTTGTTCTTTCTTTTAATTTTCAGATATTTTACCATGGTATACCTTAGTTTGGATTCTTTGTGTTTGTCTTGGTTAGTTTTATGCACTGAAAGTTTGTGTCCCCTCAAAATTCATATGTAGACATCCTAAATTCAATGTGATGTTATTTGGAGGTTAGGCCTTTGGGAGGTAATTAGGGTTAGATTAAGTCATGAGGGTGGGGCCCTCATGTTGAGATCAGAGGCCTTATAAAAAAAAAAAAGAGAGAGAGAGAGGGAGAAGGAGACAAGAGATATCTTTTTCTTTTCTCCAACATGTGAGGATACAATGAGATGATGTCCATCTATAGCCAAAAAATGTCTTCAGCAGAACTCATCTGTGCTGGCATTCTGATCACGGTCTTCCAGCCTCCAGTATTGTGAGCAACACATTTTTGTTTTTATAAACCACCCATTCTATGGTATTCTGATACAGTAGCCTAAAATGGCTAAGAGATTTTGGGTTTGCTTGAATTTAGGAATCTGTGGGTTTTTGCCTATTGCCAAATTAAGGAAGTTTTCAGTCTTTGAGACCTTTCTCAAAGTTGCCCATTTCTTCTCTCCTTCTGGGACTCTGATAACACAAAAATTAGGCCTTCAGTTATAATACTACAGGTCCCTGAGGCTGTGTTTATAGTTTTTTCCTGCTTACCTTCATGAATTTTTTATGTGGTTATTGTAAGTTTCAGTTCTAAAATGTCCATTCAGTTCTTTCATATATTTTAATTTTTTGGCTGAGATAATTTTTAAATTTGTTTCATATATGTTTGTAAGCAATATACTGGAAGCATTTTTATGATGACTGCTTTAAAATATTTTCTGAATAATTCCAACATCTTTGTCATTTTTGTTCTGGAATCTTCTAATTACCTTTTACATTCAAGTTGAGATTTTTCCTGGTTCTTTGTATACCAAATGATTTCTAAATGAACCAGGACATTTTAGGCATTATGAGACTCTAGAACTTATTTACCTTTTCTGTCTTAGCTAGCTTCCTCAGACACTACTCCAGCAAGGCAAGGGAGTGAGGGAGGGACACTGCATTACTGCCAGGTGATGATAGAAATAAAGGTTTCCTCTCAATCTCTGTTGACACCTAGGCAGGCGGAGGTTCCTCATTACTGCTGGCTGGAGGGTGGATTCTGGGTCACCACTGGGCCTCCACTGATAGCCTGTCTCGGAGGAAGAAGTGACTTGTTACTGTTTCCCACATGGCCTCCACAAGCACCACCTGGTATGGAAAGGAGGGTGCTTCTTCATTGCTGCTTTTAGAGTAGATCCAGCTCCCCATTTGCTCTCCAGTCATATCAAGGTGTGGAAGGAGAGTGAGGGGCTTATTACCACAAGTTGGGGATGAAAGTTCCAACTTCTGCTATTCTGAGATACTATTCTGGAGGAGGGTTGGGACACCTTGTCACAGCCTGGCTGGTATGAAGATCTAAAGATCTAAGCTCTTCACTTGAGGTAATAGTGTTTTCTGTGGTACTTGACTACAGTAGAGTGGTTATTGTCGAAATGTTTTCTGCCTTGGTAGACTATTTCCTTGACCTTTGCCTAAAATAATAGGCTTTTGTTGGGAAATTCTCATATGTGCCTGTTAGTATTTCTATGTTGATGGCATTTTCAGCTAAAAGTCTGCAAATTATAAAGCAGAAAAGAAAACTTAGAGGATTCATCACTATACAATTTATTAAGTCCCTACCACATCTGCCTTGGTCTCTCCAGGTCTGAGTTTTCATATATTTTATATATAATGTTCAGGGTTTATAGTTTTTCTTAGTAGAAGGAATAGGGCAAAATACATTTACTCCATTTTTCTGGAAGCAGAAATTGGTTTACTTTCTGTAAGAAAGCAGTTGGTGAATTTCTGTCTAAATTCTCTGCCTTTTCAAGAGGAACTGGGCTTTACTTCTCAGATAACAACTGAGCAACGATAGACCTACAGGTGGCATTACTCTCTGTATAGGTAGAGAATAGGCTGAATATTAAATGTTAAGGAGCAGAATCATTGGAATTTAAATGAGGAAGGAGACTTAGTTTTTATTCACGTTAACCAGCCACCTGATGACATGCAACAGTGCGTTTGTTCATCAACATACCTTTTAGATGGCCTTTCTGCTTCTTTTTTGAATGGCTTTAATGCTAAAGAAAGCAAGTGTTTATCAAATAATCTATTTTTTAGATAATTCATTATTAGAAGTTAATTCATTATTAGAAAGATAATTTATTATTAGAAGGTAATTCATTATTAGAAAGAACAAAACGAGTCTTTTTTAATAAAAGAATAAATAAATTTAAATGTATTGAACTTTTATTGTTGTATGTCATGTAGGGTAATTTTGTATACATGTTGCATTTTACAAGACTTAAATCGTGTAATTTTATATACATCTTGTAGGGTAATTTTATATACATTTTATAAGGTAATTTTATATATATTATGCATTTAATTCTTGTAAGTAGCCCTCTGCCTTAGCCAGTTCGAGCTGCTATTAACAAAATATCTTATCTTGGGTAATTTATAAATAATATAAATGGATTTGTCATAGCTCTGGAGGCTGGAAAGTTGAAGATTGAGATGGTACCAGATTTGGGGTTGAGTGAGAGCCCATTCCAAACAGACAATTTCTCCTGGCTTCTCTCTCATGAGGCAGAAGTATGAAAGAAACATGAACATTGAGTCCCTACATGTCAAAAGAGATGGAACAGCTCAGCAGCCTTTGGGAGCTTCTTTTTGTAGGGAAATTGATCCCATTCATGAAAGCAGAGTCCACACGACTTAGTCACTTCCCCCAAAGACTCCATCTCTTAATACTATTGCATAGGGAATTAAGTTTCAACATAAATTTATTTTGTAGAGACATAAACATTCAAACTATAGCATTCTGTCCCTGGTCATCCCCCGAAATATATGGTCTTCTCACATACTAAGTACATTTATTTCATCTCCCAAATCCCAAAGTCTTAACTCATTCCAGCATCCACTTTAAAATCTAAATCCAAAGTCTTATCTAAATATCATCAAAATCAGATATGGTGTGGCCAATTTTCTAATATTGAACCATCTTTAACATCCTCATCCTCTTTCAACGTGGTTTATTATTCTTTTAGCATACTGTTCGTTTGTTTATGTACTATTGAATAGTTTCCCTAACAGAGTATCCTTGCTGTCCTATATATTTTGTTTAATGAAACTCAGAATGAATTCAGAAACTTGTTGTTTCCTGTACTTAAAAAATCTAAAAAAGAATTATGTGCTTTTTAATGATAAAGATTAGATATTAAAATTTTCTGTATTCAGCGACATTGGAGGTGATAATGAGAGGTAGCTGGAGACAGTTACATATCAAATTCTTTTGCTTCTTAGGGTTATTTTCTATTCAACTTTGCCTCAGCAACTTGAGTTAAATTTGGTAGTCTATATTATCTGACAATAATACTGATATTGCTGGAATTTTTACAATCAGAACAGAGTTTTACTCAAATTTCTTGCCCTTTAAAGTACATTATGCTGCACCCTTTATGAAATCCACTCAAGTTTTTAAAAAGAATGGTGAACGACTTAGGGAGGAAGAGAGCTGAGCAATGAAAAAAGAGGAGAAAAGAGCATAGTGAGTTTTATAGAGAAGAGATCTAGAACTACATTTATGCCCCTAGAAACCAGGATTAATAGTTTTGGAAATTTTAAGAATTCCCCAGCACTTGCAACTCCCTCTCATTTGTTATATATTCCTTGTTTTCCTAGAGTTACAAGAATATCAATGAAAGATGTAAAAATAATTTTAAGAATTTGCATTTGTGCTATGCAATCTAGGACAGAAGGGGAACAATGGAACTCTTTCTCCTTGGCAGCTGGCTTTATTAAGATAAAGGAGGAGGGAAGCCTGCTGGAAGCATCAATGAGCAAGAGTCCCAGATATTCTTAGATTGTATTAATGGCCCTCAAATTCTAGACTCAGAAACACCCACAAAGAGAAGCAACAATCAGAAATTGCATGCTATTAATATTTTATTGGTATACTGAAGAAAGAGTTATGACCACATTATTTCAATGTCATGGCTTTCTGAAGGAAGTTATCTTCTTATTTATTTTCTGAAACAAAAAAAAAAACCAAGGAAATTTATACACAACATACAACATGGCAAAACTTATCTAATTCCTTGATGATATTACTGAAGTAAATTATTGCTTTCAAGATTAAGAAAACAGATTTTTTTATGGTGTTTATGTTTTGGTTACTGTTCAAAACATTCAAGGTTATATTTATGAAAATGACTGCAACTTGAACCTGTAGTAGTGAAAAACTAATACAAGCCTACATATCAATTAACAGTGGTTGACTGAGGAAATCATGGTACAGTCACACAAGAGAATAGTATACAATTGTAACAACAAAAGAAAAATGTACAAATAAATCACCAAGAAGATCTATAGGTCTCCGTGAAATGATAAAGTTGTCTAAGACATGTATTATTTGAAATAAGCAAATACAGATCTGCATATAAAATAATATGTCATTTGTGGGAAAAATAATGACGTATGCTTATATACATATAAATATTTCCAGGAGGATGTTCAAAAAATTAAGGGTGGTGACTTTTGGTGAAGGGTGTGGGTAAGTAGGATAAGGCGTCACTTTAAGATTTAGCTTCATACCATTCTGTTCAGTTAGATTTTTTTTTCCTTGAGCATGTACTAATTTCAAAATAAGTATTTTAAAAATTAAATAAGATATAAGAGCATCAAGTTCAAGTATCATTTAGCAGGGACACTGGACCTGAGAGGCTAGTGTGAGGCAGGACTGAGCAAAGAGTCCTCTGGCGGAAACCTGAGAGAAACCTGAGATGGAGAGTCCTTGGGTTTGAGAAGGCAGACTCAAAGACAGGAGGCAGAGCACCAAAGGGAGAGCACACCCCACTTCCTCATTACCAACTCATTTTAATGAGACAAGTCATCTTAAGAAAAAAGTTGGGGAGGTCAGTATTTCAAAAGATAAGAATTCTTTGAACCACTTGTTAAAAATACAAGGACTTGCAACCTTATCCAAGAATATCTGAATACAAATCTTTAGAAATGGGGTCCAGGATTATGTAATTTCAACATATTTCCAATTGATTTGTGAACACGATAAAGTTTGGGAATGGTAGCAGTTTGGGCATTTAATGGAGAATGAACTGGAATCATACCTGCCACTGAATTCTAGATTACCAGAGTGGTTGCTCCTGGGGATGTCTTGCTGGTCTGTCCCTCTGGAAGAATGATGATGCTTCCTGCAGGCTGACAGAAGGAAATCGGGGTAGAGAGAGTTGACGGTGTCCTCGTCGGGGTGGTCGTTGCTGATTTTGAAAAGGAGGTGGGGGAGGATGGCGGTGATGGCCTCCTGGTTTTGGTGGTCTCTGCTGAGGACCATCATCTTGGTTACCACTATCACCAGGGGGTCTAGGTAGGAGTCCTTCAGGAGGAGGTCTCTGGGGTCCCTGATCTGGTCTCTGACTTGAGTCCTCTACATCTGTGTGAGTAATTAATGGACAAGAATGCATGAGCTCAGTGAAGAAAAACTCTCCTCTCTTTATACTTCTCTCACCTTACCACACAGCCCTGTTCTCCCCAAACCTGCTGCTTGACTGTCAACTTCTTTTGTGCCCACTGTTTTTTTTTTCTTTTTATGCAGCTCTCAACTTAATCCATGTAAGAGTGATATGGAAAGTCTCATTTATTTGCTCCTGTGACAAGTATGTTTCCTTAAATGAAAAGAGGGGTTCTTGCATATCTTAGAGTTGCCAGAGGATGTCTCCAAGGACAGAAAAAAAAAAAAAAGCAAAAGCATTATAGCTTTCAGTTATGTTACTGGTTATTTTTTATTTTTATTTTTTGGTTGCTGTAATGACTTACAAACTGTGACTCCATCTCTGGGCACCTAAGCCCTATGTGGAAACTAGAGCTGATTTCCCAGGCTCCTGGAACCAAGTAGAGAAATACTAAGAGACAGAAGAGAAAGACAATGTGAAAGCCTGCACATGATCACTAAACAGCTGTGGCAACTATTTATCATCTGTAGTGACACAGCTGAGTGGGTCAACACAGAGAAAAGACATTCATGCAGTGATTTTTTTGTTTTGTTTTGTGTTACTCCCTGAAGCCACATAACCGTGCGGGGGAACACTGGGGGAAGAAAGAAGCAGTTAAGGATGGAGGAGTCAGAATGAGAACACTTCTCATTTGTTCATCATCTCTCAGCAGTCATTCCAGCCTGGGAAAAAAGCCTGCCCACTCCTATTGTCCTCAAAGCCAGGCATCTCTGTATTCAAGTTGGTGGCCTGGCTCATGGTCCCCAGAATCAAAGATGGGTAAGAATTGCCTATATATTTAGGGGCACTAATATTAATCAATGCCTGACCCCTCTTACCACCTCCTCCCAAAAAAATGATGAGAAGAAGACACTGAAGGAAACTAAAAAGAAATTCTAGTGGAAAAAGAAAGAAAAGAATTGGATTGAGGATCATTGGGATTTACCTGGTATGGTGAAAGTAAAGTCTTCATAGTTCACATCTAGGAAAAGAAGCACAGGATGAAGTGAACATTACCTCATAAATCTTTCAGGGCTCATAGTGGTCTATAGGGAAAGGGGTCTTCTGGCCACACCCTGTGCATCCCCTAAGTTACCTCATCAACCATGTTCTGTGAAGCTGCTGGAAGGGGAGGAAGATGTTAGGGGAGGCAGGATTGTTACTATCGCTGAGCATCAACCACGAATTCAATAGAAGAGTCCCTTTTTGTCATCCTTAGGATCCCTCAAACCCTAATGCTAATTTAGGCACACTTCTCTGGGTATTTTCATGTCATATTTTAGATCTTTACCTTCTTCCTTCTTTAAATATTTTGATCATATTCACAAGCTTGCCCAAGAGGAGCAACCAGGAGTAAATATTTGGATATAATCTTACACATGCTGCCTGCAACATATTGAAATTTTAAATGTGATTGGAAGAAAAATGGGAATTTGGGGACCTGATATTTCTATACCACTATGTAGAAAGACACAAATGTATTATCCAGTCCTCTATGTCTGACAGTACTCTGATGTTTGTTTATCTCTTTCATTGATTCTGCATCCCCTGTACAGCAAGGACACCATCATCGCTGTCCACTGAGATTACTGTAGCATCTTCATAGCTGGACTTCCCTGGATCAGTCTTGCATTCTCCACTGCATCCTTCACAGCACAGCCAGGTCTTTCTAAAAATACAAATCTTACTTTGTCATTCCTCTAATTGAAATTCTCTATTGGGTTCCAAGTGTATATCAAATAAAGTATAAGGCCTTGGCATGGAATGAGGGCACAACAGATGTCATCCTTGGAATGAGAGCTCCAAAGCCCTACCCTTCTTCTCAACCTCCTTCCTCCCCTCCTGCTCTTCCGCTGCAGTGGTGTAGGGTGAACCCCTGAGGCCCTAGAAGAGTCATGGCCCCTCATCCCACTCCCCATCTCCTTTTTTAAAAAAATAATTTTTTTACCATTATCTGTGCTCTGAGCTGAGCTCAGAGCCAGAAGGACCACTGAGAGCAGGACCAGCAGCATCTTGAAGGAGGCTCTGGAGTTGCTCCCAACTCTGCGTTGAGAGAAACATGGCAGCTCCCTTTATAAACATGAGCAGAACAATGGCACCTTTGAGCTCCATACTGGGTGGACCTCACCACCTGAAAGATTAGGTTTTGCTTTCCTCTCATAAAGTTGAATGCGTCTCTTATTACTTTTTGGGATTTTAGCCCAGCAGGATGTGGTGGTAGGATGTGGTTAGGTACAAACTGTGACTTGAGCATAGTTTCTGAAGAAACAGTATCCAAGCAATCAGCACAAATACTACAATTGAAGTTTGGTCATCATTTGATTTTCAATTGGGTTAGACAGTTAGTCTTTCCCCTTCATTGGTTGTCTGTGTGCACACGTGCTTACGTTTGTATATGTTTGTCAGCAGTGATCTTATAGCCAGAAGTGAAAATGATTAATATCTCTAGCTATTAGTGTAGCATAAATTCCATTTTTATAGCATATATACCTATATGGATGATATGTAGCTTAATTTCATAATAATATAGAGATCATTTCTGTTTAATGTTGAGTTGTGTGAGGACAACACACACTTGGGCACACGTGGATGACAGAAGTTTTACCCTCAGGCTACTCTGGCCCAAAGAGATTAAGATTCTCCTAATCTAGCATTAACCAGAGATACTTTATTGTTGTAGAACACAGGTATTAAAACATTCTATCTTTATTAATACCCTGGAGGTTAGTAAGGCAAAATTGGCCACAGAAAGCACCATTAGATTTCTGCATCAGAACAGTGTGAATACACAGTTCCTTGAACAAGCCATGCTATTTTATGTCCCTAAGACTTCTTCCATGATCTTTCTCTTTTCTAGAATGTTCTATATGATTCAGTTTAGGTCTTACTTCTTGTACCAAATATTTTAATCACACTGGTTATTGAGTGGACACAATAATACAATCTAATTAGATAGTATGATAGCCTGTTGAAAGCCTCAAGTATTACATTGATTTTCTATTTTTTAATTAGTTTCCATTCTATTTGCTTCTCAGATTGCCTTTACCAAAGATTATTTTCTCTGCAATATTCTTATACTCATTCTTCTTCACTCTTGTGCTGAACCTTACTTGTTGATATGTTATATTGTGAATCAATCCTCCCTATGTCTATGTTTTATATCTTACTGCTTTCTTCATGCGTTCTGGGAGAAATCTTTATTTGATTTTCTAAACAAGGTTCTGTACTTCTCTTTGCTTGCTTTCTTCTTTTTTGTTTTTAAAATTTGGCACCAAGGTTTTGTGTTTCTGAAAAGTTTGGTAGGGTCCTGAGTTGGTAGCTTAATCTTCACCTGCTGATTTTTCTGTCCTATCTAGTAGTTTTCTGCTTATATTTTCATGGAACCCCTAGATCAATCAGTATCACCAGCTGCCACTTTTCATTACAGGCATTGTATAGGTCTCGTATTATTGTTACATTTTTGTACAGGGCTGGTGATAATTTGAGGATAGCTTGGTTGGAAGTATGACAGGGTCGGGGGAATGTGACTGGAAATCTTAAAGACAGGCCTCTTGACCATTGTGGATAAGTGGATCCTGTGCTGTGCAGATGAAGGTCTGGTCTGGCAATTCTGAAGGGTTGGAGGTAATATTACAGGAAGATTTTCTAATCAATGGTGTTTGTTATGGATAACTTTACTTTGGCAAAGTGACCAAAAAATAAATATTTTCTCTGGCATAATTATGGACATATTTTGAAGGTGAAATATATTATGAGTTAGCAATTCTTCTCTATGTGGGAAGCAGAAGAGTTCTAGCTGTGCTTTAGGGTTTTATGGGTGAGAGAGAGTAGTTGTTTGGGCCTACAGACCCAGCTGTGTTACTAGGATTGCTGCCTCTGATTTCACCAGACACTGTTTAACATGGGAAGTGGAGATAAGTAGTTCTGCCTAGGTGGCTTATGGTAGACCATCAGGTAGGAAAGGAAGGTCAGCGAGAAGGAGCAGAGGGGCGTGCCATGCAGACATGATTCACTGTGTGGGTGGCTGAGGAAACTGCAGTCCTGGTGGAAGGCAGGCTTCTCCTTGGCTGGTGAGTGCAGGAAGACAACAGGTGATGCCTGCAAATATCACTCAGCTCAGACCCTTACCCTGACATTCTCCAGTGTAAGCAATGAGAGAAAGAGATTAATGTATCAGGAAATAATAAACATCAGCTATGATCTCACCACACACAACCACAACAGAGGTGACGGAGGAGCTGAAACAGACACTGTCAGTGAGTGAGGGTGGGGTCAAATCGAGAAGCAGGACTGCAGCAGGAGCTTAGGCACTTGTAGGTGAGTGGACACTCTCAGCAATCCACTTGCCTTTTACAACAGATGAAAACTTAACATACCCCTAATATAATTCTTGATTTCTACTTCCTAAAACCTGCTCTCCTTCATACTAATTTGTTATGGCTACCCTAAAAAAATGCCCCACAAGTGGCTTAAACAACAGAAATTTACTTTCTCATAGTTCTGGAGCTTGAAGTACAAGATTAAGGTGTCAACAGGTTTGGTGTCTTCTGAGGCCCTGTCTCCTTCACTTCTAGATGGCCGGTTCTTGCTGTATCTTCACATGGGGTTTTATCTGTAGACGTGCATCCCTGGTACCCCTCTGTGGTCTGTGCTAATGTTCTTTTCTTATGAGGACAGGTGTCAGATGGGATTAGCACCAACCCTATCAGCTTCATTTTAACCTAATCACCTCTTTAAAGGCCATGCTGCAAATAGAGTCACATTCAGTGGTATCGGGGGTAAGGGATTCAACATGAGAGTTTGGAGGGAACACAATTTAGCTGATAACACCTCACAATCTTTTCTCAGTTCATGACATTTGTTTCACTCAACCATTCAAAAACATAAGTGTCACTCTTGATTGTTTAGTCTCCTCCGTGTACTGCCCTTAGCAAATCCAATTGGTTCTACCTTCAAAAGATATCCCATATATGATCAGTTTCATAATCTCTATCAGAAGGTCCTGAGTCAAGCCATGATTCTCCCTCCTGGAGGACTTTCAACAGTCTCCAGCTGATCTTGGTGACATTCCTGCCCCTCACCACATCCCAAGCAGTTCTCCTTACAACAGCCAGAGTGATCTTTTAAAAATAGAATTTAGAACATCAGCAAGATGGCTGACTAGAGTTCCCTGGCACTCATTTCCCCACAAAAAGAAATCAAGAAAACAAACAATTTTATGTCAGCCAGTGTGATTTAAAAAGTATGCTGGAGACCACCAGGGGAACAGAAACACCTCTGTGAAGTACAGAAACTCAATATAGCATCCTGCCTCTGACATACTCTCTCTTCAGTCAAGGTTGGCTCAGGGTCATCAGTAACTCCATTCTACAGGAAAAAGTAAGCTGTAGTTCCCCAGTGGTCCACATTGCCATAAAAAATGTCAACAATCTTTGCCCCACTGTTCTCACTGGCACAAAAACCAGTCTGGAGAGCAGTTGGGATTTCCAAACTGCATTGCCTTACATAGTAAGAGACCACCTTGAGCACCCTCTGCCCCTGCAATGTAAGGTGCTATGGCTCAGTGCCATCTCCAAACTGAACCTACATAGAGAGTGTGTCTTGCTTTGAGCATCAGTAGCACCTGGCTCTCTATCACTTGAGGCCCCACCATCATTCCAACACATTCATACAGGTATCTGCAGCACCATGACCCTAGCTTCCCAGAGCCTAGCCAGATAAACTAATCAAGACCCCGGCATCCGAACCCATGTGGTGCACCACCAATCCAGGGAAGAAGTGAACAGCAGGGAAGCCACCCATCTGCCTACTAGCCACGACACCCACATGCACCCACACCTCACAACCAGCTAGTCTGCTGAGCCTGTGCATGCTGGTGCCCAGCCTGAAAACTGGTCCTGTGGTGGGCCCACCCCCAGGACTACAGCCTGCTTGGGCCACAACAACTCTGAGTTTGTGCATGGTCTAATAATTGGTCCTGCAGTGACCCTGCCTCCTCAGATGGGACTCTGCAGAGATGGATGGCCCTGCTACACCTGTGAGCACTGACAGCAACCCGCCCACCCAGCAGGAAGACAGCAGTGCATGTAAGTGCACACACCTTGAGAAAAGGCTCTTCCCACTGCTGCTGGTGGCACAGTTGCTGCTGTCACCACCGGGGGCTGCAGCAGTGAAATGCCAGTTGGACCCAGCAAAGTGGCAGGATCCTCAGCATTCTAGCATATGCAGTGTTCTGCACCTCAGGCACTGGAAAGGCTGTGAACCAGACATAGGGAGCCAAAGCACATGCTTTCCAGAACCAGAGAGCTGCCTCCCTGTGGCTGCTGACACAGACAGCAATGTCACCCCCGCAACACAGCAGCAGAGATGCTGCACACTTGCATGCAACCTGGGGACAGGCCCTCTCCATCTGCTGCTGAGTCTGCTGATGCAGCTGGGGGCCAGAGCATGTGCCACTGGCAGTGACCTGACTTCCACCAGCAGCAGAGCCACTGTGAACTTGCACGTACCCTGAGGACTGGCTTATGCTGCTGCCAGAAGCCAAAGTGTGCTCCACATTGCCAGAGAGCTGCCTGCTAGTGGCTGCTGCCACTGACAATAACCACACCCTGCCCTAGCAGCACAGCTGCAGCAAATTTGCATGTGCCTCGAGGACAGGCTTTCTTCAGGTATTGCTCCTGCTATTGGGAGATCCAAGGATTACCCCATCCAACTTACCACAGCCAACATCCATGTACATAACTAGGGGGACTGAGGACAGGCCTGCCAAGCCTGGTTCCATCATCCCAGTGCCCAGGCACACTACCCAGGGGTGTGGCAATCATCCTGCTTTGTCCACCACCACTGGCATTTGCACATTCCTTTAGGAGGACTGAGAATGGGCCCAACCAGCCTGACAGTAGCACTGTAGCCAGAAACAATATGCATGCAACATCTGAAGGTCTGGAGACTGGCCCCCAGCCCATCACAACCACCTCTAACACCAGAGCTTGCAACTTGAGAATCTGAGGGTTGTCCAACCAAGCTACAGAAATTGCCCATGGCAAGCACATTCCCAGAGGCCTAAAGGCCCACCCACCCTTTCAGCCTACCATTGCAACTGCTAGTACCCAGGTAAGCTACTTAAAGCCCCCAGAATTGTTCTGCTTAAAGCTGCTAAAACTGGTACAAACATATGTTGCCTAGGTGCCAAATATAGGCACTCTCAGCCCACTGTTACCCCTACTGGGGCCCAAGAACTGGCCCACCTAAAATCTCTGTCCCCAGGAAAACCTCACTACAGCCTCCAATCACAACTACAGCCTAAGCCACTGAGGAAGTCACAGACACCACTTATGCTGTTAATAGCTGAAGGAATAATATAAGACCACCTTACTGTACACACACAGAATCAAAGCCAAAGTGTCCTACTGAATCAACACCACAGATACATCTTCAGAAAGAAAAGTTAATGTTTTGGATCTATGTCACTGCCCAAATCTCATGTTGAATTATAATCTCCAATGTTGGGGGAGGGGCTTCATTGGAGGTAATTGGATCATGGGGGTGGATCCTTCATGAATGGTTTAGCACCATCCCCTGCGTACTATTCTTATGACAATGAGTGAGTTCTCATGAGATTTGCTTGTTTAAAAGTGTGTGTCACCTCCCCCCCACCCAGTCCTTCTCCTGCTATGTAAGATGCCTGCTCCTGCTTTGCCATTTGCCATGAGCAAAAGCTCCCTGAGGCCTCCCCAGAAGCAGATGTCACTATGCTTCCTGTACAACCTATGAAACTGTGAGCCAATTAAACCTCTTTTCTTCATAAATTACCCACTCTCAGGTACTTCTTTATAGCAATGTGAGAATGAACTGATACAGAAAATTGGTACCGAAGAGTAGGGCATTGCTATAAAGATACTAAAAATGTGGAAGCGATTTTGGAGATGGGTAATGAGCAGAGGTTAGAAGAGTTTGGAGGACTCAGAAGACAGGAAGATAAGGGAAAATTTGGAACTTCCTAAAAACTTGTAAATTGTGACCAAAATGCTAATACTGATATGGAAAATGAAGTCTGGGCTGAGGAGATCTCAGATAAAAATAAGGAACTTATTGGGAACAACTGGAGCAGTCACTTTTGTTATGCTTTAGCACAGAGCCTGGGTGCATTGTTCCCCTCCTTTAGGGACTTGTGGAACTTTGAACTTGTGAGTGATGATTTAGGGTATCTGGTGGAAGAAATTTCTAAGCAGCAAAGTGTTCAAAATATGACCTGGCTGCTTCTAACAACCTAAGCTCATATGCCTAAGCAAAGAAATGAGCTAAAACTCAAATTTGTATTAAAAAGGGAAGCAGAGTGTAAAAGTTTGGAAAACTTGCAGCCTGGCCATGTGGTAGAAAAAAAATTCCCATTTTCTAGAGAAGAATTTACCCTAGCTGCAGAAATTTGCATGAGTAAAGAATAACCAAATGTTAACAGCCAAGACAATGGGAGAAAGACATTGAAGGCATTTCAGAGACTTTCGTAGCCACACCCACATCACAGGCCTGGAGTCCTAGGAGGGCAGAATGGTTTCCTGGTCCAGGCGCAGGGCCCCACTGACCTGCACAGCCTCCAAACACTGTTTCCTGCATCCCAGCTGCTCCAGCTCCAGCTGTGGCTCAAAGGGGTCCAGCTGCAACTTGGGCTGCTGCTTCAGAGGATGCCAGCCATAAGCTTTGGCAGCTTCCATGTGGTGTTAAGTCTGTGAGTGTGCAGAGTGCAAGAGTTGAGGTTTGGGAGCCTCTCTTTTGATTTCAGAGGATCTACAGAAAAGCCTAAATGTCCAGGCAGAAGCCTGCTGCAGAGGCAGTGCCCTCACAGAGAACCTCTACTAGGGCAGTGCAAAGGGAAAATGTGGAGTTGGAACCCCTACACAGAGTCCCCACTGGGGCACTGCCTAGTGGAGCTGTGAGAAGAGAGCTGTCATCATGCAGACCCCAGAATGACAGATCCTCTGGCAGCTTGCACCATGCACCTGGAAAAGCTGCAGGCACTCAATGTCAGCCCTTGAGAGAAGCTGTGGGAAATGAACCCTGCAAAGCTACAGGGGTGGAACTGAAAAGGCCTTGGGAACCCACCCCTTCCATCAGTATGCCTGGTTGTGAAACATAGAAAGTCAAATGAGGTTATTTTGCAGCTTTAAGATTTAATGACTTCCCTGCTGGTTTCAGATTTGCATGGGGTCTGTAGCCCCTTTCTTTTTACAGCTTTCTCTTTTTTGGAACAGGAGTGTTTACCCAATGCTTGTACTCCCCTTGTATCTTGGAAGTAACTGTTTTTTGAATTTACAGGCTCATAGGTGAAAGAGACTAGCCTTGTCTGAGATCAGCCTTTGGACTTTCGACTTTTGAGCTAATGCTGAAATGATTTAAGACTTTGGGGGACTCTTGGGAAGGCATGATTGTATTTTGAAATGTGAGAAGGACATGAGATTTGGGAGTAGTGATGGGCTGAATGACATGGTTTGGATCTGTGTCCCCACCCAAATCTCATGTTGAATTGTAATCCCCAGTGTTGGGGAAGACTGGCATGTTGGGAGGTGACTGGATCATGAGGGCAGATTCTTCATAACTGGTTTAGTACTATTCTCTCACTGCTGTTCTCATGATGGTGAGTAAGTTCTCATGAGATCTTGTTGTTTAAAAGTGTGTTGCATCTCGCCCCCACTTGGTCCTGATCCTGCCATGTAAGACTCCTGCTCCAGCTTTGCCTTTTGCCACAAGTAAAAGCTCCTTAAGGTTTCCCCAGAAGCATATGCTTCTATGCTTCCTGTACAGCCTGCGGAACCATGAGCCAATTAAACCTTTTTTTGAAAAATAAATTACTCACTCTCAGGTATTTCTTTATAGCAATGTGAGAATGGACTGATACAAAAATCTTCCCCTATGAAAGCCAATTTAAAAAACAGAAGAAGCAACTATTTCACCAGATGCGCAGACATCAATGTAAGGACACAGGAAACATGAAAAAGCAAGAAAATATGACACCTCCAAATCAACACAATACTCCTCCAGCAGTAGATTCCAATGAAAAAGAAATTTATGTAATGTTGGGGAAAATATTTAAAAAATGATACTAATGGAGCTCAGTGAGATAGAAGAGAACACAGGTAAAAAATAGAAAGAAACCAGAAAACCATTTCAGGATATTAAAGAGAAATTCAACAATGAAATGGATATCATAAAAAAGAATCAAACAGAAACGCTGGAGATAAATAAATCAATAAATGAAAGAAAAATACATCTGAAAGCTTCAAAAATAGAATAGGTCAGTGAGAAGAAAGAATATCAGAACTTGAAAACAAATATTTTAAATAACCCAGTCAGACAAAAAAAGAGGGATAAAATGTGAAAAAGATGAACAAATCCTACATGACATATGGGATGCCATAAAGCAACCAAATTTTTGAATTTGGGTTTTTCCCAAAGGCAAAATGAAAGGCAAAAACATAAAAAACCTATATAATGAAATAATAGAAGAAAACCTCTCAAGTCTAGCAAGAGAGTTAAACACCTAGATACAGGAAGCTTAGATAGATACAACCCAAAAATATTTTCTTCATGTCACATTATACTCAAACTGTCAAAAGTCAAAGAGAAAAACACTATAGAAGTGGCAGAGCAATATGGTGGAATAGAAGGCTCCACCAATCATCCCACCCACAGGAACACCAAATTTAACAACTGCCTACATAATCAAAGCACTTCCATAAGAACCAAAAATCAGGTGATCACTCAAAGTACCTGCTTTTAACTTCATATTACTGAAAGAGGTACTGAAGAGGGTAGGAAAGACAGTCTTGAATTGCCATCGCCACCCTTGTCTTAACCCAGCAGCAACTACATAGAATGGAGAATCTGTAGACTTGGGGAGGGAAAGTGTGGTGATTTTGAAACTTCGCATTGAAATCAGTGCTGCCTTGTGACAATGGAAGGCAAAACCGGGGTGAACTCAGCTGATGTCCACCCACAGAGGGAGCATATAGACCAGCCCTAGCCAGAAGAGAACTGTACATTCCAGCAGCCAGAACTTGAGTTCTGGCAAGCCTTGTCACTGTAGGCTAAAGTAGTCTGGGTCTCTAAATAAATTTGAAAGGCAGTCTAGGCCACAAGGACTACAAATCCTAGGTGAGTCCTAGTGCTCAGCTGGGCTCAGGGCAAGTAGACTGGTGGGGGCGGTGGGTACATGACCTACTGAAACATCAGCTGGGGTGGCTAAAGCAGTACTTGGGCCATCCCTCCCTCAACCCCCAGCTACACAGCTTATGGCTCCAAAAGAGACCACTTCCTTCCACATGAGGAGAGGAGAAGGAAGAGTGAGGAGGACTTTGTCTGGCATCTTGGATACCAGCTTAGCCTCAGTAGGATAGAGCTCTGGTCAGAGTCATGAAGCCCTGATTTCAGACTCTAGCTCCCAGATGACATTTCTAGACACACACTGGGCTGGAAGGAAACCTACTGCATTGAAAGGAAGAGCCAAGTAATGAAAGAACCAATCACCTGCTGATTAAAGAGCACTTGGGCCTTGAATAACAAGCGGTGATATCCAGGTAGTATGCTGTGGGCCTTGAGTGAGACTCTGAGATGTGCTGGTTTCCAGTGAGACCCAACACATTCCTAGCTGTGGTGGGTATGGTCAGAGATTCCTCCTGCCTGAGAAAAGCAGAGAGAAAAAGTAAAGGGGACTTTGTCTTGAACCTTAGGTACCAGGTCAGCCACAGAGAAGTATAACACCAAGTGGGCTCTTGAGGTCCCCAATTCCAGGCCCTGGCTCTTGGACAGCATTTATGGACCTGCTCTGGTCCAGACGGGGAGCCCACCACTATAAAAGGTGAGTCCTAGATCTGGCAGCATTATTCACCACAGGCTGAATGAAGAGCCCTTGGTCCTTAAGTGAGCATCAGTGGTAGCCTGAGAATATTCCCATAGGCTTGTGGTGATGGTGGCCAGGGGGCAAGGTGCCTGCATATGAAAAGGGAAGATTAGAATGGGAAGAATTGCATCTACTGGTTTGAGTGCCAGCTTAACAGCAGTACAATAGAACACAAGGTAAATTTCCAAAGTTTTGGACTCTGGTCCGTGGCTCCTGGACAGCATTTTTGGACCTGCCTGGAGCTAAGGGATCTTGCTGCTATGAAGAGAAGCACATAAGCCTATCCGTAAGCCCCAAAGCAGTACTAAGAAGGAAGATTATTGCTATATGTGCCTACATCAAAAAATAAAAAAACTTCACATAAACAATCTAATGATGCATCTTAAAGAACTAGAAAAGCAAGAGCAAACCAAACCCGAAATTAGTAGAAAAAAGAAATAAAGACTAGAGCATAAATAAATGAAATTAAAATTAAAAAATACAACAGAAGAATGAAACAAAAAGTTTGTTTTTTGAGAAGATGAACAAAATTGACAAACCTTTTGACAGACTAACCAGGAAAACAAGAGAGAAAACCCAAATAAATAAAATTAGAGATGAAAAAGGAGATATTACAACCTACACCACAGAAATTCAGGGGATTATTAGAGACTACTGTGAGCAACTATATGCTAATAAATTGAAGAAACTGATAAATTCCTAGACAAATGTAACCTGCCAAGATTGAACTATACAGAAATCCAAAAACCTGAATAGACAAATAACAAGTGATGAGATCAAAGCCATAATAAAAACTGTCCTAGCAAACAAAAGACCAGGACCTGATGACTTCAATGCTAAATTTTACCAAATATCTAAAGAAGAACTAATACTGATCCTTCTCAAACTATTCTGAAAAATAGAAAGGGAAGGAATACTTTCAAACTCATTTGGTGAGGTGAATATTACCCTAATATGAAAACTAGACAAAGACACATTAAAAAAAATACAGGCCAATATTTTGGATGAACATTGATACAAAAATTCTCAACAAAATGCTAGCAAACAGAATGCAACAGCCCATTAAAAATACAATTCATCATTACTATGTGGCATTTATCCCATGGATGCAAGAATAATTCAACATGTGCAAACCAATGAATGTTGATAAATCATATAAACAGAAGGAAGGACAAAACTAATATGCATTGCAATAGATAATGAAAATCATTTGATAAAATTCAACATTCCATCATGATAAAAATCATCAAAAACTGGGCATAGAAGGAAAATGCATCAACATTATTAAAACCATATATGACAGACCCACACCTAATATCATACTGAATGGGGAAAAACTGAAAGCTTTCCTCTAAGATCTGGAACATGACAAGGATGCTCACTGTCATCATTGTTATTCAGCATAGTACTGGAAGTTCTAACTACAGCAATCAGATGAAAGAAAAGAGAACGGAAGGGAAGGGAAGGGAAGGGAAGGGAAAGGGAGGGAAGGGGAGGGAAGGGGAGGGGAGGGCAGGGGAGGGCAGGGGAGGGGAGGGGAGGGGAGGGGAGGGGAGGGGAGGGAAAAGAAAAGAGAGCATCCAAAATGGAAAGGAAGGAGTCAAATTATCTTTGTTTGCAGATGATGAAACTTTATGTTTGGAAAAAAATAAAGACTCCACAAAAATGTATTAGAACTGATAGAAACATTCAGTAAAATTTCAGGATACAAAATCAACATACAAAATTCAGTAACATTTTTATATGCCCACAGGGAACAGTCTGAAAAAGATCAAGAAAGTATTCTTATTTACAATAGCTACAAGTAAGATAAAATACCTAGGAATTAACCAAAGAAGTGAAAGATGAAAAGTATAAAAGTATAAAACATTGGTGCAAGAAATTGAAGATAACACACTAAAATGGAAAGACATTCTATGTTCACGGATTGGAAGAATCAGTTTTGTTAAAATGTCCATACTACCCAAAGCACTCTGCAGATTCAATGCAATCCCTATCAAAGTATCAATGACATTCTTCACAGAAACAGAAAATACAATTCTAAAATTCATATGGTACCACAAAAGACTCAGAATAGCCAAAGCTGTCCTAAGCAAAAAGAACAAATTTGGAGGAATCACATTACCTGACTTTAAATTGTCTTAAATACTACAGAACTATGGTAACCAAAATGGCATGACACTGGCATAGAAACAGACATGTTTGGACTGTGAGCCTGGCCTCTATGAACCATCGTTTCAGCTCCTGATTGGTCCAGAGCCAAGGCCCTGGGCCAAGCTGAGTCACAAGTTCTCCAAGACAGCCCATGGACTAAGTGCATTCCTTCCCCTTCCCAGTCCATAAACACCCTGGACCCCAGCCTCATAGAGGGCAATCCATTTGGGTCCCTCTTTCCGCTGGCAGAGAGCTTTCTTCTTTTGTTTGTTAAACTTATGCTTTAACCTCACATTGTGTCTGTGCTTCTCAATCATCTTGGACGTAGGACAAAGAACTTCAGATATTATCTCAGACAATAAGAGACTGCTATCTGGGTCCGTTGGCAAAACTACAACATTACAACAAGAAAACTTTGGGGAAACTCTCCAGAACACCATAGTGGGCAAAGATTTCTTGAGTAATACCTCACAAGCACTGGCAACTAAAGCAAAATTAAAATTAAAAAAAAACTTCAAAGATAAAAATTATTAAAAAGAGAAAAGCATCCAGTCATATGTAAGGGAACTATCACCAGATCAAAAGAGAATTTATCAACAGAAAGTTTATAGGCTAGGAGAGAATAGTATGGAATATTCAAAGTTCTGGAAGAAACACTTTCAGTCATACATACTATACTCAGAAATGTTATCCTTCATAAATAAAGAGGAAATAAAATCTTTCACAGATAAGCAAAAGCTTTAGACTAACCTTACAACAAGTGCTCAAGGGAGTTCTACATCTAGAAGCAAACAGATGATAATCACTATTTTGAAAATACATAAATACTCACTGTTAGAGAAGACACACAAAGAATAAAGAGAATCAAGCCTTATTATTTCAGAAAACTAAAAGAAATGATAAACAATAAGAGAGGAAGAAAGGAAGAAAGGGACATATAAAACAACCAGGAAACAATGAGCAATATAGAAAAACCAAAACCTCACATGTGAATAATAACCCTGAGGTAAACAAATTAAATTCCCCATTTAAAAGATATATAAGTCATATAAAAGGGAACCTCCATTAGATTAACAACGAATTTGTCAGAAGAAACCTTACAGGCCAGGAGAGAATGAGATGACATATTCAAAGTATTGAAACAAAAAAAATCTTATCAGCCAAGAATACTATTTCCAGCAAAGCTATTCTTCAAAAATGAAGTAGAAATAATGGCGTTCCTAAACAAGAAAAACTGGAAATTCATCACTACTACACTGGTCCTACAAGAAATCCTGAAGGAAATTCTATACTTTAAAGCAAAAAGACAATATGGTCCATCACAAAAACACACACAAGTATAAAACTCACTGGTAAACCAAATACACAAATGAAAAAGAGAAAGGATTCAAATTTTACCACTACATAAAATCAACAAATGACAATTATAAACAATAAAAAATATAGAAAGGTAAAAGGACATATGAAATAACCAGAAAACAATTAATAAAATGACAAGAATAAATCCTCCGGTAGTAATAAGCTTGATGGTAAATGAACTAAAATTTTCAGTTTAAAGATATAGACTGGCTTAATGGATTTTAAAAAGCGTGACACAAGTATATGCTGCCAATAATAAAGTAAATTTCTCTGTAAAGACACATGGACTTAAAGTGAAGGGATGAAAAATGATATTCTATGCAAATAGAAACAAAAAGTGAGAAGTACTATACTTGTATCAGATAAAACAGATTTTAATTTTTAATTTGCAAACAGCAAAAAGACACAAAAAAGGTCATCATGTAAGATAAAGGGATCAATTCAGCAAGAGGGATAATACAATTCTAAATATTCAAACAACACTGGAGCACCCAGATATATAAGGCAAATATTATTAGACATAAAGGGGGAGATAGATTCCAACAGAATAATAGTGAGGGACTTCAATGCCCCATTCTCAGCCTTAGACACATAATCCAGAGTGAAAATTAAGAAATAAACATTGGATTTTAACTGCACTTTAGACATGTCTCAAAAAAAAGTATACGAATGTCCAGTAGGTATATAAAAAATGCTCAACATCACTCATCATCAGGGAAATGCAAATTAAAAACACAATATCATCCTTCTCCAGTTAGAATGGGTATTATTAAAAAGAAAAAAAAAACAGATGCTGGTGAGGATTCAAGGAAAAACTCTTACATACCGTTGGTGGGAATGTAAATTAGTACAGTCACTATGGAAACAATATGGAGATTTCTCAAAATAACTAAAAATGGAATGACCATATGATCCAGCAATTTCACTTCTGGCTATTTATCCAAAGAAACAGAAATGAGGACATCAAAGGGATACCTATATTCAAATGTTGACTGCAGCACTATTCACCATAGCAAAGATATGGAATCAACCTAAGTGTCCGTCAGTGGACAAATGGATTAAAAAAAAACAGTGGTATATATACACAATGTAATACTATTCAGCCATAAAAAAAGAATAAAATCATGTAATTTGTAGCAACATGGATGGAACTGGAGGGCATTATGTTAAGGGAAATAAGCCAGGCACAGAAAAACAAACAGTGCATGTTCTCACTTATGTTGATCACACAGAGGTAGAGAATAGAATAATGGCTACAAGAGATGGACCAGTGTTTGTGAGGCAGGAGGACAAGTATGAAGAGAGGTTCATTAATGGGTTCAAACATACAGTTAGAAGGAATAAATTCAAATATTTGATAACAGATTAGGGTGACTATGTTTAACAATATTTCAAAATAGCTAGAAGAAAGGACTTGAACAGTTCCCCAAACATAGAAATGATAAATACTCAAGATGACAGATACCCTAACTTGATCATTATACATTCTATATGCTTATAACAAAATATCATGTGTCCCATAAATATGTACAAACATTATGTATCAATTTTTAAAAATCAGGATTGATAGCTTTACTGCTGAATTCTACCAGACATTTAAAGAGGAATTGATACTAATTATCCTGAAACAATTCCAGATATTGCAGAGGAAGTAATACTTCCAAACGCATTTTACAAAGCCAGCATTACCCTGATTCCAAAACCAAAGATACAACAAATAAAAAAGCCACAAGCCAACATCCCTGATGAATATCAATGCAAAAATTCAACAAGATTTTAGCAAAGTGAACGCAGCAGCACATGAAAACGATCATTCACTATGATCAAGTGGGTTTTATTCAACATATACAAATCAATAAATGTGATGCACCCTATTAACAAAATGAAGGACAAAGGCCATATGATCATCTCTATAGACACAGAGAAAGTATTTTATAAAATTCAATATCCCTGCATAAGAAAAGCTCACAAGAAATTAGACACACAAGATATGTACCTCAACACAAAAAGGCCATATATGACAAACCCACAAGTAACATCATGCAGAATAAGGAAAGGTGAAAGATTTCCTCTAAGATTAGGATAAAGATAAGGATGTTCACTTTCATCACTCCTATTCAACATAGTATTAAAAGTATTAGCTAGATATACTAGGCAAGAGATAGAAACTAAACAAATTGAAATTGAATAGAAGGAAGTCAATTGTTCATCTTTTCGGATGACATGATCTTATTTATAGAAAACTCTAAAGACTTCAACAAAAAACTGTTAGAATAAATCTGGTAAAGTTGCAGAATAGAAAATCAATGTACAAAAATTAGTAGCATTTCTGTATGCTAATGGTGAACTATATGAAAAATAATTCAGAAAACAATTTCATTTACAATAACCAAAAAAGAATAAAATACTTAGGAATAAACTTAACCAAGGAGATAAAAGATCTCTAATACTGCAAACTATGAAACATTGATAAAAGAAATTGAAAAAGATGCAAATAAATGAAAAGATACTCTATGTTTATGGATTGGAACAATTAATATTGTGGAAGTGGCCATACTAATCAAAATGATCTTCAGATTTAATGCAATCCCAAACAAAATACCAATCAGCATACTTCACAGAAATAAAAAAAGCACACACATATTTTCCGTCTTTGAGTAATGTATGCTCTGAAAGGGGAAAAAGGCATTGAGATACAAAAGCACATTATAAGATAGAAAGCTCTATGTGCCATTTCCTGTCATTTACCTTGATATTAGATCCAGGAAACTCTCTCTATTTTTAGGCCAAATTATTAGCAAACTTAATTGCCCTTCGCCATGTAATTTAACATAAAACACAGGTTCTGGGAATTAAGATGTAAACATCTTTGTGAGGCCTATATTTTCCTCCTGCAGAGAGAACAGGTAATCTTACATCTCTCAAATTTGTTTCAGTTGTGTATGGAGACAGCTATCCCTGATTTGGTAATGTTTAAACTAGACTTTTGCAAAAGGATATGTATGAGTTTATATAAAATTTGATAGTATTGCATGTATTTATACTGTGCAATATGTATATGCAATAGTTTAAGTGACAAAACTAAGTGGTACAAATTTACCTTGAGGTTGGCTGCATTTGTAAGTTGGGGCAGTCACTTCTTTGGAGTGTTGTGCAGACTTGGGAATGAGAAGCTGTAGATTTCATTCTAACTCTGCCACTTACAGCAGGACAACCACTTGCAAAGCCCAGCTTTCTCTATTAAAATAAGACCCTAAATCTTCCCAACACCAATAATGAAGATGACATTCTCAGATCAGGAAAATGAAGGGTTCTTCAGAAGGATCATCACTGTGTCAGGGGCAGCAACTGGAGATCTGAACAAAATAGCTACCTGGGCATCCAATCCCTCTACTGTGAAATGCATGATTCTCCAGACCTTTTCCAACACGCATAGAGCTTTCTGATCGTTTTAGTGCCTACTCTTAAGTATGAATTGAATCAAAGGTTGACCAGACAATTGAAGAAATTCTCCATCAAATGAGACTCAAAGAATCAGAACAAAGTGTAATTCTGAAGGAAAAGAGGTAAGATAAACAGCAGAAGAAACGTTTACAAGACTATAATTAATATATTCTGATATAACCATAAAACATAAAAGGATGCTATCAAATAGAAGATTGACCAGAGAACACAAAAGAATATGAGCAATTGTAAATTAAATTGATAAGTTCAATAAAATGTAAAGTTAAGGAAATCCCCTATGAGGTAGGGCAAAAAGGCAAAGATATGGTCCATAATGTGAAGACAATTAAAAAATTCACCCAACATGAATTTTAGAAAAAGAAAACAGAGTATATATTGGGAAAGACATTATCAATTAAATACTGCCATACATTACCCAGAACTTATGGATAATTCTCTCCATAATGAAAAAAGCCATTGATTATCTAAAAGACCAGATTTAACATTTTCAGGCCCCAGTGCAGGAAGACAAATGGAGGCTCACATACTCTATCTCTGAATAACCATACATTATAAAGTAAAATCGACCCTAGGTTCAGGTTAGGTTTCCATCCAAGTCCTGAAGCCTGTCCCTTGGAGACTGCCCTTCTAACCTGGCCTAGAGACAGAAGAATCATGTGTTTCCCTGCACCAACACTGACTGATCCTGCAAGCTGAGAGGTGGGAAAATACGGAGTGGCAGGGCTGTCTGCTGGAGCAGTGGGCAGGAGCTGAGATGAGGCCCAGCACTGACCTGGCCAAGAGACAGAAGAATCATGTGTTTCCCTGCACCAACCCTGACTGATCCTGCAAGCTGAGAGGTGGGAAAGTATGGAGAGCCTCTAATGAGTTTTCAGTTCAGCAAATCTAGTTACCAGTCCCCAGATTTCTGTTTGATTTTTCAAAATTATTTCAATCTCTGTTAAAATTCTCTGATAAATCAATAAATTGCTTTCCTATGCTATCTTGCAGATATCTGATTTCCTTAAAATTGTTATTTTGAATTCTTGATCAGAGAGCTAACCAACTGTCATGTCATTGGGGTCAGTAACTAGTTTGGTACCTTTGTCCTTTTGGGAAGGCCATGGCTCTTTGCTTGCTGTTGTTTCCTGTGGGTATACTTCTATGTCTTTCCATAGAAGGGTTATTAATTAATTCCAGTTTTTCAGGTCTGGGTTGTGTTTGTTGTTATTGAGTCTATTTGCTTGGCAAATCCTCACTGCTGGGCTGTTGCCTCCCTTTTGACTCTAGGTGGTGTCTCAACCTCACTTTTACCTTGTCTTTAGTAAACGGTTGGAGTATTAACTGTCCGAAATGGGAAATGTCCCAAAGGAATTACCCTGGAAGTATGAGAAACTTGGCTAGGGGTTATGGTCTGGTGACCTAAGGAATGTACCTCCTAAAGCATGGTGCTATTGAACATCTACCCTGATTTGGCTTCTCCTTTGGCCAAGTTATGAACAGTGTCCAGAACTGGAGATGATCTTCCCTCCTCCCTATTTTGTCTCTTGCTCTCTTCAGGAATATTCCTCCCTGAGGACAGAGAATATTCATCTTCCCTAAGGGAGTCATAATGCATCTCATGGGCTAAGGAAGAACAAGTTTCTTGCCAGGGAATCCAAGGTGGTAAATAATCTGTTTGAGAACATCAATTTCACTTTATTCACTCTAAAATCCATGAATTGGGGGAGATTCTCTGCATGTGTGGTGCCAGGAAGAATAGGAAGGAGGGACATCATGGAGGTGGAAGTCCCATCTCCTACTGTCTTCTTGATGATTTTCCACTTCTCTTTGGCCCTGAGAACCATCTCATTTTCATACTTGAGCTATGTATTTTTCCTGACATAGATCTCAAAGCTCTATATTTGTTTTTGGTATTCTGTTTGTTGGGGTAGTAAGTCAGCTTGCCTCTACAGCAACACTTTGGAACTAGTGGGTAGCTATTTTGTTGAGACAACCATATGCTATCTCTGAAACCACACTGACCCTTCAGAAAATTCCTCCCTCTTCCTGACCTGCAAGAATAATAATCACTGCCGACACTTTGGAGCTGGTCTGGGTTCATCCCATTCCATCCAGCACTGCTGGCACCCATGTACTTCTCTGATGGGTCTGAGGACAAACCTACACAGCCTGTGCCAAGACCATTGCCAGTACGTACCTGCATGTGACACCTTGGATTCTTAGGACTGGCCTACATAGGCCATTGCCATCACCATTACCACCAGCACATTCAACCTGGAAGCCTGAGGGTTGTCTTGCTACTGCTATTGCTATCACCCATGCCAGGCACATTGCACAAAGTCTCAAGAACCACTCACTCACCAGGCCCACCACTGCAACTTCCAGCACCACAGGAAACTCCCTGGAGGTACAATAATTTACCCAACTGAAACTGTGGATATTGGTGTCAATGTTTGTTGTCTGGAGGCTCAAAGACCGGCATGCTCATTCCACTGCTGCCACTAACATGTGTTGCAGACTGGCCCATCTAGTACCCCTGTTCCCATCAAAACCTCACAAAAACTTTTACTAACAACCTCAGTCTTAGCAACTGAGGAAATCACAGACCACTGATCCCGACTAGAGACAAAGAAACCATACAGATATTATGCTAGTGTATACACCCAGAATCAAAGCTAAAGTGCTGTATGCAACCAACACTACAGATATATCTATAGAAAAAATAGTGTTCCCCTATGAAAGCCAATCAAGAAGAGGCTGTTACTCCAGACGTGCATATACTAATATAGGGACTCAATAAACATGAAGATGCTAGAAAACATGACACCCCTACAGGACCACAATTATTCTTCAGCAGGAGATTGCAACAAAAATAAAATCTATGAACTTCTAAAAAATTCATAAATATGATATCATAGAAGCTTAGTTAAATATAATAGAGCAAAGATAATCAATACAAAAATCTGAAAAAAATCAGAATATGAATAAGAAATTCACCAGATACCTAGATGTCATGAGAAAGACCAAACAGATATCTTGGTAGTAAAGAATTCAATGAATAAAGTAAAAAAAAAAAAATATTTTCAAAAGCTTCAACGATAGACTAGGTAAGGCAGAAGAAAAAAATTCACCACTTGAGGACTAGATTTCTGAAATAAACCAGATAGAAAATATAATAAATCATCTAAATAAAGCCAGTATTCAATATAACATACCATGTAGTTACCAAAGGTTTGATTCTGAGTATTCCAGAATACTCAAGAAGAAGAGATGGGCAGAGGCATGACAAAAATTTTAAACTAAGCACATGTACCCTAAAACTTAAAGTATAATAATAATAAAATAAAATAAAAAAAGAAAAAAAAATAATAGCTGAAAATTTGTCAAGTCAAGTCTAGCAAGAGATTTAGACATTCAAATAGAGGACCTCAATGATACTCAAATTGACACAACCCCAGAAGTCCTTCTCCAAGGCATACAGTGGTCAAACTGTCAAAAGCCAAAAGTCGTTAATTCTAAAAACAGTAAGATAAAAGCATCGAGTCATGATAATGGAACCCTCATCAGATTAACAGTGATTTTCACTGTATAAACTGTGAAAGAGAGATAAAATCATATATTTAAAGTGTTCAAAGAAAAAAAATCTGCCAGCCAAGAGCACTATCTTCAGCACAGGCGAACTTCAAAATGAAGTAACAATAAAGTTTTTCCCTGAAAAGCAAAAACAGAGAATTCATCACCACAATGACTGCCCCACAAGATATGCTTAAGGGAATTCTGCTCCTGAAAGCAAAAGTACAATATCTACCGTCATGAAAACACAAAAAATTTAAAATACTCCCTAGTACAGCAGACAAATGAAGACTTGAAATGATTTAAATTTTACTATTATAGAAAAATACTAAACCACAATAATAAAAAGTGAGAGAAAAAGAAACAAAGTATATGTAAAACAAACAAAAACAAATAACAAAATGAAGTAATTTCTCACATATGAATAATAATCTTGATTGAAAATTGATTAAATTCTCCACTTGAAAGACATAGACTGGCTGAGTGAATTTTTAAAAAATATCCTAACTATATGCTGCTTACAAGAAACTGACTTCACCTAATAAGACACATATAGACTGAAAATGAAGGGATAGAAGAAAATATCCCATGTAAACAGAAACAAAAACAAGTCGAAATAGGTATATTAACATCAGATAAAATAGACTCTATGTCAAAAACAGTAATGAGAGAAAAAGAAGGTTATTATTTAAGAATAGAAAGATCAATTTAGCATGAGGATATAACAAAACTAAATATATTCCCCCAACACTAGAGTATACCTAGATACATAAAGCTATCATTATGACATCTAAAAGGATAAATAGATTCCAATACAATAGTAGTGTAAACTTTAACACCTGACTCTCAGCATTAAACAGATTATTTAGACAGAAAATCTACAAAGAAATATTGGACTTAATCTTAAGAATAAGGGGACCCAATATACATTATAGACATTTTTATTTAACAGTGGCAAAACATACCATTTTTCTTATTAGCCTGTGGAAGATTTTCTAATACAGACCGTATGTTAGGCCACAAAACAAGTCTCAGTACATTTTGAAAAAGCAGTATACTTTATTTTCATATACCACAATGGATAAAACTAAAAATCAATATTAAGAGGAACTTTGGAAATTGTAAGAATACATGGAAATTAAACAACATGCTCCTGAGCAACCACTGGTTCAATGAAGAAATTTAGAAGAAAATTAAAATGTTTTTGAAATATGACAATGTAAACACAACATACAGCACAAATAGTGCTAAGAGGGGAGATGCTCTGAATAAATTCTTTCATCCAAAAGTAGAGAGATTTCAATTAAACAACCCAGTGATCCACCTGAGGGAACTAGAAAACTAAAAACAAACTGAACCCCAAATTAGTGAAAGGAAAAATATAGTAAAAATAAGAGCAGAACCAAACAACTAGAAACTAAAAAAAAACAAACCCAAACTCAATGTAATGAAAAGTTGGTTTATTGAAACAATAAATAAAATTCCTAAGTGTCTAGCTAGGCTATACTATATATGTGTGTGTATATATATATATACACACACACACACGTATATATATATATGCTATACTATATATATAGTATAGATATTGTGTATCTATACATATATAAAAATATATATATAGACAGAAAAAACTGAATGAAACAAAATCAGAAACTAAAAAGAAGATATTACAACTTATATCATAGAAATACAACTGTATATTTTGGACAATAATACACTAATGAAACCGTATGTTTTGAACAAGTATACACTATAATTGAACACCATGGAAAAAGATTAATTCCCTGACATATACAACTCACACAAAATGAGCCAGGAAAGAAGGGTAAACCTGAACAGACTAATAATGAGTAAAGAAATAGAATCAGTAATAAAAACGAAATCTCCCAACAAAGCAAAGTCCAGGCCTAGATGGTTTCACTGATGAATTCTACCAAACTTATAAGGAAAAAGGAAAAGCATTCCTCATCAAACAATTCCAACAAATTCAGAGAAGAGAATACTTCCTAACTAATTTTACAATGCCAGGAATACCCCAATGCTAAAAACATACACGAACACAACAACAATAACTATAACAAAAATTAGAGGTCAGTATTTCTGATGAACACAGACACAAAAATCCTCAAGAAAATGTTAGCAAACCAAATCTAAGAACACATCAGAAAGATAATTAGCAATAATCAAGTGGTATTTATCCCAGGGATGCAAGAATGGTTCAGCATACATGAATCGATAAATGTGGTACATCACATTAACAGAATAAAGACAAAACCAAATAAGCATATGAATAGATGTAGGAAAAAGCATTTGATAAAAGTTAGCATCCATTTATGATAAAAGTTCCCAACGAACTACACAAAGAAGGAATATACCTCTATATAATGTAACCACATGTGACGAACTCACACCTAACATACAGAATGGGGAAAACTGAAAGCCATTTCTCTAAAAACTGAAATAAGACACCACTCAGTCAACATTTTACTTTATGTCATGTCCTAGCGAGAAGAATCAGGCAAGCAAAAAAAATAAAAGCCATCCAAATTGGAAAAGAGGAAGTTAAATTGTTCCTGTTTGCAGACGACATAGTCTTATATTAGGAAAAACACACTGGGGCCTTTCAGAGGGTAGAGGGTGGAAGGAGAAAGAGGATCAAGAAAAATAACTAATGGTACTAGGCTTGATACCTGGGTGATGAAATAATCTGTACGACAAACCCCCATGACACAAGTTTACCTATGTGACAAACATACAGTTGTACGTCTGAACTTAGAATAAAAGTTAAAAAAATTGTTAACATAAAAAAAGAAAAATCTAAACTCCACCAAAAAAATTTAGGACTATTCAATAACATTGCAGGATAAAATATCAATATGCAAAAATTAGTAGCATTTCTATATACTAGCAATAACCCAGCAGGAATGAAAAATCAGCTATGAAATTCCCTTTACAAAGCTATAAAAAATTAATTACTCAGTAATACATTTAAGCAAGCAGACTGATGTTTACCAGCTATATGACTGAAAATGTCAGGCAATCATATTGAGCTTTTGTTTTTTCATCTGAAGAGTAAACATAATGCAAGGAATTATTAAAGGGCTACCATAGGAATAAAAGAGCTAATGGTATAAAACATTATTAGTATTATTAGTATTGCATAGTATCTATGCAATAGTGTAAGTCAGAAACTGAAATGGCAGAAATCTACTTTTAATAACCATTTACATTTAATGTAATTATTGGTATTTTTGAGCCATTTTTGTTTTTCATATTTATACTACTTTTGATTGTTTTTCTTTTTCCTGATCTATGGATTCCTTGAAAATGTTTTTTGATTCCATTTTAGTTGATCTGTAAATTTTTTGCGTGACTCTCTGTACAGCATTGTTAGTGGTTGCTCCGTGTTACATTATGCATACATAGCTTTTCACAGCCTAGTGCTGTGCACATTTTACCCTATTCAGTAAAATATGGAAACCTTGCTTTCCTGTCTTTTTAACTGCTCCCCCTTTCCCACTGTTTGTAACAGAATCATATTAAATATATGTCTATGTGCATTTAGTGCCACAGTAAATTTTGTCATTTTTGCTTTGACATAAATTTATTGTCTTCCAGGTTTGCAGCTCAGAAATCTGAACTGGGTCTCACTGCGTTAAATCCATGTCTCAAGGCTGAGTTCCTTCCTGGAGTCTCTAGAAGAAAAGCTCATTATCTTGCCACATTCCTTGGCCCTCTTCCATCTTTAAAGCTAGCAATGGCCAGTTGAGCCATTTGAAACTCATGCAGAAAACGTGAGAAGAAAGATATTTTGTGTTTACCTACTTTGTATTTCCAATTTTTGTTTTTGGCTTGTTGTCATTGTTGTTGTTGTTGCTCATTCTTGTTGTTGTTGCTCATTCTTGATGTTCCAGAAAAATCCTATTCTATTTTTTCCTTTATGATTAGTGACCTTCATAGAACCATTTTATAAGATAGGTCTGTTGGAAAGAAATTCTCTTAGATTTTTTTTTCTGTCTTCTAAGAATGCCTGTATTTTCTCTTTATTGATGAGTAGTTATATTGGACATAAACATCTGGTTGACATTTTTTTTCTTTCAGCACTTTGAATATTTTAGCTACATCCTATTGGTTATTCTGCTCTCTGGTAATAACACCACTGTTACTCACATTGTGTTTTCCCTATAGCTATGGTGTCATTTGTTTCTTGCTGCTTTCAAAACATTTTTTTTAGTTTTTAGAAATTTGACTACAGTGTTGCTTGCATGGATTTTCTTGGGTATATTCTGGTTGGCAGTTGCTCATCTTCTTGCATCTGTAGGTTTATGCCCATTGCAAGTTTGGAGAATTTTCAGCCATTATGTCTTTGAGTTCTCTCTCAATAGCATCCTCATTGTTCTTCCCTTCTGAAGCTCAGATTTTATCATTATCACATTATTTGTTATAACCTTTCTTGTTCATAACAGTATTTAAAATTTTACCCTGTGTTCGAGTATACAGTTTCTATTAATCCAGCCTCAAGAATACTGACTCTTTCCTCCATCATTTCCTTTCTGTTAGTGATCACACCAAATAATATTTTATTTAATTTTTTACACTACATATCTCAGTATCAAAATTTCTATGTCATTATATTATATAGTTTCTTTTTTCTGCTGGGAATTTTTTTTCCATTTAAATTGAGAGTGTACACATTGACCTCATAATGGATGTTTGTAACACCTGCTTCAGTGAGATTGAAAATCTCACCGTTTTAATATCCAGATTGTTTCAAGGTTATCATCTCTTGATTATTTAACTCCTTGAGAATTGGTCGATTGTTTCTGATTTTATAAAGTATGTTGAGTAATTTTCTATTTTATCCCACACACAGGACTTTCTCTGTTTACAGTACACAATAAGTTCAATGAAGGAAGTTTTGGACATTGGAGGGTAGAGGCCTTCTTGCTTAATTGAGATCCACTCACTGGTTCAGATAGCAGGGGATTTTGTCCCACTAACATTTTTCTACTTGGAGCTTCTGCCTGGATGATCCTTTATGGCTCTTACGAGATAAAACTATAAGTATATTTAACATCATAGCATACATAGTGTGCACTGAAGGGGTCCCAAAAAATTCCTATTCACAAAGTCTTTTTTAGTTTTCTTTTGTGCATCATTTGCTCAAATCTCAATTGAATTTGAGGACTTCATTTTCCTTTCTTCCCTACAGTAACAACACAGTTTAACACCTGCTTAATTAGAGTCTATTACAGTACCCGGGTAGGCCTGCTGTCTTCTGACTGGGGATTTATAGAAAGTGGATAATACGGCTGAGGTAAAATCAACGACTACAGGCCTGGCGAAATGGCTCATGCCTGTAATCCAACTACTTTCAAGGGCAGAAGTGGGAGAATTCCTTGACACAAGGAATTTGAGATATGCTTGGGCAACATAGTAAGACCCAGTCTTTATAAAAAAATTACAAAAGGATCCTGGCTCGGTGGTTTGCACCTGTAGACTCAGCTATTTGGGAGGGTGAGCTGGGAGTATAGATTGAGCCTGGGAGAGCAAGGCTACTGTGAGCCATGATTACGCCACTGCACTCCAGCCTAAGAGAGAGAGCAAGTCAAAGTCTGAAAAAACAACAATGAAAACCACCCAAAAAACAAAAAAGACTAGGGCCACCAAAAAGGCTTTCTTTTTCACTTGACTTCTTGCTCCAGGGTTTACCTTTTTAAAGTGCACCTCCCAGTGTCTAGGGAGTCTACAGACTTGGAGTCTCTTCCTTTCTTGCCTCGGTATCACAAGTGGCTCCATCCTATATCCTTCAGCACTCCTTCCCCATTTCCCACAGAGCCAAGTAGAATAGTGATTTGAACACATATAAGCAATTTTAATCCCTACCCTCCTTGATGCTTTACAAAATTTTGGGATGGATCTGTTAAGCTTTTGTCTCATTTGAGTCAGGGATATCTCAGGCCCAGCTCAAATCCTTAAAGGAACTGAGATCAGAGTAGAGGAATAGAAGTGATAAGGGAGATATGTATAAAGTGTCTTCATGCAAGTAAACAAGACACATTTAATTTCAAATTCAAGCAGTGCAGACATTGCTCAAAACCAATTGAATAAACATTTGAATTTTAGGTCTCCCCAAAGGTCTACAACAGTGATGGAGTATCTTTAATTCTTCTACCTCTTGTTCTCTATGGAAAAAAGCAAATGTAAAGGTGTCATTTGGTAAGTTTGTTTCAATTCTACCATCAGATACTCAGTTTTCAACCATTTCCCTATCCTACTCATTAATGAACAGCATAAGGGAAATTTTCATACATTTTGGTCAACATACCAGCTATTGGTGTGTCCTTTTTACATTAACTGAAGAATAATAAATAGTCTTTACAGATGTTACGAGATTACAAAACAAAAAGCATCCAAAGGATCTAAATTAGGGTGTAATGTGGATGCCTAATGGTTTTCTATCAGAACTCTCACCAATTGCCCTGTCTGATGAGAGAAATGAGCAGGAGCTCTGTCGTGGTGAAGGACTCTGCTGAAGCTCCCCCAGGCATTTCTCTACTAGAGTTCTGGCTTTCTCAAAATATTCTCAGAATAAGCATATATTGTCCTTCTCTGGCCCTTCAGAAAGTCAATAAGCAAAATGCCTTGAGCTTCCCAATAAACTCTTACAATTACCTTTGCACTTTCCTCATCCACTCTTCTTTGACTGGACCACTTCCACCTCTTGGTAGCCATTGCTTTGATTGTGCTTTGTTTCATGATTGTACTGATAAAGCCATGTTATATCTGCTGTCACAATTCTTTGATGAAATGCTTCAGGATCTTTATCCCCTTATTTAAATTTTCAGGGAAGCTTCTTCTCTTGTCTGTAGCTGCTCTGGTTGCCATAGTTTTGGCATCCACAGAGTGAAAAATTTGCTCAACATTAATTTTTCAGTTAGAATCATGTAAGATGAACCAATTAAAAAACATGAAGGGTTGGCTATTGTTTGTACTCTTAATCTTCATTCCTCTTCTATCATGGTATCAACAAGATACATTTGATATGAATACTCTGTCACCGTAGACTTGAGGTTCAGCACCATTTCATCCCTTCTTGAAATAACATATCTACTTGTGAACTGCTGATTTCTTCAGCCATTATCCATATGAACTTTTCAGAAAGCATCAGTGGTTTTACCTTCTTTCATGCAAGCTTAACCATAAATTTTCTCTTTGTTTTCACTTTAATTTTAGAAAAATGTATTTTGCTCTTATAGGGGATGTTTTGAAACTCCTGTCTTATTTTTCATTATTCCTTGAAATAGCTCCTATTCAGACATCTTACAGCATATCAGTTTAGGTTCATTTTGATGCCAAAAAATGTGGAATCCTTTTATGGTATTTCTTAATATAACATACATTTTCATGAACTTTTTAAAGACCTACTACATTACAGGAAGGCCTTTCAATAATATAAGAATTGCTACAGGTAACATTGAATTTTCTAGTTGATTAGGCAGATTAACTTTCTGTTTTTCTGCTGACATAAATAGTGATGTGGGTTGAGAAGGAATATAATACCAGTGGTCAAATATTCTGCAGCTATGTGGAAAGTCAAACAGTTGCAACTAAGTGTCACATGCTTTAAGGGAGTCATAGAGTAGCTGCTTGGGCCTAGCAGGTACCCTGATGTTAACAGGATGATTGTCTCTGGTTTCACCAAACATTACTTCAAAAGAGTTACTGGACATGAGCAGTTTTGCCTAGGTAGCTTACAGTAGACCTTCAAGTAGGTAAGGAAGGTCAGAGAGAATGAGCAGAGGTGAATGCCAGTCAGATGTGCCTCTTTGAGTGGGTAGCTGAGGAAGTTCCAGTCCTGGTGGGAGGCAGGCTTCTCCTTGTCTCCTGAGTCCAGGAAGAGAACAGGTGATGCTTCCATATATCACTCAACTCACACCCTATTCCTGACCCTCTCTAATGTCAGAAATGAGTGAGAGAGATTTGTGTTTCAGGCAAGAATAAATATTGGGTATCAACCTACCAGACAACCAAAACAGAGATTACCAAAGAGCTGAAGGAGACACTGTGACTGACTTAGAATGGAGTCAAAGCCAGGAGCAGGACTGCAGCAGGCGCTTAGGCATCTGTACAGGAGTCAAGGACCTCAGCAATCCACCTGTCATTTAAAATGAATGTAAACATACCGTGTACCAAGTAGAATCTTGATTTCCACCTTCTATAACCTGTTCTCTTTAATATCAACAATCATTAATTTCAGACCAAGAAACCAGAATATATTGAGAAACACATCAATGAAACAATACATTTCCCAGAACTAAAGGTTAATTCTCCATATCGAAAGGGCCCAATGATTATCCAAAAGCCCAAATTTAACATTTTCAGGGCTCAGTGCAAGAAGACAATTAGTGGCTAACATACTCCAACTCTTAATAATCACACATTATAAAGCAAGCTAGACTCTAGGTTTAGATCACATTTCCATGTAAGTCCTTCAGCCTGTTGCTTGGAGATTGCTCATATAAGCTGGCATAGAGACTAAAGGTGTCTGTGTTTCCCTGTAACAATCCTGACCCCGCAATCTGAGAGGTGGGAGGAGGGGGGCACAGGGCTGTCTGCTAGAGAAGCACACTAGACGTTGGGCTGGAGCCCAGGACTGATCTGCCCAAGCTTCGAGAGCCCCTGCCAGGCATGTTATGCTCCCCTATGCCTCACTTCTGAGTTTGGACTAGTGGCAATGTCTACACAGCTCCCAATGATAACCCTACTGAGCATAGGACTGGCAGAGAATAATAACCAGAATATACAAACAAACAACTCAAAAACAACAAAATAGTCCATTAAAAAGTGAACAAGAGATAGAAATGGACATCTTTTCAAATAAGACATACAAATAATCAACAGTATGTGAAAAATACTCTATATCACTAATCATCAGAGAAATAAAAATCAAAACCACACTATCACCTTACCCTATTCAGAATGGCTATGATTAAAACAAACAAACAAACAAAACAGATGTTGGGATGGATGTGGAGAAAGGAGAGCTCTTATACACCCTGATTGGAAAGTAAATAGTATAAACTCTATGGAAAACAGTATGATTTCTCAAAGAACTAAAACTCGATTACTATTCAATCTAGCAATCTTACTACTGTATCTATGCAGAGGAAATGAAATCAGTATATGAAAAATAAATCTGCACTTCTATGTTTATTGAAACACCATACACAACAGCAAAGATATGGCATCAACCTAAGTAACCATCAATGGATACTAATGGGTTTGTAGGTAAAGAAATCGTGATATATACACAATGCAATACTACTCTGCAAAAAAAAAAAAAAAAAAAAAAAAGAAGGAACGAAATCACTCCTTTTGTAGCAATACGAATGGAACTGGATGTGACAGATAATATGCTATGTGACAAAGGCCAGATACAGAAAGTCAAGTATAACATGTTGTCACTAATAAGTAGGTGCTAAAATGTGTTTACATAGATATAGAGGGGAGAACTATAGACACTGAAGCCTTGGAAGAGTGAGTGGGTGGGAGGGAATTAAGAGTTAGACATTAATTAGTAAATGCAATATTTGTTATTCTTGTTATGGAAACCCTAAGGCCATGATTTAACCATTATGCAATGTATACATGTAACAAAATTATCTTTGAACCACATATATTTATAAAAATAAAGTTTAAAAATAAATTGAGGGTGACCGGGTGCGGTGGCTCACGCCTGTAATCACAGCACTTTGGGATGCCGAGGCGGATGGAACACGAGGTCAGGAGTTCGATACCAGCCTGACCAACATGGTGAAACCCCGTCTTAACTAAAAATACAAAAATTAGCCAGGCATGGTGGTGCATGCTTGTAATCCCAGCTACTCAGGAGGCTGAGGCAGGAGAATCGCTTGAACCTGGGAGGCGGAGGTTGCAGTGAGCCGATATCTTGCCACTGCAGGCCAGCCTGGGTGACAGAATGAGACTCCATCTCAAAATAAATAAATAAATAAATAAATAAATAAATAAATAAATATAATTGAAGGCAAATTTAAGCATATTTTTTCAAAAAAGAAAAAGAGGGAGATGGAGTAGGAGAAATAAAAAAGAAGGAAGAGGAGGAGGAGGAGGAAGAAAGAGCCTGCATTTCTAATTGTCATAATTAAATTTCCATAAGCAGATACTATTTTTTTTAAAAAAAACCTAATTAGAATTTTACGGGTCTGATAAGAAAGAAAATGCTAAAAAAAATATGAATACTCAGTGTGTTCCTATTTTGTTTGAAAGCCTAGAAAAAAACAATATCAGAGACTATTCTACTTAGATTTTTTGGACAAAGAAATCTTAAGATTTTTAACTCGGGAACATTTAATTCCTCACAATTTCATGTCTGCTGTTCTTTCCTAAAATCATTATTGTGAAGCAGACATGACTATATCCACTAGTGTTTCATGTATGTGATCTGCTTAGTCTTCATCCTTTAGGGGAGCCATTTTGATTATTCAAAAATTTAGAAGAGGAAACTTAGGCTCTGAGACTTAAGTAGCTTCCTATGAGTCCAGAGTTAGCAAGACATAGTTCTTAAACTGCAATCTGAGAGATTCCAAATTCTTTGCCCATTCAAGTCAGGCTGCCTCTGATGAAATCCATTTAGGTTTTCTTAAGAATAGTAAGACTCATAGGCAGGGACAGAACTGATCAGTGATAAAATATGGGAAAATAGGTCTAGTGGCTTCTGGGGAATAGAGGCATAGAACCATACTCATTTCCCTAGAAAACAAAATCGGTTACTTTTGAACTTGTTAAAATTTCTCTCAGCTTCTGGGATTTTCTTTCATTGGTATTGTTTTGCTTACATTCATAAGCTGACTAGAATATCAAGAAATGACCTGAAAATAATTGTACAACTTAAATTCGAGCTATAGAAGACAGAGAAGGAAAGAAACAGTGGAACTCCTTCCCCAGGTGGATGACTTAATAAGGATAAGGAGGAGAGAAGCTTGCTGGAAACATCAAGGAGAAGGGGTCCTGGATATTCTTACAATGTGAACATGGGTCTCAGATTCTAGAGTCCCAAACACTCAGAAAGAGACACCACCAGCAGAAATTGCAAGCTGATTGTTTTATTGGTATACTGAAGTTAGAGCATGATGCCATGTTTCACGGCATTTGAAACACTGTTATCTTCTTATTCACTTCCTGAAAAAGACAAGCAAACAAGGAAGATTACAGACAACACTTGACATGGCAGGAAATGTCTAATCCCTCACTGGGGGTTACTGCAGTGATGGAGATGCAAGCCCCTACTCTTGCCCTCTATCCCTTCTACAGCCCCCTTCTCCTTAGTAATATTTTCTTTGTTCACTCTTTAAGCCATTGCACATAATGTGATTTAAAGTGTTGCTTAGATGAGAAAGAGAAACAATTATTGTTATGTGTTCATGCTTTGCTGCTGTTGGTTATGTAAGGGCTATTTTTACAAAGATGGGCACTGCAACATATCATATAATAGTGAGAATGTGAATCCAGCCTTAATATCCAGTGACAGGGATTGGTTAAATAGATTACGGAACAACCAAACAATAGAATAGTATACAATTGTAAAAACAAACTAACCAATAAACACTGAAGAGATCTAAATGAACTCATGAGAAAGTTTTCTAAACAATAAATTTTTCCAGTGAGTAAGACACAAATCTGAATATACAGTATGGTATAAGTGCTTGTAATAAAAGCATTATATATATTTATGTAGCAATATATATTTCAAAAAGTAGATTCCAAAGAGTAAAAGGTGGGGGTTTTGAGAAGGATAGAAGGGAGGAAAGATGAGTTAGGCTCTTACTATTTAGCTCTGTACATTTCGGTTCAGTGAGATTAGTTTTTGTTAGCTTAAGCATGTATGACTTTAAATGTAAGTATACTAAAAATGAGATACCATTTTACAACTGAAAGTTCAAGGACCACTTAGCAGGAATACTGGACCTGAAAGCCTGATGTGAGGCAGGACTGAGCAAAGCATGTTCAGGTGAAAACTTTAAATGGGAGTCTGAGTTTGAGGAAAGAAAATAGAGAGAGCCAAAGGGGGAACATGGTTCTATGTCCTCATTGTCAACCCTACTTAAGACATGTAATTTGAAGATAGTGATTCTCAAAATCAGAATTGCCTTCAAGAGCTTCTGTAAAACACAGGGTCACAGGGTCTTGATACTCTATACAAGAATATCTGAATAACAATTTTTAGAAATGTGTTCCAGGACAGGGCAATATTAACAGGTTTTCAGAGGATTCATTGGCACAATGAAGTTGGAGAACTGTAGCAGTTGGAGCCTTTGATGGATAATAAACTGGAATCGTACCTGTCATTGAATCCTAGATTACTGAGGAGACTGCCCCTGTGGAGGTCCTTGTGGGCGGCCCCCTTGGGGAGGTGGTCCCTGGGGCTTTCCAGGAGGAGGTGGGGGAGGACCTTGCTGATGGCCTCCCTGTTGGGGTGGTCCTTGTGGCCTTCCTCGAGGAGGACGGGGATGGCCTCCCTGTTGGGGTGGTCCTTGTGGCCTTCCTTGAGGAGGAGGGGGATGGCCTCCCTGTTGGGGTGGTCCTTGTGGCTTTCCCTGAGGAGGTGGTGGACCTTGTTGCTGCTGGCCTCCTTGTTGGGGTGGTCCTTGTGGCTTTCCCTGAGGAGGTGGTGGACCTTGTTGCTGCTGGCCTCCTTGTTGGGGTGGTCCCTGCTGAGGGCCATCATCCTGGTTCCCATCACCAGCAGAGGGTTGAGATTGCTGTCCTCCCAAAGGTGGTCCCTGACGCTCCTCATCTAGGAACTGCTCAGAGTCTCCTCCATCTGTGTGAGTTGAAACAAGAAGAGCTGAGCTCATGCTGGAAAACCCTCCTGTCTTCATACCTCTCTGTCTTCACCACACGGCCGGCCCCTCTCTGCCTGACCTGCCTCTCAACTCCCAACCTCCCCCCTTCCCAAGGCTTCCTAATTAGAACTCCTCTTAATCCACATAAGGGTGATGAAAAATTGAATTTCTTTACTCATGGTCCCCAGAATCAAGGTTGGGAGAAAACTGTTTGTATCTTTGGGGCATTGGTATTAGCCAATTCCTGACAAGAAAATGGTGATAAGAAGACACTGGAGAACTCATCAATTTTTCAGGGAAAAATGGAGACAGAGTTTACTGAGAATTTATTGGGATTTACCTGATATTACGAGGGGAACATCTTCCTGGCTGACATCTAGAAAAGAAGTACAGGATGATGGGAAAAGTTACTTCCTGAATCATTCAAGGCTCATAGTGTTCTACGAGGATAAAGGACCTCTGATCACACCCTGTGCATCCCCTTTGTGATCTCATCAGCCACTCTCTGATGCTACTGGAAGTGGAAGAAGATGTAAGGGAAAGCAGTATTGTTACTACACTGAGCGTCAACCAGGAACTCAACATAGAAGGGCCCCTGTTTGTCCTCTTTTGATTCCCCAAGCCTTGATGAGGAATGAAGATACAATAGGTCTTCTGATCCTCGGCATGAAAATTCTGCAGTCCCATCTGTTTTCTCATCCTCCTCTCTTCCCTCCACTTTCCTCCTCTATAGCATTTGCCTGTAAACCCTTAGCGCTTATTTAGTTAAACTGCTCTGAGTATTTCAATGACATATTTGGGGATTCTTCTGCCCTCTTTCATCTGTAAATATGTTGTTTATGTTTGCAAGCCTTCTCAACAGGAGCCACCAGACATAGCCACTTGGATATAATCTTACGCATGCCATTCCCAGCACATTGAAATACTACATTCAGGAGACAGAAAAATGACAATGTTTCACTCTGGTTATTCTCTAACTCTATGTAGACAGAGACAAGTGTTTACCCAATTCTCTGCCTCGGCAGTAGCTCTGACATGTGTTTATCTCCTTCATTAATGCTCATCCACTGTACAGCAAGGCCACCATCATCCCTGTCTACTGGGATCAGTACAGGATCTTCACAGCTGTACTTCCCTGAATCTGTCTTGCATTCTCCACATCCTTCACAGCAGTCCCATGTCTCTATATAATGCAAATCTCACTCTCTCACACCCCTAGTACGAATTCTTTATTGGATTCTATTTGTGCAACAAATAAACTATGAGGCCTTGATGAGGAATGGAGGTACAATAGATCTTCTGATCCTCAGCATGAGAACTCTGCAGTCCCATCTGTTTTCTCATCCTCCTCTCTTCCCTCCACTTTCCTCCTCTATAGCATTTGCCTGTAAACCCCAATCAGAGTCACAATATCTTCCCCCAATTCATCTTACCTTCATTTAAATCCTGAGCTGAGCTGAAGGCCAGCAGGGCCACTGACAGCAGAATCAGAAGCATCTTGCAGGAGGCTCTGGTGTCACTCCCAACTTTGTGCTGGGAGAAACGTGTCAGCTCCCTTTATAAAGACAAGCAGGACAATGGTGCATTTGAGCTCCCTACCAGGTGGGCCTCCTCGCCTCAGAGACTGGCTTCTGCTTTGCTTACTTCAGGTCAAGTGTATCCCTCATTTCTTTTGGGACTCTAGCTCAGCAGGAAGGGTTGGGTAGGATATTGTTTGTGTCTAATTCCTAAAAGGCACAACTATGACTTGGACAAATGTTTTGACGGAACTGTGTCCAAGCAGTCGGCACAGTGTCAGGATTGAACTTTAGACATCTTTTGGTTTTCAATCTGTTTGGAAAGACTGCTATTCTGCTTTTCACTGTGCTTTTCATTTCTGTGTATGTGAGTTTGTGTGGGTGTGTCGGGGGGTGGACACTGATCCTACAGCTAACAGTGAAGATGGTCAATATCTCTGACTGTTTTGATAGCCTCTTTCCATCTCTCATGATGTGTGTGCGTGGATATTTTCACATTTAGCTAAATTTTTCATGTAACAGAGATGGTCTTGCTTATCTGTGAGATGTGTGAGGACAGCACACTCCCAGGCACACATATATGAGAGAAAGGTGCTGGCAGCCTGCTCAGGCTACAAGAATTGTCCAAACTTCTGTGAATCTCACTACACTCAGGCAAGCCTTGGTGCTATACAACACAGGCAAGCTAAAATATTTGTATTTTAAAAATATCTTTAGGGTTTATTAAAGCAAAACTGAACTCAGAAACCACCAAGGAATTTCTAGACCTGAACAAACTGAATATATGGTTCCCTAAGTGAGCCACACGATGTCATATAGCTAAGACCTCCACTTTCTCCAGAATATTCCATAGAATTCATCCTCTACTTTATTTCTTCTAATAAATATTGTAATTGTCATCACTGATAATTAAATGGCCACAATTATACATTCATCTAAGATAATTTGTAATACCTGTCCAAGCCTCAATTGCCTTGATTGGTCTTCTGCTTTTACTCAGTAATTATGTCACCTGTTTCATCAGAGTGTTCTTTCTCACCAAGGATTTTTATCTGTAATATTCCAATACTCATTCTTTCTCATTCTTTTTCTCGCACTTATTTGTTGAAATTTTGTATTCTGAGTCTACCTTGCCATGTTTACTTTTCGTCCTATATCTTTTTTTTTCTCCCTACAAAGGTGTCCTTTATTTATCCTTCTAAGTAAAGGTGTGTGGTACTCCTCACTACCTTTACTTTCATTTTTGTCTGTATAATTTGACAATAAAAAATTAAGTTTCCAAAAAGCCCTGTCAGGGTCCTGGTTTGGTAGCTCTCTCCTCAGCTGCTGATTGCTCCAAAAATTAAGTTTCCAAAAAGCCCTGTCAGAGTCCTGGTTTTGTCGCTCTCTCCTCAGCTGCTGATTGCTCTGTGATACCTAGAAATTCCCTGCTCATCAATTCATAAAATATACTACTCAGAATCACCAGCTGCACTTTCCATTTCAGACCTTGAGTAGGTCTTGTGTAATTTTTCACTTTTTGTGCATGGTTAGTCTTTATTTGAGGATAGCTTGGTTGGAGGCATGGCTGAGAAGCCAGGTGACAGAAAATCATAAAGACAAGGCCCTAGACAGGTGTGCATGAGTGGATCCTGTGCTGGGCATATGAGGGTCTGGTATGGCTCTTCTGAAAAGTTGCAGATAATAATACAAGAAGGCTTCCTAGTAGATTAGATTTTGCTACAGACGACATTGTTCTTGTAAGGGACCCAGGCAGATTGGTATTTTCCCTGGAATAAATATAGACCTATTTCAGGGGGGAATGCATTCTTAATTGGCAATTCTTCTCTGGCCCTGTGGGAAGTAGATCAGCTCTAGCTGGGCCGTATGAGTTGTATCTCAGGCACAGAGTAGTTGCTTGAGCCCAGCAGCTCCCAATGCGTTATGGAGATTATTGTCTCTGGTTTCACCAGGTACTGTTTCCCATAGGACCTGGAGATGAGCAGTCCTGCCTCGGTGACTTCAGGTCAACCATCATGTCAAAAAGGAAGGTCAGAGAAAAGGAACAAAGAGGAGTGCCAGGCAGATATTGCCTGATGATGTGGGGGACTGAGGAAGCTGCAGGCCTGGTGCAAGACAGGTTTCTCCTTGGCAGCAGAGTACAGGAAAAGAACAGGAAATCCTCCTAAAGGTCACTCAGCTCAGGCCTGCTCCCTAACCTGCTCCAATGTCAGCAATCAGCGAGAGACTAGTGTATCAGGAAAGCATAAATATCAGCTATGCTCTCACTAGACACATCAAAAACAGAGGTAATGGAAGAGCTGAAAGGGACACTGTCTGTGAGTGAAGGTGGGTGAAAGGGAGACGCAGGACTGCTGCAGGAGCTTGGGTACCTAGAGGTGGGTGGCAGCCCTCAGCACCACACTTGCCTTCTACTATAGATGTTCATATTCTGAGGCCCTGAAGGGCCAGTCTTCAACATATGAAATTTTAGGATTCATCTCTCATAACACATCCCAACATTTTCTCGGTCACTGACAGGTGTTTACCTAGTGGTTCAAAAATCCTCGCTCCCTCCAGGAACTTATGCATTAGCCGATCTAATTGCCTCCACTTTCAAAATACGTCCCAAATATGACCACTTGCCTGATCTTTACTAGAAGGTGATTGTTCAGCCATGATGCTCTCTCCTGGAGGACTTTACCAGCCTCCAGCTGGTCTTGGTAATGTTCTTCCCCCAGCTCATCCCATATCAGTTCCCTCACAACAATCAGAGTGATCATTTAAAAGTAGAAATTAGGTTATATCACATTTGTGCTTCAAATCTCCTGTTTTTTCTTCTGCACTTGTGATAAGATCCAAATTTCATGCCTCAGCTCTTTCACACCCACATGCCTCACTCTTTTTTGAAAACCAGGAAGCTCTCTGAATGGAACAGAAAGTAGAATCTTCTTCGACTTCACCATGCTCTAGTTTGCCTGGAACACTAAAGATGGTTTGCCAGGAAAGATGAACATTGACAGAGGGAATAAACTTCTCTGAGAGTCAGTGAGTTTCATTGGGTCGCTGTGGTCTGGCAGTGTTATGAATTGGCAGAATTATTCTATTAATTGCACCAACTAAGCATTCTGATAATACAGTTAGCAAATAAACACAATAGTCTCTGAGACTTCAACTTGCTTTGACTTGTCTAAAAAGTTTGGTGACACTATTATGGCCAATTAACTATTAAAAATATCTTCTATATTTTTAAATTTGATGTTAGTGGTCCATAAATATATATATTTCACAATTAATTTAGCATATTTCTTTTTTTTTTTTTTGAGATGGTGTCTTGCTCTGTCACCCAGGTTGGGGTGCAGTGGCATGATCTCAGCTCACTGCAACTTCCACCTCCCGGGTTCAAGCAATTCTCCTGCCTCAGCCTCCCAAGTAGCTGGGATTACAGGTCCCTCGCCACCATGACTGACTAATTTTTTCCCATCTCTACTAAAAATACAAAAAAAAAATTATATCTAAAGAAATTAAGTCACATGGCTAGGGTCACTGTAGTAAATGAGGAAAAATTAAGTTGATTTTCTCTTCTCTTTGTAATTCCAGTTTAACCGGATGTTGTCGATGTTGTTTTCAATTTAGAAAATATAGCAAATTGTTCATTAGCCATGAGTATCACTCTGCTATCCACCACTTTCTAAGAAGGCGCTTATTTTAGAACAAGGCTAACACTAAATTACAGGAAATTAAGTAATTGTGGCAAACTAGAGAAGCATAGTATGTATAATAGGTCTTACTCAGTTAGATCCACCTGTCAAGGCTGAGTCCCTTTCTGGAGTCTCTAGAGAAGCACCCATTTTTTGTCCACATTCCTTGGCCTTCTTCCATCTTCAATGCCAGCAATAGCCACTTGAGCCTCCCATCACATAGCATCACGTCGCCCTTGCACTGACTCTTCTGCCTCCCTCTTCTGCAGTTAATGACCTTATGGTTACATTGAGTCCACCTAGATAATCCAGGATAACCTTTCTAAATTCAGGTCAATTGATTCGCAAATGTAATTTCCCTTTGTCATGTAAGTTAATATATTCACTTGTCTGAGAATTAGGAAGTGTGTGACTTTGGGAGACTGTTAATCTTCATAGAACACACAGGATGGACACCTTACCCATCTAGACCTGGTTTGGCTCAGTGAGAGTTGGAGAGACTCACCCAGGCTTCTTCCAGATATTTGCATGAGAATATGAATGAGTTTATGTATAATTAGTTGTTATACAAATATTTGTGACTTAAAGTATATATCTATGCAAAAGCGTAAATCACAAACTGAGATGGCAAAAATTTACTTTCAATAACCATTGACACTTAATGCATTTTTTGATATTTTAGAGCTGTCATATTTTTTGTTTTTTATTTATACTACTTTTGATTGTTTTCTTTTTCCTGATCTCCTATGGGGCCACTGAAAGTGTTTTATAATTCTATTTTAGTTGATCCGTATAATTTTTGAGTGTATCTCTCTGAACAGTGTTTTTAGTGATTCTTCTATGTTTTACTTTACATGTACATAGCTTATAATCTAGTGGTGTACACTTTTTACCAGTTTTAGTGAAGTATGGAAACCTTACATCCCTTTATAATTTTTAGGTCAAAATGAATTTATTATTTTTCAGTTTTGTAGGTCAGAAATCTGAACTGAGGTTCACTGAGTTAAATCCATGTGTCAAGGCTGAGTTTCCTCCTAGAGGCTCTAGAGAAGAATGTCATTTTTCCACATTTCCTGTCTCTCTTCCATCTTCAATGCTAGCAATGGCTGGTTAAAACATATGAAGAAAACTCAAGTGAAAAAGGAAGATATATTGTGTTTGCCCACTTTCCCCCTTTCTCTTATTTTTACTTCATTCTTGATGTTCCACAAATTTCTCTTCTATTCTTTCCTTTATGTTTAGAGAACTTCATTTGGCTATTATTTAAAGATAGGTTTGTTGGAAAGAAATTCTCCTAGGTTTCTAGCTTTTCTTTTTTTCTTAGAATGCCTGGATTTCCTTTACATTAATGAAGGATATTTTTATTGAACATAAACATCTGGTAGACCATTTCTACTTTTGAGCACTTTAAATATTTGTGCTCCTTTCTACTGTTATTTCTGGTTTCTGGTGATAATAACCACTATTATTTATATTGCATTTTCCCTATAACTATGATGTCATTTCCTTCTTTCTGCTTTCAATATTTTGTCTTTAATTTTCAGAAATTGGACAATGAATTTTCCTGGAATGGATTTCATTGGTTGTATTCTGGTTGGGATTTGCTCAGCTTCTTGAATCTGTAGGTTTATGCTCTTTGCTGTGTTTGGAAAATTTTTGATCATTATTTCTCTGAGTCCTTTTTCAACATCAACCTCTTCTGCTTTTCTGAAACTCAGAATGCATGAATAGTACATCATTTGTTATAGCCTTTCATATTCATGATATGATGTATAATTTTTTCAATTATTTTACCCTGTATTGTTTAGAGTATATAATTTCTATTGATCCAACCTCAAGAACACTGTCTTTCCTCCATCATTTTCTTTATGCTATTTATCATGCCCAATAAAGGTTTTTTAAGACATTATATTTTTCATTTCTAAAATATCTGTTTTCTTAATTTATAATTTATAATTCCTATTTTTCTGCTGACAAGTTTTTCCTTTCCATTCATTTTGAGTGTCTACCTTGACCTCATGAAGGATGGGTACAACAGCTCCTGTAAAGTCTTTGGTCATTTTAATATCTAAGTAATTTCAAGGTTGTAATTTCTTGATTGTTTCATTCCTTGAGAAATGGTCGATTTTTTGTGAGTTGTTTTGAGTACATTGAGTAATTTTCTGTTTTATCTTGCACAGAGGGATTTTCTCTTTTTGCAATACACAAAAAGCCCAATAAGGGTAGGTTCGGACATTGGAGGGTGAAGGCACTCATGGTAAATTATGCTCCACCAACTGGCTCAAATGGCCAGGGAGTTTGTCCCACTAACATTTTTGGTGGTTTTCCCTGGGTCAATCTCTCTGGCACTTATGAGATAATATTTTAAGTATTTAATATCACACCATACATACAGATATAAAGACAATAAAAAGCAGTGCATCGAATGGGTCCAAAGGGCCCTATCCACAAAGTCTTCCTAACTTTGGTGTGTGTGTGTGTGTGTTTGTGTGTGTGTGTGTGCACTGTTTGTTCAATCCTCATCAGTTGAACTCAGGCACTTCTTTTTCCTTTTTCTTTCTAAACCTGCTTGTTAGAGGCTGTCACAGTAGCCAGAAGGCCCTGCTATCTTCTATTTGAGTATTTATAGAATGCAGGAAAAAAGAGGGTAAACTATAAAGAACGACTGTAGGCCTCCCCGGTGCAGTGGCTCATGCCTGTAATATCAGTACTTGGAGAGGCAGAGGTGGGAGGACTGCTTAAGGCCAGGAGTTCTAGACCAGCCTGGGTGACATAGTGAGACTCCTCTGTCTTTACAAAACACTAAAAAATTATCCAGGCATGATGGTGTGTGCCTGTTGTCCTAGTCATTTGGGTGGCTGAGGTGGGAGGAAAAGAAGGGAAGGAAAGAGGAGGGGATGGGAGGGGAGGGGAGGGTTGGCTTTTTTTTTTTCCTCTTGGCTTCTTGCCCTTCTTTCTAGTGCACCTCCCAGTAGGGTCTCTTTTGTATTTCCTCACATGCTATTGTCCTCCATCCCTCAGCACCCCTTCCCCCAACCCCCAGAACCAAGTAGAATGGTGATTTGTGCACATATATCCAACAGGGCTATACTAATTTGAGTCCCTACTCTCCTTGAAGCTTTGCAATATGTTGGGATGGTTCTGTAGGGTCTTTGGTGTCCCTTGGGTCAGGAAGATCTCAGGCCCAGCCCGAATCCCTAAAGCAATTGACATCAGAATAGAGGTAAAGAAGTTATCAGGGAAATATAGAGAAAGTGTCTTCAGGCCAGTATGCAAGACACATTTACTTTCAAATAAGCATTATTGCCACTACTCGGTGGTTAACTGAATAAGCATCTGAATGTAACAACTTTGGGAGATCCTTAATCTTTTCACCTTTCCACCAAAGGCCTGTAACAACTTTGGGAGATCTTTAATCTGTCTACCTAATGTTATCTGGAGAAGACAGCTAAATCTAAAAGTGTCATTTGGAAGTCTGTTTCAGTTCTACCAGTGGTACTCAATTTTCAACCACTTCCCAATCCTCCTCATTAATGAGCAACATAATAGAAGAATATTTATTTACCAATTACAAACATTTTAGTCAACATGTTAGCTACCAGTTCCCATGGACTTTCAGCAAATCCTATTAATCAGCTTGTAGGATCCTTCACTTTCTCCTCAGAAGGCCAGGTCTTTGGGCTGTGTTCCATCCTCGTTGCCAAAATTATTATAAGCTAACAACTTAGCTTGTCACTTGTTGTACTTGCAGAAGGCAAAAGATGGTTTATTATTCACTGAAGTACTAGCAGTAGTCAGAGGAATATCATCGTACTATTTCTTCAAGCTTCAGTCCCCTCACAGGGATAAGATGAGAAACTGATGTTACATGTGCAAGTAGTGGTGTCTATCAAAAGAGAAATCTCAAAATTAGGAAACTCCAGTCTTAAAAACTTTGATCACTGTGAGTAACCTGTCCATCTTGCCTTCTGAAGAAGAAGCTTTACACTGGAATGTAAGCAAATATCTCTGGAGAGAAGAAGAAGAAGAGAAGAGTCTTTATCTTTAAACAAATCTGCCTTCTGACCAAGAGGGATACCCTATTTCTAAATCCCAAGGCTCTTTGCCATGACCTGGTCTTGGGCAAAGTGAACGAGACTCCTAGGGCACAAAACGTAAAAAGGCATTCAATAGGTTGCAGGGCCCTAAAACCAAGTGGCTCCTCAAACTTTGCACCCTGCATGCCTTGCTCACCTGATCCTAGTTGAGGCCCTTCTGTTTGCTCATCAAACATACTGTTTGCTCACAAGATAAGAGCTAGACCATGCAGAAGTGCAATACATTCATGGAGAATTTTTTTCCCAACATCCATTCCCAAGATCAAGGTTACACAGTTGCCAAAGATTGTAGAGTATTCTGAATATATCATCTATTTTCTTCCTGGACAGAACTAAATCCATCAGAAGTAACTTTTTTAAAAAATGTTTCTTTCTTTTGCATACAATTTGTTTTTATTTTAGATTAAGAGATGAGTCCAGAGGTAAGGGGGACAGGAGAACTGTGACATCAGGGATGACACTACCCTTTGAGAGCACTGGAGCAGTTAGAAAGGATTGAAAGTGAATAATCTTATTTCATAAGGGGTATGTCATTTTATGATTCAAATTAAGTCTGTGATTATCACTTAGCAAAATTGCTAAAATCATTATCAGAATATCCCATATCATGATAGGAGGAAGAAAAAGAAGTAAAATCTAAAATTGTTATGGAGGTAAATAGAAGACTGCCATAAACAAGCTATCTACAGAATTATGGGGCTTAGGAATTCACAGTACCCTATAAACAAGAACACAGCTTTGAGAATTTCTATACTCTAATTTTTAAAAATGAAGTATATTTTGTGAATTTTTCACCCACAAATTATTTTAACTGGAAGCCATCACAGCTCATTAATCAGCAATTGGTGAAGGACTAAAGCAGCCCAAATCATTCCTGTCTCAAAGTAAGGCCTGCTTGTAAGCAAGTGTGAACTGGGGATGTATGTGCAGAAATCAGAGCCTAAGTATGGTAAGCTGGACATTTCAGAGATAAGGAAGGCAGCTGGTGTGTGTGAAATCTTATATCAATAACTGATTTTATTTTTTCAGTCCTAATTGCTATTATGGAATTTGTGCTTTTCATTATTACATCTTCACAAAGCATGATTTTTAACTTTAGAACAATTTACATTTTATGCTGGATAATTCTGTTGTGAGGGACTGTCATGTGCATTGTGAGATATTGAGCAGCATCCTTGTCCTCGTACAGTTATCAGGTAAAATACAGAGTGTGTCAGTTCAATTTGAATTTCAAATAAGCAACAAATAATTGTCATTGTCTGTGTATCCAATTATCAATGCTGCAGGTCTGTAATTGGTCCTCCATAGCACACTTACATTATGATGTAAACTCATATTATGGTTATCACAAGTAATACTTATTTATAAATTTATTCTTGTTGTTTTTTCTTTTGTCTGAAATGTAAATTTAACTAGGCCTCCTATATTTTTATTTGCTTAATCTGTTAACATTACAATAGATGCCAGCAGCATCCGTCCAATTTTAACTGAAATGTCTCCAGGCATTATTAAATGTCCCCTAGGGGGGCAAAATTGCCCTGTGTGGAGAACCACTGTCCTAAAGGGATTTCATCCTTTGCACATGGAAATCTCGTGGTCTATTCTCTGGATATTTTAATTTTATTCACACATTTAAAATTTCGTTTTAGGCCTGCAATGTCCAGGTTATTTTTCTAGGGTTTACTTTTTGTTCTATCGATTACCATATAATTAACTTTTTAAAATACTTTCTGCAATGTTGAAAATTTGTCTTTTGTCTTTACTGCTGAAAATTATATTATTTGCTTGCAATATGTTCTTTTTTTTCTTAGAGAGAACGTAATTGTTCTTCAAAATCTGCTTCCAATTATTTCATTTTAAATATTTATTACTGTTACCTTAAACTTGCGATTGTGTTCTTTTATTTAACCTGCTATTTTTACATGCTTTCTCATTACATTTTTAAGAGGAGACGTTCTTATTAAATTCAATTCTGTAAACTGATTGGTTATCCCTGATTTGTTTTTCTTTTCAAAACTTTATTTATTTTTCTTTCTTTACACAGTGACTTTCATCAAATGAGATCCTGTATTTGTTACTATCGTCTTGGTCTTCTATATTTTTATTTACTAAACCTGGTAACTCTACACTAGATGCCAGCAGCAGTCCTCCAATTTTGCTTACTTAAAATCTTACTGATTTTTTAATACGTGTCCTTGCCTTCCTTACACAGTTAACCAATTGAGTAAAATTTTATTGTTAGTCCAAAGATTCAGATTCTACAGTACAAGTCTGTTGTAGATGGTCAAGATTGTAACATTTTTGATGGTCAAAGTTGCTTAGTGTTTTTAACTGAAAATGACTGAAAATATTAACAGAATAGGGCTTATATTTGGAAATAACTCTTAGTGATGTACATTTCAATTGACTTTGTTTCATATCCTCAAAGTTTTCACTAAGCTGTAGACTCTACTAACTATTTTCATTTGAGTTTTCCTTTCTAGTTTTAAATTATCAATTGATCATCATTTTTAGGATAGGAACTAAATCCCTATGTGTTTGTACATATAAATCTGATTTTATATACACTCTATACACATACATAGATATTATAATTCTTGATGTATTTCTATTCTATTCTAATGCTTATGCAACATATTAATAAAATTTAAAGATAGAGTAATCTATTATATTGATCACAGTGCCTAATGAAAAATGCATTTTCAATATATTAGAATTTTACTATTAAATACATAATCTCCATATATGGTGCAAACAAGGTAGCAATCTGTTCTGCTTAATTTAAATCAGCAAGTATTTTCAATAATGCTCAATATATCATAGAACATAATGAGAAAATAAGAGGTAGGTGAAAGAAACAAATGTGTAGCCCTCCTGTTCTTCTTCCTTTTTTTCTTTCTGAGAATATCATCACTCATATCAGGCATGTTTATAAAAATGAGAGATTATGTCCTTTTTGGCATACTTCATCTTCTTCAGGACACAGAGAGAAGCTTGCTTCAGTTTGCTGTCCCGTAAAATTAGAAGAAATGAATGGCCAGATGGATGGAAAAATACCAGCACACTACTAAAAGTCCTTGCCGCAACGAAGTCTAGAAGAGGACAGGCCAATGTTAGTATGATACTGATGAAATAATGCACAATAAAGAGGAGTAGAAATGAAATTATAGCTTTTATAGGTTTTACATGGGCTTCTGTGCTGGGATCCCTGGAATAAATACCATGTAGCTTCATCTGCCTGGTGTGGCTCCATAAGGAGAGGATTAAGAGAAGAATGGAAGCCAGTGTTTCCACAAAAGGAAGGATGAACATCATCTGAAGGAGAAACAGAGAAGTGAAATCATGCATGGTATCCATATAATTAAATGTCAAGTTGCCTTTTATTGTTACCCGTTCTTAGATTAAACTATTAATTATTATTTCCTTCAGAATGGAAGTTGTGCAGAAAGAGATCGTTGCCTCTAGTACAATAAAGAGAAGCACCTTGTGAATTTTCCATTTCATCCAGAGGAAAATGGGATTGGAGAAGTTGGCTACCTTGAGGAAATAGAAGACACTGAGGCAAGTGGTACAGGACAGGCAGAAATAGCTGGATCCTGTCCAGAGAATGTCAAAACTTACTGCAAGATTCTTAGAATCAGGCATTTTCTCATAGCCTATATTGAAAGAGGTAGCTAAAATTGTTATCTACAGGAAACATATCCTGGAGATGGCCAAGCAGTTGAGAATAAAATCAATCAGGGAGACCTTTCAGTTCCTGATTCAGTCAATGATATTAACCAATACAATGAATCAATTTCCCACAGTCCCCATTATGAATTACACTACAAGAATTCTTATAAACAGTGTCTCCCAAATGCTTGACATGCCTCTACATAGTGAATCTCTGCCTTCAATACACCATTGGCTGATTGATCCTAGCTGCACTGTTATAGATTTATATATCCAAAGGAGTGACTTCTTTCTGTTTTATTGATGGCCATTGGTGTAGTCTGGAGAGATCCAAGGTGTGTTCTAAAATTAGATTTCAACTAAATTGTAAAATATACAAGTTTTTTTCCCTTGAGGGTATCAGCTAGTGATTTTCAAGGCAAATATTATATTCCCTGCTACTATTGACTCTGGTTGTATTTTACATGGAAAGTTCTGCATTCAAATTTGAACCCTCATTTGTTAACATGCAAAATTGAAGTAGATTCTCCTTTATAGTTTTACAATGCCATCTTTTGCTTAAAGGTTATTCATTTGTATGATGTATCCCTTTGATTCATCTACCACCCTGGGCTAGAAATTCTAAGCCCCCATATAGAAAAATGCAGTATATATTTAGAGTTTATGATCAGCATATTTCTTCATTATCAACCTCACTAATGCAGATTATTTATAAAATATGCAAAGTTTAAGAAAATGGAGAAAACTGCTCTCTGATATAATACCAAATCTTTTAGAGAGTATGGAAGTTTTTGGCCAGGCACGGTGGCTCACGCCTGTAATCCCAGCACTTTGGAAGGCCAAGGCAGGTGGATCACCTGAGGTCAGGAGTTCGAGACCAGCCTGGCCAACATGGTGAAACCCTGTCTCTACTAAAAATACAAAAATTAGCTGGGCTTGGTGGCATGCTCCTGTAATCCCAGTTACTCGGGAGGCTGAGGCAGGAGAATCGCTTGAACCCAGGAGGCAGATGTTGCAGTGAGCCGAGATCACACTACTGCACTCCAGCCTGGGTGACAGAGTGAGATCCGTCTCAAAAAAAAAAAAAAAAGAGAGAGAGAGTATGCAAGTTTTAAAACATACGATACATACTTTGGCACTTCTTCTATTGATATCTTAGGAGTCTGTGTACTCTGTCCTTAAATCTAGAATGGTTTGTGACTAATTCAACTAATAAAAATGCTATAATAATTCTAAAGCTAAATCATGAAAAGCCATGCAGTTTTTTCTTAATCACTGCAATATTTACTCTTGGAGTCCTAAGCCACATGTAAGTAGTCCAACTACTCTGAGGTCACAATGTCCAAACCCACATGCAGAGGCCATGTGCAGGCCCTCTGGCTCATTATCCCACGTGAGCCCAGCTTTTACGTCCTTTTACCCCAGGTACTAAACCTATGAGCCAAGAAAGCGATATTTGACCTGTCTGATACGGTAGATACTAGCCACATGTCACACGTGGCTTTTTAAATTCACATTAATAAAAATTAAATAAGATTAAAAGTACAGAGCCTCAGTATTACTAACCATATTTCAAATGCTCACTAGCCACGTGTGACTATTTTATAGCCAACATACATAGGGGATATTTCTATCATTGCCTATCATTGACATTTCTATGTATTTCTCAGCTCCGCCTTAGATAAGTTCAGCCCCTGGTCACTTGAATTGCCCCCAGTTGTTCATAACTTTCTGGCTAAAGGCTTAGACATTCTGGAACAAAAAGAAGCCATCCCTGCTATGTCTTGAACAAAACCCTAACCTACAGAATCTTTAAGTGAATTAGTCTATTCTTGCATTGCTATAAAGAAACACCTGAAACTGGGTTTCTGTAAGAGGTTTAATTGGCTCATGGCTTCACAGGCTGTACAGGAAGCATGGCGGCATCTGTTTCTGGGGAGGCCTCAGGAAATGTATAAAGATGGCGGAAGGCAATGGGGAAATCAGATACATCTTCACATGGTTGGAGCAGGAGGAAGAGAAAGATGGGGGAGGTGCCTTACACTTTCAAACAACCAAATCTTGTGATAACTCACTCACTCACTATTGCCACACCACCACCAAGGGGGAAACTGCCCCCCATAATCCAATCACCTCCCACCAGGCCCCACCTCCAACATTAGGGGTTACAATTCAATATGAGATTTGGGCGAGGACAGAAATTCAAACCATATCAACAAGCACAATAAAATGGCTGTTATTTTACACCATGAAGTTTCTGGGTGATTTTATTATGCAGCAATAGAGCATCAGAATAGAATTATTTAGCATATGAATGGTATCAATATTTTGTCATTTCTAATTTCCATGTCTGTTTTTCTCTTCTATCCCAAATAAAGGTATCCATAGCATCTTTATTTTCCTCAGTGTAAGGGGAACTTGTATAAATTTTCTATAATTTTTTCATACGTTGAGCTGAACTTAATCTTAATTCTGATGAGGTCAAACCAGGAAAGGCCAATTAGTCATGTTCTTTGTGTAATGCAACTGCTGCATTTCCCTCCCAAAGTAGCTAGTCCAAAATTTAGTGACATTCAAAACCAATGGAGATATAATATAGGCCTAAGAGGAGTCAAAGAAATGAATGAGTTGGACAGCCCACCAAAAGATACACCCTAGGTAAATTCACAAAGAAAACTCCATGACTAAAAGAAAGGCTAATTGTGATAGGCAAACATGAAATGCAAACAAAACTGAAACTGAAATAAACAAAGGGAAATTCAGGAAAATATTATATGCTGAAAAAGGGTTATTTTATTTGTCTTATTGAATATCTTCTTTGTTCCAGCCCTCTAGGAGGTGGGATGAAGCATTAAATACAACTATTTTTAAATGCCCTTAATAAGTTGACATTCTGAAAAGATGAACTCTAAACATATAACTAATAAAATATATATCATACAGATATAAAATATAGTTTATAAGAAGTTGCAAATATAAGTAGAGAGGGTCAATAGAAAGCATGTCAGAAGAGGGGTTGAAATTTTAAATAAGGTGCTTAGGGAAGGACTCATTGAGAAGGTGATGTCTGAACAAAGACCTAAAGTAGGTAAAGAAATTATCCATGTTTTGTCTGGGTAAAGTACATTCCAGACACACGGAACAGCATTATCAGTGTGCTAACATTGGATGTACCTAGTGTGTCTGAGGAAGAACAAGGAAAGCAGTGTGACTGTTGCGGAGATGAGAGAGTGAGACCACTAAGAGTGAAGTCTCAGAAAGAAGAGGCATGTGCCCAGAAGGCAGCACATACAGTCAAAAGAGATTATTTTAGAACGTTAATATTTAACGCCTGCCCTGCTGTGTTTTGTACTTGCGTGGTGCCTACTGCTCCTCTCTTGTGGCTGATTTCTCCCTTTTGGAATGAGAATGTCTATCCAATGCCTGTACAACAACTGTATCTTGGAAGGAAATAAATTGTTTTTTATTTCACAGGCTCATAGCTGGAAGGAACTTGACTTCCAGTCTCAAATGAGACTTTGGACTTCAGACATTTGAATTGATGCAGCAACGTGTTAAGAATTGGGGGACTATTGTTGGGATGGAAAGATTACATTTTTTTTTATGTGAGAAGGACACGAGTTTTCAGGGGACCAAGTCAGAATGCTATGGTTTGTACACGGTTTGTTTGTCCCCATCAGAACTCATATTGGGATTTGATCCCCAAAGTAGTGGTGTTGGGAGGTTGAGCTTAGTGAGAAGTGTTTGAGTCATAGGGTTGGTTCCCTCATGAATGCCTTGGTACCATTTTCAATGTAGTGAGTGAGTTCTCACTCTCACAAGACTGAATTTGTTCTAGGGGAATGAGTTGTTTTTCATGAGAGTGAATTGTTATAAAGCCAGGATGCCCCTTTGGTTTATTCTCTCTTCACATGTGCCCGCTTCTGCTTTGACCTTCTCCACCATGGTTTGACCCAGCACAAAAGCTCTCAGCAGAAACTAAGCAGATGCTAATGCCATGCTTCTTGTACAGCCTGCGGAACCATGAACTAAATAAACCTCTTTTATTTATAAATTACTCAGCTTCAGGTATTCCTTTATACCAACACAAACAGACCAAGAAATTGAGGAATAATATTTATAAAATTATTTCAGTGAATTAAATTAGATAAAATGGACAAATTCCCTGAAAGAAATTACTGAATCAGGCACACAAAGAAATAGAAAATCTTAGTGTCTATTTTTAAAAATTGAATTCTTAATTTAAAACTTTCACACAAAGCAAGGGATGACCTGAATGTTTATTTTCATCACATATTTAAGAAGAAAAAAATACCAACCTACATAAATTTTTCAACAAAGTCTCATAAAGGTTAACTCTGTGAGCTTTATTTCAAGAAGGAAAGTGGGAATCTACCAGAATCATAAGGACACACAGATCCCAGGGAGGGGAACATGGGCAAACAGCCCCCATGATGGCACCCAGTTAAAAAAGTGAATGAAGCTCCAGTAGGTGAGAGAGGCAGAGAGCCTCCCTCTGTGACTCACCTTTCCACTGGGGATCTGAGCAACCCAGTGCTCAGAGGGAAGAGTACCTTGTTTCTCCAAAGCCCTGGAGATAACTTGGAGAAAGGCTTAGAGACATTGTAAGGGAAAGACACTGGGAAAAGGTTCAGGCCTTTTCTCAGACCCAGGACTGAGAGCAGGATACCATTTTTAATTCAGATGCCACAAAGTCAATCATTCTTTGGTAACTAAGCAGCGTAGCTGTGCAGGCATTTTAGTCTTGGGCCAGATATTGGAGCACCTGCTTTAGAGCAGGGTGGGGACCTCCATGGCCAGAATTGTGGGGAAAAAAAACCTTAGCAGCAAACACTGAAACTGTGCTATCCCCCATCACAGGCCTGGGGCAGGAGGGGAGCTGCTACAGCCAGTTTATCCTATGTGATGAGACTTGCAACCAGGCAGCTTAGCTACTTGGAACTAGTCTGTGTGTGTCATTGCTGGGTACCCCACCCTGTTCCCCTGTGATTGTGGTGCAGCAGACTCTCCTCCACTCTACCTCTAGGCAGAAATCTGGGCATTTGGATCACTCATTCACCTGGTTCAGCAGCTTCATCTGCTCCACCCTTCTTGTGCAGAGATCCTAGAATAGGGAGGCCCTCTCTGCTTCATGCCTAGGCAGATCCCAGGATTTTGGAGCACCTGCTAGCAAGGTTCAGCACCCTGAACCACCTAACCTTCCTTGACGTAGGTCATGGTGCAATGGGGCCCTCTCTGCTCCACAGCCAGGCAGAACTCTAGATATCTGAAGCACCCATTCACCTGGCTCAGCAGCCTATCCTCCCCTACCCTTCCTGTGCAGAGATTTTGATGCAGGGAGGTCCTCTCTGCTGCATACCCTAGCATTCAAAGCACCTGCTCACACAGACTGGCAACCTGTGCTGCCTCACCCTTCCCGTTCACAGATCCATGTACTGGGCTGATCCTCTCTGTTTTATGCCCAGGCAAATATCCAAGCATTAAGAGCACCTGCCTGCCTAGTTAAGAAGCCTGAGTCACCCCATTTACCCTGTGCAGAAATCTTGGTTGGTGGGGGTGGGTTCTGCTCCACAAGCAGGCAGATTTCCAGGTATTCAGAGCCCCCACTCTCCTGGATTAAGAGTTTAGGCCAATCTCTCCAATATCCCTGTGCAAAGAACTTGGAGCCGAGGGGGTTACCTAGCTCCACCCCTAGACAGAACTCTGGTCACTTGGTAGCCACTCAGTAGATTCTCCCTCAGTGTTGGTGCTTGTGTCTGCCATTGGAAGACCTATAGGTGGACCTGCCTTGTCTGGCCCCACCCACCTTGCTCCCCACAACCCCCAAGGCTGAGCAGGGAGTTCACACCACTGTGTACTCCATGAGTCAGACCATTATCTGCAGCAACAGAGAGTTTCTTCCAGTAAACAAGGATCAAATATATAACCATCACATTGTCCAAAACTGGCTCTTACCTATAAGTGCCATCTACTGGCTTGTAGGTTGAACCGCACAGTCTAATATAAAACCTGCAACCTGTAAGTGCATAAGGCTATAGAAGCTGGGCAAAAGACCTACCCAGAATTCTCTAAAGTCATACCTCCTAAGGAGGGAGGGGGAATGGAAAGGGAAAGAAAAAAGAACAATAATATTATAGGGAAATAAAGAAAAAAATCCTACCTTATGGAAATAATTACAAAAATTAGAAGTGCCAGTATTGCCAGAGGAGGAGGAAAGAGAACAAGAATTCTACCACCATAAAAAAAGTGAATGTAATGAAATCAACACCATCAAAGGAGCACAGTACCTCTCCAGCAATGGTCCCTAACCAAAACAAAAGCTCAGATATGACAGATAAAAAATTCAAAGTATAGATTGCAAGGAAGCTCAATGAGATGCAAGACAAGGCTGAAAATGAATACAGAGAGATTTCTAAAGCAATCCAGGAAATGAAGGAAGACATAAACATCTTACAAAGAAATCAATCAGAGCTTCTGGAATTGAGAAACTTACTTAAGGAATTATAAAGTACAATTGAATTCATATAAAGTACAATCTCTCATAGACTGGACCAAGCAGAAGAGTTTCAGACCTTGAAAACTGGTCTTTTGAACTAACCCAGAAAAAAAAATTAAAAATAATTTAAAAATATGAATACAGTCTTAGAGCAATATGGGATTATGTGAAGCAACCAAACTCATAAACTGCTGGCATTCCTGAGAAAGAAGGAGAAATAGTTAATAACCTGGAAAACATATTTGAGGAAATAATTTAAGAAAATTTCCCTAATCTTGCTAGAGAGGTAGACATACAGATACAAGAAATCAAGAGGACACCTGACTGATGCTATAGGAAATGAACATCACCAAAGCATATAGTCGCCAGACTATCCAAGGTCTACACTAAAGAAAAAAATCTTAAAGGCAGCTAGAGAAAAAGATCAGATCACATACAAAGGGAACCCCATAAGGCCAAGTATATAGCTCAGCAGAAACCTTACAAGCCAGGAGAGATTGGAGGCCTACTTTCAGCATTCTTAAAGGAAAGAAAATTTTCCAACCAATAATTGTATATTCCATCAAACTAACCTTTATAACTGAAGGAGAAATAAAATCTTTTATAGACAAGCAAAGGGTAAAGGAATTTATTACCACTGGACCAGTCTTACAAGAGATCCTTAAGGGAGTTCTAAACATGAAAATCTGCTACCAAAATAGCACACCTAAGCACATAGCCCAAGACCCTATAAAGAAACCACACAATAGAAACTACAAAGCACCCAGCTAACAACTTCAAAATAGAATCAAAACCTCACATAGCAATATTAGCCTTGAATGTAAATGGTCTAAATACCCTCACTTAAAAGTCACAGAGTGACAAATTCAATAAAAAACAAAAGTCATCGGTCTGCTGTCTTCAAGAGACCCATCTCACATGTAATGTTACTGTTAGGCTCAAAGTAAAGGGTTGTAGAAGGATCTGTAACACAAATAGAAAAGAAAAAAAGAAAGAATCACTATTCCTATATAAGATAAAACAGATTTTAAACCAACAACAGTAAAAAAATGACACAGAAAGGCACTACATAATAATAAAGTGTTCAATTCAACAAGAAGACTTAACTGCCCCAAATATACATGCACTCAGCATTGGAGCACCAAGATTCATGAAACAAGTACCTCCAAACCTATAAAAAGATTTAGATACCCACTCAATAATATTGGGGGACTTCAACACCCCACTGAGAAGATTGGACAGATCATTGAGGCAGAAAACTAACAAGGAAATTCTGGACTCTTGAAAAAACGCTCAAATAATTAGGCATTGAAGGAACATACCTCAAAATAATAAGAGCCATCTATGACAAAACTACAGCTAACATTACACTGAACATGCAAAAACTGAAAGCATTCCCCTTGAGAACTGGAACAAGAAAAGGGTCCCCACTCCCATCACTCCTATTCAACATAGTATTGAAAGTCCTAGCCAGGACAATCAGGCAAGAAAAAAAAAGGCATCCAAATAGAAAAATAAAAGCCATAGTCAAACTATATCTCTTTGCTGATGTGAATCCATACATACAAAACCCTAAAGACTCTGCCAAAAGGCTCCTGGCACAGATAAAGGACTTCTGTAAAGTTTCAGGATACAAATCAATTCACAAAAATCAGTAGCATTTCTATACAATAAAAATCTTCAAGCTGAGAGCCAAATCAAGAATGCAATCCCATTTACAATAGCCTCAAAAAAAAAAAAAAAAAAAAAAACAACTAGGACTACAGCTAACCAAGGAGGTGAAAGAGAACTGTGAAACACTGCTGAAAGAAATCATAGATGACACAAACAAATGGAAAAGTATTCCATGCTCATGGATAGGAAGAATGAATATTGTTAAAATGGTTGTACGGCCCAAAGCAATTTACAGATTCAACTCTATTCCTATCAAGCTACCAATGTCATTTTGCACAGAACTAGAAAAAAAAAACTATTTTAAAATTCATATAAAACCAAAAAAAGAGCCCAAATAGCAAAAGCAACCCTAAGCAAAAAGAAAAAAGCCAGAGGAATCACATTACCTGACTTCAAACTATACTATAAAGCTACAGTAACCAAAACAGCATGGTAATATTATAAAAACAGACACATAGACCAATGGAACAGAATAGAGAACCCAGAAATAAAGACACACAACTACAGCCATCTGATGTTTGACAAAACTGACAAAAATAAACAATGGGGAAAGGACTCTGTATTCAGTAAATGGTGCTGGGATATCTGGCTAGCCATAAGCAAAATAATTAAACTGAACCTTTACCTTTCACCATATACAAAAATTAACTCAGGATGGGTCAAAAATTTAAATGTAAGACTTTATACTACAATAATCCTGGAAGAAAACTTAGGAAACACCATTCTAAACATTGGCCTTGGGAAAGAATTTATGACTAAGTCCCCAAAAGCAATTGCAACAAAAAACAAAAATTGACAAGTGGGACCTAATTAAACTAAAGAATTTCTGCACACATTGTATAAACTATCAACAGAGTAAACAGACAACCTATAGAATGTAAGATTTGCAAACTATGCATGCAACAAGGGTCTAATATCCCAAATCTATAAGGAATGGAAACAATTGAACAAGCAGAAAACAAATAACCCCTTTAAAAACGAGCAAAAGACATGAACAGGCACTTTTCAAAAGAAGACATACGAGCAGCCAACAAATATTTTAAAAGGCTCAACATCACTAATCATTAGAGACACGCAAATCAAAACCACAAAGAGATACCATCTCACACCAGTCAGAATAGCTACTATCAAAAAGTTAAAAAAAAAAAAACAGATGCTAGTGAAGCTGTGGAGCAATGGGAACGCTTGTACCCTGTTGGTGGGCATGCAAATTACGTCAGCCACTGTAGAAAGCAGTTTGGAGATTTCTCAAAGAACTTAAAATAAACTACCATTCAACCTAGTCATCCCATTACTCAGTATGGTGTATGCACGCCACACTTTTTTGGTCTAATCCATTTTTTTTTTTTTGAGACAGAGTTTCACTCTGTTGTCCTCTCACTCTGTTCACAAGAAAATAAATCATTCTACCAGAAAGACACATGTACTCTCACAATTTCATTGGAACACTATTCACAATAGCAAAGGCATGGGAATCAACCTACGTGCCCATCAACAATGGATTACAGGCCAGGCACAGTGGCTCATGCCTGTAATCCCAGCACTTTGGGAGGTCAAGGTGGGCAGATACCTGTGGTCAGCAGTTCAAGACCAGCCTGGCCAACATGGTGAAACTCTGTCTCTACTAAAAATACAAAAATTAGCCGGGCGTCCTGGCACCTGCCTGTAATCCCAGCTACTTGGGAGGCTGAGGCAGAAGAATCGCTTGAACCTGGGAGGTGGAGGCAGCAGTGAGCTGAGATCATGTCACTGCACTTCAGCCTGAGAAACAGAGTAAGATTCTGTCTCAAAGAAAAAAAAATGGATTAGACCAAAAAAGTGTGGTATATATAGACCATAGAATACTATGTAGCCATTAAAAAAAAATGAAATCATGTCCTTTGCAGCAGCACGGATGCAGCTAAAGGCCATTGTCCTGAGTGAATTAATGCAGAAACAGAAAACCAAATACTGCATGTTTCACTTATAAATAGGAACTATACAATTTTAACTAACACTACTAAGTGATAGAATTGAGAATTGTACCTCTGACTCCAGACTCAGTCCTTAACTATTATAGTGTTTTTTGTGGGGACCATATGAGTGCAGAGGTGAAAATACTGACAGATATTGAAAGATGCTATTGGGTAAATAAACTACAAGAGAGTTCAGAGAAATTAATGATAAAAATGATCATACTACTCCTCTCACTTACCTAACTTTTAAGCAAACCCATTTGGGAGGTCCTTTCTAAAAAGAAAATAAAAGAGAGAAAATGAGAATGCTCAAGTAGATAGTACTATTGAAACAGGTTACTAAAAATGCATGTGGTATCACCAAAGAACCTGTTCTGACAGCAGAGAAAATGAAATTAGGCTTTCTGTCCTTATACTCAAGGATAACTGTGCCTTATTGCAAATATTTATTCCAACTGTTCCATAAAATATCTTTGAGTTTTGAAAGCAAAAAAAGTTAAAAATAATTTTCTTACAGGAAAATAGTTGATTATTGAACTTCATTAAAAGTTTTTAATGTCCTCTCTTTGAAAGACACTGTAAAGAAAATGAAATGACAAGCCTCTGGCTGGCAGAAAATATTTATAAAACATATGTCTGATAAAGAACTTATATTCAGAATGATATGGTCTGGCTGTGTCCCCACCCAAATCTCATCTTGAATTGTAGCTCCCATAATTCCCATGTGTTATGGGAGGGACTCAGTGGGAGATAATTGAATGATGGGGGTGGTTTCCCCCATACTGTTCTCATGGTAGTGAATAAGTCTCATGAAACTTGATGTTTTTATAAGGGGTTTCCCCTTTCGCTTGGCTGTCATTCTCTCTTCACTGCCACCATGTAAGACGTGACTTTTGTCTCTGCCATTATTGTGAGGCCTTTCCAGCCATGTGGAACTGTCAGTCAATTAAACCTCTTTTTCTTTATAAGTTACCCAGTCTTGAGTATGTCTTTATCAGCAGCATGAAAATGGACTAATACAGAGACTATATAAAGAACATTTACAACTCAGTAATAAAAACAGAAAGCAATGAATCAAGCTAAGTAGTTGGCAAAAGGTTTAAACAAACATTTCATAAAAAGAGGTTGTATGAATGACCCAAAGCATATGAAAAAATCATCAGCCTCACTAGCCATTAGGAAAATGTGAATTAAAACTATGATGAGATGCCATTACATTCTGACTAGAATGGCCAAAATAGAAAACAAAACAGAGTACCTACCAACTGTTGGCCAGAATGTGAAATAACTGAAACACTCGTATATTGCTGGCAATAGTATGAAATGGTGCAACCACTCTATAGAACTCTGGCAGTTTTTTCTTAAGTTAAACATACACTTATCATATGATTTGACATTTTTACTCATAGGTATTTACTCAAGAGTGAGGAAATTGTATATCCAGAAGAAGAGAAATACATGAATGTTGATATCAGTTTTATTTATAATGGCCAATAATTGAAAACCATTTGAATGTTCATTAACAGGAAAGAGAAATTTTTTAATGTGGTATATCCAACACTACTCAGGAACACTGCTCAGGAACAAACTACTGATTAATACAACAAAACAGAAGAACTTCAAAAACATTATGCTGAGTTAAAGAAGCCTCACATATAACAATACACACTCTATAACTGTATGTGTGTGTGTGTGTGTGTATATATGGCATCTATATATCTATATCTATAGATATATAGATGCATAAAATTCTAGAAATCAAAAACTCTCTTATTGTTACCAAAAGCAGATAAGTAGTTGCTTGGGAAAAAGGGCTGGAGGGGAGAGGGTAAACTGCAAAGGGCACTGACATTGTGGTCACACAAGTGTATACATTGTCAAAACTCTAACTGAAATGTGGACTAACATGTTGCATTTTATTATATGTAAATTATACCTCAATAATATTTACTTTAAAAGGCATAATGTAAAATATGTATGTACACATACATACAATATAATTACTAAAAAACCGTTATCTTTTTATGTGGCAGTTACTCATATTAAACTTTTTAACCCTCTCAATTCTCTCAACACATCAGTATAGTAATAGTGGCAAGTCCAAACTTCCCTAATTCTATTCCAAATAACTGTTCTAATTATCTGTAGCTCACCATTTAAATAGGAGTACTTGAGATAATAAAATAATTACCTAAATCACCCATCTCAATGAATGATTTAGAATTGAAGAGCCATTGCCAAACAAAAGATTGTAGATTTACAATTAACATCTAAGTATGCTGTAGTATATGTTTTTAATTTACAATAGAATCTGCCAATAATTTCCTCAAATAAGTTTCAAATTCCTAATAATGTAGAAATACATGTCATAAATACATAATATTCTTAGGTAAGATGCTATTATAGAGAAGAATTTAAAACATTTACAGTGACCTTCACAATAAAAGAAACCAGGGGAAGCATAAAATATCTTTTAAACTCCTTGTAGACTCCTGTTTCTGTCTGCAATATTCAATAATCTGTGGTCTGAATGGCTTATGAAATTGTGAGTTTCTCATCGTTTAGCCCATACCTTAGCTGCCACCAAAAGAAAGGCCTGTCTTAACTTAGCGTTTCCTAGAATCAGAAGAAAGGAGTGGCTTGAAGGAGAGAAGACTCCAATCGTCTCACAAAGCATGTAGATCACTGTGTTCTGATACAGCTCAGAAATCCATGATATGAGAACACATAGAAAGAAACTAGCATAGAATAAAAGGAATGAGATCACAATTTTCAAGGCATTTGTATGGACCTTGGTCCTGGGGTCTCTGTGTCCTTTGTAATTGAGTTGCATTTTCTGGAGATGTTTCTGCAGGGAGAAAATTAACAGGAGAAAAGAGATGAAGGCCACAGTAAATGGTGTTAGACTGAACATAGTCATAGTGAATTTGACCGACACTGAAAATGTTTCAAAGTCACTCATACTGAAATTCCAAGTTGTGTTTCTTTCATATCGGTCCAGCCAGTCTTTTATATGCATGTTTATTTGTATCAGATTTAAAAATAAGAAGACCAAGGTTCCTAGCAGTATCATCAGAATCACTTTGTTTACTCTCCACTTCAAATAGAGAAAAGCAGGGCTAGAGAAACTCGCTATTTTGAGCAAATAAAAGATGCTGAAGATTGTAGCAAGCCAGAGATTGAAGTGATTAGAAACTATCCAGCTAAAAATCATAATTCTTAATCCTGTTCCAGACACAAATATGGCTAGATAATGCAGAGCTAAAAACCAACTTACTAATATTTCCCAGATCAGCCCAATTCTGGAGATTGCCAAGATAATGAGGAGTTTATCGACTGAGGACAGCTCTCTTTTACTGACCCAGTCAATGCAGTTGATCAGTACTATAAATCCATTGCTCAAATTCCCAATTATGAATTCTGCAATTATTACAAGAGTGAAGATACTCGGCAGGGCACTTTCCATGTCAGAACAGAGAAAGTTCAATGTCTAATGTCACTGCTGGTTATTCACTGATCTAAAATGCTATTCACATCCTTGAGTGTCCAGTGGAGTTCTTCTTCCTTCTCCTTTTTCTGCTCCTTCTTTCATTGTTGGCTCAACGTCAAAGCAGAAATCTCTAAAGTTTGCTGATCGATCTTCACATAACTGTTCTGGTGATATCTTTATTTTTCTTCAATTTCTCTGCTGAGCCCTAGCTAAGATATTTATGTCTTCACCATGGGCAGAAATATTTCATAGATGATTATGCAGCAAAGTTAAACTCACATTTGCAACCATGCAAATAAAGATATATTCTCTTTCATTGTTTTGTACTTTTTTGCCTTGTCTGAGCATAGAAAATTAGATTCAACCAGCTTGAGTTCTGAGGTACAAATATTATAAAAATCTGATTCATAGAATATGTAGCTAAATGAAGCTTTTATGGCTAATAGCATAGCCAATGAAGCTTTATAAAATATGCAAAGACTTACCTATGCTATTTCAAAAGAGTGCTCAATTTCTTGTGGAGCTAAAGCTGGATCTGGTCAATACTGTGACTAAAGAGAAACTCGTTTACAAAGCATCCATCTTTCTCATTCCCTGCCTCATCACTACTTAGCAGTGCTCACCACCATCCCTCCATAGGCACCAAATGCCTTCACATTTTATCCGCTTTTCCCCTCATATTTCTTTTTTAAACTTAAAAGTGATAAAAAAACAAATTTTACAAAATCAGCAACAGCTACCAAAGAAAGCAGTACTATATTACATCATAACTTGCAAAACTGAAAACCAAGCAAAGAAATAGATACACTAGTTCCCCTTATCCATGAGGCCTATGTCCCAAGACCCCCAGTGGATGCCTAAAACAGCAGATAGTACCAAACTCTATATACAATATATTTTTTTCCTGTATTCACCTACCTATGATAAAGTTTAATTTGTAAATCAAGCACAGTAAAAGATTACAAAAATAACTAATAATAAAATAGAACAATTAAAACAATATACTATAATAAAAGTTGCCAGGGGTTGTGGCTCATCCCTGTAATCCTAGCAATTTGGGAGATTGAGGCGGGAGGACCGCTCGAGCCCAAAAGTTTGAGACCGGCCTGGGCAACATAGGGAGACCCTGTATCTAAAATAAATAAAAATTAAAAAAATAAAAAGTAAAAAAATGTGTTAAAATATATAGTGTGGTGTCTCTCACTCTCTCAAGATACCTTACTGTACTGTACACACCTATTTTTGGACTGTGGTTGACCTTGGGTCACTGAAACTGCAGATAAGCGGGGACTAATGTGTTCATTGTGAAGAGTCAAGGTTCCTCACCCCGCCCCACTCTTTCAAAAACTACCGAAAAAAAGTGGATTACCAAAATTCTGAAAACGTGGAGACTCAAGAAAGATTGTCTAATTCAAAATTAATATAAATAAAACACTTTATCTTGATTATAAGATAATAAGTAGCCATTTAGCTAGATGAATACAAAGCTATTTTTATTTAATAAAGATATAATTTGTGAATTATGAATGTTTGTATTTTATTACTCATGCAATCTTTATTGGGTGATCTACAGAGTACTAAAAAATTTACAAAATAATTGCATCATCTTTAATGATTTGCAAGTTTCAATTATAACTTAAAATAGGTAGATATTTTCTATTTTGTTGTTATAATGGTATATTTGTCAAGATAGAATAGAAAATGTCTCCTTTAACAGTTTGTTAGGTTTGTATATTTATGACCTTTAAATATGTAGCTATGTGGCATGTGGTCTTCCATTTGCATTCTTGACCCAGGGCTGAAGAGATCTTTTATACTTTTTCATTTTAGGGTGTTCTTCCTACCTATCTAGAGAAAAGGGTTTGGGGATGCCGGTCACAACTTGATAATACCCCAAATCTGTACAAATAGGCCTGAGGAATGGTACTGTACTTGCTGGTATATGAAAAAATACCACAGTTTTTAGAACTTGTGATATAACACATGACAAAGACATAGAGAATGGATAACAGGCTTGCGGTTCTGAGCTGCATTTTCCTGGTGTGTTTCCATAAGAGAAAACATTTAAAAATATAAATTTAATCAAAGAGATGTAGTCTCTCACTTCTATAAGAGAAAGAGAATAGATGCTAGGGAGCATCACAGAAAAACTTTTTCAGCAGTCTGAACTGAAAAGGAAAATGAGGCAAAGGGCAGGAAGAGGAAACAATGAAAGGTTTGAGTATGTAAAGTATTTTTTAAGTCACTGATGGATGCAGTTTGCCAACGTTGTGTTAGGATATTTGCAGCTATGTTTTTAAGGAATATTGACATTTAATTTTCATTTCTCATATTGTGCCTATGAGAATTTGGTATTAAGATTTAGCTAACCTCATATCATTTGTTTAGAAATATTTCTTTTCTCTTTTTCATTTTTGCTGCCTATTATTGTTACATATAACAAATATAGAACATTTAATGAAGTTTAAATGCTATAGTATAAAGTGCACACTAATTTAAAAGCCTCCCATGGCAAGAAAGAGAACTTTGTAAACCCCATAACACCTTATTTGCTCCTTTCTAATCACAACCCCTATCTTCATTCCAGAAGTAACAACTATCTGCAATTCAAATCACGTTATTGTTTAACTTTGTATATTTTAATTTGAATATGTATCCCTAAGCACTAGCTTGGTTTTGCCTGGTTTTGGATTGCACATGAATGGAATAATACTGTACACAATATTTTTGAATTTAACTATTTTTGATCAATATTATGTTTCTAAAATTAATCATGTTGCATATAGAGATAGATCATTTATTCAATTGCTGTATAGTATTAATGGAATGACAATTCAAAATTTATCTAGTCTAGTGGAAACACAAAGTTGGTTTATTTTGAGTTTGGAGACTATGATGATGATGATGCTACGAACATTCTTTAACATGTAACTTATTATTGAGTACATGAGCATACATTTCTATGATCTTGATCTGGAACCATTCCGTTGCCTATTTCTTCTGGTCTTGTTTTGGCAGTTACGACTTTCTAGATATTTGTCAGTTTCAATTATTTATGTTTTCATGTAATTTTGATTATAATATCATCTTATTAAATTTTTAATACCAACAGAATATATCCTTTAAATTCTTCATATTATTTGCTTTTCTTTTCATGATTTATCTTACCAGAAGTTTGCCTATTTTGTTAGTCTATTCAAGTCTGTCTTGGTCGATCTTTTCAGATGTATTATTTTTCATTAATTTCATCTCTTATATTGTTATTTAATTATTTTTACTTCCGTTGAGTATGTTTGCTGTTATATTCCTGGCATACGTTTTCCTCTTAGAATTTTTCAGCATTTCTCACAAGGTTTTACTATATTTTATTATACTTAATTTTAAATATTTTCTAAATTTATTGTGATTTTTCTTCCACCATAGACTATTTTTAAAATATATGTTCGAGTTTCCATTTACATAAAATTTTCTCTGCTAAAATTTATGTTATGCATATATGGTCAATTTTGATAAATGTTTTGTGTTTGCTGAAAATAATGTGTATCCTGTAGCTTTGGGGTGCAGTGTTTCATACATCCACTAGATCTATTTGTAATCATGTTATTTAAATCCTATTTACCTTTTCTGAGTTTTGTCTTTTTATTCTATTATTTCTTGAGATTTAATGTTAAACTATCCTGCTATGAGTATAGGTTTATCTATGTCTTTTAGAAGTCCTGTCAACTTTTACTTTACATATTTTGATGCCATGCTGATGAGTGCATAGAGCGTTAGAATTGTAGTATCTTCATGGCAAATATAACCTCTACTCACATGAGGTGACATTATCTATTCTAATGTCTTTTTCCTTAAAATCTATTTAGCCTCACGCCTGAAATCCCAGCACTTTGGGAGGCCGAGGCGGGTGGATCATGAGGTCAGGAGATCGAGACCAGCATGGCTAACACATGGTGAAACCAAGTCTCTACTAAAACTACAAAAAATTAGCCGGGCATGGTGGCAGGCACCTGTAGTCCCAGCTACTCGGGAGGCAGAGGCAAGAGAATGGCAGGAACCTGGGAGGTGGAGCTTGCAGTGAGCCAAGATCACACCACTGCACTCCAGTGTGGGTGACAAAGCGAGACTCCGTCTCAAAAAAAAAAAATCTATTTAGTATATATTAAAATGATTACATTAGCTTATTTTTGTTAGTGTTTTATGGTGTGATTTTTCTAAATTTTACTTTTAACTTCTCTTTGTTATTAGGATTTAGATATATATCTTGTACATAGCATAGAGGTCGTAAAATGGGACCTAGAGCTATATGCTAACATTTTATTCCTTGTAGGATAAGAAATGTAGTCTTGTAGGAGTCCCCTCTCCCCCTTGAAGTTGTATATTATGTAAATTTTTGGTCAATAAAATATTGTGGAAATGACATGTTGCTTCAGAGTGAGAGCATTTACTCACCACTATAAGACTGCAAATTTCTCATCTTCTTGCCTTGACACTCAAACAAGGGTCAATAAACCATCTATCAGCCTGGATTCTTTTGTGACCACTATGAGCACAGGACATGTAACAGAAATCAAAAACAAAAACAAACAACAAAAACTTCTCCTACGTGGAGTCCCTGAGCTTTGGGGATCTTGTTAGTACAGCATAGACTAAGCTATCTTGGCAAGTATGAGACTGGCCTCTTGAACTGGTATGTTACTAAAACAAAACACCTAACTTATGTGACACTGGCTTAATACTTGATTCATTGGCAGTGAGTGGCAAGAAAAAACATTACTGTTTACTGTAAAACAAGATAGGGAGTGGCAAAACATTCGATAGCAGTCACCTGTGGTTATGTGGGAGGTAAATCACATATTTGAAAGTTTTGTAACTCTAGAAAAAAAATATAATTGAATATATTAATGGTTCATTTGACAATTAAAAAAATTGACTTTAGAAAATAATTGCCTACTGTCTAGCTAAATAGCAAACAGAGGGAGATGCTCTAAAAGAAAATGATATTTATTTGGGAGTAATATTGCAATGAGAATACATGTGCCATAGTAAATTATGTGTGTATTCAGGGACATTAGAAAAGACAAGGATTTCTAAAAGAGGAAGATTACATAATTGTTTTGAGATAATTAACCTTGGATCCAAGGATCAGGAACAAGGGTGACACCTGTCTAAGGTTAGACAAGGAGGTTCTGAGCAGATGTCCTTGCAGAAGTATCTTTTTGTGTAGGGTTGCAGTGGCCTTTGTGCAATGTTGTTGTTTTGTAGAGTCTTTTCTGGTAGCTCTTGTTATAAGTCGTATTTACATTAAGAACTCTCCCCTCATGGCCTTCTCCAGCTCCATTTGTCAGAGTTTTAACACAAGTGACTTCATTTTGATTCTGACAATTTTATACTACTTTGCAAGCAGGAAAAAAATATATCAGAAAGAAGAGTCTAGAAACTTGAGATTTTGCAGAGCTGGAAGAGGCAACTGCTTCTCAACACTGAATAGTATTTGAGTTTCTAAGCCTGGTTAAAACTCAGCCATGGCTGGGCACGGTGGCTCACGCCTGTAATCCCAGCACTTTGGGAGGCTAAGGCAGGTGCATCACAAGGTCAGGAGATCGAGACCACCCTGGCTAACACGGTGAAACCCCATCTCTACTATTAATACAAACAATTAGCCTGGCATGGTGGCGGGCACCTGTAGTCCCAGCTACTTGGGAGGCTGAGGCAGGAGAATGGTGTGAACCCAGGAGGCAGAGCTTGCAGTGAGCCAAGATCATGCCACTGCACTCCAGCCTGGGCCACAGAGTGAGACTCCGTCTCAAAAAAACAAAAAACAAACAAACAAAAAAACTCAGCCTTAAGACTAGGATTATCTCAAGGGTATGGTTGTTACATCCATGTTAAAAATTCTGACTAGATTATATTTACAGAAAAAGGTTCAACTGACAGTTACTGCTCTTTCAGTTTGACAAGGTAATATCAAGGCAGAGTGATTAAATATCTGGTTTCCTGAATGAAGCCTTACAATGCTCAAAGTATCTGATATTAAATCCAGAGAGAAAAGCAGAGGGGTGAAAAAGCAACAAAACACAGCAAATATAAGAAGCAGCAGACTAGACAAAAACTGTGACTTGTTTGCTTGTATGTGAAGCTGACAGGAATTAAGTAGACTAAAAAATTGAGTTTCTTAAAAAATTGTGCTTCTGAAAGAAATGCCAACCCAAACTAGGTCACACGTGTCAAAGTATATTAAAATGGAGGCCAGGTCTGAAGAATCCCTAGGCAGACAAAGCCAGTTAGGTCTCATATGACCTTAAAACTGATTGATTTACAAAAGTAAGCAAAAATTAACTTGAGCTATTTTTTATAAATGCCTATAGTAAAGAAAAACAGAACTTAAACTCAACCAATCAAAGACAGCCAACAGGATAGCCAAACATTTGATTGGTTAGCTATAAAGTTACCTTATTTCATCTGTCCTGTCTTTGCTTTTCTTCTTTGTCTGTCCTATAAAAGCATCCCCATCGCGTTCCCTCGGTAGAGCTCCGGAACCACCTCAGTTTGGAGCTTTCCAATTTATGAACCATCATTTGCAAATAAACTTTTAAAAAACTTTAGTGTGCCTTAGTTGACCTTATTAACACATGTTGAGCTAAAACCCTGTATTAGTCTGTTCTCATGTTGCTAATAAAGACATACACAAGACTAAGTAATTTATAAAGGAAAGAGGTTTAATGAACTCACAGTTCTACATGGCTGAGGAGGCCTCACAATCATGGTGGAAGACAAAGAAAGAGGAAAGGGACATCTTACGTGGCAGCAGACAAGAGAGAGTTTGCAAGGCAACTCCCCTTTATAAAACCATCAGATCTCATGAGAATTACTTATTCATTATCATAAGAACAACATGGGAAAGACCCGCCCACGATTCAGTTGCCTCCCACTGAGTTCCTCCCCATGACACATGGGAATTACTCGGGAGCCACAATTCAAGATGAGATTTGGATGGGGACACAGAAAAACCATATCAAACCCTGTTCCAGAGATGCAGTTTAACATATTATGAGACAAATGGGAGCTCACAGACAATATGAGAATCTCTTGAAGATTACACTTTTTTTCCTAGTTCTAAAATTACATCTTTTTTAATGAGACTTATATTCTTCCCCCAACTCAGAACATTTCCTTGTCTTTAAGGGAGACCTGCCACAGATAGAGAACCATAGAAAATAACAGTAACAACCACATAAACTGTCATGTTAGCTATGAAAAGAGTTGGTGGAAGGAATGGGCTCTCACCAAGACAGTGAAAAATAGAGGTAGGTGGTAAACAAATATGCAAAAGGACCATTCAGAAACCCAAGCAAACTATCATTCTCCCCATTTTACTGGTGCTATAAATACCTGAAAAAAAGTGCCACAGAAATGGATTAGTGTTATCATCAACAAATATATTTGAGCCGGGCACAGTGGCTCACACCTCTAATCCCAGCATTTTGGGAGGCCAAAATGGGAAGATATCTTGAGCCCAGGAGTTTGAGACCAGCCTGAACAACATAAAAAGACCACCTCTCTATAAAATAAGATAAAATAAAATAAAATAAAATAAAATAAAAAAAATAGCTGGGCATGGTGGTGCACATCTGTAGTCCCAGCTACTTAGAAGGCTGAGATGGAAGGATTGCTTGAGCCCGGAAGGCCCAGGCTGCAGTGAGCCATGCTTATGCCACTGCCAGTCAGCCTGGGTGACAGTGAGACTCATATATATGTATACATTTAAATATATGTATACATGGGTGAGACTCATATATACAGATATGTATATATTTGTACGTATGAGATAAGCTGGTGAGAATGAGGTCATTGAAGCAGATATCCTGTTCCTTGCCAATTAAGTCAGTGATGAATTCCATAGTTAATACCACCATGAAAATGTCCTCCTCTATACCTGGCTTCTCTTCAGAGAGAAAAATTCCTAATTTTATAATTTTTTTTATTTTCAACTAAGGGATTAATACAATAATTAAGGGATTAAATATTTAATATTTATTGTTTCAGTACTTCTCTCTTGCTATGTCCATTAATTCCATTGCTCATTGTTAATTTGTTGTTAATTACATTAAAATCAGTTCTTCTGTAGGATCATGTCATATTGATCTTTATGAAATCAGAGCAATCATTTTTCAAATGATTCAGCTGGCAATTTTCATACTAACAAATATTTTAGTTTTTTATAAGAGCCACAGGTGATAACTTTCCATATTCAAAAGAATACCCAGTGAAGTCTAGTGTTCTCAGATGCAGTTACGGACAGTTTTCCTTTCACTGTTTTCACTTGTTGCTTCACCCTAAACTTCAATTTATGTACACATTACAGTCCCCAATTAGGAGACTAACAGGATGTTGAAGAATGGCATTGGCAGGACATTTCTGAATTCAGTAGCAGGAATGAACTCAAAACCAGCAGTACTGAGTCAGTTCTTGTTCTCTTCTGACTGAATTCGTGTTCATGGAAATGTTTCTGCAAGACTGAGTGGTCACAGTGTCAGAAGGCTCCTCAGGTTTTGCCTCTTCACACATGTCCATTTCCCCTTTGACCTTCTGCCATGTCAAGATACAGCTGGAAAGCCCTCACCAGAAGCTGAGCAGATATCAGTGCCTGCTTTTGGAACTTCCCAGCCTGCAGAAACATTAGGTCTTTATAGATTGTCCAGCTTCAATATTATGCAGCCTTAAAAAGGAACAAGATCATGTCCTTTGCAGGGACATGGATGAAGCTGGAAGCCATTATCCTCAGCAAACTAATGCAGGAACAGAAAACCAAACACCACGTGTTCTCGCTTATAATTGGGAGGTGAACAATGAGATCACATGGACACAGGGAGGGGAACAACACTTAGCGGGCATGTTGGGGCAGGACGGGGGTGGGAGAGCATTAGAGAAAAGAGTTGATGCATGCTGGGCTTAATATCTAGGTGATAGGTTGATAGGTGCAGCAAACCACCATGGCACACATTAACCTATGTAACAAACCTGCATATCCTGCACATGTACCCCAGAACTTAATAAATAAATAAATAATACATTTTTAAAAGATCCACATGATCAAAAATGCAAAAAAAAATAAATTATCCAACTTCAGGTATTCTTTTATAGCAACATAAAATGGACTAAGACAAAACTCTGTGGTGAAATCTCCAATTATTTGTAAGATGAAGTCGTAGAAATGGGTGAAGTCCAAAAAGCAGGTTATAATCTATATAAACATTTAAGACTTTTATTAATATTGACAAAGTCCCCTACAAAATGCATGCACCAATGTAAGCTCTCACTAGCATTAAACGAGACTGCTCGTAACTTTGCACACATTATAATTCTATGTAACAATTTACAAAAGCAAAATGTGGCCAATTTGAAATGCAAAATAGAGCACTTGTTATTCATTTTACCATAGTACTATACTAAACTTACGTTTTTGTTTAAATGTGAGGCTGAATTTTTTATATATGATAATCTGGTTTTTAAAATTATTTTTATCTTTTTTATAAAACAGTAAAAGTATTAAATTTTTTTCTACTGTTTATATTGCAAATAGACTTTAAAGTTTTTAATCTATTATTTACCTTTCTATATTTATTTTCTTGAGGCATTCAGAAATTCTTCCAGTCATGCTATTAAATGCATTCATTTTAAATGTACTCTGCCTTTAATATCATGTTTAAACATGTCTTCCCAACTTTCAAGATTACAAAACAATTCTTGGTATTTTCTCTGTTTGATTGTTTACTTTTTCAATTCTATATTTAATCCTCTTATTTACTTTGGAAGAAGAAGTATGTTACACATTTGTCTTATTTCAAATTGCAATATTGTTGTTACAATACTAATTATTGCAGGGTTAATTTTTCTTCACATATTTAAGATGGAAAAATCTATCTCACACAATATATTTGTAAACAAAAAAAGATATTTATAAACTCTATAATTTTTTTGTTGCACTGGAGTTTCCTCATTCTTTCATGATGTTATTCTATGCCACTCTTTAAAGAGAAGTGTTGGAGGACATGAAAGGTGAGAGGATAGACATGTAACTATTTGTTGGACACCTAACTTAGGATGGACAGATTATATTATTTTTATCAGCAAATGTGAACTCATCAGTCTTTTCCTTAATGACATGTGCTTCCTCAAATTAAAGGCAGTAGAGTCTTATTTTGATTTTCTTGTAAAAGTTTTAAAGAATTGTTTTCAAATCTAAAGTGATAGTACATCTAATGTAGTTTTTCTGTTTGTTGTGAGTTAGAAATACAATTTTGTCCCAATATTAAATGACAGAGGTCTCAATATCATTAGTTGAACAGTCTACGTTTTTTTTTTGTTGATTTCTAATGCCAAATCTATCACGTACGGAGGTTCCTATGTGATAAGAATAAACAATCTGGTCTCACCAGACCTGTCTTTAGTTTGATCTGCTGACCTATTACTTATTATATACATTTTATTTCTGTGTCACAACCTTCATTGTTTTGATTTTTTTAATAATTTTTTTGAGACACGGTCTTGCTCTGTCTCAAAAAATATTAAAAAAATTTTTTTAATCTTTTTTTTTTTTTTCCTGACAGAGTCTTGCTCTGTAGCCCAGGCTGGAGTGGCTCAATTAAGGCTCACTTCAGCCTTGACCTCCTGGGCTCAAACAATCCTCCTGTTTGATTCTCTGTGTAGCTAAGACTACAGTTGCCACTATACCCAGCTACTTTTTTGATGCTTTTAGAGACAAGGTCTCACTGTGTTGCTCAAGTGGGTCTTGAATGCCTTAACTCAAGTGATCTTCCCATCTCAGCCTCCCAACATGCTGGGATTACAAGTATGAGCCACTAAATAAATAATTTAAATAAGTCTTGCTATCTACTGGATACCCCTACCTTAATTTTCTTTTTCAAGAATTGTCTGAATTATTTTTGAATACTTAATTCATGTGTAATTTAGGACTGTTTTGTCAATTTGAAAATAAATTTCTTTAAGATTCTGGTTAGAATTATATTGAATATGTGAATTAATTTGAGCATAATCAATGTCTTTGAAAATTAATTTTTGCATATCTATATAGTTCAAATCCTTCACTAAAGTATTATAGTTATGTAATTTCACAATATATAACATCATGAAACACTTTTCTGAGACTTAGTCATAATCAAAATATAGTTCTTATTTGTAATAAGAAAGGGAATTTTTTTAATTCCACATTTTAATGGACCAGTGCTGGTGAATAGGTGTAATTTTAGCCCATATATATTGATATTGTACTCAGCAAGCTTATCAAATTTGTGTTATTTCAAAAGTTTTCCTGTTGATTTTTAAATTATCTAGGTGGAATTACTACTATTAGTATATAATTTCTTTAAATTTCCATCCAAATTTCTATGTAACAATATTTTTGTCAAAGTGTATTAGTTAAATGACCTAACGAAATTGTCAATAAACAAGTATCTTTGTCTTAATCTTGATTAAATGAAAAGCTCTATGTTACACTAATAACTATGCTTCTGTATTTGTTTAGTAGACATACAAGTTATTAAATGTTGCTTCTATTTAAACTTGGTTTGGGTATTTATCTTGATTAGGAGTTAAATTAGATTAAACATTTTTGCAACATCTGTTGAGATAATTTTATGTAAATTAAAATTATTTACTTTCTAGTTTTAAATTATCTTCAAATTCTTAGAATGAATCTTTTCATTTGTAATATATTTTAAGTATATATTATGAGACTAATTTACTTTTACACTTTTTTTTAGCAGTTTTGTGCCTGTATCTAATTGCCTACCTTCTCATTATTTGCTGTCCTCTACTGTTTTTACTCACTTTGAGAATAATTTTTTAACTTCTTAAAATAAATGAGAATAAAACATTTAGGTTCACTGAAGTAGTTTGGAGAAGGTAAAAATTATGACATTTTTAAACTTAGTAAAAGTTTTTTATAAATCCATCTGAATTTGATATCTTGTGTATATTTTGATAGTCCATTCAAAATCTTTGAAATTGTTGATTTATTAAAGTTTTTTACTACTAATATAAATTTTTGTTAACCTATGCTTTTTAAAAACTTGGCAATTTCAACTGAGTTTTTAAATTTTGGAATAAAATTATTTAGAACTTTGATTATATAAAGCTCTGCTATTTAGTATTTTCTACATTTCATCAATTTTTCTGCTTCTCGTATTTCTTGATCAGTACCATCAGACTTTTGAATTTCCTAATCTTTAAAAGATTTTGGTTGTACTACCATTGTCTATTATATTTTGATTTTCTATTTATTTATTCATTCATTTATTTATTTACTACTTTGATTTTGGTTGACATCCAAAAGCATAATTACTGCCCTTCAGACAAATTCTAACTTTTCCTTTTGCTGAGTCTATGACTTGGGAAATTTACTTAACCTTGCTATCCCTTGGATTTTTGTTTGTTTAGTTTTTGAGACAAGGTCTCACGCTGTCACCCGGGGCTGGAGTGCAGTGGTGCGATCTTGGCTCACTGTAGTTTTGACCTCGCAGGCTCAAGTGATCCTTCCACCTCAGCCTCCCTAGTAGCTGGGACTACAAAGGTGCACCACCATACCCGGCTAATTTTTGTATTGTTTGTAGAGGGCAGTGGGGTCTCACCATATTGCCCAGGCTTGTCTCGAACTCCTGAACTCAAGCATCCACCTGTCTTGACCTCCCAATGTTCGGGGATTACAGGCAGGTGCCACAGCACCCTGTCATGCCTCTGATTCTTTAAAAACCAAAGGGAATGAGACTGTTTTTAGGAATAAATATAAAATAAATAGCACACCTAAACCACCTAGAACAGTACCATGTACTAAGTAAGCGCAAGGTACATATTAGCTCCTTCTTAACTTATTCACCCTTCTTTAAATTTTTCTGTTGTTCATTTTTCTTAACTGAAGGTGAATATGTGCCTCATTCATCTGGAAAACTTTTTTATAAAACATGTACTAATGGATATGGATTCTTAGCTTTAGCCGGTTTTTTCATTTTGATTGTGAAAAGCTTTTTCGTTGCTGAGTTCTAAACATTTATCTTTTATGTAGAAATGTTCATCTTTTTCTCAGTTATAGAGAATAGTTCAATTTTCAAACTTTTTTGATTGATTTAACATTTTACTACTTTACATTCTACGTAATACTTATTCCATGGAATCTGTTCTTTGTTATAGTGTACATGGTTTAGGTGTGTAAATGTTTCATGTGTATTTGAATGTTTGTGTCCAGATTTCTGTCAAGTACAGATTTCTACATAAAAGTATTGAATTAATTTTTGCTAATTGCATTCTTAAAATATTCCATATCATTCTTTCTTCTGCTTGATATGGCAGTTTATTAAGTGTGTCTTACATTCTTATTATTTGTGGATTCTTCAGTTTCTGTTTGTGAGGCTTCTGCTTTATCTATTTACGTAATGCATTGTTAGGTATGTCCAAATTCATGATTATTGCATCTTTTCCATGAATTTTTTCTTTTTCTTTTTTTTGAGACGGAGTCTCGCTCTGTCGCCCAGGCCGGACTGCGGACTGCAGTGGCGCAATCTCGGCTCACTGCAAGCTCCGCTTCCCGGGTTCACGCCATTCTCCTGCCTCAGCCTCCCGAGTAGCTGGGACTACAGGCGCCCGCCACCGCGCCCGGCTAATTTTTTGTATTTTTAGTAGAAACGGGGTTTCACCTTGTTAGCCAGGATGGTCTCGATCTCCTGACCTCATGATCCACCCGCCTCGGCCTCCCAAAGTGCTGGGATTACAGGCGTGAGCCACCGCGCCCGGCCCTTTTTTTTTTTTTTGAGACAGAGTTTTGCTCTTGTTGCCCAGGCTGGAGTTCAATGGTGTGATCTTGGCTCAGTGCCACCTCTGCCTCCCAGGTTCAAGTAATTCTCCTTCCTCAGTCTCCTGAGTAGCTGGGATTACAGGCACACGCCACCATGCACAGCTAATTTTTTTGTATTTTTAGTAGAGATGGGGGTTTCACCACATTGGCCAGGCTGGTCTTGAACTCCTGACCTCAGGTGATCTGCCCGCCTTGGCCTCCCAAAGTGCTGGAATTACAGGCGTGAGCCAACATGCCCAGCCTTCGATGAATTGTTTTATTCTTACTACTCTGTAATCACCTGTCTTTAACTGTTACTGTTGTTTACTTTAAATGTTATGTGATTATTAGTTATAATTCAGTTAAATATGACAAATATAAACAAGCAATTGAATATATGCATGTGGAAGAGCATCTATCTTTCACATAACTAAAAAATACATAGGAAAGTTTTTGTGGCACAAATTGTCCAAGGGAATAGTGTGATTCTATCACCAACAAATGATAGGATAATAGACATTAGGCATAAGTAGCAGTTACTGTGCTCATTAGTTAGTGGTAGATTCTACCCATTTATTTTCTGTCACTGTGGTTTTCTGCTTTAGGTATGCCTCTTGAAAGCAGAACATAGTCGTGTTTTGTTTTCTTATTTATTCTCTGTCTTTTGATAGATCAAGCAAATTTATTTAAATTCATGAACATTTCTGATAACATTGAACTTGCTTTTACTGTCTTATTAAAATTTTGCTAGTTATCACTCTCTTTTCACTCTTTTTTTGCTTTGAGATTAAAGTGATAAGTTCTTTTTATTCATTTCTCCATCTGTTTTTTTTTTTTTTTTTTTTTTTGAGACGGAGTCTCGCTCTGTCGCCCAGGCTGGAGTGCGATCTCAGCTCACGGCAAGCTCCGCCTCCTGGGTTCACGCCATTCTCCTGCCTCAGCCTCCCGAGTAGCTGGGACTACAGGCGCCTGCCACCACGCCCAGCTAATTTTTTGTATTTTTAATAGAGACGGGGTTTCACCGTGTTAGCCAGGATGGTCTCCATCTCCTGACCTCATGATCCACCCGCCTCGGCCTCCCAAAGTGCTGGGATTACAGGCGTGAGACACGGAGCCCAGCCTCATTTCTCCATCTATTCTAAGTTTCTATTTTTATATAACAAATCATTCCCCAAATTGCAGGCTTAAAACAGCAGTTTATTACTTTTTTCCTCACGATTCTGTGAATTGCCTGGACTTAGTGGATAGTCTCTCATTGTGGTATTTCATGTAGTTGCCATCAGATAAGGGATGGGACCACAGTCATCTGAAGGCTCAAATGGGATGAACATCTACAATGATCCAACTCAATGGCTGACATAGGGAGGATTCCCTCTTTTTCTACTGATTGGAATAGTTTCAGAAGGAATGGTACCAGCTCCTCCTTGTAACTCTGGTAGAATTCGGCTGTGATTCCGTCTGGTCCTGGACTTTTTTTGGTTGGTAGGCTATTAATTATTGCCTCAATTTCAGAGCCTGTTAGTGGTATACTCAGGGATTCAAATTCTTCCTGGTTTAGTCTTGGGAGGGTGTATGTGTCGAGGAATGTATCCATTTCTTCTAGATTTTCTAGTTTATTTGCATAGAGGTGTTTATAGTTTTCTCTGATGGTAGTTTGTATTTCTGTGGAATCAGTGGTGATATCCCCTTTATCATTTTTTGGGGGGTCTATTTGATTTTTCTCTCTTTTCTTCTTTATTAGTCTTGCTACTGGTCTATCAATTTTGTTGATCTTTTCAAAAAAACCAACTCCTGGATTCATGGATTTCTTGAAGGGTGTTTTGTGTCTCTATCTCCTTCAATTCTGCTCTGATCTTAGTTGTTTCTTGCTGTCTGCTAGCTTTTGAATGTGTTGGAGAGCAGTTTCTCATAAAAGCTTGTGGATTCAACTGTAAAAGTGGCAATCCACTCTGACTCCCCTCTCCACTGCAGAGAGCTTTCTTCTTTCACTTATTAAACTTTTGCTCCAACCTCACCCTTTTGTGTCCACACTCCTTAATTTTCTTGGTCATGAGACCATGAGCTCAGATAACACCTTAGTAATAATATCAATGACCCGGACCTGTTTTGGTAACACCAGCTCTGGGGCCAGGACACAGGGGCACTCTCAGGCAGAAGACTGAAATCTGTGCAAGTGGTATACAAATTTATCCCTTCATACACAAATCTCAGGCCAGTCTCTCTCTTGGACTTCTAAAATTTTACATTCATTGTGATGAGAATCAACATTTTTGGTTCATTTCAAAGGACAGGCTCAAGTTTTGCCAATGCTAATATGGCTCAGCAGAAAAATGCATGTGGCTTGTATTAAGAAAGCACATAAAGGATCTACATTGACTGGGTTTTCATAATCACAAAAAACGAATAAATTTGTATGAGTATCTTTATATGAAGGCAAGGAGGAAAACAGGTGAATGGAAGCCTACGTAAATGTGCTTATGATTTAAAACAAACTTATTTCCTCAGGAAAAATATATTTTTCACCTCACCTGTTAAAGTCTTAGGAAAGCTTAACCTTGATAATCTCCTAATAACAGAACTTATGTTTCTTTTCTGAACCTCATTCCTTCTCATATTGTAATAATGAAATGAATAAATGAATAGCAAGTGAGTAGTGGTGCACACTAAACTCTGAGTACTGACTGCCTTCTATTCCACTTAATACCTTTATAAGAACATTGTTATGTACCTAAGTCATGTCATCTATAAAACTAAGGTAATGATAACAATCATATGTCCCTAATATAATGGTTTTGATGATTAAGTGGAACATAGTAAATGTTTAAAAATGTTTTCTATTATAACCAATTTGGCTAGGATAGGTGGAAAGAATAGAAATATGATAATTAATTGTGAAATGTATAATATATATTAATAGGTCATCAACATCAAATTAAAAAATATAGATGATTACCATGATAGTGAAACCAAAGTTTTTAGACAAGTCAAAGCAAAGTTGAAGTCTCAGAGACCATTGTGTTTATTTGCTAACTGTATTATCAGACTGCTTAGTTGATACAGTGAATACAATAATTCTTCCAATGTACATAAACTGCCAGACAAGCAACTCAATGCAATTCACTCACTCTCGGAGAAGTTTATCCCCTCTGCCAATGTTCATCTTTCCTGGCAAACCATCCTTCAGTATTCCAGGCAAACTAGAGCAAGGTGAAGTTGAAGAAGATCCTACTTTATATTCCATTCAGAGAGCTTCCGGGTCTTCAAAAAAGATTTAGTCATGTGGGTGTGAAAGAGCTGAGTCATGAAATTTGGACCTTATTGTAAGTCCAGAAGGAAAAACAAGGGGTTTGAAGCACAAGGGTGATATGATCTAATTTCTACTTTTAAATGATCACTCTGATTGTCGTGAGGGAACTGATATGGGATGTACTGGGGGAAGAATGTTACCAGGACCAGGTCGAGGCTGTTAAAGACCTCCAGGAGAGAGCATTGTGGGCCGAACAACAAGCTTCTAGTAAAGATCATGCAAGTGGACACATTTGAGATGTATTTTGAAGGTGGAAGAAATTAGATAAGCTAATGGGTAGTGCCTGGAGGGAGTGAGGATTTTTGAACCACTAGGTAAACACCTGTGAGTAACAGAGAAAAAGTTGGGATGTGTTATGAAAGATGAATCCTAAAATTTCATATGTTGAAGACTGATGCTTCAGGACCTCAGAATGTGAACATCCATAGTAGAAGGGAATTGTGTTGTTGACGGCTGCCACCCACTCTAGGTGCCCAAGCTCCTGCAGCAGTCCTACTTCTCCCTTTCACCCACACTCACTCCCAGACAGTGTCCCTTTCAGCTCTTCCATCACCCCTTCTTTTGATTTGGCTGGTGAGAGCATAGCTGGTATTTATACTTTCTTGATATGCTAGTCTCTTTTGCTGATTGTTGACATTGGAGAAGGTCATGGAAGGGACCTGAGCTGAGCGACCTTTAGGAGCATTTCCTGTTCTTTTCCTGTACTCTGCTGCCAAGGAGAAATCTGTCTTTCACCAGGCTTGCAGCTTTCTCCGTTACCCACATCATCAGGCAATATCTGTCTGGCACCCCTCTTTGTTCCCTTTCTCTGGCCTTCCTTTTTGACATGATGGTTGACCTGAAATCACCAAGGCAGGACTGCTCATCTCCAGGTCTAATGGAAAACAGTATCTGGTGAAACCAAAGAAAATAATCCCAGTAACCCACTGGGAGCTGCTTGGCTTAAGCACCTACCCTGTGCCTAAGATACAACCCATCAAGCCCAGCTAAAACTGATCCAGTTTCCACAGGGCCAGAGAAGAATTGCCAATTAAGAATGCATTCCCACTTCAAATATGTCTATATTTATTTCAGGGAAAATATCAGTCTGCCTGGGTCCCTTATGAGAACATTGTTGTCTGTAGAAAAATCTAATCTATTAGGAAGCCTTCTTGTTTTGTTATCTGCAACTCTTCAGAAGGGCCAGACCAGACCCTCGTATGCACAGTACAGGATCCACCCATGCACATCTGTCTAGGGCCTTGTCTTTATGATTTTCTGTCACATGGCCTCTCAGCCATGCCTCCAACCAAGCTATCCTCAAATAAACACTAGCCGTGCACAAAAAGTGAAAAATTACACAAGGCCTACACAAGGTCTGAAATGGAAAGTGCAGCTGGTGATACCGAGTAGTATATTTTATGAATTGAGGAACAGGGAATTTCTAGGTATCACAGAGCAATCAGCAGCTGAGAAGAGGAGTACCAATCCAGGACCCTGGAAGGATTTTTCAGAAACTTAATAGTTTATTGTCCAATTGTAGAGACAAAAATGAAAATAAAGATAGTGAGGAGTACCATACACCATTGCTTAGAAGATTAAATAAATGTCATCTCCCACAAGTCATGTGGGGAGAAAAAAACTATATAGGAAGAAAATTACAAACGACAAGGTAGTCTCAGCATATAAAATATCAACAAATGAATGTAAGAAAGAGAATGAGAAAGAATTAGTATTAGAATATCATAGAAAAAATCATCTTTGTGAAAGAAAACTCTGATGAAACTGGTGACATAAATACTGAGTAAAAAACAGAAGACCAATCAAGGCATTTGAGGCTTGAACAGGCATTACAAATCATCAAGTTGAATATATAAGTATGGCCACTTAGTTATTAGTGGTGAAGACTACGGTATTTGTTAGAAGAAATAAAGTAGATGATGAATTCTATAGAATATTCTGGAGAAAGTGGAGGTCTTAGCTACATGACATCGTGTGGCTCACTTTGGGAACCATGTTTCAGTTTGTTTAGGTCTAGAAATTCCTTGGTGGTTTCTGTGTTCAGTTTTGCTTTAATAATCCCTAAAGATATTTTTTAAAATACAAATTTTTTAGCTTTCCTGTATTGTACAGCACCAACGCTTGCCTGAGTGTAGTGAGATTCACAGAGTTTGGAAATTTCCTGTAGCATGAGGAGGCTGCGGGGCAGCCTTCTGTCATCTATGTGTACCCAGCAGTGTGCTGTCCTCACACAACTCACGGATAAGCAGAAAGCATCTCTATTACATGAAAAATTTAGCTAAATATACAAATATCCATGCACACACATCATGAGAGATGGAAATAGGCTATCAAAAGAGTCAGACATATTGACCGTCTTCACTGTTAGCTGTAGGATTGCTGCCCAACCCCCTGACACACCCACACAAACTCACATACACACAAATGAAAAGCACAGTGGAAAGCAGAATAGCAGTCTTTCCAAACAGATTGAAAAACAAATGATGTCTAAAGTTCAATCCTGACACTGTGCTGATTGCTTGGACACAGTTCCGTCAAAACATTTGTCCAAGTCATAGTTGTACCTTTTAGAAATTAGCCACAAACAACATCCTCCCCAACCCTTCCTGCTAGGCTAGAGTCCCAGAAGAAATGAGGGATACACTTGACCTGAAGTAAGCAAAGCAGAACCCAGTCTCTGAGGCGAGGAGGCCCACCTGGTAGGGAGCTCAAATGCGCCATTGTCCTGCTTGTCTTTATAAAGGGAGCTGACACGTTTCTCCCAGCATAAAGTTGGGAGTGACACCAGAGCCTTCTGCAAGATGCTTCTGATTCTGCTGTCAGTGGCCCTGCTGGCCTTCAGCTCAGCTCAGGACTTAGATGAAGGTAAGCCGAATTGGGGGAAGATATTGTGACTCTGATTGGGGTTTACGGGCGAATGCTATAGAGGGGGAAAGTGGAGGGAAGAGAGGAGGATGAGAAAACAGATAGGACTGAAGAGTTCTCATGCCAAGGATCAGAAGACCTGTTGTGCCTTCATTCCTCATCAAGACCTCATAATTTATTGATTGCACAAATAGAACCCAATAAAGAATTTGTACCGGGGGAGTGAGAGAGTGAGATTTGCATTTATAGAGACATGGGACTGCTGGGAAGGATATGGAGAATGCAAGACAGATTCAGGGAAGTGCAGCTGTGAAGATCCTATACTGATCCCAGTAGACAGGGATGATGGTGGCCTTGCTGGACAGTGGATGAGTATCCATGAAGGAGATAAACACATGTCAGAGCTATTGCTGAGGCAGAGAATTGGGTAAACACTTGCCTCTGTCTACATAGAGTTAGAGAATCACCAGAGTGAAATATTGTCATTTTTTTCTCTCCTGCATGTAGTATTTTAATGTGCTGGGACGGGCATTTGTAAGATTGTATCTAAGTGGCTATGTCTGGTGGCTCCTGTTGAGAAAGCTTGCAAACATAAACAACATATTTACAGATGAAAGAGGGCAGAAGGATCCCCAAATATTTCATTGAAATACTCAAGAGCCCTTTAACTAAATAAGCACTAAGGCTTAAGGAATCATGAGAGGACAAACAGGGGCCCTTCTATGTTGAGTTCCTGGTTGACGCTCAGTGTAGTAACAATCCTGCTTTCCCTTACATCTTCTTCCACTTCCGGTAGCATCAGAGAGTGGCTGATGAGATCTCAAAGGGGATGCACAGGGTGTGATCAGAGGTCCTTTATCCTCGTAGAACACTATGAGCTCTGAATGATTCATGCAGTAACTTTTCCCATCATCCTGTACTTCTTTTCTAGATGTCAGCCAAGAAGACGTTCCCTTGGTAATATCAGGTAAATCCCAATAAATTCTCAGTAAACTCTGTCTCCATTTTTCCCTGAAAAATTGATCAGTTCTCCAGTGTCTTCTTATCATCCTTGTCAGGAATTGGCTAATATCAGTGCCCCAGAGATATAAACAGTTTTCTCCCAACCTTGATTCTGGGGACCATGAGTAAAGAAATTTGATTTTTCACCACCCTAATGTGGATTAAGAGGAGTTCTAATTAGGAAGCCTTGGGAAGGGGGGAGGTTGGGAGTTGAGAGGCAGGTCAGGGAGAGAGGGGCCGGCCGTGTGGTGAAGACAGAGAGATATGAAGACAGGAGGGTTTTCCAGCATGAGCTCAGCTCTTCTTGTTTCAACTCACACAGATGGAGGAGACTCTGAGCAGTTCATAGATGAGGAGCGTCAGGGACCACCTTTGGGAGGACAGCAATCTCAACCCTCTGCTGGTGATGGGAACCAGAATGATGGCCCTCAGCAGGGACCACCCCAACAAGGAGGCCAGCAGCAACAAGGTCCACCACCTCCTCAGGGAAAGCCACAAGGACCACCCCAACAGGGAGGCCATCCCCCTCCTCCTCAAGGAAGGCCACAAGGACCACCCCAACAGGGAGGCCATCCCCGTCCTCCTCGAGGAAGGCCACAAGGACCACCCCAACAGGGAGGCCATCAGCAAGGTCCTCCCCCACCTCCTCCTGGAAAGCCCCAGGGACCACCTCCCCAAGGGGGCCGCCCACAAGGACCTCCACAGGGGCAGTCTCCTCAGTAATCTAGGATTCAATGATAGGTATGATTCCAGTTTATTATCCATCAAAGGCTCCAACTGCTACAGTTCTCCAACTTCATTGTGCCAGTGAATCTATTGAAAAGCTGTTAATATTTCCGTGTCCTGGAACACATTTCTCATGAGTTTTGTTCAAATATTCTGGGATAAGGTAGCAAGATCTTGTTTTTAAACAATCTCTTGAAGGCAATTCCAATTTTGAGAATCACTATCTTCAAATTACCTCTCTTAAATAGGGTTGGGAATGAGGACATAGAATCATGTTCTCCCTTTGGCACTCTGTTTCCTTTCCTCAAACTCAAAGACTCCCATTTATTTAAAGTTTTACCTGAACACTCCTTGTTCAGGACAGGCTCAGTCCTGCCTCACACTAGCATTTCAAGTCCAGTATTCCTGCTAAATGGTCCTTGGACTTTTAGCTGTTAAATGGTATCTCATTTTTTAAAACACATTTCACATTTAAAGTCATACATGCTTAAGCTAACAAAAACTAATCTCACTGAATAGACATGTACCAAGCTAAATAGCAATTCATTTCTCCTCCCCTCTACCCTTACCAAAACTCCCACTTTTTACTGTTTGGAAACTCCTCTTTGAAATATTTATTGCTACATAACTATATATAATTTTCCCACCACTAATACCACACTTTATATTCAGTTCTGTGTCTTACTTATTGGAAAAATTTATTTCTTAGCTTTCACATGAGTTTATTTAGATCTCTTCAGTGTTTATTGGTTAGTTTTTTTTTTTACAATTATATATGATGCTATTGTTTGGTTTTTCCATAATTTACTTAACCAATCCTTGTCACTGAACATTAAGGCTGCTTTCACACTGTCCCTATTACAGGATATGTTGCAGTCCCCATCTTTCTGAAAATAACCCTTAACGTATCCAACAGCCACAAAGCATGAACAACCTAACAATAATCGTTTTTCGTCCTCATCTAAGCAACAGTTTAAAGCACATTACGTGCAATGGCATAGAAAGTGTGAACAAAGAAAATGATATTAAGGAGGGGGGCTGTAGAAGGGATAGAGGGCAAAAGGATGGTTTTGCATCTTCCTCACCGCAGTAAACCAATGAGGTATTAGACATTTCCTGCCATGTCAAGTCTTGCCTATAATCTTCCTTGTCTTTTTCAGGAAGTGAATAAGAAGATGACAGTGTTTCAAATGCCTTGAAACATAATGTGATCATGCTCTAACTTCAATATACCAATAAAATAATCAGCTTGCAATTTCTGATTATAGCATCTCCTTCTGAGTGTTTGGGACTCTGGAATCTGAGACCCATGTTCACATTGTAAGAACATCCAGGACCCCTTCTCCTTGATGTTTCCAGCAAGCTTCTTTCCTCCTTATCCTTATTAAGTCATCTGCCTGGGGAAGGAGTTCCACTGTTTCTTTCCTTCTCTGTCTTCTTAGCTCGAATTTAAATTGCACAATTATTTTCAGGTCATTTCCTGATAGTCTAGTCAGCTTATGAATGTAAGCAAAACAGGACCAATGAAAGAAAGTCCCAGAAGCTGAGAGAAACTTTAACAAGTTTGAGAGTAACTTATTTTGTTTTCTAGGAAAGTGAGTATGGTTCTATGCCTGTATTCCCCAGAAGCCACTAGACCTATTTTCCCCTATTTTATCACTGATCAGTTCTGTCCCTGCCTATGATTCTTACCATTCTTAAGAAAACCTGAATGGATTTCATCAAGGCGGCAGCATAATTTGAAGGGCAATTGCGTGTGAAAATTGATGTGACTTGATTTACACAATAGTCAGAAAACATTTTAGAAATTGATGACTTTATAATGCAACCAGGAGTATTGAAAAAAAAGTAAGCAATGAGCTCAAATAATTAAAAAAGAGAGACAAAATACACTTGGGAGAACAGAAATAAGAATTAATGAAAATTTAAAAGATTAAATGAATGAGAAGAAATGATTCATAAATTTTGAACTAACAGTAATAACTTCTTGAAAATCCAATAAAATTGGCAAAAGATTGTGAAAATTCTGGAAGAATAAGGGAAACAGATAATCTTCAGAGTAATCAGGTAAAGCTTAAACAAGTGTTTTAAAAGATGAGTTTTTCCTACATTCTGAAAAGCAAACATGAAAAACTGAACACAGTTTTTACAGATATACAATATGGAGTGACTTATATACAAAATGACCTTAAAAATATATTAAACTCATTATAGTAGTTAATATCTAAGTAAAATATGATGAAATTTAATAGAGAATTCACTCCTCCCAAAAGCACCTTCATGGAAGATTCCTCATTAACAGGCAGTCCTTTAGTATGCTGATTTATACAAAATGCTGAAAAGAAGAGAAATACCCCAAGTTCTTGAAAAAAAATTTTTTGATATGACTACTCTAACAGTAATAACTATAAATCTCACTTTAAATAATTTAAAACAAATTAAAGTGATATATGAGTTAAATGACCAAGCAGACTTGATTCCAGGAATGTTAAGGAATGTTCATTATTTGTTTTGGATAATGAAGTCAGCAGAGGAAAAAAAAATATGACCATCTCAAAAGATGCCAACGTTGTCTTTGATAATATTTAATATATTTTTTAAAAAACAATTCTTGTAAAATACTTTTTTGATTAGCCTTCTGACCATGATTAAAATGGTGTACCTCAAAGTAGCTGCTAACCTTATGTGTATCTGCAACACCCTGAAAAATTATCTAATAAAAAGGCACAAAGAAAAAGCTTGTCAATGTTGTGGATAATTAGAAAGTGAATAATTTTATTTAATATTAGATAAACAAGCACATAACAGAGATACATATATTCAAATGGAAGGAGTAAAATTACCACCACATGCAGATCTGTTTTTCTGTCCAGAAAATAACAAGAGATTCTACTCAGGTAAAAAAGGAAAGGAAGGAAAACCATTGTAATTAAAATAAAATTTAATACAATAGCCGTTTATTAATTCAACTTCTAAAGAATCTTTGTGATTACACAATGACCAGCTAGTAAATATAATAAGAAAATGATTATTCACAAAGGAACCAAAAGGCCTAGTCTTCGAATTTTTAATGCCATTGTGATAGCAAGCATCTGATTATTTTACTCTAAGTTATTTCCACTTCTGATTTTAAGAACAGCTTCTTTCCCAGGGATGGGTTCCCCCTAGTGATGTATTCTCTTCACCACAAGAGTTTGCAGCTCTGGCTTTCTTTCTGCTCATCTGTAAAGATAACTACAGCTCCTCTATAAACCATCTCACCATTATTACCGAAATCAGACAAATTCTGGAGATAGTCAAAGCTGTGAGGATTCGAAGATCTCTTTCACATCTTGACCCAGTCAATTCCGTTCACCAGTGTTATGAATCCATTCCCCAAAATTCCAATTAGGAATTATATATTTATTATTATAATGAGGATACTATACAAGGCATTTAGCATGGCTGCAAAGAGAGAGCTCCAATGTCTAAATGCAACGCTGACAATTTCTTCATCTATCACATGTACCTGTTATACATACTTATTAATTGGATGTGCAGTTAATTTCTTCCTTTAAAAAAAAAACTATAGGCTCAATATGAAAGTAGAAAGCACTAAGGTGTACTAATGAATGGGCACATAGCTTTTTTCACAAAAAGATTATTTTGCCCCAGACAGCTATCTGCATTCTGATCCAGATACTGTATGTTCTTAACATAAAGTGAAATTTCTCATACTTCATGATGAAAGAAAAAACTGAATTCTCATTGTTAATAAACAAATAAAGACAATTCTCTGCATCATTGTGCATGTTTGCTTTATCTAATCTCTTCACAATTTGCTTATTAATTTTAATTGTTATCAATTGCATTAAAATTCAATGGATAGAAGTATAACATATAGCAAATATGTAAATTAGTAGATGGAGTATATTGAGCACTAAAATCATCTCCACTGAGGAATGCTGAGGGAAGACTGAGGGGATATTTTCATAGTTTATCCAAAGCTCTTATAATTCAAAGCATTGAAATTTACTGAATGAATCCAGAGGAGCCATAACTCCTGAATGCTGAGTGCTGATAATTTACATTTATTTATCAATTAATTGTTTGCAAGTTCCCGTATACACACACTTTGCAGAATAACCTTATAGGATTATTGTCCAGGAATGACTGCTGTCTTTTTGGCAATAAGAATATAGGGCTCAGGAAATCACATGGATTCAAAATCTTCGATTTTCTAATAATTAATTCTTGCTTCCTTCATTAATATTTATTAAGCTTATCCTGACATTAAAAAATATTATATATCAAAATATTTTAAAAACATAATTACCCTTGATATTCTCTAATACTTAACTGAAAATATCCAGGAACATTTGAGAACCATTTACAGGGCTTATGAAAACTGATAGAACTCTATATTAATCCCACACAGCAGCCTCTTTGTTAAAGCCAGATAGGGACAATATTGAGAATGCAGAGGAACATCTGCAGAGCATGAATTGTCCTCATTTTGTACTTCTCCTCTACTCAGTAATACCCACTCCCCTAGAGTTATCAAAGGTTGGGTTTTATTCAGCTTCCCCACACCTCTGCTGAGCAACATCTGTTCTATGGCTGTTAAATCTTACTCCAAAGTAAGTAAGTATAGGTTTGCTAAACAACACGGTGGAGTTAAATCCCAATATATTCTTATTTCTTCAAGAAAATTTTTAAATCAATAGAGAGCAATAAACTACATCAGCAAAGATCTGTAATGTTGTCTATATGATCCTCGAATTTGGAGGGATCCAGATTGAGGAGTTAAGCAGGCAAAAATGGGAAATTTTAAGAAAAAACTTTCAAGGATAGGAGCGCCAACACATGACCCAGGCAGAGGTAGGATGGACATTACAGGCTTGGCATCTTCCAGGATATTGAGCTGAATCTGAGGAACACACCAATTCCTACAAGAATGAAAATGGGGTAATGGAGTAGGCTCTGAAACTGAATTTTCATGGGGCATTCGATGATGAAGCAGAACCTAGGCTCCAGGAAAGCTAGAACTCACTTCAGAGGAGCTCTCTGCTATTGCTCTCCTATCCCTCCCACCACCCCGCCCCCACACACATACACACACCCCTGCAGCTTTCTTCCCTTAAAAACTTACTACTGGGGAAGACAAACCAGTAAGGTAGATAAGACAACAAGAATTCCTACATATTTTATTCCAGTAAACATAAGGCCCAGGCTAAGATCAAAAAATAAGAATAGGAAATAATAATATTTGATTCTTCCAAAGTTGCAAAGAGAAGCTTTCTAAGAATGCATACTTATGTGCAGTTTTCCTCCTGAGTTGTTTCTAATATGCCACTTGAGGTATACTTGACATGCAATAAGTTGTACAGATATAAAGTGTACAATTTCATGAGTGTCTCACCATGTGATACTCATCACATGTGAAACCATCACTATAATCAGGTAACAAACATATATAGTACCCCCAAAACTTTCCTTTATGTTCCTGTGTTATTCCTCCAACTTACCACTGCCCATTCTTTATCAAACCCCCAGTTACCAGGCAACCATGGATCTGCTTTCAGTCACTATAGATTACTTTCCATATTCTAGAATGGTATATAAATGGAATCATACATCATTGTGTTTTCTCTGTGCCCACAGATGCCTGTTTCTTCCTCTTTTTATAAAGACACCAGTCCTATTGTACTACGGCCTCACTGTATGGCCTAATTTAACCTTAACTACCTACTTAAAAGCCTTATATCCAAATACAGTCACATTGAGAGTGTGGGCTTCAACACATGGATTTTGGAGACAAACAAGTCAGTCCATAACAGTCTTTCTGAAGCAGATTGGTTATTAGCATTTTCAGTAAGGACGTATGTTTAGTAAACAGCCCTCATCTTTTTTTAAGGGGAGAGGGGAATGTTATTATTTAATTCAAACCCCAGAACAAATTTTTAGCAAAGAATTCAGGATTACGGTTACATTCCTTAGCCCTTGAAAAAATGAATCAACTGTCTTCTGGCATACAGTTCTTTGACACAATTTTTCATGTTATTCAAACTGGGATTATCTTCCCCTTTTGGAGATTACCTCTCACTACCTTGCAGCTGCTTTCTGAATTCCCATTTGCCTCTAAGGTTGCAATTTTATTTCTCTCTCTCTCTCTCTCTCTCTCTCTCTGTGTGTGTGTGTGCGTGCGTGTGTATGAATATGTATATTGTATTTTATTAAATCTAGAATGCATAGACTAGAAGACATGTCATTGTTTTATGTACCACCATTAACAAGTATCATTATTTTAATTGGTCAGAGGAGAGGGAAAATATGATCATCTTAATAAACAGCAAAAAATTTGATAGTTTTTAACAGAGATTTTATTACAATACTATACACAGGAAGATAGGAAACAAATATTCTCCCTGAAGAATATTTTTAAAAGAATTTATCTCAAAGCTAGAGTCAGTATTACGTTTATTGTTAAAACACTAGAAAACACTCCATTTGCAAAGACAGCAGTTACGATCAGGATTACTTAACACTTTGAATGTTCAAACCATTTCATTATACAACTGATACCAAAAAAGAATTACAAGTAGTAAAATGGAGAAGTAAAATAATCATTATAAGTCACTATATGCAGATGATATAATTTTCTATCTGCAAAGCCAAGAGAATGAGCAAAGCAAATGTGGTAGTTTAGTAAGGCAGCTGGCTTCTAATTCAACAAACGAAGCAAATTACTTTTTTGCATACACGCTAATCAGGTACTAAATATTATACAAAAATTAAAAACACTTAATATAGGTACTAAAATTCCATATTCTTTTATGTACTTTATCTACCAGATTGAGATGTAAGTTTAAGAAGCCTATTTTTAGTAACTGTGTCACATACATACATACACACATGTATTTTATACATTATAGGTTTTCTCATTTAAAAATCTCAAAAAAGGTGAATGATTGATACAAAATCTATATTATCTGTTTGTATAAGAACTCTTTATAGTATTCGCATTCTTCTCTGTATGGTAATATACATACTTTCATATATCCTAATTTGTGATATGTTTGGATGGTGTTGATTCCAAGCATATCTTTGTAAAATTCACAAAGTTATACACAATGAAAGAATCTTAAGGAAGTATAAATTTATATAACATACAAGAATTTCTTAGGAGCTATTTTTTTTCTAATATATTCAAGATGATTCTCTAAATTCTTTGTGACCTGAGGGCTCCCCATCTTTGAACATGTACCTCAGCCACAGTAGCACTGACAGAGAGGCCTGTCTCAGCTTCTTGTTTCCAAGAATCAGAACACATGAGTGACATGAAGGATAAGCCATTCCCATCACCTGGGAAAGAATAATTAGATTTTCCTCCAACCTTTCAGAGGTCCAAACTGATATGAAAAAAGACAGAGAGAAAATGGCATAGAGTAGGAAGAAAGTGATCACACTTTTAACTCCTCTGTGGGCTTTGGTGCTGGCGTCTCCGGATATTTTGACAGTGTGCTGCATCTTCTTGCGATGTTTCCACATGGAGAAGATGAGGAGAAGAAACATTGCCAGGGACAAAGTAAAGGGTATGAAAATGAACACAGTGCTGGTTAATACAATAAGACTGGAAAATCGTGTAAAGTTACTTGAATCAGAACTGCAAGTCTTGTTTCTTCTGTATCCATTGATACTGGCATTTATATGGATGTTTATCAGTGCAATATTTAAAAACAAGAAGACCGAAGTCACAAGAAGCAGCACCAAAACCACCTTTTTAACCCTCCACTTTAGGTAGAGAAAAATAGAGTTAGAAAAATTGGCTATCTTGAGAAAATAAAAAGTACCGAGGCCTGTAGCTAACCAGACACTAAAATGATTGATCACTGTCCAGATATTAGTAAGCATTCTGAACATTTTTTCAGTGGCAAATAAAGCTGGGAAAAACACAGACACACACCAGCTTCCGAATATTAACCAAACCAGGCTAATTCGAGAGATTGCCAAAGCAGTGAGGATCCGATCAACCGAAGAGATCTTTCTTCCCTTGACCCAGTCAATACAGTTCACCAGTGCTATGAAACTATTTCCTAAATTTCCAATTATAAATTCCACAATTAAAACGAATGTAAATATGCTCTTTATGACACCACCCATTGCCTGTAAGAGCATGCCCCAATGTCTAATATCACTGCTGAAGACTTCTTAATGCATTCATCTAAAATGCTATGTATATCTGATTCTTGAAAATTCAATAATATATTCCCTTTAAAAAGGGAATGTTAAACCAGCAACCATCCAGATTTGCTAATGGCTGGGTTTAAAGCTCTCTTCATAAAAATCTCTGTATTTCCCCAGACAGCTCAGCTGAGCTTCATCCAGATGCTGTGTGCCTTATACACAGTAGGCTGAAGTCTTTTGTAGCTGGTGAGAAAGGAAACACTGAATTCTCATTTGTAAACATGCAAATAAGGACATATTTATTTTCATTGGTTTGTGTGTTTTTTTTTTTTTTTTTTGTCTTATCTACATACTTCAGTCTGTCAAATTGAGTTCTGGGGAAGTATCATTACAAAAATTGGTATATGAAACTTTGTAAGCACTGAGAATTTTTACATACTTCCGTGTTTGGGTGGAGAAAAATGGGGAGATGATGGTGAAAGTTTACAGAACCTCAGTTAGACAAGAGGAATAAGTTTTGTTCTGCTTTTCTGAGATCTATTGAACAGCATTGTGAATATGGTTAATAATAGTGTATTGTACATTACAAAATTGCTGAAAAAGTAACTTTCAAATATTCTCACCATAAAAAAATATTTGTTACCTGTTATCTGTTATATTTATTATCATTTGAATACGTTAATTAGTTTCATTTAATTATTCCACATAGTAGTCATAAATCATAACAACACCTGATACCTCATAAATGTATGCAAGTAAAATATGTCAATTTACAATAAAAATAAAGAAAATAAAGAAAAATCAGATGGTTTTTTAAAGTTAAGTCTGTAAAGGGACTTATTCATAGTTATCCAAAGCTCCTCCTACAAAGTAGCAGAGTTTTCTAATAATCTTGTGGAAGACATTATTCCTAGAATGCTGGGTACCAAGAATAATACTTTTCTATTATTTTACTTTTTACAAGTACATGCCCAGCAAACATGCGCGCACACACACAAACACACAAACGCATACATTTATTTGGGATCTAAATCTTTTTCTCTTTTCACTTAAATAATTCAGGCTTTTTACTTTCAGCATTTATTATGCATCTAGTTCATGTTTAGTACTGTGATAGTTTTAAACACATTTAAAAAGACTTGCAAGTTTATATTAAATAGTAATACATGTAAATATTCCGGAGACTTTGGAAATATTTTCTCTGTACATGTGAGAAGAGGTAGAAATCTATCTATTGTCTCATAAAGCAGTCATTGTGTTTGAATGAGTTCATCCACATGGCAAGAATTCTTATTCTGTGCCTCTCCCCTGCCCAGTAGGGCATATTGCTTCATCAGCACCAAATACCTTCACATTTTTTTCACATATACTCACTCTCCCAGCAACATCTACTCCATGATCCTCACTACAGGGACCAATGTAGATAAAGGATGACATACTGTCTAGCCAAGACGGGGAAATCAGCAGCATGATACAGTCATTCTTCTTCAATAGCTAAAAAAGTAAGTAAAGTGAGCAAAGCACCAATGAAACAAATTCAGCAACAGCTACCAAACAAAGTAGAAAAATATGCCTCATAAACGTCAAAGATGGCAGAGAAAGATGTAAGGTGTTCCACTATGAAGAACTGATCCCTCACCTTCAGTCCCCTGAAGCAAAGCTAAGCAAAAATAAAATAAAATAAAACCAAAATATCTTGGAAATTACCGTATATTTAGTCAAGAGAGCTATTGAAAAGGCAAACTCAGCTAGCATGGACAAATATTAAGGAAAAATCCCAAGGCTAGAAGTACAAACGTACTATCCACATAGAGACAAGAAGGTTACCCTGGCCTCGCTATATCCAGGCAATAAAGATGAGGTTGGGAAAGAAGACAAAGAGAAAGACAAACTACCATGGTGGGTGGGGGGTTGTGTGGTGGGTTCTGTTGAGACTTCATGGATACTTTGAAAAGAGAGCAGAGCTCACGTCTCCAGTGAGAGCTACAATAACCCCAGAGGGTCTCGCCCAAAGGACCTCAGCACTTGCATCATTCATGCTGGGTTGAAAACACTAGGTTTTCATTGGAACAACAGCTCTTAGGGAAAGGCAATCTTTTTCAGAAAAAGAGCAGCAAAAATAATAATTCCCACACACTACATCCAGAAATTAGAATAAAAACTCAGTTCCTCAGAGAAGAGCAGTGTCTTAATCCATTTCAGTGTCAAAGTTACATTTAGGTGTATACAGAACAGATTAGTGTGTTTCATTTTAACTTTTTTATGCATCAAAATTTATGTACTAACTGTATCAAATGTTTGAATTTATTTATTATTAAAATTTATTATTTATTTATTATTAAAATTTATTATTTATTATTAAAATTTATTTGAATATTTCTCCCTTCACTTCTTGTATCATATTTTTGGATTTCCTTGCATTGGGCTTCACTTTTCTCTGGTGCCTTTCTGATTAGCTTAATAACTAACCTCCTGAATTTTTTTTCAGGTAAATCAGGGATTTCTTCTTGGTTTGGATCCATTGCTGGTGAGCTAGTGTGATGTTTGGGGAGTGTTAAAGAGCCTTGTTTTGTCATATTACCAGAGTTGGTTTTCTGGCTCCTCCTCATTTGGGTAGGCTCTATCAGAGAAAAGATCTAGGGCTGAAGGCTGTTGTTTAGACTTTTTTGTTCCAGAGGGTGTTTCTTTGATGTAGTATTCTCCCTTTTTTCCTATGGATGTGGCTTCCTGACAGCTGAGCTGTAGTAATTGTTATCTCTCTTCTGGATCTAGTCACCAAGAAAGTCCACCAGGCTCCAGGCTGATATTGGGGTTGTCTGCACAGAGTCCTGTGATGTAAACCATCTGTTGGTCTCTCAACTGTGGATACCAGCACCTGTTCTGGTGGAGGTGGCAGGGGGGTGAAATGGACTCTGTGAGGGTTCTTAGCTTTGGGAGTTTAATGCTCTATTTTTGTGTGGTTGGCCTCCTACCAGGAGGTAGTTCTTTCTAGAGAGCATCAGCTGTGATAGTATGAAGAGGCACCGGCAGTGGGTAAGTCACTAGAACTCTCAAGAGTTTATGCCCTTTGTGCTCAGAATACCAGGGTGGGTAGGGAAGTACCATCAGGTGGGGCAGAGCTAAGCATGTCTGAGCTCAGACTCACTCTCTCCTGCTGTGGCTGCTAGGGGGGATGGGGCTGAGGTTTCCAGGTTAATGGAGTTATGCACCTAGAAGGAAGCTGCCTCTGCTGAGTCATGCAGGTTGTCGTGGAAGTGAGAGAACGCTGGCAGTCACAGGCCTGACCCAGCTCCCATGCAATCCAAAGGGCTGGTCTCACTCCCACCATGCCTCCCCAATGGCACCCTGTCTGTTTCCAGACAGTCGGCAAGCAGGGCTGAGAACTTGCCACAGGCTACCCACCTCCTAGCTGTGAAAGAAAGTAGGACTTTAGTTCTTCCCCTGCCTATTTAGTCTGCACAATGGATTTGAACTCTTCCCTCAGTTCTGGCCAGGAGGCTTCTTGATGACTTCAAATTGTTCCAAAATTCAGCTGGTGATTTCCTTCTCTCTGTGGCATTTCCCTCTTGTCACCCTCCCAAAGGATCTTTGTGATGCCACACAGGAATAGCCTGCTTGAGGACCCAGCGAGCTCACAGGGCCTTTTCTACTGCTCCCTCTATTCCTGTATTTTGCTCAGCTCTCTAAATTAACTCAGCTCCAGGTAAGGTTGTAATCTTTTCCCATAAAATAGACCTTCAGTTTTCCCAGGGGAGGTTGTGTTTGGGGGCAGAGGATCTCCCTTTCCCACTTCTGCAATTTGGGCCTTCACAGTATTTGGGGTGTCTCCCAGGTTCTGCAGGAGCAGCCCACTTTCTTCAGAAAACCTGTGGGTCCTCTCGCATTTCCTGATTTTTTTCTGCAGTCTTTCTGGAGCTAAAATTCATGATGCAAGCCTTCACAAGCTCCTCTGTCTTTCCAAGTCAGAACTGCAATTTAGTCCTGCCTCCCATCCACCATGATGGAGCTGATTGTTTTTCACATTTTAGTAATAGCCATTCTGACTGGTGTGAGATGGTACCTCATTGTGGTTTTGATTTGGATTTCTCTAATGATCAGTGATGTTAAGTTTTTATTCACATGCTTCTTGGTCACATGTACGTCTTCTTTTGAGAAGTGTCTGTTCAGGTCTTTTGCCCACTTTTTAATGTGGTTGTTTTTCTCTTGTAAATTCAAGTTCCTTATAGATGTTGGATATAAGGCCTTTGTCAGATGCATTGTTTGCAAATATTTTCTTTCATTCTGTAGGTTGTCGATTTACTCTGTTGATATTTTCTTTTCTTGTGCAGGGGCTCTTAAGTTTAATAGGATCCCATTTGTCAATTTTTGTTTTTGTTTGATTGCTTTTGATGTCTTTGCCATGAAATCTTTGCTCATTCCTAGGTCCAGGATGGTATTGCCTAGGTTGTCTTCCAGGGCTTTTACAGGTTTCTTTTTACATTTAGGTCTTTAATCCATTTTGACTTGATTTTTTTATATGGTACAGGGAAGAATTTCAGATTTGATCTTCTGCAGATAGCTAGCCAGTTATCCCAGTGCTATTTATTAAATACGAAGTCTTGTTCCCATAGCTTGTTTTTGTCAGTTTTGTCAAAGATTAGATAGTCATAAATGTGTGGCCTTATTTCTGGGATCTCTATTCTGTTCCATTGGTGTATGTACCTGTTTTTATGCCAGTACCATGCTATATTGGTCACTGTAGCTCTGTAACATAGTTTGAAGTTGGGTAATGTGATTCCTCTAGCTTTGTTAGCTCTGTTGTTTTCACTTAGTATTACTTTAACTATTAGGGCTCTTTTTTGGTTCCATATAAATTGTAAAATAAATTTTTCCAGTTCTGTGAAGAATCTCATTGGTAGTTTGATAGGAATAACATTGAATCTGTACATTCCTTTGGGCAGTACAGCCATTTTAATAATTGATTCTTTGTATCCATGAACATGGGATGTTTTCCCATTTGTTTGTGTCTTCTCTGATCTTTTTGGGAAGTTTTTTTATAATTCTTATTGTGTAAATTTTTCACTTCCCTCGTTTGCTGTATTCCTAGGTATTTTTTGTGTGTGTGGCAATTGTGAATGGGATTGCCTTCCTGATTTGATTGTTGTTGGTTTATAGGAATACAAGTGATTTTTGTACATTGATTTTGTATCCTGCAACTTTTCTGAAGTTGTTTATCAGATGAAGGAGCTTTTGAGCCAAGACTATGGGGTTTTGTAGATAGAGAATATGTCAACTGCAAACAGTTTGACATACTCTATGGTTTTTTGGGCGTCCTTTATTTCTTTCTCTTACCTGATTGCTCTGGCCAGGACTTCCAATACTATGTTGAAAAGAAATGGTGACAGAGGGAATCGTTTCCTGTTGCTGGTTTTCAAGAGGAATGCTTCCAGCTTTTGCCCATTCAGTATGATGTTGGGTGTGGGTTTATCATAGATGGCTCTTATTATTTTTAGTATGTTCCTTCAATATCTAATTTTTTGAAATAGTTTAACATGAAGGGATGTTGAATTTTTATCAAAAGCCTTTTCTGCATTTATTGAGACAGTCATGTGGTTTTTGTCTTTAGTTCTGTTTATGTGATGAATCATATTTATTGATTTTTGTATGTTGAACTAACTTTGCATGCCAGGATGAGGCCTATTTGATCATGGTGGATTAGCTTTTTGATGGGCTTGTGGATTCAGTTTGCAAAGGTTTTGTTGAGGATTTTTGCATCGATGTCCATCAAGGATTTTGGTCTGTAATTTTCTGTTGCTGTTGTGTCTCTGCCAGGTTTTGGTATCAAGATGATGCTGGCCTCATACAATGAATTAAAGAGAAGTCCTCCTAAACTTTTTGGATTAGTTTCTGTAAAAATGGTAACAGCTCTTCTTTGTACACCTGGTAGAATTTGGCTGTGAATCCAGCAGGTCTTGGGCTTTTTTGGGTTCATAGGCTATTTATTACTGATTCAATTTTGGAGTTCATTATTGGTCTGTGCAGGGAACAAATTTCTTCCTGGTTCAGTCTTGGGAGTATCGGGTGAAATTCACCCCCGATATTTCACTTAGGTTCTTTTCTATTTTCCCTAAGTGTCAGCCAGTCTGAGAAATAAAAAGACAGAGTACAAAAGAGAGAAATTTTAAAGCTGGTGTCTGGGGGAGACATCACATGTTGGCAGGTTCAGTGATGCCCCCTAAGCCATAAAACCAGCAAGTTCTTATTAGTGATTTTCAAAAGGGGAGGGAGTGTACAAATAGGGTGTGGGTCACAGAGATCACATGCTTCACTAGGTAATAAAATATCAAAAGGCAAATGGAGGCAGGGCGAGATCACAGGACCACAAGACCGGGGCAAAATTAAAATTGCTAATGAAGTTTCGGGCATGAATTGTCATGGATAACATCTTATCAGGAGACAGGGTTTGAGAGCAGACAACCGGTTTGACCAAAATTTATTAGGCAGGAATTTCCTCATCCTAATAAGCCTGGGAGTGCTACGGGAGACCAGAGCTTATTTCATCCCTCAGCTAAGACTGTAAAAGACAGCCGTCCCCAAAGCGGCCATTTCAGAGGCCTCCCCTCAGGGACACATTCTCTTTCTCAGGGATGTTCCTTGCTGAGAAAAAGAATTCAGTGATATTTCTCCATTTGCTTTTGAAAGAAGAGAAATATGGCTCTGTTCCACCTAGCTAACCAGCAGTCAGAGGTTAAGGTTATCTCCCTTTTTCCCTAAACATTGCTGTTATCCTGTTCTTTTTTCAAGGTGCCCAGATTTCATATTGTTCAAACACACAGGCTCTACAATTTGTGCAGTTAATGCAATCATCACAGGGTCCTGAGGCAACATACATCCTCCTCAGCTTATGAAGATGATGGGATTAAGAGATTAACGTAAAGACAGGCATAGGAAATCACAAAGGTATTGATTGGGGAAGTGATAAGTGTCCATGAAATCTTCACAATTTATGTTCAGAGATTGCAGTAAAGACAGGCATAAGAAATTATAAAAGTATTAATTTGGGGAACTAATAAATGTCCATGAAATCTTCACAATTTATGTTCTTCTGCCATGGCTTCAGCTGGTCCCTCCGTTTGGGGTCTCTGACTTCCAGCAGCAGGGAGGGTGTATGTGTCCAGGAATTTATCTATCTCTTCTAGGTTTTCTAGTTTGTCTGCACAGAGGTGTTTACAGTGGTTCTGATGGCTGTTTCCATTTCTGTAGGGTAAGTAATAACATTCCTTTAAATCATTTCTAATTGTGTTTATTTGGATCTTCTCTCTTTTCTTCTTAATTAGTCTACCTAGTGGCCTATTTTATAATTATTTTTAATTCCAACTCCCAAATTCATTGATCTTTTGAATGGTTTTTTGTGTCTTAATTTCCTTCAGTTCAGCTCTGATTTGTGTTATTCCTTATCTTCTGCTAGCTTCGGGGTTGATTTGTTCTTTTTTCTCTAATTCTTTCAATTTTGAATTTAGATTGTTAATTTGAGGCCTTACAAACTTTTTGATGTGGGCATTTAGTGCTATGAATTTCCCTCTTACTACTGCCTTAGTTGTGTCTCAGAGATTCTGGTTTGTTGTATCTTTGTTCTTATTATTTTTATAGAACTTCTTGATTTCAGACTTAAATTTATCTAAAAGTCATCCAGGAGCATGATGTTTAATTTCCATGTAATTGTATGCTTTAATAATTTTCATTGTGTTGACTTTTATTTTTATTGCACTGTGGCCTGAGAGTGTGTTTGGTATGATTTTGGTTATTTTACATTTGTTGAGGATTGTTTTATATCCAATTATGTGGTTGATTATAGAGTATGTGCCATGTGGCTATGAAAAGAATGTATATTCTCTTATTTGGGGATGGACACTTCTGTAAAGGTCTACCAGATCCATTTGGTCCAATGCTAAGTTTAGGTCCTAAATATCTTCATTAATTTTCTGCCTGTATGATCTAATACTGTCAGTGGAGTGTTGATGTCACTCACTATTATTGGGTGGGAGTGTATGTCTATTTGTAGGTCTCTAAGAACTTGCCTCATGAATCCAGACATTCCTGTATTGGGTGCATATCTATTTGGGATTGTTAGGTCTTCTTGTTAAATTGAATACTTTACCATTATGTTATATCCTTGCTTGTCTTTTTTTTAAAAAACTTTCATTTGTTTGAAACTTGTTTTGTCTGAAATTAGGATTGCAACCCCCCTTTTTTCTGTTTTCCATTTGCTTGGTAGATTTTTCTCCATTTATTTATTTTGAGCCTATGAGTGTCATTAAATTTGAGACGGGTCTCTTGAAGACAGAATACCATTGGGTCTTGCTTTTTTATCCTGCTTGCCATTCTGTGCCATTTAATTGTGTCATTTAGCCCATTTACATTCAAGATTAATATTGATATGTGTGGATTTGATCCTGTCATTGTGCTGTTAGCTTGTTATTATGTTGTCTTGTTTGTGTTGTTGCTTTACAGTGACACTGGTCTCTGTGTTTCAGGGTTTTTTTTATTAGCTGGTAGTGGTGTTCTTTTCTATACTAAGTGCCGCTTTCAAGATCTCTTGTAAGGCAGTTCTGGTGATAATAAATTCCCTCAACATTTGCTTACCTGAAAAAAATCTTCCTTCTCCTTCACTTAAAAAGCTTAATTTGGTTGGATATGAAATTCTTGGCTGAAGATTTTTTTCTTTAAGAATGTTGAATATAGGCCTCCAATCTCTTCTAATTTGTAAGAACTCAGCTGACAGATCTGCTGTTACCGTGATAGAAATCCCTTTGTACGTGACCTGCCCTTTCTCTCTGGCTGCCTTTAACATTCTTTCTTTTATTTCAATCTTGGGAAATCTGATGATTATATATCTTGGAGATGATCTTGTGTAGAATCTTGCATGAGTTCTCTGTATTTCCTGAATATGTCTGTTGGCCTCTCTAGCAAGGTTGGGAAAGAGTTCATGAATGATATTCTGAAATATACTTTCCAAGTTGTTTGCTTTCTGGCTCTCCCTTTCAGGGATTCCAGTGATTTACAGATTTAACCTCTTTTTATAATCCCATACTTCTCAGGGGTTTTGTTCATTTCTTTTTATGCTTTTTCTTTATTTTTGTCTGACTGTATTATTTCAGAAAACCAGTCTTCAAGTTCTGAAACTCTTCCCTCAGACTAGTATATTCTGCTGATAATCCTTGTGATTGCATTGTGAGATTCTTGTATTGCGTTATTCAGCTCTGTCAGACCCATTAAATTCTTTCTAATACTGGTTATTTCATCCTTCAGCTCCTGTATCACATTATTGTGATTCTTATTTTCCTTGGATTGGGTTTTGTCTTCCTCCCAAATCTCAATAATCTTTGTTTCTGCCATATACTGTATTCTGTCATTCTAGCCAGTTCAACCTTGTTAAGAACTCTTGTTGGAAAACTGCTGTAGTCTTTTGGAGGAAATATGATATTCTGGCCATTTGAGTTATTGCATTTGTTCTTTCTCATCTCTGTATGTGGGTGTTTCTTTAACTGCAGTGTATATTAGGCACAGTAAATAGACTTCCTTTCTGGATGTTTTCACCAGGGAGAGCCTTTGTGTAGGGTATTTATTTGAAGCTGACTTTGTGTCTCTGGCTTCAAAGGGGGTTATGTTAGTGAGGCATTTTTGGTGTTGAAGTTTTGGGGTGTAATCCAGCAGGTGACACTTATGCTTATTGGTCAGTTGATAGACTGTTGCTCAATTATATGTTTCCCCTATGTTTCCTCACAGTTGCAGCCATGTTCCCTCTCAGTGTTCTGAAGATGTAGGTTCCTTGTGCCCTTCAGTCCTGGCTACAGTTCAAAACTTGGCATTCCTGAGCTGCCAACTGCAGCCCTGGTGGAATCTCAGTGTTTATATTCCTTTCCCAGTTTAGAGGTAGCACTGAAGAGATCTTAGTAGTGGTTGTGGCCAAGAGTCAACCTCTGGGGGTTCCATCCCAGAGAGATGCAGGTCAGCAAACACTCAGTGCAGTCAGCCCAAGATGGAGGGTTTGTGCATTTGTGGGACCCATGGAAGTCTAACTGGGTTTCTCTCCTTGGGTTGACTGCATCTTGTTGGAGGTATGGATAAGGCACTTAGGATCTTTGCTCCTTCATTAGTCCAAGAGTGGCAAGGGCAGTTCTACTGCAGAGGCCAGTGGCAGAGAGGTTTTCAGTTGCTCCTGGAGGCTTTGTCCAAGATTAGCATTAAGAATTTAAATTTACATTTCTAGATTATACCTTCTTTTAAAAATTAATTTAAAGAAAAGCTTATAATTTTAACTTGTATTTCTTACTACCATAATGCACTATGCTTCTTTGTTAAGAAAAACATGATAATTATAATACCATTGTATCTATGCACATATGTAGTTTTGGCTTAATTTTTTATTATTTTACTTTATTTTCTGATTTTTAAATATTTTTACTATTGTCGAACATAACATAGTTATGAAAAGTAACAAAACTTAAATACACAGTTAGGGAAAAAATTATAAGTTTATCTCCCATGTTTACTACATCTTGGCCAAAAAATAAAATTTGCCAAAAATCCAGACACTCCCCATATATACCTTCTTGTTGATATTGTTTCTCTTTAGTTTTCTTCCTCCCACATATCCCAGTTGTTATGATAATCACTTATATGTTTCGTTTTAGAGTTTTGCCACCAATGTAATAAATTACAATGTATTAAAATATATTTTTGCAAACTTCATATAAATTGAATTATATTGAATATTTTTTCAATATTGATAATTCCTCTCACATCTGTATTAGCTATTTAGCTCAAATTTGTTCATTTTCTTTGTTATATAAATTCTTTGTAAACATGTCACTCTGGTTTGCTTTTTAATTGCTGTATAGTACTCTACCGCATAAGTATGCCATAATTTATTTATCATTTTATCACTGATGGACATTTGGGAGACTTCTCAACTTGAGCTATTAAAACACAGTGATACACACTTTTTTCATATGTATTCCAGTAGGAGTACAAATATTGGGTCTTATGAGGTGATCCTCCATCATAATCAGATTATGTCATACTCAGCCAAAGGAATTCTTTCAATTGATAATCCTAGGAGAAGTGTCTGAAAATTGTCAGTGCCTCATGCCCTTTTCAAAATTAGAAACATCAAAGAATAATTTTTGCACTTTTATATTTATATAAAATATTATTAAACTTAACATTTTACAATTTAAATTCACATTTGAAATGTAACTGTAGTTTAAAAATTACATATTACTCTTTTTTCATTCTACGACTCTGATTTCATATACATTTCTTAAGAATAAATTATATATTTAATATACTTATTTGTATTATGTTGTTAACTTTTCTAATCTTTTTTCTTGAAGTTTCAAATTCTCTTTTGTTATCAGCAAGTAGAGTCATACCAGAGATATTTTCTTCAATCAAACATTATGTCAAATGACTTTGAGAAAATATGATTAGCTATCAGCATATTGTAAGGGAAAATTAGATTGTTTAGATTGTTTAACAACCCTTGAAAGAACTCATTAAAAAAGTGTTAAAATATTAAAATGATTATACATTTAATATAGGCATCATAGGAAAATACAAATTCTATCATTACTAGTTTGGAAAAAAAAAAGATTGGTAGTAAACTTCCCATGTCTGAACAAACACACATTAAAAAAGGGCAAGCCCAGTATCACTGGTCATGATCCCCTTTAAGGTCTTGATCTTAAACTCTCTGCGATCCTGATTTCTGAATGTGCAGTAAAATTCTTGGTTCTTCTAAATTCAATTCTGGGACCAATGTCAAATAGGAAAGCGCTAGGGCATACTAATGGATGAGTTCAATGCTGCCTTTATGGAAAAAATGTAATTTTCAAAACGGCTCAAATTACCTACTATTTAAACAACGTCTCTTCTTGCTATAGGCTTTTTTCATAATAATTTGGAAGTAAAAGCTGATTTCTCATTTGCAAGCATGCAAATGAAGACATATTCTCTTTCACTGTTTTGCAATATTTTCCTCGTGTAGTCATAATTTGTGTTCAGCAACATCACTTGCTATGGAAATTTTTAAACCCAATACATAGATCATATATTGGATGTCTAAATTTCTGAAGGAAGCTTGATCATAACTTGTATCATGACTGCTGTTAATTTATTTTTCTCAATACCAGATACATGTAAACAGAATCTAAATTTTTCCTATCAAAAGCATTCAAGATTTTCTTGGGAAGACATATACACCCATACACATATACATATACCCCACATGAATGGGAATAGTTTTTGTCCTACAGTTTCCAAAATGGAAAATAAATTTTAGGGATGTCACATGCAGGTTGAAATGGCCCTATTTTCCTACTCATAATTTTCAGCCCATTTTCAATATTTATCGAACTGATCTCGCATCCTTAGGCTTTTAAGGAAGTCATTCTCTTAAGTCAATTTGATATACAAATATGAATTATTTAATTAAATATTCAGCATTTTTGTAAATATTCCTTGAGCACTTAAAAAATGTGTTTTCGATTGAAGAATATTGACTTCTCTGTATATGAATATTTGGATATTTTTCTTTCATTTTAACTTATTTTTATTATTTAATGGTTTAAGATTAACAGATGTTAAAATCAGTCTCCAATGTTGGGTTTTATTCATTCTCAGTTTTTACAGTATAATTGTTTCTAAGAAAGGATCTTGGAGTCAGACTGCCAGGAAAGGAAATCCAGTTCTCTGCTTCATATAGGTATGATCCGAGAATCTATTTTACAACAGCCTTAGGATAGCTATCTATTAAATGCAGATGATAATAATACCCTCTTTGGATAGTCTTTATGAAGAGTTAGTACACATTTGTATAACTGATTTCAATATCACCTGTCTGGTTCAGGCACGAAACAAGGATTGCTCGTGTTTTATTTGATCTTGTGTTACTTGATACAGAGAGGTTACCTGTGAAAACTTCCACTTTTGAATAGATGTAATAGGTTCAAGAAAGCAAGATGTCCTTCTGCAACAACTAGCATAAGATAAATAAAGGGGCCAAAATTATGTTTGTATTCATCAAAGAGCTTGCAAGCAATAAGGACCACCTGAAATGAAATCCAGCACAAGGCGAGTCTTTACGTGTGAAGAGCAATTTATAATGCAACCCTCATCACGTCACAGAAAGCTTTTTCTGCAGAAAATGTAAAACTACTCCAAAAATATGCCTGGAAATGCCAAGTGATTAGGCCAATAAAATAATTTTTTTTTAAATACAAAGTTGGAGGATTAGTTTCTCATTTCAAAGTTTACTGCAAGTTTACTGGACTAAATCAAGACACTGTGGTAATTGCACTATGAGAGACAAAAAGAACAATGAAACACAATTGACTGTCCAGAAATTAGTAATGACATTCATGGTCAGCTGATTTTTAAAATCATACAATTGCAATTCAATAGGAATTAATCATTTTTCTCAACAAATGATTCTGGGAAAATTAAATATCCACATGCATAAAGATGAATTTAGGCTACTGCCAATGCCCGCATGGAAGCTGGCAGCCTTGGGCCAGCCTGCACCCCATCCCGGTCCAAGAGCCTATACCCTGCCACACTGCTGCTGCTGGCATGTGTTAACAAGCTTGCGTTACACTGTCACTATTCAATGAAGAGCTTTGGCTGGTACCATCCTTCAGAGTGTTGTGGCCAGCAATTCAGGAACACAATGTCCCTTCCAGCACAGCAGATTCCCAATGTTGAGGTGCCAGAGAACAAAGTCCGGTGTCCAAAACTAGACCCCAGACTTAGAGTTAGAAATCTTTTCCCCCCTAAAATCTACCAGAAACAAACTCATTTGATGGAATCCACAGTGAAACCCCAAAGTGTGTCAAAGAAGATAAAAACAGAAAAAAAAAAATCCAAAGAATGGCAACTTCGAAGACTGAAGAATATCAGCCCACAGAGATGAGAAAGAATCAGCACAATAACTGTGGCAACTCAAAAAGCCAGAGTATCTTCTTACCTCCAAATGACCACGCTAGTTCCCTCCCATGCTGAAAAGGCAGAAATATGATTCAGACCATGGATAGGAACAAAGATCAATGAAATTCAGGAGAAAGTCAAAACACAATCCAAAGATTCTGAGGAACGCCATAAAATGATACAGAAGACACAAACAAAATGGTCATTTTAAGAAAAAATCCAACTGATCTGATAGAGCTGAAAACATCACTTCACGAATTTTGGAATACTAATGCAAGTGTTAACAACAGAATCAACAAAGCTGGGGAAAGAATCTCAGAGCTCAAGAGTAGTCCTCTGAAATTACTCAGTCAGGCAAAAATAAAGAAAAATAATGAAGAAGAATGCACAAAACCTCCAAGAAATATAATATTTTGTTAACAGACTAAATATATGACTCATTGGCATCCATGAAATACAGGAATAGAAGGCAAACAACTTGGAAAACCTATTTCAGGATATAGTCCATAAAAATTTCCTCAACCTTGTTAGAGAGGCCAGCATTCAAATTCAGGAAATGCAGAGAACCCCTACGAAATACTACACAAGAAGAATATACCCAAGACACATAGTCATCAGATTCTCCAAGGCGAAAATGAAAGAAAAAGTGCCATAGGCATCTAGAGAGAAAGGGCAGGTCACCTACAAAGGGAACAGCATTGAGCTAACAGTGGACCTGTTAGCAGAAACTCTACAACCAGGAAGAGATGGGGGCTCATATTCAGAAATTTTTTGAAAAAGAATGTCCGACCAAGAATTTCATATCCAGCCAAACTAAACTTCATAAGTGAAGGAGAAATAGGATCTTTTTCAGACAAACAAATGCTAAGGGATTTGATTACCACCAGACCCACCTCACAAGAGGTCCTGAATGGATTGCTAATCATAGAAAAGAAAGATCATTATCAGCCATAACAAAATCACACTTAAGGCCATAGACCAGTATACTATAAAGTAACCACAGAAACCAGTCTGCATGATAAGCAGCTAACAACATAATGAAAGGATCAAATTCCCACATATCAATACTAACCTCGAATGTAAACAGGTTAAACACCCCAACTAAAAGGCACATAGAGGCAATTTGGATAAAGAAGCAAGACGCAATGGTATAGTGTCTTCAAGAGACTCACTTACATGCAGTGATACCCATAAGCTCAAATTTAAAAGATGGAGAAAAATCTACCAAGCAAATGGAAAATAGAAGCAGGGTTGCTATTCTAACTTCTTTTTGTTTGTTTGTTTGTTTTGAGTCAGGGTCTCACTCTGTTGCCCAGGCCATAGTGCAGTGGCGCAATCTCAGCCTACCACAACCTCTACCTCCTGGTCTCAAGAAATCCTCCCAACTCAGCCTTGCAAGTACCTGGGACCACATGTGTGCACCACCATGACTGGCTAATTTTTGTATTTGTTTTTTTCTTGATAGAGACAGGATTTTGCCATGTTGCTCAGGCTGGTCTCAAACTCCTGGGGTCAAGTGATCCACCCACCTCAGCCTCCTGAAGTGCTGGTATTACAAGTCTGAGCCATGGCACCTGACCTTGATAATCTACTTTCATACAAAACTGTCTTTAACCAGCAAAGATCAAGAAGAAACAGAAGGGCATTGCATAATTGAAAAAGGCTCAATTCACCAGGAAGACATTACTATTCTAAATGTATATGCACCTGACAAAAGAACACCCAGATTCAGAAAGCAAGTTCTCAGAGACCTATTAAAAGATTTAGAAAATCACACAATAATAGCAAGAGATTTCAACACCCCACCAACAGCACTAGACAGAACATCAAGGCAGAAAACTAACAAAGTTATTCAGGACCTGAAATAGACACTTAACCAAATGAACCTAATAGACATCCACAAAACAGTTCACCCCAAAACAACAGAATACACATTCTTCTCATCTGCACATGGCATATAATCTAAAATCAGCCACACAACCTAACATAAAACAATTCCTAGCAAATATGAAAAAAAGAAAACCATACCAACCACATTCTTGGACCACAGCACAATAAAAATATAAATAAATACTAAGAAAATACCTTAAAACCATATAATTACATAGAAATTAAACAACCCTCTCCTGAATGACTTTTGGGTACATATTGAAATTAAGGCAGAAATCAAGAAATTTTTTGAACATAATGAGAACAAAGATACAACATACCAGAATCTCTGGGATATGGATAAGGCAGTGTTAAGAGGAAAGTTCGTAGCAATAAACACTCACATCAAAAAGTTAGAATGATCTCAAATTAATAACATAACTTCACAAGAGAAACTAAACAAACAAGAGCAAACCAATGCCAAAGCTAGCAAAAGACAATAAATAACCAAAATCAGAGCTGAACTGAAGGAAATTGTGATTAAAAAAAACATACAAAAGGTCAGTGAATCCAGGATTTGATGTTTTTAAAAAATTAATATGATAGACCCCTAACCAGACTAATAAAGAAAAAAAAGAGAGAAGATCCAAATAAACCCAATCAAAAATGACCAAGTGGATATTACCACTGACCCCACTGAAATACAAACAATCCTCCCAAACTACTGTCAACACCTCTATGCCCACAAGCTAGAAAACCTAGAAGAAATGGATAAACTGCTGGATATGTACAACCTTTCAAGACTGAATCAGTAAGAAATTGAATCCCTGAGCAAACCAATAACAAGTTCCAAATTGAAAGAGTAATAAAAAGCCTACCAGACAAACAAACAAAAAAAGCCTAGGACCTGATAGATTCTCAGCAGAATTCCACCATGTGTATAAAGAACTGGTACTATTCACACTAAACCTACTCTAAAAAACTGAGGAAAAGAAACTCCACGCTAACTCATTCTACAAGGCTAATATCACCCTGATACCAAAACCAGGCAGAGACACAACAATAAAAGAAAACAACCTCAATAAACATAGATTTAAAAAAAACACTCCACAAAATGCCAGCAAGTTGAATCCAGCAGCACATCAAAAAGCTAATCCACCATAATCAAGCAGGCTTTATCACTGGGATACAAGTTTGGTTAAACACATGTAAATCAATATATGTGATTCATCACATAAGTGAAACTAACAAAAACCACATTACTATCTCAATAGATGCAGAAAAGGCTTTCAATAAAATTCAATGTCTCTTCATATTAAAAACTCTCAACAAACTAGACATTGAAGATATATACTTCACAATAATAAGAGCCACCCATGACAAACCCACAGCCAATATCATACTAAATGGGCAAAACTGGAAGCATTACCCCTTGAAAACAGGAACAAGACAAGGGTGTCCTCTCTCACCACTCTTATTCAACAGTACTGGAAGTCCTGGTCAAAGCAATCAGGAAGAGAAATAAATAAAAGGCATCCCAATAGAAGAGAAGAAGTCAAATTATCCCTGTTCGCAGATAATGTGACTTTATACCTAGAAATCCCCACAGTTTCTGGCCAAAATCTCCTTGGTCTGATAAACAAACTCAGCAAATTCCCAGGATACAAAATCAATGTACAAAAATTAGTAGCATTCCTATAGCAACAAAATTCAAGCAAAGACAAATCAAGAAGGCAATCCCTTTCACAATAGTCCCAAAAAATAAAATACATAGGAATACAGCTGACCAGGGAGGTGAAATATCTCTACAAAGAGTATTACAAGAGACTGTTCAATTAAATCCAATAAGACATGGACAAACGGGAAAACGTTCCAGGTGCATGGATGGGAAGAATCAATATTGTTTAAATGCCCATACTGCCCAAACCAATTTATAGATTCAATGCTATTCCTGTCAAATTATCATTGATATTCTTCACAAAATTAGAAACAAACTATTTTAAAATTCACTGGGAATGAAAAAAAAAAAGCCCAAATAGCCAAGGCAATACCAAACAAAAAGAACAAAGCAGGAAGTATAACATTACCTGACTGAACCATACTACAAGGATACAGAGACTAAAACAGCATGGTAGTGGTACAAAAACAGGCACGTAGACCAAGGGAACAGAATAGAGACCCGAGAAATAATGCCACCCACCTACAACCATCTAATCTTCAACAAAGTTAACAAAAACAAGCCATGAGGAGAGACTCCCTGCTCTATAAATGGTGCTGGGATAACTGGATAGCCATGTGCAGAAGATGGAAACTGGACACCTTTCTTATACATACACAAAACTCAATGCAAGCTGGGTTAAATAATAAAATGTAAAACCTAAAACTATTTTTTTAAAAAACGGAAAAATAACCTAGTAAACACCATTCCTGCATAGGACCTGGCAAAGATTTCATGGCAAAGACACCAAAATCAATTGCAACAGAAACAAAAATTGAAAAGTGGAACCTCATTAAACTGAAGAGCTTCTGCACAAGAAAAGAAACTATCAACAGAGTAAACAGACAACCTGCAGAATGGGAGAAAATATTTCGTAAACTATGCAAATGACAAAGGCGTAATATCCGGAACATATAAGGAATTTACATTTACAAGCAAAAAACAAATACCACCATTAAAAATTTGATAAAGGACATGAACAATTTTCAAGTGAAGACATACACTCAGCCAACAAACATATGAAAAAATGCTCAATATAACTAATCATTAAAGAAATGTGATTCAAAACCACAATGAGATACTATCTCATACCAGTCAGAATAGCTATTACTAAAACCCCCAAAAAACAACAGATTCTGGCAAGATTGTGGTGAAAGGGAATGCTTTCACACTGCTGGTGGGGAGGTAAATTAGTCCAGCCATTGTGGAAATCAGCATGGCAATTTTCCAAAGAACTTAACACAGAATTACCATTCAAACCAGCAATTCCATTATTGGATATATATCCAGAGAAATATAAATTGTTCTACCATAAAGACACATGCATGAAAATATTCATGACAGAACTATTCATAATAGCAAAGACATGGAATAAACCTAACTGCCCATAAATAGTAGACTGGATAAAGAAAATATGGTACATACACACCATGGAATACTATGCAGTCATTAGAAAAAAACAAGATGATGTAGCAATATGGGTGGAGCTGGAGGCCATTATCCTAAGCCAATAAACATGGAAACAGAAAACAAATACCACATGTTCTCACTTATAAGTGGGTGCTAAACATTGAGTACAGATGGACACAAAGAAGGGAACGACAGACACCACGGTCTATGTGAACAGAGAGAAGGAGGAGAGTGAAGATAAAAGAGATACCTATCAGGTACTCTGCTTCCCACCCGAGTGACAAAATAATCTGTACACAAAGTGCCTGAGACATGCAATTTAGTTACATAACAAACCTGCACATGTACCCCAGAATCTAAAATAAAAGCTAAAAAAAGAAAAAAAAACTGCAAAGTGAAATGAGATTTATCTTTAAATAAGGTAGTATTGGAGGCCTCAATGATTCAATGATATCTGAGGAGTGATAACGTTCAGTGTTGATATCTGAGAAAGAGCAATCCAAGAAGAAGGGACACAAGTATGAAGTCCCTGAGGCAATGCTTGGCATATTCAAGAAGTGACACAAAGGCCAGTGTTGTTAGCATGGGATGAGCCAGGTGTTTTAGGGCACACAGGCAGACAAAATCAGATCATTCAAATGATTATAAGACTTCGTAAGGATTTGGCCTTTACTCTGAATTAGATGAAAGCCACTGAAAAATCTGGAGGAGAAGAATGGCATGATCAAATTTGCGTTTTTACAGGTTCTCTCTGGCTGCCACCTTGAGAATACATCAGGATAAAAGGATGTGCAGAACTAGAAAGAATAATTAGAAACTCATGGCAAATATCCTGGCAAGATATGCAGCAGTTTAGACTAGTATGGCAGAGTGATGACAAGGGATTGGATTCTGTAGGTTTTTGAGGGTAGAGTCAACAAAATTTGCTGATGCCTTAAAGATAGGTTCTGAAAGAGAGAAAATATTGACTCCATTTTTTTTTAGTCTAAGCATCTGAAAGTCTGAAGTGGTCATTAGCAGAAGAGGGAAAGACTGTAGAAGAAACAAATCTGACAATTGGGGGAAGAGCAGTATTTTGATTTGGACATGTTAGTTCAAGTTCCTGTTAGGCATCCAAATGAAGATGTCAAATAGTCTATTAGAGAAAGGATTCGGAGACCAGCGTTGAGATCTCAGCTGAAAGATTAAATGTTGGCATCATCAGCACACAGAAAATAAGTAAGGCCATGAGTAGATGAACTTACCTAAGAAGTGGGAGTTAAAAGAGAAGGAAAAAAACGTAAATTTAGACCCTTATTTTATACTGTACACAAAAATTAACTCATAAGTAATTGATCATAGAGAAAAAAACTTAAGAAATAAGATACTAACAGATACTGAGACATTGTACAAAACGCAAGAAATCAAAAATGGGTTAGTAAACCATAATTCTATCTATGTATTTCTTCACTTATATCATTATCTAATTATATATAGATCATCATATAATTAAAATTCCCCACATATCAATCTGCCAATATCTGCAATGCTATATTAAAATGATATATATGAATATATAGATGAATAATCAGCCTTATTCCTCTCTATTGAACCATTTGGCTACATTATCAGTAAGGAGACTGCATGAGATCACCAACAAAACAAGTCTGATTGATTAAAGATTGAAGAATTGAGACCTTCGGCAGTGTGACATTTTCAGTTTAGAGGCAAGAGAAAGAACTAGCAAAGGAGATTGAGAAGAGGTGCCCAGTGAACAACAATAAAATCAGAAGAGGGCAGCATCCCCCCAGTAAACCATGTCCAATGTTGCTAATAGAGCATGCAACATGAAGACTAACCATTGGCAACACGCACTCACTGGTGATCTTAACAAATGTCAGATTTAATGAAGTGGTGACAGCAACAGCCTCATTGGATTGGGCTGATAGGCCAATAGTTGAAGAGGCTTCATACTTTGCTAAATAACTATAAATCAAGAGGAAAACAGAGTTGAAAAAGCTGAGTCCTGAGGTCAGGCACTGATATGACAAATCAAAGACCCTCAGCCAGTTCTCAGGACTGAGCCAATTCACAGAAGCAGAGATAAACGACTGAAAGGAAGCTTAAGTCCTCTTGATAATGAACACTGGGGGTGGTAGTACATTTTATATCCCTATTCAGTTAACCTATCTGGCCTCTGCCAAAACCAGATGGATTATCAGATGAATGCACATTAGCATAAACTTAAATCGCACTTGCAGATGCTCTCTAGGATGTGGTACCTTCACTGAGCAGAACGTGGTTTCTGGTACTTTGTATGTGGCTTTTGATTTGGCGAATGTTTTTAAATCTACACCCTTTGTGAGAGAAAATCAAAACAATTTGTTTGTTGGGGTAAGAACAAAAGCACTGCTTCACTGTTTTATGTCAGAGCTGTGTCACTTCTGTTTTCAGTTTAATTGGCATTTTGCAAAACATCATGCTAACTCAATATATTAATAATATTACTTTAATTGGTATTCATAAGCAGGAAGTGGCAAGTTCCTTAAATATAGTAAAATAGTATTACTTTGAACAGAAGTAAAATATCAGAAGAAGAGAGACATAAACCTCAGCAGATTCAGGAACTTATAACATAGATGGTGTTTTTACAGGTCCATGCTCCTGGTCCTTGTGTCAAAACATCCTTTTTAAAGTAAACGGCATGTTTCCTGATACATAATTCTTCTCACTAAAAAAGAGGCACAGTGTTTTTTGGGCCTATTGGGATTTTGGAGTCAACATATTCCTCATTTGAGGATATTGCTCTGACTCACTAATGGAGTTTCCAAAGGCCATTGGTCTCAAGTGGAAACCAGAACAAAAAAGGGTTCCATAACAGCTATAGGGTCTGGCCTAAGCTGCTCTGCCCGTTGTGCCAGATGATCCAGCAGAATTCAAACATGCTAGAGGCATGCATAGTGGGCATTACAGGACTCTGTCCAAGTCTCTGACAAATCCACAGGAGAGGGGAGAGAAAACTCCTAGGGAATTAGTGCAAGACCATTCCCTCTTCAGCAGAGGAGTGCCCTCTGTCTCAAAAACAAAACAGCAGTTGCAGAAGATTAGAGACAAGAGAAAGAACCAGCAAAGGAGATTGAGAAGAGGTGCCCAGCGAACAATGATAAAATCAGAAGATGGCAGCATCCCCCAAATAAACCAGGTTCATTGCTGCTAATACAGCATGCAACAGGAAGACTAATGATTGCCCCTCTAAGCATGAGCGCCTCTAAGCACAAGACCCTGTGCAACAGTGGAAATCATATGCCCATAAAGCCAGCCATGATTGGAAGACATGAGCAAATCTGAGTGGTACAAGGAGTAGACAGTATTGGACTTAAACATGTGCTTCCTCAGATTCCCTTAACTGTCACTTATTCTCTAGGCCAGCACCTTGCCTGATCCAGATCATCCTACCATCCTTCCTTGAATGGAACACCACACTGTGGGCCTGAGGTCTGTCTTTCATAACAGCCACCAACGGACTGGATGATGGAAAGCAGAACAGCAGAGATGGTAGTTCCGCCTCAGGGAAACCCTGGCCAATGGAAAATGGAAGACAGAAGACAGCTGAACAGATACATTCTCCCTCCTCTCTCGCTTCCATGGACTAATGCTGGCTGTGGTATTCCCCTTGTAGCCTTTCCGGAAAAGTACTGGGGTCCAAGTGCATGCATCTGATGACCACCATGCTGTCTCTCTCACCTTATAATGAAGTTGCCACAACAGAGTCACATACACACAACACATTGTTACAATACATCCCAACACGTTCTTTCACATCTGCTCTTGCCTCACTTTCCACGTGCTCTTGCCTCAATTTCCACGCGTCCCTGCCATTGCTGCCCTGGACTTACCTTCCAAAGAAATGTTATCACTTTAATATCAGACACTGGCTCTAGTTCTAGACCTCCAAAGCTAAGATATTCATTCAGTGGTATAATTTATTTTTCACTCACTTTTCTGTGATTTTATAATATGGCAATTAAAATGTTCATTTAGAAAGGATATTAAAAATATTATATAAAAATCACATTTTAGTAAGGTAATTCATAACTAACTCAATTTTTAAAATTGAAATGCATTTTTTACATAATAACCAGCTAGAAATATCAGAATACAAATATATCATTCACAATCGAGAAAATATATACAAATATCCAAAAGTCTTTTATATGCTGTTTTGAAGGTATTGTAGTGGGTGCCATGTGATTTTGATGTTCCACCTTATCTCCATGTTTTTAGTCTGATATAGCTGCATCAAGGCTATATATAGCGATATTTCCCCTGCAAGTATGGAATAACCACACTTTTACTCTGAAAAATGCTTCTTCTTAGATAATTCTGTCATCTCAACCAGAAACCAGAATAGGCAAATTCATGCAACTGTAGATTTTGTGATGCTTCATTTTCACTGGTTCACCACCCCAAGACATGTAATTTATTACTCTATTCACTAACTCATTTGTTCTTCAAAATATTTTTGGCTATCTATTTTTTATGTGATCTTTTAGGTCCTGGCAGTCAACAATAAGCAAGGTCTGCAGGATCTCTGTTTTTTGTTGTTGTTGTTTTTTGAGACGGAGTCTCGCTCTGTCGCCCAGGCTGGAGTGCAGTGGCGCGATCTCGGCTCACTGCAAGCTCCGCCTCCTGGGTTCATGCCATTCTCCTGCCTCAGCCTCCCGAGTAGCTGGGACTACAGGCTCCCGCCACCACGCCCTGCTAATTTTTTTGTATTTTTAGCAGAGACCGGGTTTCACAGCGTTAGCCAGGACGGTCTTGATCTCCTGACCTCGTGATCCGCCCACCTCGGCCTCTCAAAGTGCTGGGATTATAGGCGTGAGCCACCGACCCCGACCAGGGTCTCTGCTTTTATGGTGCTTACGTTGTACCAGGAAAGATATATAATAAACAAACAAATAACTAAATCAAATGATTTATCTCAAGGTTTAGATAACATTGTTAAAATTTCATAACTCCGAGAATTGATACAGTCTGTAGAATTTACTTGTTTAATGACGTTATACATTTTTTCCTATAATAGAACTTGCTATCACTGAATATGTCAACACACTTTCTCTCACTGCATTATTTGCAACTAGATTATAATAAAACATATATTTAAGTCATTTCCTATCATCAATACATAGATGTCATAGACGTCATTTTAGAATTTGCAGAAAGTATAATTCAAATGATTTTCATAATTTCTATACTATTTTTACATGGAGTATTTTTTCAAGTAATAAAGATTTGAGTTCATTTATGTGATTTTTAAAAAGATTTTTAAATGTGGAAGATAGTGGAGAGAATCGGCAATTTAGGGGCTCTGAAGCAGTTTAGGAAAGAAACGGAAATATTTGGTATCCGATCTCAATTTCAAAAAAGGTTTTCTTTACCTCAAAAACTGGAAGAAATGACTTTTCTACCTGTATATGGAGACTTATGACAGCAGTTAAGAGGTCAGCATTGTGTTTCTTTCTTCATCCCTATTACAGATATGACTTTTTTCTCAGTTGTTCACATATTTGTATAAAATCTAATATTCCTCAGTACTGATGATGGTAGACATATACAAAATGTATTCCAAATATATTTTTCATCCTTGAATTTTATTTTGTGCATAGTTTTCTAACAATAATTGTTTGCTTTAAATTAAACATAAAATTAGAATTCATTATGCAACAAAAACTACCCCAAAGATAAAACTTCATTATTGATTTAGATTAGAATGCGCATACCATCCAAAAAACTAGACGTTCAAATAATCACGTTTAAGCACACTATGGTACATACGTATGGTACAAATAACAGTGGAAAAGAGCAATGATTTTGTGAAATAAGCTGTAAGTTCTTAACAATTATAAATAGAGATCATAAATTTTTCAAATGAAACATGATAATATGAACTGTATTGTGAATACACATGGCTTCATGATTCTGAAAAATTTCTTACAATATTTTCTATAATTTGGCAGTTTGTAAAAAATGATTATGTTATTGCCACTCTCTCTTAAGTGTTTCATATACACATACACATGCATATATAGATACTTTTTAGACTAACTTTAGGTAAAAGACTTTTCTAGATATACTTTTGGAAATTACTCAAAAACATACAATACAGAAAAACCAGTGGAAAGTATAAAATGTTCCAGACAACATCAGTTTGTTTTCTCTTGGAGACACACGATGTCCCACTTGTGAATCTAGAAATTTGAGAGTTTCAGGTCTTTTACTCAGCACTTAATCTGACACAAAATCAAAAGAAAGGTCTGTTTCAGCTTCTTGCTTCCCCAAATTAGGATGAATGAATGAAATGAAGGGTATATAATTGCAGTAGTTTGGCTGAGCATGAGGACAGGTTCGTTCTACAGCCTCCTCCTAAAATTCCAAATCGATGTGATTAGGGACAGAAAGTAAACAGCAAATAACAAGAGGAAGGAGGTCACCGTTTGCAAAGCTTTTATGTGGACCTTGGTGTTGGAATCTGGAGATCCTTTGCCATGGAACTGCATCTTCTTGAGATGTTTACACAAAGAACAGATTAAGAGCAGAAAAGATAACAGGGACAGAGTAAAGGGTATTAAGTTTGCAAGCGTGGTTACAGTCATATCTGAAAGGTGCGTCGGATCACTCAATTTGATCTCCCAACTCACGTTTCCTTCATATTCTTTTGTCCACATACTCTCATCCATGTTTACCACAACAAGATGACAAACCAAAAATAACAAAGACCCCAATAGTATCACTGGAATGACACTCTTAATTCTCCTTTTTAAGTGAAGAAAAATAAAGTTGGAGAAATTGGCAATCTTGAGGAAATAAAATATGCTGAGGCTAGTAGCAACCCAGATGCTGAAATGGTTGGTTACAGCCCAGGCATTAATAGTAGTAATTCTTACTCCTAAACTATATGAACCTGGATTCAAAACAGTTGCATACCAATGTAATAATATTACCCAGAGCAAACCAACTCTGGAGACTGCCAGAGCAGTGAGAATTTGGTCAGCAAAGGAGATCTTTTGTCTCTTGACCCACTCAATGGAATTTACCAACACTATGAAGCCATTAGCAAAATTCCCAAGAACAAATGTAACCACTACTAGAATGGAAAAAATGATGGGTAGAAAAGTTATCATGTCTGAACAGACAAAAAGATAGAATAAATGAAGGCCTAACAGCACTGGCTGTGATCCTTTAATATCCTGACCTTAAATTTTATGTGGACCTGATTTCTGAATGTGCAGTAACATTCTTTTTACTTTCAAATACTGTGACCAGTGTCAAACAAGAAAGTAGCAGTTTATGCTAATTGATAGTTCAATAATGTATTTATGGAAAACATTCTAATTTTCAAACAGCTCAACTTAATTCATTCATTCAATGTCTGTTCTTGTTAGAGACTTGTTAGATACTGAAGTAGAAGTGAAACCGGAATTTTCATTTGCCAGCATGCAAATAAAGACATATTCTCTTTCAGTGTTTTGCAATGTTTTCCTCATTTCACCTTTCCATAATTTGTGTTCAGTAACTTTAGCTGTTTGTTATGGAAAATGTGCCACATATTTCACACAGTAAATGCCTAAATCTTAAAGGGAGATTAGTTATAACTAGGATCATCACCATGACCAATTTTTATGCTAGATTTAAATAGACAAAATCCAAACTTTTTAATCAAAGTCATCGAAAATTTTCTTGGGAACCATGGGAATGCCAATACACCTTAAAATCTTATTCCTGCTAACCAGTACTTTTGTATGACATTAGTGTTAACAAGCTCATAAAACATACACACATAGACAGACACACACACATACACATACCCATCCAGAAAAAATGAACTTTTAAAATAATTTCCAAAATGGAAAATGCATTTCCAGGAGGTCATCCTGGTGAAATTAGTCCTATTTTCCCACTCAGGGTTTTCAGCCCATAAAAATATATTAAACATATCTCTCATACTTAGACCCTTGGTAAAGTTACTCTCAAGTCTATTGAATGTCTAAATATTTGTTATTTCATTAAAATATTCAACATTTTTGTAAATATTCCTGAGTATCCCATTATTTGACATATAATCTTGCAGTATTTTCCCACCACACACAGGGTGACTACCTTGCCCCTGGACTCTGAGTACACTCACATAGCTTGCTTTGATTAACAGAAAATTGGTAGACTTCACACAGAGGTTTGAGATGGTTTCCACATTGGAGTTTCTTTTCCTTTTCTGTTTATTATGAGAACATTGCCTGGCTACTACTCTGTTCCCAGAAGGAGAATGAGAAAATAATGGAGTCAGTTTGTCCTTGCCTGATCCAGCCTACTTTGTCCAAACTCTAACTAATTCCAAGATGCAGAACTTGGCCCATCTCATATCACCAGAGCCATCCAGCAAACCCAGCTTAGAAAAACTGAATCCAAAGACATGTGAGATATCAATATGTAATGTAGTGTTGGAGAGGTTTCTCTGGCAGAAAAACCTAACTGATATAGGTACTCTGCAAAACCAAGCGTGTGGGAAATATGTCCACCCTTGTTGTGTCAGGAATAGAGGAGCCAAAAGAAAAATAGATAAGGAATGGCAAAGTTTTGTCATGCAAGGTAGATAATTAAAGGTAGAGGCTGGGCGCGGTGGCTCACGCCTGTAATCCCAGCACTTTGGGAGGCTGAGGTGGGCAGATCAAGAGATCAGGGGATCGAGACCATCCTGGCTAACACGGTGAAACCCCGTCTCTACAAAAAATACAAAAAATTAGCCAGGCCTGGTGGCGGGCACCTGTAGTCCCAGCTACTTGGGAGGCTGAGGCAGGAGAATGGTGTGAACCCCGGAGGCGGAGCTTGCAGTGAGCGGAGATGGCGCCACCGCACTCCAGCCTGGGCGACAGAGCAAGACTCCGTCTCAAAAAAAAAAAAAAAAAAAAAGTAGAAAAAAACCTTTGGAAAGATCTGGGTACTTCAGGTAGCGTCTTCTCTTATTTCTACATGTTGTAACTAAAATAAAGTTCCCACTTCAACTCTCTTAGAGTTGTATGTAAAGATATATAAATGGTGAATTTTTTCCTAGGTATATAATGAGCAGAGTAATCAATAATTTTTATGGTGCACTTCTCCTAATAAATAATTTTCAAATAAAATTATAATGCACACTTAGAAATGAGTCAAAATAAAAATGGTAAACACAGCAATGTATTATAAACACTCATGTAACCATCAAATAAGGCAAGACGTGGAACATTGCAAAGAGCCTAGGTCCACCTCCATGCTGCTTTTCAAGCCCCTAAATGTTTCTTCACATCTGGTAACAATTTTCTACTTTTCCCAACACTTGGGTCACACAATACAATAAAAGCTTCGTCTAGGCCTTATCCTGCAAGTTGGAAGAAACAGGAAATTGATTTCATGTGATTAGCTTTTTGTTTTGTTTTGTTTTGTTTTGTTTTTGGCATAGCAGCTTGATGAGTCCAAACCACAAACTCTCCTTACAGGGAAATTCAATGAACAGCACTGGATCTCAAAATGCCATTCCAATAAATAAAATATAGTACCTCAATTACAAATACACCATTGTATTCCATGAATTAACTTTTATTTTGCTTATAATGTAGAAATGGGGCTCTTTGCCTTCAAACTGCATCATTACTCAAGTGAGAGATCAAAGAGGTGAGGGGAAACTTACATTTGATTTGTTTAGTCCTAAAATCCTCTTTTTAAAAATAAGAGATTAGGGTGTGGTGGCACGTGCCTGTCATCTCAGCTACTCAGGAGGCTGAGGCAGGAGAATCGTTTGAACCCAAGAGGCGGAGGTTGCAATGAGCTGAGATGGAGCCACTGCACTCCAGCCTGGGCTAGAGAGCGAGACTCCGTCTCAAAAGAAAAATAAATAAATAATAAAAATAATAAACAAAAATAATAGATTGATCATGAAATGGTTTATCTCTCTGATTGAAGAATTGTATTTACGTTAAAAACTAAATGTTTATTATAGTGTTCCTTGGATTAGTTTAAGGTCATCCATAAATAACTATTTTCTTAAGCAATGTATTTTAAACTAAACTAAACTTAATTTCTAAATCTAAATGTATTTAGCTTGACTTGAACTTTACCGTTTACTAATGTAACTTGCCCATAATGATATTCTTTATTTAAATTACGTAGGCATTATCCAATTTATGAATGTACATATTTCAAAAAGTAAATTATTTAATGGGATAGATGTAGATAGAGATGATGATGATAGCTACAAGGTAGACTGCTAGCTAATAAATGTGACCATTCATTTTTCTAAGTGCTACAATTCAGGGTAATGGGATAACACAATTATTCTTTCTCCTGGCTTTATGATTCTCATATTATTCTCAGCATCAGGGCTTAGACTGAAATAATACCTTTGATGGAGGACATTTCCCTTACCCCTTCATGGGAGGGAACTGGGGCTCACTGACGCTAGAACCAGCCAGCTGCTTTAGGGCTGGCAGGGGTGAAATCCACTCGCTGGGACCCACTGCGCCCAGCCCTCATGGGAGGGAGCACACAGGTGAACAGGTGCAGGAGCACTTTTGGATGCCAGCAGGAACAAATTCTGTGCAGGCCCCGCAGCAGCATCTGGGGGGGTGCCCGCACCCCTGAAACCTCGAGGGGGAGGGTGTTACAGTGCTCTTTTAGCTCTGCTATCTGCAGACGTCTTAAGTGTTAGTAGCTCAGTGGGCCCTTTGCCTTTTCGCTTGAGGCGGCTGCCTCTTGCCAGCAAGGGCAGAGGTTCAGTGTAACAACTTTTCGTATCTGCATTCCTGGCTCCTGAGCTCTTGTCCAGCTTCCAAGAAAAATGAGGTTGCACAACCGAATTGGAGAATGGTAAATGAGGGAGATTTTATTTTGATGGAAGTGACTCTCAGCAGGAAGGGGAGCTGGAAAGGGAATGTGAAGCAGGAAGGTAATCTTCCCCTGAAGTCCGGCTGTCTCCAGCCAGACTCTTCTCGAAAGTCACGCCTTCAACCTGTCCCTCTGAAGTCAAGCCACTTCTCTCCAACGTCCCACCATAGTCTACAACATTGAGCTGCTTCTCCTCTCGATCTTCAGCCACTTCTCACTACCGGTGGAGCCTGGGGTTTTATGGGCATAGGATGAGGGGTGGGGCAGGCCAAAAAAGGCAACATTTGAGTGGGAAAACAGGGATAGAAGTACTCCCTTTGGGCCACAGTCTCAGTCTATTTGGCTTGAGAGTGGGGCTTTAGCTGAGGACCCGCCCTTTTCTGTCTAGAATTTCCCAGCCTCCTGCTCCTATCACCTTCACATAGTATTTCATCAATGACAACTTTAAACCAACATATTTCCAAAAGTTTGCTAGCTATTTTTTTTCTTTTATTAAATTCTAAAAATCATAGCAAACATGTCTTCCAGCAAATAGCACCTGCTCTTTGGTTTTTCTGTTTTTTTGTTTTTTTGCATTTTCATATGAACATGTACAAATACTCTGTGCAATTATACAGTACGTAAAATTTATCATATGTATCAATAGCATCATTAGCAAGCCAAATTCTTTCAAATGGTTATTTGCATTCTCAGCTACTGTGATGAAATATGGAGTATTTTATTTTATTTTATTTTGAGATGGAGTCTCACTCTGTTGCTCAGGCTAGAGTGCCATGGTACAATCTCGGCTCACTGCAACCTCTGACTCCCAGGTTCAAGCAATTCTCCTTGCATCAGCCTCCTGAGTAGCTGGGATTAAAGGCATCCACCACCACACCCGGCTAATTTTTGTATTTTTAAGCAGAGATGGGGTTTTGCCATGTTGGCCAGGCTAGTCTTGAACTCCTGACCTCAGGTGATCTGCCTGTATCGGCCTCCCAAAGTGTTGGGATTACAGACGTGAGCCACTGCACCTGGTCCCTTGGAGTATTTTATTATAGCAAGCAATGCAGCACTACACATACAAAAACATACCCAAAGATTATACTAAGTAAGTTTTACACTTTAACACATTTAACTTTCTGGTTTTTTCTCTAATAGAGAGCCAAAAAATTATAGCAACAAAATATTTTTTCCAACATATATGTGTGCACATACTATGATTTTTGAATGGTAACAATATGACTGAAATTATTTTATTTAAGGATAAATTTAGGGATAATCATCCGTATAATTTAATATCTACAGTACCATAATTTATTGAAAATTCAGTAATTTCTGTCACTTTGTGCATTGTAAATAAATTGGAAATAAGAACAAAAGGTGTCCAGCAATGTATCAATATTCAAAATTTGATGTTTCAAATTAAGATTAGCATTAAGAATTTGAATTTATAGTTCTTGCTTATATATTATTTTTAAAATTAAAGAAAAGTTTTTTTGTTTTTTTTTTTCGTTTTTGAGATGGAGTTTCATTCTTGTTGCCCAGGCTGGAGTGCAATGGCACAATCTCAGCCCACTACAACCTCCGCCTCCCAGGTTGAAGCGATTCTCCTGCCTCAGCCTCCCTAGTAGTTGGGATTACAGGAGCCCGCCACCACAATCAGCTAATTTTTTGTATTTTCTAGTAGATACGGGCTTTCACCATGTTGGCCAGGCTGGTCTTGAACACCTGACCTCAGGTGATCCACCCGCTCAGCCACCCAAAGTGCTGGGATTACAGGCGTGAGCCACTTTGCCCGGCCCTAAAATTTTAACTTGTGTTTATAACTACTATAATAGTCTATTTGACTTTATTCAGCAAAAACTCTAATAATTACAGTTCTATCTATGAGAATATGTAGTTTCAGTGTAATTTTATATTCATTATTTTACTTTTTTTGCCTTTTAAATATTTTTATTATTGTGGAACATAGCATACAGACAGAAAGCAACAAAACCTAAAAGCACAGTAAGAGAAAAAGTTATAACTTTACTCCCCGTGTTTACCACATCTTGGTCAAAAAATAGAATTTTCCAGCCATCCAGACACTCCCCATATATGCCTTCTGTTGATCCCATTCTCCTCTTGTTTTCCTCCTCCCTACTATCCATATTGTTGTAATAGTCACTCATATGTTTCACTTTAGAGTTTTGTCACCAATGTAATAAATTGCAATGTATTAAAGATATATTTTTGAAAACTTTATATAAATGGAATTAAAATGAATGTTTTTCACTATGGATAGATCCTCTTACACTTGTGAGTATTATCTAATCAGCTCAAATTTGTTTATTTTCTTTGTTATATACATTTCTTGTAAACATGTCTCTCTAGTTGGTTCATTTTGATTACTGTATAGTACTATACTATTATATAGGTATGCCATAATTTATTTATCTATTTTATCACTGATAGACATTTGAGAAACTTCTCAACTTTAGCTATGAAAACACAGTGATATTCATGTGTGTGTATACATTTTCTGGTAAGAGTACCTGTACTGAGTCTTAAGATGTGCTCCTTCATCTTCATCAGATAATGCCATACTAAGCCAAAGAATTATATTAATTTATACTTCTAGGAGCAGTGTTTGAAAATTCTCATTACTTCTTGTTCTTTTCAAAATGAGTAATATCAGAATAATTTTCACACTTTTATATTTATATAAAAATTATTAAACTTAACATTTTATAATTCTTTTTCTATTCAATTTTAAAACGTAACTTTAGTTCAAAAATTACATATTACTCTTTTATCATTCTATGATTGTGATTTTATACACATTTCTCAAGAATGAATTGTATATTTTATGCACTTATTCGTATTCTATTATTAAATTTTCTAATCATTTTTCATGAAGTTTCAAATTCTCATTTGATATCAGCAAATAGAATTATACCAGAGATATGCCTTCAGTCAAACATTATGTCAGATCATTTTGAGAAAATATGATTAGTTATTGGCATGTTGCAAGGGAAATTTGGAGTGTTTAACAGGCCCTGAAAGGACTCATACAAAGTGTTGAAATATAAAAATGTTTATACATTTAATATAGGTGTCATGGGAAAATACAAATTCCACCATTACTAGTATGGAAAAAAATGATTGGTAGTAAACTTCCCATGAACTGAACAAACACACCTTAAAAAAAGGCAAGTCTAATATCACTGGGCATGATCCCCCTTAAGGTCCTGACCTTAAACTCTATGTGTACCTGAATTCTGAATGTGCACTAATATTTTTGATGCTTTTAAATTCAGTTGTGTGACCAATGTCAAGCAGTAAAGCACCAGCACATGCTTATAGATGAGTTCAATGCTGTCTTTATGGAAAATATGTTATTCTCAGAACAGCTCAAGTTAACTACTATTCATACACTGTTCTTTCTATTTTTTCTTTTGAAAAAATTTGAATAAAATTTTTCATAATGACGTTGAAGTAAAAGCTGATTTTTCACTTGCAAGCATGCAAATGAAGACATATTCTCTTTCATTGTTTTGCAATTTTTTCCCTCTTTAACTTCTCCATAATTTTTGTTCAGCAACATCAGTTGTTAGGAAAATTTTAAAACCCAATACATAGATTATATATTGGATATCTACATTTTTGAAGGGAGTTTGGTCGTAACTAGAATCATGGCCAAAGTGAATTTGTTTTCCTCAGTACCAGATTTATGTAGACAGAATCCAACTTTTCCTATCAAATGCATTCAAGATTTTTTTGGGAACCCCAGGAAGGCCAGTACTCTTTAAAATCTGGTTGCTGCTAATACCTCTGTATAACCTTATTGGTAACAAGCCAATTAACACGTACAAAGCACCACAACCCACCCCCCCCGCCCGCCCACACACACACCACATGGATGGGAGAAATTATTGTCCTATAATTTTCAAAATGAAGAATAAATTTCAGGGAGGTCATGTAGGTTGAAAAGTCCTTATTTTCCCACTCATGCTTTTTAGCCCATTTTCAATATTTATCAAACTGATCTCTCATGCTTAGGTCTATAAGTAAGTTATCCTTTTGGGTCTATTAAGTCTTTAAATATTAATTATTTAATTAAAAATATTAAGCAATTTTGTAAATATTCCTTGAGCACTTAAAAAACATGTGTTTTCCACTGAAGAAACTAGACTTCTCTACATGTGATATTTGAATATATTTTTTTCTTTTTAATTTATTTTTGATTACTTAATGGCTTAAGATTAATAGATGCTAAAATAAGACTCCAACCTTGGATTGTATTTCTTTTCAGTTTTGATAATATAATTGTTTCTAAGAAATGATCTTCAAGTCTGATGGCCAGGACAGAAACCCAGATACTCTGTTTCATATAGATATGAACTTAGACTATATTTTACAACTACTATCAGCCTTAGGATAGCCATCTGTAAAACGCACACAATAACAATACCCTCCTTGAGTAGGCTTTATGAGAAGTTAGTACACTACTTGTATAACTGCTTGCAATTTCACCTGTCTGATACAGGCAGAAACCAAGTGTTGCTAGGTTTTCATTTGATCCTGTGTTACTTGATATGTAGAAGTTACCTGTGAAAACTTCCACTCTTGAGTAGATACAGCAGGTTCCAGCAGGCAAAATATTCTTCTGCAGCAGCTAGGATAAGATAAATAAAAGGCCAAAATTATATTTTCAATTCATCGGAGAGCTGTGCAAACAAGGAGGGCCAGCTAAACTAAAATCCAGCACAAGGAGAGTCTTTATAGGTGAAGAGTCAACTTATATATTTAATGCAATCTCTATCAAATTCTGGCGGGCTTTTTTGGTAGACCATAAAAAACTACTCCTAAAATGTATCTGGAAATGCCAAGTGACAAGAGCACCTAGAGAAATAATTTAAAAAGAACAAAGTGGGGGGATTACAGTTTCTCATTTCAAAGTTTGCTAAAAGCTGGACTAATCATCAGGACACTGGCATTTTTAATACTATAGACAAGAATAATGAAACACAATTAAGAGTCCACAAATTAGTAACAACATTTATTATCAGCTAATTTCAAAAACCATACCATTTCAATTAAATAAGAATCATTTTTATCAATAAATGATGCTAGACAAAATGAATATTCTCATGCATAAAGATGAATTTAGGCTACTGCCAATGTCCATATAGAGGCTAGCAGCCTTGGATCCACCTGCACCCCACCCCAGTCTACGAGTGTGTACTCTGCCACACTACTGATGCTGCTGGCATGTGTGAACAAGGATGAGCCACAATGCCACTGCCCAACAAAGTGCTTAGGCTGGCACCATCCTTCAGAGTATCGTAACCAGCAATCCAGGAACACAATAGCCCTTCCAGCATAGCAGATTCCCAACCTTAAGGGGAAAGAGAGCAAAGCCAGGGGCCCAATACTAGCCTCCCAGAGTTACGGCATTCAGCGCGGGAGTGCTGAGCTGATCCTTGGCACCCCCAAAATCTACCATAAACAAAGCTAGTAAATGAAACCCACCTTATTCCGAAATCAAACCCCCAAGGGTATCAAAGAAGATAAAAGAAAAAAAAAGAACCCATCCAAAGTACAGCAATTTCAAAGATTCAAGGAACATCAGCCCACACAGATGAGAAAGAATTAGCACAAGAACTCTGGCAACACGAAAAGCCAGAGAATGTCTTCTTACCTCCAAACAACCACACTAGTTCAGCAGCAATGGTTCTTGACCAGGCTGAAAAGGCAGAAATGACAGAAATAGAATTCAGAATATGGATGGGAATGAAGATCAATGAGATTCAGGAGAAAGTAAAAACCAAATCCAAAGTTTTTAAGGAATGCAATAAAATGATGCAGAAGTTGAAATACAAAACGGTTATTTTAAAAAAGAAAAAAAAGTGTTCTGACAGAACTGAAAAACTAACATCAAGAATTTCAGAACACAATGGAAAGTATTCACGGCATAATTGAGCAAGCTGGGGAAAGAATCAACGAAGGAACCAAACTGATCTGACTGAACTAAAAACTCACAAGAAGACCATCCCCAAGGCACATAGTCATCAGCTTCTCCAAGCTCAAAATAAAAGAAAAAATGCTAAAGTCAACTGGAAGAGAAAGGACAGATCACCTACAAAGGGAACCCCATCAGGCTAACAATGGACCTTTTAGTAGAAGCCCTACAAACAGAAAGAGAATGGGGGCTTACATTCAGCAGTTTTGTTTTTTAAAAAGAATTTTTAATCAAGAATTTCGTATCCACCCAAACTAAGCTTCATAAGTGAAGGGGAAATAAGATCTTTTCAGACAAGCAAATGCTAAGGGATTTCATTACCACCAGCCGTGCCTCACAAGGGGTCCTGAAGGGAGTACTAAACATGGAAAGAAAAGATCTTCACTGACAACACAAATACACTTAAGTACATAGACCAGTAACACTATAAAGTAACCACACAACCCAATCTGCATAATAACCAGCTAACAACATGATGAAACAATCAAATCTTCACATATCAACACTAACCTCGAATGTAAAAAGGCTAATTGCCCCAGTTAAAGAGCAAAGAGTGGCAGGTTGGATAAAAAAGCGTAGCCTAATGGTATGCTGTCCTTAAGAGACCCATCTCACGTGTAATGATACGCATAGGCTCGAAGTAAAGGAATGAAGAAAAATCTACCAAGCAAATAAAAAATAGAAAAAAAAAAACAGAGTTACTATTCTAATTTCATAAAAAAAGTCTTTAAATCAACAAAGATCAAAAAAGACAAGGAAGGGCATTATGTAAAGTAAAAGACTCAATTCACGAGAAGACCTAACTATTCTGAATATATATGCAGCCAACATAGGAACACCCAGATTCATAATGCAAGTTCTTAGAGACCTATGAAAAGACTTAGATAAACACACAACACTAGTGGGAGAATTCAACACCCCACAGACAGCATTAGACAGATGATCAAGACAGAAAACTGACAAAGGTACTCAGAATCTGAACTAAACACTTGACCAAACGAACCTAATAGACCACCACAGAACAGTTCACCCCAAAAGAACAGAACACACATTCTTCTCATCTGTACATGGCATGTAATCTAAAATGAACCACACAATCTAACATAAAACAATTCCTAGCAAATACAAAACAACAAAAAATATACCAGTCACGTTCTTGGACCACAGCCCTATAAAAATGTAAGTAAATACTAAGACAATAGCTTAAAACCATATAATTACATGGAAATTAAACAACCCTCTCCTGAATGAATTTTGGGTACATATGAAATTAAGGCAGAAACCAAGAAATTCTTTGAAACTAATGAGAAAAAAGATACAACATACCAGAATTTCTGGGATATAGCTAAGGCAGTGTTAAGAGGAAAGTTTGTAGCACTAAATGCCCACATTGAAAAGTTAGAAAGATCTCAAATTAACAACCTAACATCCCAACAAAAAGACCTAGACAACCATGAGCAAACCAATGCCAAAGCTAACAGAAGACAAGGAATAACCAACATCAGAGCTGAAGTGAAGGAAATTGCAATGCATAAAATCATACAAAAGATCAGTGGGCTGAGGAGTTTTTTTTTTTTAAATTAAGATAGATAGAACACTAGCCACAATGATAAAGAAAAAAGAGAGAATATACAAATGAACACTTTCAGAAATGACAAAGGGGACATTACCACTGACCCCACTGAAATGCAAACAACCTTCACAAACTACTATCAACACCTCTATGCATACAAGCTAGAAAACCTAGAAGAAATGCATAAATTCCCGGGCATATACAACCTCCAAGACTGAACTAAGAAGAAATTGCATCCCTAAATAAACCGATGATGAGTTCCAAAATTGAATCAGTAATAAGAAGCCTGCCAACCAAAAAAAGCCCAGGACCAGACAGATTCACAGCTGAATTCTATCAAATGTATAACAAAGCACTGGTATGATTTATACAGAACCTATTCTAAGAAACTGAGGAAAAGGGACTCCTCCATAACTCATTCTATAAAGCCAGCAGCACCCTAATACCTAAACTTTTCAGAGACACAACAAAAAATAGAAAACTTCAGACCAATATCCTTAATAAACACAGATGAAAAAGTACTCAAAAAATACTAGCAAACTGAATCCAGCAGCACATCAAAAAGCTAATCCACCATAATCAAGTAGGCTTTATCACTAACATACAAGGTTGTTTCAGCATATGCAGATCAATAAGTGTGCTTCATCACATAAGCAGAACTAATTAACGAAAATCGCATTATCATCTCGATAGATGCAGAAAAGGCTTTCAATAAATTCAACATCTCTTCATATTAAAAACTCTCAACAAACTAGGAATTGAAGGTATATACTTCACAATAATAAGCACCACCTATGACAAACAAAGCCACATCATACCGAATGAGCAAAACTGGAAGTATTCCCCTGGAAGATAGGAACAAGACAAGGATATCTTCCCTCACCACTCTTAATCAATTACTGGAAGTCCTGGCCAAAGCAATCAGGCAACAGAAAGAAATAAAAGTCATCTAAGTAGGAAGAGAAGAAGTCAAACTATCCCTGTTTGCAGACAATGTAATCCTATACCTAGAAATCCCAACAGTATTTGCCCAAAATCTCCTTGATCTTACAAACAAACTCAGCAAATTCTCAGGATACAAAAATCAATGTACAAAAATTAGTAACATTCCTATATATCAACAACATCCAAACAGAGACAAATAAAGAAAGCAATCCCTTTCACAATAGCAGCAAAGGAATACAACATATAGAGGAATACAGCTGACCAGGGAGGTGAAATATCGCTACAAAGAGTATTACAAAACATTGCTCACAGAAATCAAATATGACACAGACAAGTGGAAAAAGATTCCGAGCTCATGGATAGAAAGAATCAATACTGCTAAAATGCCCATGCTGCCTAAAGCAATTTACAGATTCAGTGCTATTTCTGACAAACTACCAGTGACATTCTTCACCAAAGTAGAAAAAAACTATTTTAAAGTTCATATGGAATAAAAAAAAAAAAAAGAAAGAGCCCAAATAGCCATGGCAATCCCAAGGAAAAAGAACAAGCTGGAGGCACATTACCTAACTTTGAACCACACTGCAAGGCAACAGTAACCAAAGCAGCATGGCAATGGTACAAAAACAGGCACATAGACCAAGGAAATGGAATAGAGAGCCCAGAAATAATGCCACCCACCTACAGCCATCTGATCTTCAACAAAGTTAAGAAAAACAAGCAATGGGGACAGACCCCCTATTCAACAAATAATGCTGAGATAACTGGCTAGTCACATGCAGAAGATTCAAACTGGATACTTTCCTAATACATATACAAAAATCAAAGCAAGCTGGATTAAATACTAAAATGTAAAACCTAAAACTGTAAAAAGAAAAATAACACCTGAAAAATAACCTAGGAAATACCTTTCTGGACATAGGACCTGGCAAAGAGTTCATGACAAAGATGCCAAAAGCAATTGCAACAAAAACAGAAATTGATAAATGAAACTTAATTAAACTAAAGAGTTTCTGCACAAGAAAAGAAATTATCAACAGAGTAAACAGACAACCTGCAGAATGGGAGAAAATATTTTGCTAACTATGCATCTGACAAAGTCCTATTCAGAATCTATAAGGAACTTGATTTTGCGAGCAAAAAACAAACACCTCCATTTAAAAATGAATAAAAGGCATAGACAATTTTCAAGTGAAGACATACACACAGCCAACAAGCATATGAAAAAATGCTCAATATGAATGAATCATTAAAGAAATGCAAATCAAAACCACAACGAGATAACCTCTCACACCCCTCAGAATGCCTATTACAAAACAAACAAACAAACAAACAAACAAACAAAAACAGACTCTGTCAAGGTTGTGATGAAAGGGAATGCTTTTATACTGCTGGTGGGAATGTAAAACAGAAACAGCAAAGCAAGTACCACATGTTCTCACTTACAAGTGGGAGCTAAACATTAAATACATATGGACACAAAGAAGGGAGCTACAGACACCAGGGCCCACTTGAAGACGGAGGGCAGGAGGGGGGTGAGGATCAAAAAGTTACCTATCAGGTACTCTGCTTATCACCCCAGTGATGAAATAATCTATACAGCAAGTTCCCATGCCATGCAATTTACTTATATAACAAACCTGCACATATACCTCTGAACCTAAAATAAAATCTAAAAAAAATTTAAAACTGCAGAGAGAAGTGAGATTTCTCTTTAAATAAGGCAGGATTGATTTAGTGATTTAGTGATATTTGAGGAGTGGTAGTGTTTAGTGTTGATATCTGAGAAAGAGCATTCCAAGAAGAAAGGACACAAGTATGAAGTCCCTGAGGCAATGCTTGGCATATTCAAGAAGTGACACAAAGGCCAATGTTGCTAGCATGGGATGAGCCAGGTGTGTTTTAGGACAGACAGGCAGACAAAAACAGATCATTCAAATGATTATAGGACTTCGTAAGGATTTTGGCCTTACTCTGAATGAGTTGAGAAGCCACTGAAAAATCTGGAGCAGAAGAACAGCATGATCAAATTTGCACTTTTGCAGGCTCTCTCTGGCTGCTACATTGAGAATACATCAGGGGAATGTGCAGAACTAGAAAAAATTATTAGGAGTTGATAGCAATTATCTTGGCAAGAAATGCAGAAATTTAGATGAGTATGGCAGAAGTGACGACAAGGGATTGGATTCTGTATGTTTTTGAAGACAGAGTCTATAAAATTTGCTGAGATGAGATGTGAAGGAGAGAAAACGTGGACTCTATGTTTTTTGTCTAAATATCTGAAAGTCTGAAGTCTTCATTAACAAAAGGAAAGACTGTAGGAGAAACAGATTTGGGGATGGAAGGAAAGATGAGTAATTTGGTTTAGACAACTTAGTTCTAAGTTCTTGTCAGACATCCAAATGAAGATGTCAAATATGCTATTAGAGAAAGGATTCTGGAGACCAGGGTTGGGTTCTGAGCTGAAGGATTAAATGTTCACATCATCAGCACACAGAAAGTAAGGCCATGACCAGATGAACTTACCTAAAAAGTAAGAGCCAAAAGAGAAAGAAAAAACATAAATTTAGACCCTTATTTTATACCACACACAAAAATTAACTCATAATTCATTGATCATGGAGCAAAAACTTAAGAACTATGATTACTGCGATACTGAGACACTAACTGTACCAAATGCAAGAAATAAAAAATGGGTTAATCAATCATAATTCTATCTATGTATTTCTTTACTTAGATCATTATGTCCATAATGATTATCCCCTGCCTATCAATCTATCAATATTTACATTGCTATTTTAAATAAAACTAAATTAGATACTGAGTCACTATCACTCTGAATAGGCAGAAACTCAAGTGAAAACATTATTGATCCTCCCACATTCTCCCTAGATTTTTGGTCATGTTACTTTTAAATGTAACTGACATTTGAAGAAAAAAGCTTTATATAATGAGAAATATGTAAATAGATGTACATAAATAAATAATATATATAAATACATATGAATAATCAGCCTTATTCCTCTCTATTGAACCATTTGGCTACATTATCAGTAAGGAGACTCCATGAGATCACCAACAAAACAAGCCCGATTGATTAAAGGTTGAAGAACTGAGACCTTGGGCAGTGTGATATTTTCAATTTAGAGACAAGAGAGAACTAGCAAAGGAGACTGAGAAGTGGTGCCCAGTAAATAAGGAAAAAATCAGGAGAGGGCAGCATCCTGGAATGCAAATAAACTATATTCAGTACTGCTCACAGAGCATGCAACATGAAGACCGACCATTGGCAACACAGACTCCCTGGTGATCTTCCAAATGTCAGATTCAATGAAGTGGTGACAACAGCCTTATTGAAATGGGTTGATAGGCCAATAGTTGAAGAGGCTTCATACTTTGCTAAATAATTATAAACCAAGAGGGGGAAAGAGTTGAAAAAGCTGATTCCTGAGGTCAGCCTTTAACATTGAAAATGGAAAACCCTCAGCCAGTTCTCAGGGCTGAGCCAATTCAGAGAAGCAGAATTCAATGATTGAAGGGAATCTTAAGTCCTCTTGATGATGGACATTGAAAATGCACTGCAAGAACACTCAGGATGTATCATATGTTGCTTTCTCAAAGACCTGTAGCTATTCCCCAGAAAACAGTCCTCAGAGAACAGAACACACGTCCATATTATCTGAGACTTTTAAGTTTGGAGCCTGAACTAACACTAATATCTGGGTACCCCAAAAGACACAGTGGTCCATGGGATACGGTGGCAAATTTTTACTTCTGGATTTTTTTTTTTTTTTTTTTTTTTTTTGAGGTGGAGACTCGCTCTGTCGCCCAGGCTGGAGTTCAGTGGCATGATCTCAGCTCACTGCAACCTCTGCCTCCCGGGTTCAAGTGATTCTCATGCCTCAGCCTCCCAAGTGGCTTGGATTACAGGTGCAACACCACCACACCTGGCTAATTTTTGTATTTTTAGTAGAGGTGGGGTTTCACCATGTTGGCCAGGCTGATCTCGAACTCCTGACCTCAAGTGATCCAACCACTCAGCCACCCAAAGTGCTGGGATTACAGGCATGAGCCACCGCACCAGGCCCTTTTTGGGCTTTTGTTTGTTGTTTTTGTTTGTTTCTTTTTAGAGACAAGATCTTGCTTGATTGCCCAGGCTGGAGTGCAATGACACCATCATAGCTCACTGCAAACTCGAATTCCTGGGCTAAAGCAATCCTCCTGCCTGAGTCTTCTGGGTAGCTGTAACTACAGGCACACACTACCACAAACAACTAATTTTTTTTTTTTTTTTTACAGATTCTTACTATGTTGCCAAGGCTGATCTGAAACTCTCAGCCTAAAGTGATCCTCCCACTTCGGCCTCCTAAATTATTAGGATTACAGGTATGAGCTGCCTCAATAGGACTGGAGTATGAGTTTTTGAAGATCAGATGGTACATAGAGCTTTGGCCCATGTCCAACCCAAAGGGGTTCTAATGAGTTCATCGTAGTTACCCCTTCCTGAAAGTGTAATTGAAGTTGACAGGTTCAACAGCTGTCAGGACTCTTACATTTCTTCCTGACCTGTATACCAAGGGACATTATTGTAAGCAGGACCAAGGGGAGGCTTCTGAAATTCTACTTTCCTGGCAATAAAATGAATAAAACATAATAACTGCATTCTCCAGGAAACAGAATTGGTCGCTGCCACAACAAAAAACTCAAAAGTTCCAGGGGGCGGTCGTCCATTTTATATCTTTATTCAGTTAACCTAACTGGCCTCTGTCAAAACCAGATGGATTATAGGATGAATGCACATTAGCATAAACTTAAGTCACACTTGCACATTCGCTCTAGGATGTGGTATCTTCACTGAGCAGAATGTGGTTTCCAGCACTTTGTATGCGGCTTTTGATTTAGCTAATGCTTTTTAATCTACACACATTGTGGAGGAAAATCAAAACAATTTGCTTTGGTGTGGTAAAAACAAGAACACTGCTTCACTGTTTTCTGTCAGGGCTGTCACTTCTGCTTTCAGTTTAATTGACATTTTGCAAAACATCATGTTAATTCAATATATTAATAATATTACATAAAGTGGTACCCATAAGCAGGAAGTGGCAAGTTCCTTAAGTATAGTAAAATATTATAACATTGAACAGAAGTAAAATACTGGAAGAAGAGACATAAACTTCAGCAGATTCAAAGACCTATAACATAGATGAAGTTTATAGGGGTCCAATGCTTCTGGTCCTTTTGTCAAAACATCCTTTTTACAGTAAATGGCATGTTGCCCTATATATATATACTTCCTATCACTAAAAGGGAAATACAGTTTTATGGGGGCTTATTGGGGTTTTGAATTCAACATATACCACATTTAAGGATATTTCTCTGACTCACTAAAGGAGTTTGCAAGGGCTGCTTGTCTCAAGTCAAACCCGAAACAAAAACGGGCTCTATAGCAGATATAGAGTCTGGCCCAAGTTGCTTGGCCATTGTGCCAGATGATGTAACAGAATTCAAAGTTGCTACAGGCATGCATAGTGGGCATTATAGGACTCTGTGCATGCCTCTCACAAGCCCATAGGAGTGGGGAGAGCAAACTCCTAGCGAATTAGTGGAAGACTATTCCTTCTCCAGCAGAGGACTACCTTCTGTCTGAAAAACAAAACAGCAAGTGCAGAAGATTAATCCAAGCATAAAGCCCCTCTAAGCATAAGCACTTCTAAGCACAAGACCCTGTGCAACTGTGAAGTCATATGCCTATAAAGCCAGCCATGATTGGAGGGCATGAGCCAATCTGAGTTGCACAAGGAGTGGACAGTATTGCCCACAAACATATCCTTCCTCAGATTATCTTGACTGTCTTCTCTTTTCTTGGTCAGCACCTTGCTTGATCCAGATCATCCTTCCATTTGGGACTTCAATGGAACACCACACTGGGGGCATGAGGTTTGGCTTTCATAACTACCACCAAGGGACTGGATGATGGAACGCAGAACAGCAGAGATGGTAGTTCTGCCTCAGGGAAACCCTGGCCAATGGGAAATAGAAGACAGAAGACAGCTGAGCAGATACATTTTCTCTTCTCTTTCTCTTCCGTGGACTAATGCCGGCTGTGGTTTCCCCTTGCAGCCCTTCTGGAAAAGTACTGGGAGTCAAGTCCACGCATCTGATGACCACCATGCTGTCTCTCTCATCTCATTGTGAAGTGGTCATCAGCAGAGTCATATCATACATCACAAGACATGGTTTCACATTTGCTTTGCCTCAATTTCCACATGTCCTGGCCATTGCTGCCCTGGACTTATCTTCCAAATAAATGTTATCACTTTAACATCAGACATTGGCTCTAGTTCTAGACACCCAAGGCTAAGATACTCGTTTAGTGTTATAATTGTTATTTATGCATTTTTCTGTGGGTTTTTAATATGGCAATTTAAATGTTCATTTAGAAAGGGTTTTAAAATATTCTATAAAAGTCACGTTTTAGTAAGGTAGTTGGTAACTAACTCAGTTTTTTTTAATGAAATGCCATTTTTGTTTATACACTAACCAGCTGGAAATATCACAATACAAATATATCATTCACAACTGAAAAATTGTATGCAAAGATACCAAAATCTTTTATATTGATGTGCTTTTTAAAATGTATCACAATAGGTACAAGCTGATTTTGATGTTCCACATTATCTTCCCATCACACATCGAATATGGCTTCATCAGGGCTATCTTAGAGTGGTATTTCCCCTACAATTGTATAATGGCCATACTTCTGCTCTGAGAAATACTTCTTCTTAGATAATTCTGTAACCTCAAGTTGAAACCAGAAAATAAAAATTTATGCAACTTTGGATTTTGTGATGAAGTTTCATTTTCATTGGTTTGCCACTCCCATATAGTTAGTTTACTGCTTTATTCACCAATTTACTTGTTCATCAAAATATTCTTAAATACCTATTCTATGTGTTGTCTTTTAGGCCCTGGGAGTCAACAGTAAGCAAGATCTATATGATCTCTGCTTTTATGGTGCTTACATTGTACCAGGAAAGATATATGATAAACAAACAAATAACTAAATCAGATGTAGAGATGATTTGTCCCAAGGTTTAGATAATATTGTTAAAATTTCATAACTCCAAGAATTAATACAGTTTATAGAATTTAATTGTTTAATGATGTTATACATTTTCTTCCTATAATAGAACTTGCTATTACTGAATATATCAACACACTGTCTCATTGTATTATTTGCAACTAGATTATAATACAACATATATTTTAGATGTTTTCTATCATTAATACATAGATTTCATAGATGCCATTTTAACATTTGCAAAAAGTTTAATTCAAATGATTTTTATAATTTCTATACTATTTTTACATAGAGTATTTTTCTAAGGTAGGGAAGACTCAAGTTCTTTTATGTGAAGTTTAAAAAGAATTTCAAGTATGGAAGATAGAGGAGATCATTGGCAATTCAGGGACTCTGAGGTGGTTTAGAAAAAAAAACCTGAAATACTTGACATCAGATCTCAACTTCAAAAAAGGTTTTCTTTAACTCAAAAACTGGAAGAAATGACTTTTCTAACTGCATGTTGAGACTTATGACAACATAAGTCATCACGGTGTTTCTTTCTTCATCCTTATTATAGAAATGACTTTTTTCTCAAATGTTCACATATTTGTATTAAGTCTATTATTCCTCAGTACTGTTTATGGTAGACATATACAAAATGTGTTCTAAATATATTTGTCATCCTTGAATATTATTCTGTGCATCTTTTTCTGAAAATAATTATGCTGGCTATAAACTAAACATAAAATTAGAATTCATGATGAAATAAAAACTACCCCAAAGATGAAACCTCATTATTGATTTAGAATTGAGTGTGCTTACTATCAAAAAATTTAGATGTTTAAGCACACTGTGGTACATATGTGTGGTAAAAATCAGTGGAAAAGAGCAAAGATTTTGAGATAATGTGTCACTTCTTAACAATTATAAGTAAAGATCACACAGTTTTCAAGTGAAACATGATAATATGAAATGTATATGTGAAATATACATGGGTTCATGATTCTGAAAAACTTCTTACCATATTTTCTATAATTTGGCATCTTGTGAAAATATGATTAACATTATGTTATTGTCAATGTCTTTTAAGTCTTTCATATACAGATGCACACACATAGATACACTTTTAGACTAACTTTAGGTAAAAGACTTTTCTAGGTATGCTTTCAGAAAATACTCAAAAACATACACTACAGAAAAAACAGTAAAAAGTATAAAATGTTCCAGACACTATCAGTTTGTTTTCTCCTAGAATACACACACAATGTCCCACTTGTGAATCTAGAGAGTTGAGAGTTTCAGGTCTTTTACTCAGCACCTAATCTGACACAAAATCAAAAGAAAGGTGTGTTTTAGCTTCTTGGTTCTCCAAATTAGGATGAATGAGTCGAATGCAAGATATATGTTTCCAACAGCCTTGCTAACCATGACAACCGGGTCATTCCGCAGCCTCCTAGGACTCCAAACCGAAACGATTAGGAATAGAAAGAAAATGGCACATAACAAGAGGAAGGAGATCAGAGTTTGCAAAGCTTTTATGTGGACCTTGGTGCTGAGATCTTGCGATCCTTCTCCATGGAGCTGCATCTTCTTGAGATGTTTACACAGAGAACAGATTAGCATCAGAAAAGATATCAGGGACAGAGTAAAGGGTATGAAGCTCCATAGGGTAGTTACAGTCAAATATGAAAGATGTACTGTATTCCTCAATTTCATCTTCCCAGTCATGTTTCCTTCATATTCTTCTGCCCACATACTCTCATCCATGTTTGCCACAAGAAGATGACAAACCAAAAATATCAAAGTCCCCAACAGTATCACCAGAATGACACTCCTAACTCTCCTCTTTAAATGAAGAAAAAGAAGGTTGGAGAAATTGGCAATCTTGAGCAAATAAAATATGCTGAGGTTAGCAGCAAGCCACATGCTGAAATGGTTGGTTACAACCCAGGCATTATAAGAAGTAATTCTTAATTCTACACTATAAAAAGCTGGATTCAACACAGTTAAATACCAATTTAATAATAATGCCCAGAGCAAACCAATTCTGGAGACCGCCAGAGCAGTGAGAATTTGGTCAGCTGAGGAGATCTTTTTTCTCTTCACCCAGTCAATGAAATTTACCAGTGCTATGAAGCCATTGGCAAAGTTTCCGAGAACAAATAAAACCATTATTAGAATTGAAAAAAAAATGTATAGAAAAGTTATCATATCTGAGCAGAAAAAAAGAAAGAAAATGCAAGCCTAATATCACTGGTTGTGATTTCTTTAATACTCTGACCTTAAATTTTATGTGCATCTGATTTCTGAATGTGCAGTAACATTCTTTTTACTTTTAAACACTGTGACCAGTGTCAAACAAGAAAGTACCAGCTTATGCTAATGGATGAGTTTGATGTCATCTTTACGGAAAACATTCTTATTTTCAAAACAGCTCAAATTAACTCATTCATTCAATGTCCGTTCTTGTGATGGGCTTGAATTATTCATAATGAAGTTGAAGTGAAACCTAAATTTTCATTTACCAGCATGCAAATAAAGACATATTCTCTTTCAATATTTTGCAATGTTTTCCTTGTTTAACCGATACGTAATTTGTGTTCAGCAACTTCAGCTGTTAGATAGGGAAATTTTACCCCCGAGTCCATCGTTCATACAGTAAATGTCTAAGTTCTTTAAAAGACCTTAGTCATAACTAGGATCACCACCATAACGGATTTACTATTTATGCTACATTTAAACAGACAGAATCCAAACTTTTAAATCAAAATCATCCAAGGTTTTCTTGGGAACCATAAGAAGACCAAAACACCTTAAAATCTGGTTGCTGCTAACCCAATACTTTTGTGTGAATTTATTGTTACCATGTTCATAAATAGATACAAACACAGAAAGAGAGAGAGAGAGAGAGAGAGAGACTGTGACACCCCTAAGAGATGGAAGGAATTATTTTCTTATACTTTCCAAAATGGGAAGTAAGTCTCCTGGAGGCCATCCACGTGAAATTAGTCCTATTTTCCCAGTGAAAACTGAGGGTTTTCAGACCCCCCCCAAAAAAATGTATCAAACATCAAACATATCTTTCATGCTTAAGCATTTGGTAAACTTACTCTCAAGTCTATTTAATGTTTAAGTATTTATTATTTAATTAAAATGTTCAACAATTTTGTAAATATTCCTGAGTACCACACCCTATGACACATAATTTTGCAGTATCCTCCCACCATAAGCAGGTTGATTATCTGTCCCCTGGACTCGGAGCTCACTCACACAACTTTCTTTGATGAACAGAAAATTGGTAGATTTCACACCGAGGTTTGAGATGGCTTCCATATTGGGGTTTCTTGCTCTTTTCCATTGATCATGAGATTATCACCTGGCTAGTACACTGTTTTCAGAATGAGAATGAAAACTAATGGAGTCAGTTTGCCTGCACTTGATCCATCCTAAATTGGCCAAAGTCTAACTAGCTCCAAGATGCAGAACTTGGCCCATCTCAAGTCACCAGAGCTATCCACCAAACCCAGCTTAGAAAACCTGAATCCAAAGATATATGAGATAAAAATATCTAACGTAGTTTTGGAGGGTTTCTCTAGTAGAAAAACCTAACTGGTACAGCTACTATGCTACACCAAGAGTGTGGGGAAATATATTTGCCCCTGTTTTGTCAGGAATTCAGGAGCCAAAAGAAAAATAGATGGGGAGTGGCAAAGTTTTGTCATGTGAGGTAGATAATTAAAGGTAATAAAAAAATGTTTGAAAGGATTTGTGTGCTGCAGGTAGCATCATCTGAAATTTCCATATGTTGCAGCTAAAATAAAGTTCCTACTTCAACTCTCTAAGAGTTGTATAAAAATGTGTATAAATGGTGAATTTTTTGCAAGGTATACAATGAGCAGAATAATTAATATTCTTTATGGAGCATTTTTCCAGTTAATAATTTTTAAATACAATTATAATGCACACTTAGAAATGGGTGAAAACTAAGATGGTAAACATAGCAATGTGTCATAAACACTCATGCAACCATCAAGCAGGGCAAAACATGTCACATTGCAAATAGCCTAGGTCCACCTCCATGCCACTCTCCAAGCCCCTACACCTTTCTTCACATACCCTGAGGAGAGCAATAGCCATAATTTAGAATGATCATTTCCTTGATTTTCTTTTTTTTTGAGACAGAGTCTCGCTCTATCACCCAGGCAGGAGTGCAGTGGCGCGATCTCAGCTCACTGCAACCTCCACCTCCCGGGTTCAAGCAATTCTCCTCCCTCAGCCTTCCAAGTAGCTGGGACTACAGGCGCATGCCACCACACCCAGCTAACTTTTTGTATTTTTAGTACAGACAGGGTTTTGCCATGTTGGCCAGGTTGGTCTTGAACTCCTGACCTCAGGTGATCCACCCGCCTCGGCCTCCCAAAGTGCTGGGATTACAGGCGTGAGCCACCGCGCCTGGCCTTGATTTTCTTTATACATTAACAACTAGGTATGCAACCCTAAACTCTATGATACGGTTTTACCTACTTTAAACCTTTAAGCCATATGTAGGTGTAGTCCTGTATGTTCCTGTTCATGGCTTCTTGGACTCACCTTTACGTTTCTGAAATTTACTCACATACTTGCATCTTTATGTGATTCATTTCTTTTCACTTCTCTATATTATTCCATTGTATGAATGTGTTGTAATGATTCATTCATCTTTAGTTGATACATATTTGGGGGGTTTCTTTTTTGAAGAGTTATGAATAATTCTAGTATGACCATTCTTTCATATATCATTTGATTCATTTCCTTTGGATATATACATAGAAAGATAATTACAGGGTCATCAAATATAGCTTTCAAATTCTCTTCACAGACATAGAAAATTCCGAATTTAAATTAACTAAATTCACTTTTTGATACCTTTACTTACAGACTATATATGGCTATTTCTATATATCTTATTAAATACTTAACCCAAAAAGACACCACCACTTTATACAGTCAAAATTTATTTAGACTTATGCACATATTTACCACTTCTATTATTTATTATTCCTTCATGCATGTTCAGCTTTATATTTTTAGTAATTTTCCTTTTATCTAAAAAATATTCTTTTGAATTTCTATTTGTTAAAGTCCGCTATGGTTTTGAAACACACTGAAGACATGATTCCATTGAATTCTAGCTTCAATTTTGTCTGTTGAAAATAAGATTGTCATTTAGACAGTTGTTTCTTTTTACATAAAGTTTTTCCTCTACCTACTTTTCAGATTTTCGATTGGTCTTTGATATCCTGTGGCATTTGTTTTTAATTGGTTTTAGTTATCTCATCTAAATTTTAATGGCTTCTGAAAATATACGGATGTCTCAGAATAGCCAAAGTTATCCTGAGCAAAAAGAACAAAACTGGAGGAATCACATCACCTGACTTCAAAGTATATTACAGAGCTATAGTAACCAAAACAGCATGGTACTGGCATAAAAACAGACACATAGAGCAGCGAAATAGAATAGAGAATGTGGAAACAAATCCACACCTATAGAGAACTCATGACAAAGGTGCCAAGAACATACTCTGGGGAAAGGACAGTCTCTTCACTAAATGGTGCTGGGAAAATTGGATATCCATTTGCAGAAAAATGAAACTAGATGCCTATTTATCACCATATACAAAGATCAAATCAAGGAGGCCTCAATGATTCAGTGATGTTTGATGAGTGATAGTGTTTAGTGTTGATTTCTGAGAAAGAGCATTCCGAGAAGAAGGGACACAAGTACGAAGTCCCTGAGGCAATTCTTGGTACATTCAAGAAATTACACAAAGTCCAGTGTTGCTAGCATGGGATAGCCAGGCATTTTAGGACAGACAGGCAGACAAAATCCGATCATTCAAATGATTATAGGACTTTGTAAGGATTTTGGCCTTACTCTAATGAGATGAGAAGCCACTGAAAAATCTAAAGCTGAAGAATGGCATGATCAAATTTGCATCTTCATAGGCTCTCTTTGGCTGCTATCTTGAGAGTACATCAGGAGAAAATGATGTGCAGAACTAGAAAGAATAATTAGGAGTTGATGGCAATTATCTTGGCTAGGTATGGCAGCAGTTTAGATGAGTATGGCAAAAGTGATGACAAGGGATTGGATTCTGTATGTTTTTGAGGGTAGAACCAACAAGAGGGTAGAACCAACAAAATTTGCTGATGCCTTAGAGATGAGTTCTGAAAGAGAGAAAATGTTAACTCCGTGTTTTTGGTCTAAGCATCTGAAAGACTGAAGTGGTCATTAACAGAAGAGGGAAAGGCTATAGAAGAAACAACGCTGGAGACTAGAGGGAAGATCACTATTTTGATTTGGACATGTTAGTTCAAGTTCTTGTTACGACATCCAAATGAAGATGTCAAATGACTTCTTAGAGAAAGGATTCTAGAGACCAGGATTGACTTCTGAGCTGAAGAATTAAATATTGGCATCAACAGCACACAGAAAGTAACTAAGGTTATGACTAGATGAACTTACCTAAGAAGTGGGAGTAAAAACAGAATGATAAAAACATGAGTGTAGACCATTATTTCATACCATATATAAAAATTAACTCATAATTAATTGATCATAGAGAAAAATATAAAAACAGATTACTGAGATACTAAGACATTAACTGTACCAAGTACAATAAGTCAAAATGGGTTAATCAATCATTATTCTATCTGTATATTTCCTTACTTATATCATTTTTTTCTATAATGATAATCCCCTGCCTATCAATCTACATGGCTATTTTAAATAAAACTTAATTAGCTATCTGGTCACCATCACTCTGATTTAGCAGAAATTCAAGTAAAAACATTATTGATGCTCCGACCTTCTCCATAGATTTTTAGTATTGTGACTTTTAAATGTAACTTTGACATTTGAAAAAAAGGGTTACATAATTTGATATATGTAACTATATGTATATAAATAAATAACATATATGAATAATCAGCCTTATTCCTCTCTATTGAACCATGTGGCTACATTATCTGTAAGGAGACTGCATGAGATCACCAAAAAAACCAGACATAATTGATTAGAGATTGAAGAATTTAGACCTTGGGCAATCTGATATTTTCAGTTTACAGACAAGAGGAAGAACTAGCAAAGGAGACTAAGAAATTGTGCCAGTGAACAAGGATAAAATCAGGAGAGGGCAGCATCCTGAAATGCAAATAAACCAGGTTCAGTGCTGCTCATAGAGCATGCAACATGAAAACTAACCATTGGCAACACAGACTTATCGGTGATCTTGCAAATGTCAGATTTAATGGAGTGGTGACAGTAACAGCCTCATTTAAATGGGTTGATGGACCGATAGTTGAAGAGGCCTCATACTTTGCTAAATAATTATAAACCAAGAGGGGACAAGAGTTGCAAAAGCTGACTCCTGAGGTCAGCCTTTGACATTGAAAATCAAAAACCCTTAGCCAGTTCTCTGGACTGAGCCAGTTCAGAGAAGCAGAGTTCAATGATTGAAGGAAAGCTTACATGCCCTCGGTAAACAACACTGAAGATTCACCACAAAAATATTCAGGAAATATTCACTTGACCCTTTCTCAAGCACCTGTAGCCATTTCACCTGTAGCCATAACAGTACCCAGAGGAAAGGACATATATCCATACTCTCAGAATTTTAAACATGGGGCCTGAACTAACACTAATAATATTTGAGAACTAAAAAAAGACACTGTGTTTCACAGAATGGAGTGGGAGGCTTTGTTTTCGGTTGTTCGTTTTTTTTTGTTTTTAGAGACAGAGTCTTGTTTGGTTGCCCAGGCTAGAGTGCAGCCCAGGCTGGAGTGAAATGGCACAATCATAGCTTACTGCAGACTCAAATTCCTGGGCTAAACTGATCCCCCTGCCAGAACTTCCTGGGTAGTTGGAACTACAGGCACGCAGTACTACAATCAGTTTATTTTCTTTAACAAACAGGGTCTTGCTGTCTTGCCCAGGCTGATCTGGAACTCCTGGCCTCAAGTGCTCCTCCCACCTCAGCCTCCCAAATTGTTTGGATTACAGGTGTGAGCCACCTCACCAGTCCTGGAGTATGAGTTTTTGAAAGTCAGATGCTGCATAAAGCTTTGGCTCATGTTCAACCTAAGGTGGATGTAATGGGTTTATATTTATTATCTCTTCCAGAATGTTAAATGAAATTAACAGTTTCAACAGCTAGCAGAACTCTCACATTGCTTCCAGACCTGTATATTAAGGGACATTACTGTAAGTAGGACCAAAAAGAGTCCTCGGTAATTCTCCTCTTCTGGCAAGAAAATGAGTAAAACATACTAACCGCATTGTCCAAGGAATAGAATTGGTCACCGACATGACAAAAAACTCAAAAGTTCCAGGAGGTGGTTGTCCATTTTTGATCCCTATTCTGTTAACCTATCTGGCTTCTGCCAAAGCCAGATGGATTATCAGATGAATGCACATTAGCATAAACTTAAATCACACTTGCAGATGCTCTCTAGGATGTGGTACCTTCACTGAGAAAACATGGTTTCTGGTTCTTTGTATGAGGCGTTTGATTTGGTGAATGCTTTTTAATCTACATCGATTGGGAGAGAAAATCAAAATGATTTGTTTTGGTGAGGTAAGAACAAAAGCACTGCTTCACTGTTTTATGTCATGGCTACGTCACTTCTGTTTTCAGTTTAATTGGCATTTTGCAAAACATCATGCTAACTCAATATATTAATAATATTGCATTAACTGTTACCCATAAGCAGGAAGTGATGAGTTTCTCAAATATAGTAAAATACCATAACATTGAACAGAACTAAATACCAGAAGAAGAAAGATGAACAAGAAGATTCAGTGACCTATAACATAGATGATGATTTTAGGGGTCCAGTGCTCCTAGTCCACATGCTGAAACACCCTTTTAAAGTAAACAGCATGTTGCTCTCTATACATCTATTTCCTGTCACTAAAAATGAGACACAATATTTGTTGGGCCTACTGGGATTTGGGAGCCAACGTATTCCACATTTGAGGATACTGCTCTGATTCACTAATGAAGTTGCCAAAGGCTACTGGTCTCAAGTGGAACTAGAACAAAAAATGCCTCTAGCAAATGTAGGCTCTAGTCCAAGCTGCTGTGCTCATTGTGACAGATAATCCAGCAGAATTCAAACCCGCTAGAGGCATGCATGCATAGTGGGCATTATAAGACTCTGTGCATGCTTCTCACAAGCCCACAGGAGAGGGGAGAGCAAACCCCTAGCCAATTAGTGCAAGACCATTCCCTCTTTAGCAGAGGAGTGCCCTCTGTCTCAAAAACAAAACAGCAGGTGCAGAAAATTAACCCATGTATAAAGCCCTTCTAAGCGTGTGCGTCTCTAAGCACAAGACCCTGTGCAACAGTGGAAATTATATGCTCATAGTCAGCCATGATTGGAGGGCATGAGCACATCTGAATGGCACAAGGAGTGGACTGCATGGGACACAAACATGTGCTTCCTCAGATTTACTTGACTGTCTCCTATTCCCCTGGTCAGCACCTTGCCTGACCCACATCACCCTTCCATTTGGGACTTGAATGGATCACCACATTGTGGGCATGAGGTCTGACTTTCATAACCTCCATCAAGGGATTGGATGATGGAAAGCAGAACAGCAGAGATGGTAGTTCTGCCTCAGGGAAACCCTGGCCAGTGGGAAATAGAAGACAGAAGACAGCTGAGCAGATATATTCTCCGTCCTCTGTTGCTTCCATGGGCTAATGCTGGCTGTGTTGTCCTCTCGCAGCCCTTCTGAAAAAGTCCTGGGAGCCAAGTGCATGCATCTGATAACCACCATGCTGTCTCTCTCACATCATTGTGAAGTGGTCGTCAGCAGAGTCATATCACACATTACAGCACATAGTGTCACATCTTCTCTTGACTCAATTTCCACATGTCCCAGCCATTTCTGCAGTGGACCTCCTTCCAAATAAATGTCATCACTTTAATATCAGACATTTGCTCTACTTCTAGACCCCTGATAAGATATTCATTCAGTGTTATAATTATTATTCATTCATTTTTCCATCAGTTTATAATATGGTGATTAAAGTGGTCATTTAGAAAGGATATTAAAAATACTAAATAAAGATTATATTTTAGTAAGATAGTTGGTAACTAAATTTTTTAAATGAAATGTCATTTTTGTTTATATAATAACCAGCTAGAAATACCACAATATAAATATATCATTCGCAATAGAAAAGATATGTGCACTTATACAAAAATCTTTTATATGCTTAGTAAAAAGTATTGTAATAAATGCCATCTTTTTATTTTCCACTTTGTCTTTGTGTCACACATCTGATATAGCTGCATCACTGCTATATTATAGTGATATTTCCCCTAGAATTGTGGAATAGCCAAACTTTTGCTCTGAGAAATTCTTCTTCTTCTTGGATAATCCTGTAACTTCAATCTGAAACCAGAACAGAAATGTGCACCCAACTGTAGATTTTGTGATGTGTTACATTTTCATTGGTTCACCACCCCAATATAGTTCATATTCATTCATTCACCAATTAACTTGTTCATCAAAGTATCATTTTTCAATACCTATTCTATGTGCTATCTTTATGTCTTGGGAGTCTACAGTAAGCAAGATCTATATGATCTCTACTTTTATGGTATTTACATTGTACCAGGTAAGATATATGATAAACAAACAAATCAGATGTGGAGATGATTTATCTTAAGGTTTAGATAATATTGTTAAAATTGCATAACACCAGAAATTAATACAGTCACACAGAATTTAGCTGTTGAACTAGGTTATACATTTTCTTCTTGTAATAGAACTTGCTATTAGTGAATATGTCAACACACTTTCTCTCATTTCATTATTTACACCAAGATTATAATAAAACATATCTTTAAGACATTTCCTATCATTAATATATAGATTTCATAGATGCCATAGTTTCTATACCCTCTTTAGATTGAGCTTCTTTTTAAAGTAAGGAAAATTTGAGCTTTTTGAGGAATTTTAAGGATGGAAGATAAAGGAGGAAATTGACAATTCAGGAGCTCAGAGGTGGCTTAGACAAAAAACTGAAATATATAACATCAGATCTCAACTTCAAAAAGGTTTTTGTTTAATTCAAAAACTGGAAGAGATGACTTTTCTAATTGCGTATGGAAACTTATAACAGCACTGAAAAGAGCTCATGATCATGTTTCTTCATCCTTTTTATAGAAATGATTTTTTCTAAGCTATTAACATACTATATTAAATATAATATTCCTCAGTATTGCTTTTGATACACATAAAAATGTACACTAGATATATTTTTCACCCTTGAATTTTATTTTGTGCATTGTTATCTAACAATAATTGTATTTGCTTTATATTAAACATAAAATAAGAATTCATCATGAATGTCTATAATCCCAGCACTTTGGGAGGCTGAGGCAGTGGATCACTTGAGGTCAAGAGTTCGAGACCAGCCTGGCCAGCATGGTGAAACCCCATCTCTACTAAAAAAAAAAAGAAAAATACAAAAAATTAGCCACGTGTGGTAGCGCATGCCTGGAGTCCCAGCCACTCAGGAGGCTGACGCATGGAAATCACTTGAACCCCAGAGGTGAACGTTGTGGTGAGCCAAGATTGTGCTACTGCATTCCAGCCTGGACAACAGGGCAAGACTCCATCTCAAAAAAAAGAAAAAAAGAATTCATGATTAAAAAAAAAACAAAAAAACCTACCCCAAAGACACATTCTCATCGATTTAGAATTAAATGTCCTTACCATCCAAAAAATTAGAGGTTCAAACAATGATAGTTAAACAGTTAAACACACTATGGTACATATACGTGATACAAATTACAACGAAAAACAGCAATGATTTTACAACGAAAAACAGCAATGATTTTCTGATATAAGCTGTCAGTTCTTAATTATAAATAGAGATCATAAATTCCTCAAATGAAATATCATATAAAAAAATGTGTGAAATACACATGGGTTCATAATTCTGAGAAATTTCTTATCCTACTTTGGTATAACTGAACAGTTTATATGAAAAGTTGATTAAAGGTATGTTATGGTAAATATTAAATTTTCATATACATTCAGACATACACACACACGCAAATGTATATTATATATATATACTTTTATATAATAAACTTAGGTAAAAGACTTTTCTATGTCAACTTTTGGAAATTACTCAAATACATAGACTACGGAAAAACTTGTGGGAAATATAAAATGTTCCAGACACCATCAATTTGTTTTCTGCTAGAAAACACACAATGCACCTCTTGTGAATCTATGGAGTTGACTGGTTCTGTCCTTTTGCCCAGCAAGTCACCTGCCACAAAACTGAAAGAAAGGTCTGCTTTAGCGTCTTGTTCCCCCAAATCAGAATGAATGAGTGGAATGATGGATATATGATTCCAAAAGCTTGGCAAAGCATTAAGACAATTTCTTTTGGTCGCATCTTAAAATTCCAAAACGATATGATTAGACACAGAAAGTAAATGGCAAGTAATATGAGGAAGGAGGTCACAGTTTGCAGAGCTTTTATGTGGATCTTGGTGCTGGGATCTTGAGATCCTTTGCCATGGAGCTGCATCTTCTTCAGATGTTTACACAGAGAGTAGATTAACAGCAGAAAAGATATCAGGGTCAGAGTGAATGGTATCAAGTTTGCTAGCATGGCTACAGTCAAGTTGGAAAGGTGCATTGCATTCCTCAGTTTGATCTTCCAAGTTACGTTTCCTTCACATTCTTCTGTCCACACATTTATATACGTGTGTTTCATCACAAGGTGACAAACCAAAAAGAACAAAGACCCCAACACTATCACCAGAACTACACTCTTAGCCTTCCTTTTTAAGTGATGAAAAATAAGTCTGGAGAAATTGACGATCTTGAGCAAATAAAATATGCTGAGGCTAGTAGCAAGCCAGATGCTGAAATGATTGGTTACTGCCCAGGCATTAGAAATAAAAATTATTACTTTTAAATTAGATGAAGTTGGATTCAACACAGTTGAATACCAATGTAATAATATTACCCAGAGCAAACCAACTCTGGAGACTGCCAGAGCAGCAATAATTTGATCAGCTGAGGAGATCTTTTGTCTCTTGACCCAGGCAATGAAATTTATCAGTGCTATAAAGCCATTGGCAAAATTTCCAAGAATAAATGCAACCACTACTAGAATGGAAAAAACAATGTGTAGAAAACTCATCATGTCTAAACAAAAAAGCAAGTAAAAAATTCAGGCCTAATGTCACTGATGGTGACTCCTCTGATATTCAAGACTTTAAGTTAAATATGCACTTGATTCCTGAATGTCCAATAACATTCTTTATACTTTTAAATTCTGTGAACAATGTCAACAGAAAAGCACCAGCTTAAACTAATGAATGAGTTCAATGCTGCCTTTATGGGAAATACTGTTAGTCCCAAAACAACTCAAATTAATTCTTATTCATAAAGTCTCTATTCTTGCTATAGGCTGAAATTTTTCATACTGATGTTGAAGGGAAAGCTGAATTCTCATTTGCTAGCATTCAAATAAAGACATATCCTCTTTCATTGCTTTGCAATTTTTTCCTTGTTTCACCTTTCCATAATTTGTGTTCAGCCCTTCAGTTGTTGGGGAAATTTTAATACCCAGTACATAGATGACACAAAAAATATATTGTTAAAAGAGCCTGGTGAAATCTAGGATCAAAATCACTATGGATTTATTTTTAAAGCCAGATTTAAATACACAGAATCTAAACTTTTTATCAAAATCACCTAAGATTTTCTTGGAAACCACAGGAAAGCCAATACTCCTTATAATTTGGTTGCTGTTAACCAATACTTCTATATGGCATCACTATTAACAAGCTCATAAACACACACACAGACACACACACACTTTCACTCTTCAAGGATGGAAGGAATTGCTTTCTTGTAACTTATGACATGGAAAATGAGTTTCCAGGAGCTCGTCCTGGTGGAATTAGTCCTATTTTTCCCATGCCAGATTTTCAGCCAATGAATAATATTCATGAAACATATCTCTCATGCTTAGGCTTTTGGTAATGCTACCTGCAAGCTTGTAAACATTCCTGAGTACCAGACCTTTGTCACATAATTTTGCAGTGTCCTCCCACCACAGGCATAGTGACAACCTTGCACTAGGGCTCTGAGTTCGATCATGTAATTTGCTTTGATGAACAGAAAATTACTACACTTTACATCGAAATTTGAGATGACCTCCACATTAGGCTTTCTTGTTCCTTTCCGGTTTATAATGAGAACATGTCCACACTAACACACTGTTCCCAGAATAAGAATGAGTAACTCATGGAATCATATGGCTCCTGCCTGATCCAGCCTTAAATCGGCCAAACTCTAACTAGATCCAAGAGGCAAAACTTGGACCATCTCAAATCACCAGAGCCATCCACCAAACCCCAGCTTAAGAAAACAGAATCCAAAAACATGTGAGATATAAATATCTAATGTGGTTTTGGAGAAGTTTCTTTTGCAGAAAAAGCTAAGTGATATAGGTACTCTGCTAATCCAAGAGTTTGAGAAATATGTGCGCCCTTGTTGTGTCAGAAATTCAGGAGCCAAAGGAAAAATAGGTTGGAAATATCAAAGTTTTTGTAATATGAGGTGAATATCTAAAACTAGAAGAAAACTTTTGGAAAGATCTGGAGGCTGTAGGTAACAGCATCTCAAATTTCTCCATTTTGCAACTAAAATAAGAATTCACTTTAGCTCTCTTGAGTTGTATAAGAATGTACGTAAATGGTGGATTTTCCCCCTAGGTATATAATGAGCAGAGCAATTAATAATTTTTACGTGACATTTCTCCCAATTTGTAATTTTTTAAATAAAATTATAATGCACACTTAGAAATGGGCCAAAACAAAAATAGGTAAGAGCAATGTATCATAAACACTTATGTAACCATCATGCAGGATAAGACATGGAACACTGCAAACAGACTAGGTCCACTTCCAGGCCACTTTCCAAGCCCCTAAACCTTTATTCACATCTCCTGAGATAAGCAATATTCATAATCTATGATGATCATTTGCTTGAATTTCTTTATACTTTACCAGCTAGGTTCACAACCCTAAACTCCACAGCTTGGTCTGTCCTGCTTTGAACTGTGTATAGGTGCAGTCCTGTGTGTTCTTCTTGTTCATGGCTTCTTGCACTAGATATCATGTTTCTGAAATTTAGTTACATAGTTGCATGTACATGTGATTCATTTCTTTTCACCTCTATATACTGTTCCACTGTATGGATTTACTGTAATCTTTCATATCATTCAATCATCCTTAGTTAATATATATTTGGGCAGTCTATTTTTGAGCTATTATGAATAATACTACTATCAGCATTATTTCACATATCATTTGATGCAATTCCTATTATGGGGTCATTAAATGTGGTGTTCAAATTATCCTCACAGACATAGAAAAGTGCAAAAAATAATTTATCTAAATTTGTTCCTGTCACCTTTACCTCCAGTCTCTTTATCGCTATTTGCATATATCTTATCAATAATATATTTAACTCAGCAAGACGCTATTATTTTATTCAGTCAACATTCATTTAGAATTATGCACATATTTATCATTTCTGTTAATTTTTATTCCTTCTTGCATGCTTAACCTTGTATTTTCAATATTTTTTATCTGAAAAATATCATTTGGATTTCTGTTTATGAAGGTCCTCTATTCTTTTGAAACACACTAAAGACATGATTCCATTGAATTCTACTTTCCATTTTTCTGTTGAAAATCAGGTTGTCATTTAGAAAGTTGTTCCTTTTAAAATAATCTATCTTTTCCTCTGGCTACTTTTCAGATTTTCTACTGGTCTTTGATGTCTTGTGACATTTTATGTTAATTTGTTTTTAGTTATCTTGTCTGACCTTTGATGGTTACTAAAAATATATGGATTAATACATTTTATCACTTTTGGGAAAATCTCCACAACATTGATTCTGCCCTATTTTATCCCTTTTAATCTTCCAGAAATCCAGAAGTATGTTAGATGCTCTGATTGTAGCATCAATGCCTCTTATCCTCTTAGCTTGGCATTCTTTGTCTTGTGGTCTCTTTAGGCTTCTTTCTTTATAGTTGTCTTCCAATTCACTAATTCTCTCTTCTATGTCTAACTGGTTGTTAACTCTGTCTATTGGATTCTCAATATTGATTATTTATTTTTTGCTATTATTGTTTTAGTAGCAGAAATTATATTTTGTTCTCCTTCTATAAATCATTATCTATGGAGAAGCAGAACAAAGCACTCTTACCACCAAGTTTTTTAAAAAAAGTTGGGTTCTTTGTTCAGTTGGTTGGCTTTGTTTTTTTGTTTTTCGTATGCTTGACATGAAAATGCTAACAATTTTCTTCTTTTCCCAAGACTTTGGTCACAAAATAGAATAAAAGCTTGGTCTACACATCCTTCCGCAAGTTGGAAGAACCTGGAAATTGATGTGATGTTAGTAGCTTTTTTTTTTAGGGGGGGATAGCAGCTTGTCTGTTGATGAGTCTTCACCACAAACTCTCCCCACAGGGAAATTCAATGAGCTGTGCTGGATCTCAAGATGCCATTCCAATAAATAAATTATAGCACCTCAACCCTAGCTACACCATTCTATTTTACAAATTAAATTTTACTCTTTTTTTATTAGCAGAAGTGGAGCTCTGTACCTTCAAACTTCTTCACTATCAGGTGAGATATAGAAGATGTGAGGGCTTACTTCTATTTGATTTATTTAGTCCTAAAATTCTCACTTTAGATGTGCCAGCAACCTGTGTGGGCTGATGACTTGGGGCAGGATGGGAGAATGCCAGGGGATAGATGCACAAAGGACTGGACACCTCCTTGCCTCCTCCCATCCTCCTCAAAACTTCAGCACAACTCTGAAGCAAAGTGTGCTTGTGGGAGAACCCAGAGTTGCTTAAGATTTAATTTCTGCCATCAGGTTAATGGAGCACCTAGGGAAATTAAGCTGAGTTTTAAAAATATCCAGAAAGTTAAATTTGTTGTACATGTGAGTTTCTGAACTGCGATTAGGCTTTACTTTACCTGGCATCAGGGAGTGTTATAAATCAATTATTTAAATATTCATGTAAGGTGTAAAAAGGAGTAGAAGTACACGTATCAAATTTCCATAAATAAACTTTGCAATATAAACGTAATTTATACTATTAATTCTTTGTCAATAAAATGTGGAAAGGTTAAAAAATAAATAAAATAAAACCTTCACTTTAGAAGTAAGAGCTTGATCATGAAGTGGCTTATTTATCTTTCTAATTAAGGAATTTTATTAACACCGCAACTAAATCTTTCCTATAGTGTTCCTAAGATCAGTTTAAGGTTATCTATAATGATTTGCTTAAGCAATGTATTTTAAACTAAACTATACTTAAAAATGTATTTGGTTCAACTTGAAATTTTCCATTTTCTAATCTAACTTTCCCATAATAATAATCTTTTAAACATTTATTAGACATTATCCAAATTATTTATGTAAACATTTCAAAAATAAATCATTTAATGAGATAGATATAGATGATGATTGGTGATGATGATAATGTCAGTTAAAAGGGGCCATGCTCTTCTATAAATGTGACTTCAATCATGTTTTCTAAGTGCTGCGTTTCAGGGTGATGGGCTCATGAACTTGTTTCTTATATTATTCTCAGCATCAGGCACAGACAAAGATCCTCAGACAGTATTTCATTAAGAATAAGTTAAAACCAATGTATTTCCAATGATTTACTGGCTATTTTTTTTTCTTTTACCACATTCTGAAAATCATGACAAAAGTGCCCTACAACAAAGAGTATTCTCCTTTGGGCTGTTTAATTTTCACTGTACTTTCATATGAACTTCATATATACAAATCCTCTATACAATTATATAGCATACAAACTGTATTTTATCTTTTAATAGTATCATTAGCAGGCAAAATTCTCTCAACTGCTTATTTACAATCTCAGCTACTGTCACTAAATCTGGGTTATTTTACTATAGCAGTCAAAGTAATACTACATATACACAAGCACACTCAAAGATTACACTAAATATGTTTTATAGCTTAACAGTTATCTTTCTATGTTTTCTTCTCTAATACAGTTGAAAAATTTATAGTAACAAAATATTTTCCCCAACACATATGCTGTGCACATGCATAGTATTGTGATCTTTGAATGGGAACAACATGAGTATAATTATTTCATTTAGGGATAAATGTAGCAAAAATTGTCCTATACACTTAATATCTATAGTCCTACATACTTTAATATTTGTACCTTATGAAAAATTCCCTAATTGCTGCCAATTTGAAACGTGTATCATGAATAATTAAATTGGAAACAAGAAAAAAGTCTATTGCAATATAGTTGTTCAAAATCTATTGTTTCAAATTAAGATTAGCATTAAGAATGTGGATGTACACTTCCTGCTTATATCTTTCTTTTTTAAATTAATTTTTAAAAGTATAAAATTTTATCCCTATTTCTTACTACTATAATGCTGTATTCTTTATTCAGCAAAACTCTAATTACGATGGTACATGTAAGAATATATTGTTTCAGCCTAGTTTTATATTCATTAATTTACTTAATATTTCTGCTTTTAAAATATTTTCATTATTCGGGAACCTAACATATGTAGGGAAAGCAATAAAACCTAAATGCACAGTAAAAGGAAAAAAGAATGTAACATTAACACTCATATTCCACACTTTCGTCAAAAAGTAGAATTTGCCAGCAATGAAGACATTCCCCATATATGCTTTCTTGTTGATATGATTTCCCTTTTGTTTCCTCCCTCCCAAGTATCCCAGTTATGATAATCACTTATATGTTTCGCTTTACAGTTTTGCCACCAATGTAATAAATTATAAGAATTTATTTCAAATTATAAGAATTATAAAAACTTAAAATAAAATTTCTTTTATGAGAAGTTATAATTTCTTTTATAAAATGTTATAATTTCTTTGGTAAGGAGTTATAAGAATTTATAATTTCTTTTATAAGCAATTATAAGAATTTATTTGCAAAAATACAAAAATATTCTTGCAAATTTCATATAAATGTGATTATATTGAATGTTTTTGATGTTAATAATTACTATTATATCTGTATATATTACTATGCTATCCATGTAAATCAAATTTATTCACTTTCCTTTTCATATATATTCTTTGTAAACATGTCCCTCTAGTTTGTTCATTTTGATTGCTGTATAGCATTCTGTAAGTATGTCATAATTTATTTATCCATTTTATTACTGATGGTCATTTGGGAGACTTCTCAACTTTAGCTATTAAAACTCAGCGATATATACTTGTATATGTATTCTGATATGAGTGCAAATCCTGGGTCTTAGGATGTGATCCTTCATCTTATTCAAATAATGTCACACTCAGACAAAGTAATTGCACTGATTTATAATCCTAGGAGCAGTGTATGAAAATTCCCACTGCTTCATATGCTCTCCAAAATTAGTAGAGTAATTTTTGCACTTTCATATTTATATAAAATATAATTAAACTTGGCCAGGCACGGTGGCTCACGCCTGTAATCCCAGCACTTTGGGAAGCCAAGGTGGGTGAATAACCTCAGGTATGGAGTTCAAGGCCAGCCTGGCCAAGATGGTGAAAAAATACTAAAATACAAAAAATACTAAAAATACAAAAATTAGCCTGGTGTGGTGATGCACACCTGTAATCCCAGCTATTCAGGAGGCTGAGGCAGGAGAATTGAGTGAACCCGGAGGCGGAGGTTGCGGTGAGCTGAGATCACACCACTGCACTCCAACCTAGACCACGAAGTGAGACTGTCTCAAAAATAAATAAAATATTATTAAACTTAACATTTTACAAACCTTTTTCTATTATAATTCAGAATGCATCTTTAGTTGAAAAATTACATCACTCTTAATTCTATGACTATAATTTCATGCACATTTATTAGGGATTAATTATATATTTCATACATTTATTTGTTCATATTTCATTATTAATTTTTCTAATTTTTTCTTGAAGTTTCAAATACTTTTTTGTTATGAACAAGTGTAATTATACTGGAGATATTTCCTTTAATCAATCATTACGTCAAATGACTTTGAGAAAATATGATTAGTTCATGGCATATTGTAGGGGAAATTTCAGGATTGTTTAACAACTCCTAAAAGGAAACAAAGAAAAAATATTAAAATATAAAAATAGTCTATAAGTTTAATAATAGCTGTCCATGGTAAAACACAAATTCTACCATTACCAGTATGGAAAACATGATTGGTATCAACATATCATGTCTGAATTCTTTTTAAGGCAGGCCTAATATCATTGGATAAGATTCCCTTTAAGGTCCTGACATTAAATTCTATGTGCACCTGATTTCTGAATGTGCATTAACGCTCTTGTTCTTTTTAAATTCTCTGACCAGTGTCAAACAGGAAAGCACCAGGGCATGCTAATGAATGAATTCAATGCTGTCTTTATGGAAAACATGATAATTTCTAAAACAGTTCAAATTAACTTCTATTCAAACACTATGTCCTGGCTATAAGATGAAATTTTTCATACTGATGTTGAAGTGAAAAATGAGTTCTCATTTGCTAGCATGCAAATAAAGACATATTCTGTTTCCTTGTTTTGTAGTACTTTTCCTTGTTTAACCTCTCCATAATTTGTGTTCAGCAATGTCAGTTGTTAGGGAAATTTTAAAAAGCAACACATAGTTCCTACATTGGATATCTAAATTGTTAAAAGGAACTTTGTTGTAACTAGAATCATGACCACTGTGGATTGATTTTTTAAATGTCAGATTTATGTAAACAGAATCCAAAGTTTTCTTATCAAAAGAATCCAAGGTTTTCTTGGAAAGTGCAAAAAGGCCAATACTCTTTAAAATCTGCTTGCTGCTAATATGTTTGTATAAGTCTATTGTTAACAAGCTCATTAACACAAACACACACATGCATACACGCCCCTCATGGATGGGAGGAATTATTGTGCTGTAATTTCCAAAATGGAAAACCAATTTCAGGCAAGTCGTCCAGGTTGAAATAGCCCTATTTTCCCTCTCACCCTTTTCAGTCAATTTTCAATATTTATAAACTTATCTCTCGTGCTTAAGCTTTTGAATAAGTTATTCTCTCGAATCTAGCTAATATTTAAATATGAATTGTTTAATTAAAATATTCAGCAATTTTTAAAATATTCCTTGGGCACTTATTAAAAAATATGTATTTTCCACTGAAGACTCTAGACTTCCCTTGGTATGAATATTCACTTTTATTTTTCTGTTTAATTTATTTTTGATTATGCTATTAAGAAGAATAGATGTTAGTATTAGTCTCCAATCTTGTTTTTTACTTCTTTTTCAGGTTTTTACAGTATAATTGTTTCTAAGAGATCTTGGAGTCAGACTGCCAAGAGAGGAAACCAGTTTTTCTGCTTCATATACCGACGATTCTGAGACTCCATTTCACAACTGCTCTCTGCCTCAGTATGATCACCAAAAAACACAGATGATAATATTATCTTTGGGTAGTCTTTGTGAGGAGTTAGTATAGCATTTGTATAACTGCTTTCCATTTTACCTGTCTGGGACAGGAAAAAACAAAGATGGTTAGTTACTGATTTGATCCTGTGTTACTAGATATTTAGAAGGTGCCAGTGAAAACTTCCATTTCTTTTCTCCTTTTCTTTTTTTTTTTTTTTTTTTCTGAGACAGGCTCTTGCTCTCTCACCCAAGCTGGAGTGCAGTGGCACAATCATACCTCGCCGTAGTCTTGAACTCCTGGACACAAGTGATACTCTTGCCTTCCTGCCTCAGCTTGCCAAGTAACTGGAACTACAGGCATGCACCACCAAGCCTGCTAATTTTAACATTTTTGTGGAGACAAATTTCCAAGAACGAATGCAAACACACAGAGTTGACAAAATGATAAGTAGAAATTTTAACATGTCTGAAGAGACAAAAAGAAAGGAAAAATGCAGGCCTAATAACACAGATTGTGATTCCTTTAATATCTAGACCTTAAATTGGATATACACTTCATTCCTAAATGTGTAATAATATTCTTTGTGCTTCTAAATTATTTGACTAATGTCAACAGAAAAGCACCAGCATATGCTAATGGATGAGTTCAATGCTGCATTTATGGAAAATTTTCTTATTCCCAAAATAGCTGAAATTGAATCCTATTCCACTGTCTGTTCTTGCTATACGCTGAAATTTTTAAAACTGATGTTGAAGTGAAAGGTGAATTCCCGTTTGCTAGTATGCAAAAAAAGACATATTCTTTTTCATTGTTTTGCAATGTTTTTCCTTGTTTAACCTCTCCATAATTTGTATTCAGCATTTTCAGTTGTTTCATAGGGAAATTTTAAAACCCAATACATATGTCATACAGTAAATGTCTAAACTGTTAAAAGAGCTTGGTCATACCTAGGATCGTATAAATATGGATTTATTTTTTAATGCTAGATTTAAATATACAGAACCCAAACCTTTTATCAAAATCATCCAAGGTTTTCTTGGGAACCACAAGAAGGCCAATACGCCTTAAAATCAGGTTGCTGCTAACCAATACTTTTATATGACTTTATTGTTAACAAGCTCATAAACACAAAAACACACACTTAAACCCATTGGGGTTGGAAGGAATTATTTTCTTTTAATTTAAAAAAATGAAAAAATGAGTTTCCAGAAGGTCATCCAGGTGGAATTAGTTCTGTTTTCCCACTCAGGGTTTTCAGACCAGAATAATATTTATCAAACATATTTCTCATGCTTAGGCCTTTGGTAAAGTTACTCTCAAGTCTATTTAATGTTTAAATATTAATTATTTAATTAAACTATTCAGCTGTTTTGTAAATACTCTTGACTCCCTCATCCTTTGATATATTATCTTGCAGTGTCCTCCTGCCATAGGCAGGGTGACTACCTTGACCTTGGAATCTGAGCTCACTCATGTAATTTGCTTTGATGAACTGGAAATTAGTAAATTTTGTATACGTCTTTGAGATGGCTTCCACATTGGAGTTTCTTGCTCTTCTCCATTTACCACAAGCACATCCCCACACTAGTACACCATTCCCAGAAGCAGAATGAGAATGAGATCACCCCCTCCAGATGTAGCCTAAATTGGCCAAACTCTAACTTCAAGATGCAGAACATGGCCCATCTCAAATTACCAGAGTGATCCACCCAAACCCAGCTTAGGAAAATGGAATCTAAAGACATGTGAGATATAAATATCTAATGTAGTTTTGGAGAAGTTTCTTTTTAAAATGATGCTAAATGATAGAAATACTTTGCTAAGCCAAGAGAGTGGGAAATATGTCTACCCTTGTTGTGTCAAGAATCCTGAAGCCAAGGGAAAAATAGATGAGGAATATCAAAGTTTTGTCATGTGAGGTGCATAATTAAAGCTGAAAGAAAAAAACTGAAATAAAGCTACGGAAAAATACGGGGTTGGCAGGTGACATGATGTCAAATTTCTACAAGTTGTAACTAAAATAAGAAAGTTTCTACTTCAACTCTCTAGAGTTGTATAAGAATGCATATAAGTAGTTTCTTTTCCCCTTAGTACGTAATGAGAAGATTAATAATTTCTATGAGACATTTCTCCTAATTCAAAATTTTTATATTAAAATTATAATGCATACATAGAAATGTGCCAAAACAAAACTGGAAAACTGGGAAATAGAGCAATGTATCATAAACAGTCGAGTAACCATCATGTAGGGCAAGACAAGGAACACTGCAAACAGCCTAGTTCCACCTCCATGACACTTTCCAAGCCTCTATACCTTTCTTCATATCTCCTGAGGTAAGCAATATCCATTATTTGTGATGATCATTTCCTTGATTTTCTTTATACTTTATCAACAAGGTATGCAACCCTAAACTCAATAGCTTGGTTTGGCCTGCTTTGAACTGTGTATAGGTGCAATCCTATATGTTCTTATTCATGGCTTCCTGGACTTAACATTATGAATCTGAAATTTAATCAGACAGATGCATGTACATGTGATTTATTTCTTTTCATTTCTCTATATTGTTTAATTTTATGAATTTACTATAATTATCTATCCTTAGTTGATATATACTTGGACAGCTTCTTTTATGAACTATTATGAATAATGCTACTATGAGCATTCTTTCATATACATTTGCTACAATTCCTTTGCATATATGCCTAGGTATAGAATTATAGGGTCCTTGATTAAGATGTACAAATTCTGCCCACAGACATAGAAAAGTCCAAAAAATACTTTAACTAAATTTATTTCTGTAACTCCAGTCTCTTTATTACTATTTGCATATATCTTATCAATTACACCTTTAGTCCAACAAGAAGATACTATTATTTTAGATGGTAAACATTCACTTATAATTATGTACATATTTATCATTTTCATTAATTTTTATTCCTTCTTGCATGCTCAATTTTGTATTTTTGGTAGTTTATATTTTATCTGAAAAAATATCATTTTTAATTTCTGTCTATAAAAGTCTACTGTTCCTTGGAAACACACTGAAGATATGATTCCATTGAATTCCCGCTTTCATATTTTCTGTTGAAAATCAGTTTGTTATTTAGAATGTGGCTCTTTTTAACATAATCTACCTTTCACCTCTAGCTACTTTTCAGATTTTCTATTGGTCTTTGATGTCCTGTGTCATTTTATTTTAAATTTTTTAGTTATCTTGTCCAAAATTTGATGGCTCCTAAATATATAGAGATGGAAATATATACATTTCATCATTTTTGGAAAAATTTCCCAAACATTGCTTTTGCCCCATTTCTCATCTCTAATCCTCCAGAACTCCAGAAGTATGTTAGATATTCTGACCATAGCGTCAGTGTCTCTTACCCTCCAGCCTTGTATTTTTCTGGAGTTGTTAGTACTCTAGCCATGAAAATAGTAACAATTTTCTTCTATTCCCAACTCTGGTCAGATAATAGAATAAAAGCTTGGTCTAGCCATGTTCCTGCAATTTTAAAGAAACCGGATATTAATTTGATGTGAGTAGCTTTTTCTGGAAAACAGCTTGTCTGTTGCTGGGTCCTCACACAAACTCTCCTCATATGGAAATTCAATAAGCAGCTTTGGATCTCAAAATGCAATTCCAATAAATAAAAAATAGTCCCTAAACCACAACTACATCATTCTATTTTATGAACTAATTTTTACTTTGTTTATGTTGTAGAAATGGGGCTCTGTGACTTTGAACTCCATCATTACCCAAGCGAGATAGAGAAGATGTGAGGGCTTACTTCTGTTTGATTTATTTAATCTAAAATCCTCTCTTTAGGAATAAGAGCTTGATCATGAAACAGTTTAATTGCCTTTCTAATTAAGGAATTTTATTTACACTAAAATCAAACTCTTTCTTATAGCCTTCAATGGATTAGTTTAAGGTCATCTACAATTACTTGCTTAAGCAATGCATTTTAAACTAAACTTCACTTAATTTCTAAATCTAAATGTATTCAGCTTGACTTGAGCTTTGCTTTTACTAATGCAAATTTCCCAAAATGATAATCTTTTAAAAATGTCTTAGACATTATCAAAATCATGTACAATGAAAAATAAATCATTTAATGAGATAGGTGTAGATGATTGATGATGATGTTGATGTCAGCTAAAAGGGACTATTTTATTCTGTAAATGTGACTTCAATCATGTTTCCTAAGTGCTGGAATTCAGGGCAATGGGAGAACACTATTTTAATTTTTCTTCATGGCCTTATAATTCTTATATTATTCTCAGTATCAGGTCTAGACAAACACCCTCAGGTAATATTTCATCAAGAATAACTTAAAACCAACATATTCCCAATGATTTACTTGATATTGTTTCATTTTACCACATTCTAAAGTGTGGTACAATAAAAAATACTTCGCCTTAATCAGGTAATGCCATATTCAGCCAAAGTAATTGTACTTTATAATCCTAAGAGTAGTGTATGAAAATTTCTATTGTGTCATATCCTTTCCAAAATTAGTAACATCAGATTAAATTTTACACTGATATTTACATACACTATTATTAAAGTTAACATTTTAGAAACATTTTTCTATTATAATTCAGAATGTATTTTTAGTTCAAAAAATTATGTTGCTTTTTAATTACATGACTGATTTCATGCACATTTATTAAGAATGAATTATATATTCCATATATTTATTCATATTTCTTTATTAATTTCTCTATTTTTTCTTGAAGTTTCAAATACTCTTGTTATGAGCAGGTGTAATTATACTACACATATTTCTTTAATCAATCATTATGTCAAATGAATTTGAGAAATTATGATTAGTTTGTAGCATATTGTAAGGGAAATTTCAGGATTGTTTAACAACTCCTAAAAGAACTCAAAGGAAAAAAATGTTAAAATGTAAAAGTAGTCTATAAGTTTAACGTAGGTGTCCACAGGAAAAAATAAATTCTACCATTACTAGCACAAAAAAAGATTGGTAATAAACCTACCATGTCTGAATTTTTTTAAGGCAGGCGTATTATCACTGGACAAGATTCTCTGTAAGGTCCTGACCTTAAATTCTATGTGCACCTGATTTCTGAATGTGCAGTAATGTTCTTTTTCCTTTTACATTCTCTGACCAGTGTCAAACAGGAAAGCACCAGGGTGTGCTAATGGATGAGTTTGAGGCTGTCTTTATGGAGAACACAATAATTCCCAAAACAGCTCAATTAAATTTCTATTCAAACACTATGTCCTGGCTATAAGATGAAATTTTTCATGCTGTTGTTGAAGTGAAAGGTGAATTCTCATTTGCTAGCATGCAAATACAGACATATTTTCCTTCATTGTTTTGCAATATTTTTCCTTGTTTAACCTCTCCATAATTTGTGTTCAGCAATGTCAGTTGTTATGGAAATTTTAAAACCCAACTCATAATTCCTACATTGGATGTCTAAACTGTCATATGGAACTTGGTCATAACCAGAATCATGACCACTGTGAATTTATTTTTTCAATGTCAGATTTATGTAGACAGAATCCAAAGTTTTCTTATTAAAAGACTCCAAGGTTTTCTTGGGAAGCCCAGGAAGGCCAACATTCCTTAAAATCTGGTTGCTGCTAACTAATACTTTTGTATAACTTTATTCTTAACAAGCTCATTAACACAAACTTATGTGCCCACACACATACATGCTCCTCATGGATGGGAGGAATTATTGTCCTGTAATTTCCAAAATGGAAAATGAATTTCAGGCAGGTCATCCAAGTTGAAATAGCCCTAATTTCCCAATCATGTTTTCAGCCCATTTTCAATATTTATAAACTTGTGTCTCATGCTTAGGCTTTTGAGTAAGTCATTTTCTTGAGTCTAGTTAATATTTAAATATGAATTGTTTAATTAAAATATTTAGCAATTTTGTAAATATTCCTTGGGCACTTAAAAAACATGTGTATTCCATTGAAGAGCCTACACTTCTCTGTATGTGAATTTTCACTTTTATTTTTCTCTAATGTATTTTTTATTATTTAATGGTTTAAGATGAATAGATGTTAAAAATCGGTCTTCAATATTGGATATTATTTCTTTCCAGTTGTTATAGTATAATTGTTTCTAGGAGAAGATCTTGGAGTCAGTCTGCCAGGACAGGAAGCCAGATTTTCTGCTTTATATAGCTATGATCTGAGACTCCATTTTACGAATTCTCTCTACCTCAGTATAATTATGTATAAAACGCAGATGATAATAATACTCTGGGTAGTCCTTATGAGGTGCTAGTATAGTATATGTATAACTGCTTTCAATTTTACATGTTCAGTGCAGGCAGGAACCGAGGATTATTAGTTATTCTTTCGATTCTGTGTTACTTGATACTTAAAAGATACCAGTGAAAACTTCCACTTTTCCTTTTTTGTTTTGAGAAAGGATGTTGCTCTGTCGCCTAGGCTGGAGTGCAGTGGTAGTTCACTACAGCTTTGTACTCCTGGGCTCAAGAGATCCTCCCACCTCAGCTTCTGGAGTAGCTGTGACTATGGGCGTGCACCAACACAGCCAGCTAATTTTTCAGTTTTTTTGTAGAAATGGGGTCTCCCTATGTTGCCCAGTATGGTCTTGAAAACATGGGCTCATACGATCTTCCCACCTTGGTCTCCCAAAATGCTTGGATACAGGCGTGAACTGCACCTAGCTGAGAACTTCCATTTTTGAGCAGAATACAGAAGGTTCAGAAAGGCAAGATATCCTTCTGCAACAACTAGGATAAGAGTAATAAAAGGCAAAAATTATATATTCAATTCATCACAGAGTTGTACAAGCAAGGAGGGCCAGCTGAACTGAAATCCAGCACAAGGAGAGTCTTTGCAGGTGAAGGGTCAACTTATATACTCAGTGCAATCCCTATCAAATCCCAACAAGCCTGTTTTGCAAAAAGTGAAAAACCAGTCCTAAAATATATCTGAAAATACCCAGTGACCAGATCACCAAAATAAATCTTGATAAAATAACACATTTGGAGGATTACACTTTCTGGTTTCAAAGCTAACTACAAAGCTGCACTAATCAGAATTCTGTGGTACTGGCATTACAGTAGACAAAAGAACAATGAAACACAACTGAGAGTCCAGAAATTAACACTGACATTGATGGTAATTGATTTCAAAAATGGTACCACTGCAGTTCAATAGGAATTAATCATTTTTTCAACAAATGATACTGAGAACATTGAATATCCACATGCATAAAGATAAATTTCTATTCTTATTTCACACCATACACAAAAAATAACTCATATTTAATTGATTATAGAGCTAAATGTAAAAAGTGAGATTAGTAACTAAGATACTAAAACATACTAACTGTACAATTGCAAGTAATACAAGTGGGTTAATCAACCATAATTCTATCTGTGTATTTCTCTACTTAGATCATTATGTCTATAATAATAATAATCCCCTGCCTATCAATCTATTGATATTAAAATTACTATTTTAAATAAAACTAAATTAGATGCTGGGCTACCCTCAATCTCATTTAGTGGAAATTCAAGCAAAAATATTATTGATTCTCCCTAGATTTTTATTTTTTGAGACATGGTCTCACTCTGGAGCCTAAACTGGAGTGCAGTGGTTTGAGATTGGCTAACTGCAATCTATAGCTCCCAGCCTCAATCTGTTTCCCACCTTGGCCTCCCAAGTAGCTAGGACTACAGGTGGACACCACTATACCTGGCTAATTGTTGTATTTTTACTAGAGACTGGGTTTCACCATGTTTCCCAGGTTGGTCTCCAATAATTGGGCTCAAGAAATCTGCCTGCCTAAGCCTCCCAAGGTGCTCAATTACAGGCTTAAGCCACAGCATCCACCCTGGTACTGTTACTTCAAAATGTACATTTGACATTTGAAGGAAAAATATTTACATAATGTGCTATATGCCAACATGCGTGAATAAATAAATAATATAAATGGATAATCAGCCTTATTCCTGTCTGTTGAATCACTTGGCTACATTGTCAGTAAAGAGATTACATGAGATCACCAACACAACAGGCATCATTGTAGAGATTGAAGAATTGAGACCTTGGGCAGTCTGATATTTTCAGTTTAGAGACAAAAGAGAACTAGCAAAGGAGATTGAGAAGTAGTGCCCAGTGGATAAGGATAAAATCAGGAGAGGGCAGCATCCTGAAATCTAAATAAACTAAGTTCAATGCAGCTAATAGAGCATGCAACATGATGACTAACCTTGGGAACATAGACTCTCTGGTGATCTTGCAAATGTCAGAATCAATGAACTGATGACAGCATCAGCTTCTTGGAATGAGTTCATAAGCCAATAGTTAAAGAGGCTTCATACTTTGAAAAATACTTATAAACCAAGAGCAAGCCTTTTCACTTCAAAGGCTGAAAAACTGATTCCTGAGGTCAGCCTTTGAAGTGGAAAATCAAAGAACCTCAACCTGTTGTCAGGACTGAGCCAATTCCGAGAACAAGAATTCAATAATTGAAGGAAAGTGTAAGTCCCCTTGAAAAGGATGCTGAAAATTCACCACAAGAATATTCAGGACGTATTCATACGGTGCTTTCTCAAAGACCTGTAGCCATTTCCCAGATAACAGTACCCAGAGGAAAGGACACACATCCACACCATCTGAGACTTTTAGGTATAGGGCTCTTACAGTAGATAGTTAGTCAGGCATGAGCGGGGCAGAAGAAGGCTCTCACCACCCACCAGGAATGTCAGGTGGCCATCAGGTGATGGCCTGGCAGTTGTCACACTGCCTCTCTAAAAATGATAATTGCTCACAGGCACCAGGGAGAGGCAATTTCACAATAAGTAAAGATGCTTAAAATTGCTAGTCAGCAGCTCAGGAATAGGGCGAGTAGGCTGAGGCATACGTGTTAAGAGAGAAAAGGGTAGAAAACAACCTTCTGGGGGCATTCCACCAAAAAAGGGAAGAATGCCTCATGCAAGCATGTGTACAACTCCAGTAAACACACTGCGCATGCTCACCTCCAAAGTGTTAGCAGGCCACCACACATGTGAGCAGCCCACCCTAAGGGGCTGAATCATGGGAAAAGGAACACAAGACCCTAAGGGAAGAATCGTGGGAAAAGGAACACAAGACCCCAGAAGTATACCAACATATAAAACCACAAGTCAAAGGTCTAACACTGCACTTGACCTCCAAAATGCCCACTGTGGTCTCTTCCAAGTGTACTTTCCTTTCTTTCCTGCTCTAAATCTTTTTAATAAACTTCCATTGCTGCTCAGAAACTTCCCTCAGTCTCTTTTTCCGCCTTATGCCCCTCAGTTGAATTCTTTCTTCTGAGGAGGTTAGACTTGAAGTTGCTGCAGACTCGTACCAAATTGCCTCCAGTAAACCAGATATTGGCCACTCCAACAGAGCCTGAACTAACAGTAATATCTGGGTACTCAAAAGACACTGCAGTCCATGAGATGAAGTGGGAGATTTTTTAAAATTTTCTTTTTGTGTGTGTGTTATTTGCATTTGGGTTTTTTAGATACACAGTCTCAATCCTTCACTTAGGAGGTATGTAGTACAGTGGCAAATCATAACTCACTACAGCCTTGAATTCCTGGGTTTGTAACAGAGTGCCCCATTTTTTCTAAGAAACAGGGAATGAGTTACTATTTTTTTATTATTATTTTCTCTTATCTCCCCTTTCCTTTTGTTCCCTGTTTCCTGCTTAGCCCTTCATAAATGCAAATATAACCTTTCACCCCCACTCACTAGACATTCCCTGCAGGGCACGTTCTTCTAACTATGTGCAGCAAGACAGATCTCTTCTGAGAATTGACAGTCAATTTGCAGACCAAAGCACACCCACCAAGGAATGTTTACCTCCAGGAAATGGACTTGGAACTTCCAGACTGTGCTCCACTCTGGGAGTTGCCTGAGGACTTTCACCCAACAGAAGGGCATATTGAAAGCATACCCACTTGGCCACTTTTACAAGTTACTTCTGCACAGGAAGGCACCAATTCAACTGTCTGATAGATAAGGCACCAAGCCTGCATGAGGACCCTCTACCCTTGCTCAGTATCCCTCCTTACCTTATAAAAGTGTCTGCTTTCTGCTCCAAAGGTGAAGTGGTACACTTAAAGGCAAGACACTTTGTGCTCCTTCCCCAAGCTAGGTTTGGAATAAATTCATTACTTTTGTACCAGACCTCACTTTTGTTAACTGGACACTGCATGCGGCCAGCAACGGACTCGCATATTGGTTATAGGTCCAAAGGAGTCTCCTGTCTCATCTTTCTGGGTAACTGGGACTACAGGTGAGTACCACCATGCCAAACTAATTTTTTGTTGTTGTTTTTTCTGTTTTTTAGTTTTTGTACAGACAGGCTGTCACTGTGTAGCCCAAGGTGGTCTGCAACTCTGGGCCTCAAGAGATATTCCCACCTCCGCCTCCAAAAGTGCGGGGACTGCGGGCATGAGCCATCATACCCAGCCTGCAGAGGGAGTTTTGAAGGTCAGATGCTACCTAGAGTTTTGACTCATGTCCATCCCAAGGTGGATCTAATCAGTTTGCCGTTATTGCCTCTTCTTGAATGTGTAATGGACACACATGGCAGCTGGCAGGACTCTCACTTTCTTCCTGACCTGTAGAGTCAGGGACATTATTAGAGCAGAACCAAGGGGAAGCCTGTGAAATTCTCCTCCACTGGCAACAATGATTGAAAAATAATAATCACATTCTCCAAGGAATGGAATTGATCACTACCATGACAAAACACTTGAAAGTTGCAGGGGATGGTAGTCTTTTTATATGCCTATCCACTTAACCTATCTGGCCTCTACCAAAACCAGATACACTATAAAATGAATGCAGATTTCCATAAATTTAAATCACTACTTACAAATGCTCTCTAGGATGTGGTATCTTCCCTGAGCAGAGCAGAGCTCCTGGCAGTTTGCATGTGGCTCTTGATTTAGTGAATGTTTCTTATTTTACACCCATGGGTGGGTCAGCAGATTAAAACAATTGGCCTTTGTGTGGTAAAAACAAGAGCACTGCTTCACTGTTTTATGTCAGGGCTTTGTCACTTCTGCTCTCAGTTTAATTTACATTTTGGAAAACATCATGTTAATTTAATATATTAATAATGTTACGGTAATTGGTACAATAACCAGGAAATGGAAAGTTACCTAATTATAGTAAAATACTTAAACATTAAATAGAAATAAAATATCAGAAGAAAGAGACATGCCTGAAAATATTTAGAGAACACCAACGCAGATATTGTTTTCAGGGGTCCCATATTCCTGGTCCACATGTTGAAAAATCAATTAATTAATTTATTTATTTATATTTGAGATAGAGTCTCGCTCTGTTGCCCAGGCCGGAATGCAGTGTTGCAATCCCGGCTCACTGCAAACTTCGCCTCCTGGGTTCAATCAATTCAAATCCTTCAGCCTCCTGAGTAGCTGGGTTTACGGGCATTGGCCACCATGCCTGGCTAAATTTTTTTGTATTTTTTTTTAAGTAGAGATGGGGTTTCACCATGTTGCTCAGGCTAGTCTCAAACTCCTGGCCTCCAGTGATCTGCCTGCGTTGGTCTCCCAAAGTGCTGGTATTACAGGCGTGAACCACCATGCCGAGCAGAAACATCCTGTTTAAGGTAAATGGCTTCCTATATACTTCCTATCACTAAAAGAGAAGCACGGCGTTTATTGAGCCTCTAGGGATTTTGGAGTCCAAAAATACCACAGTAGAGGATATTGCTCTGATGTGTTAATAAAGTCCTTTTTAAATCCCTGTTCAGTTAACCTACCTAGCCTCTGCCAAAACCAGATGGGTTACAGAATGAATGCAAAGACTCCTGGTTTCAAGTGGAATCCAGAACATATAATATCTCTACAGCAGATACAGGGTCTGGCCCAACCTGCTCGGCCCATTGTGCCAGATGATCCAGCAGAATTCAAAGCTGCTAGAGGCATGCAACGTGGGCATCATAGGACTCTGTGCCTGTCTCCATCAAGCCCGTAGGAGAGGAGAAAGCAAACCCCTAGGGAATTACTGCAGAACTATTCCCTCTTCAGTGGAGGATTATCCGCTGTCTGAAAAATAAAAATGCAAGTGCAGAACATTAATCCAAGCAAAAAGCCCCTCAAGCACAAGACCCCGTGCAACTACACAAGGCATCTGCTTATAAAACCAGCCACAGTTGGAGGGCATGAGCACATCTGAGTGGCACAAGGAGGGGACTATATTGGACACAAACATGTGCTTCCTCAGATTCCCTTGACTGTCTCCTGTTCCCATGGTCAGCACCTTGCCTGATCTAGATCATCCTTCCACCTGGGACTTGAATGTATCTGTGGGCATGAAGTCTTGTAACAGAAAAGCTTAGTTGCTCACTTCATGTAAAGTCTAATTAACAAGAACAAGGTCTGATATAAAAATAGAGAATTTATTTGGAAGTTAGCTTGCTGGAAGGGGCACAAAGCATCCTGCCTTCCAACGTGACACTTCATCTTTGGAGCAGAAAGTGAACGTTTTATAAAGTAGGGAAGGAAATGAGCAGGACAGCAGTTGTAAAAGTGGCCACGTGGGCATCCTTTCCACATCCCCTCCTAATGGATGTGAGGTCTAAGGGGAACCCCTGGAGGTGAGAGTTCCATGAGGGCATACTTTTGTCTGCAAATCAACTGTCAAGTCTCAAGGAGAGATCCCTCGTGGAGCACATAGTTAGATGAACTCGCCCGAAGGGACTGTCTGGTGGGGGGAAAGTAAACAGTTCTATGTGCATGTCTAAAAAGTTAAGTAGAAAGCGGGGAAACATAGGGAAAGGGGAGAGGAAAAGAGAAAAAATAAATTAAAAAAAAACTATCTCTTAGAAAAATGGGGGTATTGGTTAGTGTGACTTTCCCAAACAGCCACCAAGGGGTTGGATAATGTAAGGAAGAAAAGCAAAGATGGTAGTTCTGCCTCAAACAAACTTTGGCCAAAGGGAAATAGAAGACAGAAGACAGCTAGGATACATTCTCCCTTTTCTCTCTTCCACGGACTAATATTTGTTGTGGCTTCCCCTTGTAACCCTTCTGGAAAAGTATGGAGAGCCAAGTGCATGCATCTGATGACCACCATGCTGTCTGTCTCACTAATTGTGAAGTGGCCACCAGCAAAATCATATCAACATCACGACACATGGTTTTACATCTTCTTTTGCCTCAGTTTCCACATTTACCCCTCATTGCTGCCCTGGACTTGCCTTCCCAAATAAATGTCATCACTGTAAACTCAGACATTGGCTCTAGTTTTAGACACCAAAAGCTAAGATATACATTCAGTTGCATCACTTTTCCATGCGTTTATAACATGGCAATTAAAACATTCATTTAGAAAGGATACTAAAAAAATATACAAATAATGTGTAAGAAAGGTGACTGGTTACAAACTCAATTTTTAAAAATGAAATGCCTTTTTGTGTATATGATAACCAGCTAGAAAATATCATAATACAAATATATCATTCATAGTAGAAAGTGATTAGGTACATTTCCAACCAACTTAATCAGTTGCAAAGTTTGCTAGCTTTTATTTTTACTTCTTTTGAGTTTACTTCTTTTGTATCAGCAAAGCATTGAAGGCAGCATAAGTCATACTGAAGGAGAAAGAGACGTTCCCTAAAAACAAAAGTGTGTTTGGCAGCTGCTGGGAAGTTCCCTAACATTCTTGTCATGGGGTCTGCTAGCCCCGAGCAGCTGGCACTCACAGGTGACCCTGACCCTGTGCAAATATACCAAAATCTTTAATATGCTTTTCAAAAAGCATTAGAATAAGTGCCATCTAATTTTGACGTTCCACCTTGTCTCTACTTCACACACCTGATATAGCTGCATCAAAGCTATATTACAGTGATATTTCCCCTAGAATTGTGGACTAGCCAAACTTTTGCTCTGAGAAATGCTTCTTCTTCAAAAAGCCTATAACCTCAACCTGAAAATAGAAAATTCAAGCAACTGCAGATTTTATGATGAGCTTCATTTTCACTGATTTACCACATCAAATTATCCATTTATCCAATCACTTATGTGTTCATTAACATATCATTTTTGACCAACTATTCTTTGTGCTGGCTTTTAGGTCCTGTGAGTCAAGAGAAAGCGAGACAGATATGACCTCTCTTTTTATGGTGATTACATTGTACTAGGGAGGACGTATGATAAGCGATATATATATATATATATATATATATATGTCTATAGATATAGATATAGATACATAGATATATATATGATGTGGAGTTAACTTATTTTAAGTTCTACATAATAATGTTAAAATTTCATAACACCAAGAATTAACACAGTCACACAGAATTTAGCTCTTCAACAAGGCTGTACATTTCCTTCTTATAATAGAACTTGGTATCAATGGATACATCAACACACTGTGTAATTTCACCATTTACACCATTATAATAATACATATCATTAATACATTTCCTATCAATTATATAGATTTCACAGATTTTTATGTAATTTTTACATAATTTTTAACATTTGAGGAAAGTTTCATTTGATTATCTTCTATAGTTTCTATACCCTCCTTTGATTGGCCTGTTTTTTTAAGATAGAGAATATTTGAGTTTTTTTGAGGAATATTAGGAATGGGAGACAAAGGAGAAAATTGGAAATTCAGGGGCTCAAGGTGGCTAAGAAAAACAAATGGAAATACTTGACATCAGATGTCAACTTCACAAAAGGTTTCCTTTAATTCAAAAAGTGGAAGCAATGACTTTTCTAACTACAGATAAAAAAATTATAACAGCACTGAAATGATCATCAGCATGTTTCTTCATTCCTATTATAGAAATGATTTTTATTCTAGGCTATTCACATACTGGTATTAAATCTAGTATTCTTTAGTACTGTTTTGGTATACATATACAAAATTTACTCTACATATGTTTTTCACTCCAATTTTATTGTGTGCATCATTAACTAACAACAATTCTATTTGCTTTCTACTAAGCATAAAATAAGAATTCATAATGAAATAAAACCTACCCCAAAGATCCATTCTTATCATTGATTTAAAATTGAATGTCTTTACCATCCAAAAAATTAGAGGTTCACCAATGATAGTTAAGCACATATATGTGGTACAAATTACAATGGAAAAGAGAAATGATTTCTTCATAAAAGCTGTACGTTCTTAATTATAAAGAGAGATAATAAATTCTTCAAATGAAATACTATACAATGAACTATAATAAAATATAAATACTATATATGTGAAATATACTCAGCTTCATAATTTATGGTCAACGTTGTTATTCACACACATGCACACATATACACCCATAAATATATATATGACTTTTCTAGGTATCTGTTTTGAAATTACTCACATACAAACACTATGGAAAAACTGATAGAAATATAAAATGTTCCAGACACCATCAGTTTGTTTTCTGCTAGAAGACCCACGATGCTCCCCTTGTGAATCTATGGAGTTGAGGGTTTCTCTTCTTTCACTCAGCGTGTCATCTGCCACAAAACTGAAAGAAAGGTCTGTTTTAGCTTCCTACTTCCCATAATCAGGATGAATGAGTGGAATGAAGGATACATGATTGCAACAGTTTGGCAAAGCAGGAGTACAAGTTTGCTCTGCTGTGTCCTAAGATTCCAAGTTGATGTGATTATACACAGAAAGTAAATGGCAAATAACATGAGGAAGGAGGTCACAGTTTGCAAAGCTTTTATATGGACCTTGGTGCTGGGATCTTGAGATCCTTTGCTATGGAGCCGCATCTTCTTGAGATGTTTACAAAGAGAACAGATTAACAGCAGAAAACATATTAGGCTCAGAGTAAAGGGTATGAGGTTTGCTAGAGTAGTTACAGTCAAGCTTGAAAGGTGTATTGCATTCCTCAATTTGATCTTCCAAGTCACATTTCCTTCATATTCTTTTGTCCACACTCTCTCATCCATGGTTATCACAGCAAGATTACAAATCAGAAATACCAAGGGCCCCAACAGTATCACCAGAACAACACTCTTAATTCTCTTCTTTAGGTGGAGAGAAATAAGGTTGGAGAAATTGGCAATCTTGAGCAAACAAAATATGCTGAGGCTAGCAGCAAGCCACATGCTGAAATGGTTCGTTACAGCCCAGGCATTAGAAGCAACAATTCTTACTTCTAAACCATATAAAGCAGAATTAAACACAGTTGCATACCAAAGGAATAACATGACCCAGAGTAAACCAATTCTGGAGACCACCAGAGCAGTGAGAATTTGCTCAGCTGAGGAGATCTTTCGTGTGTTAACCCAGTCAATGACATTTACTAGGGCTATGAAGCCATTGGCAACATTTCCAAGAACAAATGCAAACACTACCAGAATTGATGAAATGATGAGCAGAAAACACATCATGTTTGAACAGATAAAAAAATGCAGGCTTAGTAACACTTGTTCTGAGTCCTTTAACATCCAGATGTTAACTTCGATGAACACTTGATTACTAAATGTGCAATAACATTTTCTGCCTTTAAATTCAGTGACTAGTGTCAACAGGCAAGCACCAGCATATGCTAATAGATGAATTCAAAACTGTCTTTATAGAAATAGAAAAGGTCATTATTCTCAAAACAGCTCAAATTCACTCCTCTTCATATACATTCTCTCCTTGCTATATGCTGTACTTTTTTATACTGAGGTTGAAGTGGAAAATGAATTCTCATGTGTTAGTATGCAAAGAAAGGCATATTATTTTTCATTGTTTTGCAATTTTTTTCCTTGTTTAACCTCTCCATAATTTGTATACAGCATCTTCAGTTGTTCCATAGGGAAATTGTAAAACCCAATACATATATCATATAGTAAATGTCTAAATTGTTAAAGGAGCTTGGTCATAACTAGGATCATACCAATATGGACTTATTTTTATGCCAGATTTAAATACCAGATTCTAAACCTTTTATCAAAATCATCCAAGATTATCTTGGAAATCCCTGGGAGGCTGATACACTTTAAAATCTGGTTTCTGATAACCAATAAATTGATATGACATCATTGTTAATAAGCTCCTAAACACATAGACACACATGCACTCACACCCTTAGGGCATGGAAGGAATTATTTTCTTATAATTCCCCAAATGGAAAATGAGTTTCCAGGAACTCATCCAGGTGGTATTAGTCTTATTTTCCAACTCAGGGCTGTCAGACAATGAATAATATTTATCAAACATGTTTCTCAAGCTTAGGCCTTTGGTATATTTACACTCAAGTCTGTTTTGTTTAAACATTAATTATTTAATTAAAATGTTCAGCAATTTTGTAAATATTTCTAAGTACCCTACTCTTTGTCACATAATCCTGCAGTACCCTCCCACCTCAGGCAGGGTGACTACCTTGACCTTGGACTCTGAATTCACTCACGTAATTTGCTTCAGTCAACAGGAAATTAGTAGAATTTACAGAGATTTAAGATGGCTTCCATATTGAAGTTTCCTGCTCTTTTCCACTAACCATGAGGACATCATCTGGCTAGCACACTGTTCCCAGAAGAAGAAAGAGAAACTAATGGAGTCAGAATGCCACTGCCTTATCTACCCTAAATCAGCCAAACTAGCGGCAAGATGCAGTACGTGGCCCATCTCCAATCACCAGAGCCATCCACCAAACCTAGGTTAGAAAAATGTAATCCAAAGACATAATGATACACAATTATCTAACTCAGTTTTCTCTTGCAGAAAAACATAAGTGATGTAGGTATTCTGCTAAATCAGGAGTGTGGGAAATATGCCCACCATTGTTGTGTCAGGAATTCAGGATCGAAGGAAAAAATAGAGAATGTCCAAGTTTTGTCATATGAAGTGGGTAATTAAACCTAAAAGAAAAACCTATTCAGAAATCTGTGGTTGGCAGGTAACATCATGTCAAGTTTCCTAAAGTTGCAACTAAAATCAGAAAGTTTCTACTTAAAATCTCTTAGAGTTACACATGAATGTATACAAATAGTGGATTTTTCCCTTCAGTATATAATGAGCAGAGTAATAATAATTTTCATGGACCATTTCTCCTAATTAATAATTTTTATCATATAGCTAGACTGCACACTTAGAAATGAACCAAAACAAAAATGGAAAACATAGCAATGTGTCATAAACACTCATGTAACCATCATGTAGGGCAAGACATGGAACATTGCTAAGAGCCTAAGTTTACCTCAATGCCACTTTCTAATTCCCTACACCTTTCTTCATGTCTCCTGTGATAAGCAACATCCCTAATTTATGATGGTCTTTTTTTAATATTCTTTATACTTTACCAATAAGGTATTCGACCCTAAACTCAATAGCTTGGTTTGGCCTGATTTGATCTATGTATAGGTGCAATCCTATATGTTCTTATTCATGGCTTCCTGGAATCAACATTTTGTATCCAAAATTTAACCCCATCATTGCATGTACATGTGATCCATATCTTTTCACTTCTCTATATTTTTTTCATTTTTTGATTTTACTGTAATTATTTATCCATCCTTATTTGATATATATTTGGACAGCTTATTTTTTGAGCTTTTATGAATAATGCTACAATGAACATTCTTTCACATATCATTTGCTACAATTCCTCTGTGTATATATATCTGGGTGTAGAATTACAGGGTCCTTGATTATGATGTTCAAATTCTTCTCACAGACATAGAAAAGCCCAAAACACAGTTTGACTAAATTTATTCCTGTTACCTTTATCTCCAGCCTCTTTATTGCTATTTGCATATATCTTATCAATTATACATTCAATCCAAGAAGACACTATTGTTTTATATAGTCAACATTTATTTAGAATTACACACTTAGTTTTCATTGTCATTAATTTTTTTTTTTTTTTTTGAGACATAGTCTCCCTGTCACCCAGGCTGGAGTGCAGTGGCACGATCTCTGCTCACTGAAAGCTCCGCCTTCCGGGTTTAGCCATTCTCCTGCCTCAGCCTCCGGAGTAGCTGGGACTGCAGGTGCCCGCCACCACGCCAGGCTAATTTTTTTTTATTTTTAGTAGAGACGGGGTTTCACCGTGTTAGCCAGCATGGATTGTCATTAATTTGTAATGCTCCTTGCGTGTTCAACTTTGTATTTTCAGTAATTTTATTTTATCTGAAAAATATCATTTTCAATTTCTGTTTATGAAGGTCTACTACTCTTTGGAAACACATTGAAGACATGATTCCCATTAATCCATTGAATTCCTGCTTCCATGTTTTCTGTTAAAATCAGGTTGTATTTAGAATACAGTTCTTTTCAACATACTCTATCTTCTACCTCTAGCTACTTTTCAGATTTTCTATTGGTCTTTTGCGTCCTGTATTATTTTATGTTAATTTGGTTTTAGTTATCATGCCTGAAGTTTGAGATTACTAAAAATATATTCAGGGATACATTTTATACCTTTTGGAAAAATCCTTGCAACATTTCTCTTGCTCTATTTTCTCTCCTCTAATCTTACAGAACTCCAGAAGTATGTTAGGTGTTCTGTCTGTAGCATCAATGTGTTACCCTCTAGCTCTGTGTATTTCCATCTCTTCCCTTCTATGCTTCATTCTGTGTAGCTATCTTCCAATTCACTTATTCTCTCTTGTACTGTATCCAACTGGTTAACTCTGTCTATTGGATTCTCAATATTGATAATTCATTTTTTCAGTCTTATTGTTTTAGTGTTCAGAATAATCTTTTATTCTCCTTCCATAAATCATTTTCTATGGGGAAACTGAACAAACTACTCTTAACACCATGTTCTTTTTAAAAGTGTTTTTGACTTTTGGAGTTTTTAGTTTTTTGTTTTACTCGATACTGTTTTACTTGATGTTTAAGATACCGGTGAGAACTTATACTTGTTTTTTTTTCTTCTTCTGAGACACAGTCTCCCTCTGTTACCCAAGCTGGAGTACAGTGGCAGGATCATAGTCCACTGCAGCCTGGAACTCCTGCGCTCAAGCAATCCTCCTGCCTCAGCTTCCCAAGTATTTGGAACTATAGGCATGCACCAACACACCAGCTAATTTTTTAAATTTTTTGTACAGACGGAGTTTCCACATGTTGTGAAGGGAACTCCTGCTCTCAAGGGATCCTCCCACCTTCGCCTCCCAAAGTGCTAGGACTGCAGGCATGAGCCATCACATCCAGCCTGCAGGGGGAGTTTTTGAAGGTCAGATACTACCTAGAGCTTCGGCTCATGTCCATTCCAAGGTGGAGCTAATCAGTTTGTAGTTACTACCTCTTCCTGAAAGTATAATTGAAATAGATATGTATGGCAGCCGGCAGGACTCACATTCTTCGTGAACTGTAGAGTAAAGGACATTATTATAGCAGGACCAAAGGGAAGCCTCTGAAATTCTCCTCTACTGGCAACAAAATATATAAAATATAATAACCGCATTCCCTAAGGAATGGAACTGGTCAGTGCCGTGACAAAACACTTGAAAGTTACAGGGGATGGTAGTCCTTTCTATAAGCCGATTCACTAAACCTATCTGGCCTCTATCAAAACCAGACGGGTTATAGAATGAATGCAGACTACCAGAAACTTAAATCAACACTCACAAATGCTTTCCAGGATGTGCTGTCTTCACTAAGCAGAGCAGAGCTTCTGGTACTTTTTACTGGGCTTGTGATTTGCTGAATGGTTCTTAATCTACACCCATTATGAGGAAAAATCAAAACAATTTGCCTTGTATCATAATAATAACACTGTGTCACTGTTTTATATCACGGCTATGTCACTTCTGTTTAATTTACATTTTTTAAAACATCGTGATTATTTAATATATTAATAATATTACAGACCAGGCCCTGTGGCACATGACTGTAATCCCATCATTTTAGGAGGCCGACACGGGAAGATCATTTGAGCCCAGGATTTTGAGACCAGCCTGGGTAACACTGTGAAATCCTAGCCCTACAGAAAATACAAAAATTAGCCAGGCGTGATGTTGTGCCCCTGCAGTCCCAGCTGCTAGCAATGCAGAGGTGGGGGAATCACTTGAGCCCAGAAGGTTGAGGCTGTAATGAGCTGTGATCCTGCCACTGAACTCCAGCCTCAGGGACAGAATGAGACCCTGTCTCAAAATAATAGCAATAATAATAATAATATATTACTTGGTACAATAATCAGGAAGTGGCAAGTTTCTTAACTATAGTAAAATACTCTAACGATGAATGGAAGTAAAATACCAGAAGAAAAGAAATCAACCTGAGAAGATTCAGGGACCTACAGCATAGGTGATGTTTTAAAGCATTCAGTGTCCCTAGACCACACGTTGAAACAATCTTTTTTACAGTATATGGCATGTTGCTCTCTCTATAAATTTCCTATCACTACAAAAGAGACACAATGTTTTGGGGGCCTATTGGGATTTTGGAGACAACATATTCCACATTTGAGAATATTGCTCTGACTCATTAATGAAGTTTCCCAGGCTGCTGGTCTCAAGTGGAATCCAGAACAAATGAGGGCTCTACAGAAGATATAGACTCTGCTCCAAGCTGCTCTGGCCACTGAGCCAGATGATCCAGCAGGATTCAAAGATGCTAGAACATACATAGTGGTCATTATAGGACTCTGTGCATGTCTCTGACAAGCCTGTTGGAGAGGGGAGAGCAAATCCCTATGGAATTAGTGTAAGACCATTCTCTCTTCAGCAGACAAGTATCCTCTGTCTGACAAACAAAATAGCAAGTGCAGAATATTAATCCAAGCATAGAGTCCCTCTAAGCACAAGTCCCTATAAGCACAAAACCCTATGCAACTGTGGACGTCATATGCTCATAAAGCCAGCCATGACTGGAGGGTATGAGCACGCCTCAGTGGCACAAGGAGTGGCGGTACTGGACACAAACATGTGCTTTCTCAGATTCTCTTCACTATGTCCAATTCCCCTGGCCAGCACCTTGCCTGATCCAGGTCATCCTTCTATTTGGGACTTGAATGCATCACCACACTGTGGGCATGAGGTCTGACTTTCATGACCACCACCAAGGGACTGGATGATGTAAGACAGAACAGCAGAGATGATAGTTCTGCCTCAAGGAAACCCTGACCAATAGGAAATAGAAGACTAATGACAGATGAGCAGATACATTCTCCCTCCTCTCTCTCTTCCATGGACTAATGCCAGCTGTGGTTTCCCCTTGTAGCCCTTCTGGAAAAGTGCTGGAAGCCAAGTACATGCATCTGATGACCATCATGCTGTCTCTCTCACCTCACTGTGAAGTGGCTGCCATCAGGGTCATACCAGACATCACCACACATTGTTTCACATTTGTTCCGGTCTCAATTTCCACACGTCCTTGCCATTTTTGTCTTGAACTTGACTTCTAAATAAATGGTAGCACTTCAATAACAGGTATTACATTAAAAACATTTTGGTAAAGTAGCTGGTTACTAACTCAATTTTTTGAAATGAAATGTCATTTTTGTTTAAATAATCAACTAGAAAATATCATAATACAAATAATTGACAATAGAAAAAAATACATATTCAAATAGACCAAAGTTGTTTATATGATTTTTCAAACTATTATAATAGGTGCCATCTAATTTTGGTGTTCTACCTTGTCTCCAACTCAGACACCTGATACAGCTGCATCAAGACTATATTATTGTCATATTTCCCCTAAAATTGTGGAATAGCCAAACTTTTCCTTAGGAGAAGGATTCTGCTTGGATAAGCCTGTAATCTTAACCTGAGACTGGAACAGGGGAATTCATGCAACTGCAGATTTTGTGTGAGTTTCCTTTTCACTGGTTTACCACATCAACTTATCCATTTTAGCCACCCATTTATTTGTTCATTAAAGTATCATTTTTGACCATCTATTCTTGGTGCTGGTTTCGAGTTCCTGGGAGTCAACAGAAAGCAAGACAGACATTATCTCTTTTTTTACAGTCCTTACATTGTACTGAGGAAGATATATGATTAAAAAAATACACAAATCAGGTGGGGGGATGATTCATCTTAAGGTTTAAATCACATTGTTTAAATTTCATAACACCAAGAATTAATACAGTCAAGTAGAATTTAGCTGTGAACAAGACTGTACATTTCTTTCTTATAATAGAACTTCCTATTAAAGAATATGTCAACACCCTTTCATTTCATCATTGATGACAAAATTACAACGTTAAGGCTCATCTCATAATTAATACACAGATTTCATAGATACTTTTTTAACATTTACAAAAAGTTTGACTGAAATATTTTCCACAATTTATATATTATATTTACATTGATTTTATTTTTCAAAAAGAGAGGATTTGAGTTCTCTTATCTGAAGTTTAGAAGGAATTTCATAAATGGAAGGTAAGGATATAATTAGCAATTCAGGGGCTTAAAAGTGCTTTAGAAAGAATACTAAAATAATTTGCATGAGATCTCAACTTCAAAAACAGCTTTTCTTTAATTCAAAAGCGGAAGAAATGACGTTTCTAACTGCATATGCATAACTGATGATACCAATCCAGATCATGATCATGATATTTCATCCCTTTATTAGAGAAGGGATTTTTTCCTAAGCTATTCACATATGAAATCTAATATTCCTCAGTACCGCTTATGGTAGACATACATTAAATTTACTCTGCATATGCTTCTCACTCAAATTCTACTGTGTGCATTCTTTTCTAACAATAATTCTCATTGCTTTTTACTAAACATAAAATAGAAATTCATAATGGAATAAAACACCAAAGATACATCCTCATTATTGATTTAGAATTGAATGACTTTACCATCCAATAAATTCGAGGTTCAAGCAATGAATTCTAAGCACAATGTGGTGTATTCCTGTGGTTCAAATAACAATAGAAAAGAGCAATATTTATCCTGGGATAAGCTGTTACTTCTTAATAATTATAAATAGACATCATAAATTCTACAAATGAAATATAAAATACATGAATGAAATATACATGGCTTCAAAATTCTAAGAAATTTTTGTCATATTTTGTATAATTTGGCAGTTTGTATGAAAAAAACAGAAAAGAGCATGTTATTGTCAATGTTCTTAAGTTTTCATACACACATAAACACACACATATATATATTTTTTTTTCTAGACTAATATTAGGTCAAAGGCTTTTCTAGGTATACGTTGGGAAATTATTCATACACATACAGTATAGAAAAACCAGTAAGAAATATAAAATGTTTCATACACCACCAGTTTGTTTTCTGCTAGAAGACACACAATGCCCCTCTCATGAATCTATGGAGATGAAGGCTTCTCTCCTTTCACCCAGTACCTCACTTGCCGCAAAACTGAAAGAAAAGTCTGCTTTAGCTTCTTGTTTCCCCAAATCAGGATGAATGGGTGGATTGAAGGATAGCTGAATCTAATAGCTTTGCAGAACATGAAGACAGGTTTGTTTTCCAGACTCCCAAAACTCCAAACTGATATCATTATGGACAGAAAGTAAACGGCACATAACAAGAGGAAAAAGATCACAGTTTGCAAAGCTTTTATGTGGACCTTGGTGCTGGGATCTTGAGATCCTTTACCATGGAGCTGCATCTTCTTGAGATGTTTACACAGAGAACAGATTAACAGCAAAAAACATAGCAGGGTCAGAGTGAAGGGCACTAAGTTTCCTAGCGTGGTTACAGTCGCATCTGAAAGGTACACTGCACTCCTCAATTTGATCTTCCAAGTCAAGTTTCCTTCATATTCTTTTGTCCGTACAATCTCTTTCATGTTTATCACAAAAAGTTGACAAGCCAAAAATAGTAAAGGCCCCAACAGCATCACCAGAATGACACTCTTAACTCTCCTCTTTAAGTGAAGAAAAATAAGGTTGGAGAAATTGGCAATCTTGAGCAAATAAAATATGCTGAGGCTAGTAGCAAGCCAGTTGCTGAAATGGCCGGTTACTGCCCAGACATTATAAGCAGTAGTTCTTACTTCTACACTATAAAAAGCTGGATTAAACACAGTTGAATACCAATTTAATAATAATACCCAGAGCAAACCAACTCTGGAGACCGCCAGAGCAGTGAGAATCTGGTCAGCAAAAGAGATCTTTTGTCTCTTGACCCGCTCAATGGAATTTACCAATGCTATGAAGCCATTAGCAAAATTTCCAATAACAAATAGAACCACTACCACACTGGAAAAAATGATGGGTATAAAAGTTGTCATGTCTGAACAGACAAAAAAAAATTGTTTTAATGCTGGTGTTGTGTCCGGAGTTGGTTCCTGCAGGTGGGTTCGTGGTCTCCCTGACTTCAAAAATGGAGCCACCGACCTTCACGGTGAGTGTTGCTGCTCTTAAAGATGGCATGGACCCAAAGAGTGAGCAACAGCAAGGTTTATTGAGAAGAGAGAAAGGACAAAGCTTCCACCGGGAGGAAGGCGACCCAGGCAGGTTGCTGCTGCTGGCTGAAGCCATGAGCTTTTATTCCCTTATTTGTCCCCTCCCATTTTCCTTTTTTTGTCCTATCAGAGTGCCCTTTTTTCAATCCTCCCTGCCATTGGCTACTTTTAGGATCCTGTTGCTTGGTGTATTTTAGAGCGATTGGTGCATTTTACAATCCTCTTGCTAGCTACAGAGCGCTGATTGCTGTGGTTTTACAGTGCACTGTTTGGTGCATTTTACAATCCCCTTGCTAGCTACAGAAACGTTCTCCAAGTCCCCACTCGATTCAGAAAGTATAGCTCGCTTCATCTCTCAATGTAATATAACTGGGTGTGATTGCTTGAATATCCTGACCTTAAATTCTATATGCACCTGATTTGTGAATGTGCTGTGACATTCTTTTTACTTTTAATTGTTGTGACCAGTGTCAAGCCAGAAATAACCATGGCATGTTAACTGATGAGTTCAATGATCTCTTTATGGAAAACATTCTTATTTTCAAACAACTCAAATTAACTCATTCATTCACTGTCTGTTCTTGTTATAGGCTGGAATTATTCACACTGAAATTGACGTGAAACCTGAATCCTCATTTGCTAGTACGCAAATAGGGACATATTCACTTTCAGTGTTTGCAATTTTTCCTTGTGTAACCTCTCCATCATTTATCTTTAGTGACTTCAGTTGTTAGGGAAGTTTTGTAACTCAATATATATATCATATAGTAAATATCTAAATTCTCAAAGGGAGCTTGGTCATAACTAAGATCATCACCAATGCGGACTTTTTTAAATCACAGATTTAAATACACAGAATCCTAACTGCTTTTATCAAAGGCATCTCAGATTTTCTTGAGAACCACAGGCAGGCCACTACTCCATAAGATCTGGTTGCTGCTAACACTTTCGTATAACTTCATTATTCACAAACTCATAAATATGCACACAAATATACACATGTGCACACCACTTATGAATGGAACAAATTATTTTCTTGTAATTTCCAAAATAAAAAATGAGTTTCCAAGAGGCTGTGCAGATGAAATTAGTCCTATTTTCCCACTCAGGGTTTTCAGCCCATGAATAATATTTATTTATCAAAAACATTATCTCTAATTCTTAGGACTTGGTAAAGTTTCTCTCAAGTCTAATGTTTAAATATTATTATAAAAAATATTTAGCAATTTTATAAGAATTCCTCAGTACCAGACCCTTTGATATATAATCCTGCAGTATCCTATCACAGGAAGACTGACTACCTTGCCCCTGAACTTGGAGTTCAATCATTTCACTTACTTTGATAAACAGAAAATTACTACAGTTTGCATAGAGATTTGAGATGGCTTCCATACTGGGGATTCTTCTTCTTTCCATTTACCATAAGAGTATGGCCTATCTAGTACACTGTTCCCAGAAGAAGAATGAGAAACTAATGACGTGAGATTGCTGCCACCTGATCCAGATTAAATTGGCAAAACTCTAACGTCCTCCAAGATGTAGAATTTGGCCCATCTCAAATCACCACAGCCATCCACCAAACCCAGCTTAGAAAAATAAAATCCAGGCCCAGCGCAGGCGAGGTTGAGGAAGGCAGATTACGAGGTCAAGAGATGGAGACCATCCTGGCCAACATGGTGAAACCCCATCTCTACTAAAAATACAAAAATTAGCAGGGCATGGTGGTGTGCACCTGTATTCCCAGCTACTCGGGAGGCTGAGGCAGGAGAATGGCATGAACCCGGGAGGCGGAGGTTGCAGTGAACTGAGATTATGCCACTGCACTCCAGCCTGGGCGACACAGCAAGACTCTGTCAAAAAACAAAACAAAACAAAACAAAACAAAACAAAACAAAAAACCAACATCAAACGACATGTGAGATATAAATATCTAATGTAGTTTTGAAGGGTCTTCTCCTGCAGAGAAACATAACTGATAAAAGAACTCTTAAACCAAGAGTGTGGGAAATATGTACAACCTTGTTGTGTCAGGAATTCAGGAGCCGAAAGAAAAAATAGATGGGGAATGGCAAAGGTTTGTCCTGTGAGGTCGATAATTAAGGCTAGAAGAAATCCTTTGGAAAGATCTGGGGGTGGCAGATAACATCATCTCAAATTTCCTCATGTTGCAACTAAATAAGAAAGTTCCTATTTCAACTATCTTAGAGTTGTATAGGAATGTATACAAATAATTGATATTTCCCTTCAGTATATAATGAGACGAGTAATAATAATTTCTATGAGATATTTCTCCTAATTACAAATTTGTATATTAAAGTTATAATGCGCACTTAGAAATGAACCAATACAAAAATGGGAAATACCACAGTGTATCATAAACACTCAAGTAACCATGATGCAGGGCAAGACAAGGAACACCTAAAACAGGCTAGATCCACCTCCATTCCACTTTCCAAGTCCCTAAACCCTTCTTCGCATCTCCTGATATAAGCAATATCCATAATTTATAATGGTTATTTCCTCAATTTTCTTCATACTTTACCAACTAGGTATGCAACCCTAAACTCCATCGCTTGGTCTAGCCTACTTTGAACGCTGTATAGGTGCAATCCTACATGTTCCTCTTGTTTGTGGCTTCCTGAACTCAACATTATGTTTCTGAAATTTAGTCACATAGTTGCAAGCACATGTGATTTTTTTTCACTTCTCTATATTGTTCCATTGCATGGAATTACTGTAATGATTCATCCAACCTTAATATGTATTTGGCCAGTTTCTTTTTTGAACAGTTATGAATAATTCTACTAGAACATTCTTTCATATATCATTTGATACAATTCCTTTGCATATATACCTATGAGTAGAATTATATTATCATTGTTCAAAATCTCCTCATAGACATAGAAAAGTTCAGAAAATAATTTAACTAAACTTACTCCTGTCACCTTTACCTCCATTCTATTTTTTGCCATTTGCATATGTCTTATCAATTGTATAATTACCCCAACAAGACATTATTATTTTCTAAACATTCATTTAGAATTATGCACATATTTACCACTTTCATTAATTTGTATTCCTTCTTGCATATTCAACTTAATATTTTCAATAAGACCCTTTATTGGCCAGGCAGGGTAGCTCACACCCATAATCCCAACATTTTGTAAGGCTGGGGCAGGAGCACCCAGGAGTTCAAGACCAGCCTGTGCAACACAGTAAAACTGCCTCTACAATGAATGAAAAAGTTAGTCAGGCATAGTGAAGCTACTCACAAGGCTGAGGTGGGAGGATGGTTTGAGCCCAGGAGTTCCAGACTGCAGTAAGCCATGATCCTACCACTGAACTCCAGCCTGGATAACAGAGTGAGACTCCAACTCTACCAACAAAAATAATAATAATAATATTAATAATAATTTTTCTTCTATCTGAAAAGATGTATTTTAAGTTTCTGTTTATCAAGATCTATTCTACTTTTGAAATACACTGAAGACATGAATCCATTGAACTCTAGCTTTATTTTTGTCTGTTGAAAATCAGCTTGTCGTTTAGACAGTTATTCCCTTTAACATAATCTATCTTTTCCTCTAGTTACTTTTCAGGTTTTCTATTGGTCTTTGATGTCCTGTCATTTTATGTTAATTTGGTTTTAGTTATCGTGTCTGAAGTCTGATAGTTTCTAAAAATATATGAACTGATATACTTTATCACTTTTGGAAAAATCTCCACATTGCTTCTGCCCCATTTGTTCTCTTCTAATTTTCGGGAACTGCAGAAGTATGTTAGTTGTTCTGATTGTAGCTTCACTGTCTCTGACCCTCTAGCCTTATATTTTCTATCTATTCGTCTCTTTATCTTCATTCTGGGTAGTTATCTTCAAATTCACTAATTCTTTCTTATGTTTAACTGGTTTTTAACTCTATTGGATTCTCAAAATTGATTACTCTTTTTGTTTTTGTCTTATTGTTTTAGAAGTAGAAATGAACTTTTGTTCTCCTTATATAAATCATTTTTCTAACGGAGAAACTAAACCAAGTATTCCTAAAACCAAGTTATTAAAAAAAGAGTTTTTTTAAACTTTTAGTATACCTGACATGAAAATGGTAACCATATTTTTCTTTTTGTAATACTTTGGTCAAAGAAGAGAATAAAAGCAAGATCTAGGCATTCTCCTGCAACTTAGAAGAAACTGGAAATTGATTTGATGTCAGTAGCTTTTTTTGGATAGTATCTTATCTGTTGCTGGGTCATCACCACAAACTCTTTTCACAGGCAAATTCAATGAGCAGCACTGGATCTCAAAATGTCATTAAAATTAATTAAATAGAGCATCTCAACCACAGCTCCACCACTCTATTCCATGATTTAAATTTTACGCTGTTTTTGCTTTGTTTTGTTTTGTTTTTTGAGACGGAGTGTCGCTGTCTCCCAGGCTGGAGTGCAGTGGCGCGATCTCGGCTCACTGCAAGCTCTGTCCCCCGGGTTCACGCCATTCTCCTGCCTCAGCCTCCGGAGTAGCTGGGACTACAGGAGCCTGCCACAACGCCTGGCTAATTTTTTGTATTTTTAGTAGAGACAGGGTTTTACTGTGTTCGCCAGGATGGTCTCCATCTCCTGACCTCGTGATCCACCCACCTCGGCCTCCCGAAGTGCTGGGATTACAGGCGTGAGCCACCGCGCCCGCCCTATGCTGTTTTAATTAGCAGAAATCAAAACTTCTTAGTTTATAACAATCATTGAAAGATCAAATAGTAAAACAGTACTTACGAGTTTATCAAAAAATGAAGGACATCTGACATAAGTAGACTTTAAGTCCCATGGAAACAAAACTGAATCTGGTGCTTCTATGGAATTCCACCATTTAATCCTATCCATGAATATAGTTTTGGTTATAGAACTACAACCTTCTAACTCCATCATCACTCACTCAAGTGTGACAGAAGATCTGGGGTCTTACCTCTGTTTGACAGTTTGGTCCTAAAATCCGCTCTTTAGAAATAAAAGCGTGCTCAAAAAATGTGTTACTCGCTTTATCTTTCTTATTAAGGAATTTTATTTACACGAAAATCTGAATTGTTTCTATCATGATCATAGTGAAAGGAGGATTCATTGAAGGTCATCCATAAATAATTATTTGCATAAGCAATGTATTGTAAAATAAACTACACTTAATTTCTAAATCTAAATGTATTGGAGCTTGACTTGAACTTTGCTGTTTACTATTGTAACTTTCCCACAATGATGATCTTTTTAAAATTACTTATTTTCCAAATTATGTATTTAAATATTTCAAAAACAAACCACTTCATGATATAGATGAAGATATAGACGATGATGATAATGATGATGGCAGGTGAAAGGGAGAATGCTATTTGATCAGTGTGATTTCAGGCTTGTTTCTAAGTACTGGAGCTCAGCGTGATGAGAGAACACTACTATTCTTCCTCATGGCCTCATGATTCTTCTATGATTCTCAGCATTAGGCCTAGACAAGTACCCTCACATGGTATTTCATCAAGAATAATGTAAAACCAACATATTTTCAACGATTTATTTGCTTTTTTTTCTTTTACTACATTTTAAAATTCGATAAGAAACACGACCTCCAACAATTAGGATTCTATTTTGGGATTTTTTTTGGCATTTTTGAACACTAACATGGACAAATAGTCTATGCAATAATACAGTATATCAACTTTAGTTTATCTTTTAATAGCATCATTAGCAAGCCAAATTCTTGCAAATGCTTTTTCCCCTTCTTAGCTATGGTGACTAAATCTGGATCATTTTACTATAGCAGTCAAAGTTGAATTATATATGCACAAACATACTCAAAGATCATGCTAAATATGTTTTATACGTTAAAAAATTTGCCTTTCTATGGTATTTTTCTCTAATGTAGAGCCAAAAAATTTATAGTAACAAAATATTTAACCCAACTTACAGGTGTACATGTGAATAGTATTGTGAAATTAAAATGCTAAAAATATGAGTATAAATATTTCATTTAGAGACACATTTTTGGATATATTTATTTAATTTAATATCCATCGTAGTATAATTTATTGGAAATTCATGAATTTCTAACACTTTCAAATGTGTATCATAAATAATCAAATTGGAAATAAAAAGTGTCTATCAATAATAAATATTCAAATTTTGATGTTTCAAATTCATATTAGCATTAAGAAGGTGGATTTACAGTTCTTGCTTATCTCTCCTTTTTTAAAATTAATTTAAGAAAAGTTTTAGGTCAGGTGTGGTGGCTCACACCTATAATCCCAGCATTTTGAAAGGCTGAGGGAGGTGGATTGCCTGAGCACAAGAGTTCAAGCCCAGCCTGGGCAACATGGCAAAACCTTGCCTCTAAAAAAAAATAGAAAAAATCAGCAGGGTGTGGTGGTGCACACCTGTTGTCCTAGATATTCAGGAGGCTGAGATGGGAGAATCACTTGAGCCCAGGTGGCGGAGGTTGCATTGAGCCAAGATTGCGCTTGTGCACTCCAGCCTGGGCAACAGAGTGAGACGCTGTCTCAAAATAAAAAAAGAAAAGTTTTAAATTTTAATTTGGATTTCTTAGTACCATAATGCTCTATTCTCCTTTATTCAGCAAAAACTCTAATTACAATGGTATCTATGAGAATATGCTGTATCACCCTAATTTTATACTTAGAAATATACTTTATGTTTCTGCTTTTTTAACATTTTTTATTGTGGAGCATAACATACACATAGAGAGTAATAACACAACAGAAACAGAAAGAGAAAAAATTGTAACGTTAACATGGATGTTACCACACATTGGCAAGAAAAAAGAATTTGCCAGCCATCCAGATAATCCCAATATATGTCTTCTTGCTGACATTTTCCTCCTTCTTGACTATCCCAGTTGTTATGATGATCACTCATATGTTTCACTACAGAGTTTTATCACCAATGTAATAAATTACAATTATTAAAAAGAATGTTTTTCAAACTTTATGTAAATGAGATTATACTAAATGTATTTTTCCATCTTGATAATTCTTCTCATATCTGTATTATTATTTATGTAGCTCAAATTTGTTCATTTTCTCTGTTGTATTATTCTGTTGTAAACATGTCAGTCTTGTTTGTTAATTTTGATCACTGTATAGTATTCCATTGTATAAGTATGCCACAATTTGTTTATTCATTTGGAGGACTGATAGACATTTGGAGGACTTCTCAACTTTAGCTATTGAAACTCAGTGATATGCATGTGAATGTATATGTATTCTGATAAGAGTATAAATGCTGGGTCTTAGGATGTGATCCTTCATCTTAATCAGATAATGCCATACTCGGCCGAAATGATGTCACAGATTTATAATTCTAGGAGTGGTGTATGAAAATTCCCATTGTGTCGTATCCTTTCCAAAATAAGTAATGTCAATTTCAAATACTCTTTTGTTATAAGCAAGTGTACTTATACTGGAGATATTTCCTTTAATCAATCATTATGTCAAATGACTTTGAAAAAATATAATTAGTTAACAGCATACTGTAAGGGATATTTCAGGATTGTTGAACAACTCTTAAAAGGACTCAAAGAAAAAAATATTGAAATATAAAAATAGTCTACAAGCTTAATGTAGGTGTCCATGGGAAAATATAAATATATTATTGTTGTTATTGAAAAAATGATTGGTAGTAAACTTATCATGTCTGAATTTTTTTAAAGGCAGGCCTGATATCCTGACGAGATTCCCTTTACCTGACTTTTACTTCTATTCCTGATTCCTAAGTGTGCAGTAATGTTGTTTTTCCTTTTAAATTCTGTGACCAATGTCAAACAGGAAAGCATCTCAATAGGCCAACGGATGTAATCAATGCTCTCTTTATGGAAAATATGATAATTTCCAAAACAGCTCAAATTAACTCTTGTTCAAACACAATGTCCTTGCTGTAAGATAAAATTTTCCACATCGTTGTTGAAGTAAAACCTGAATTCTCATCTACTAGCATGCCAATGAAGAGTTTTTTAAATGTTCTGCAATTTTTTCCTTGTTTAAACTCTCCATAATTTGTGTTCAGCAATTTAACAACCCAATACACAGATGACACATTGGTTTTATTACCTGGTAAAGGGAGCTTGGGCATAACTAGGATCATCACCAAAGTAGATTTATATTTTCAACGCCAGTAATATGTAGAATGAATCCCGTCTTTTCCTACCAAAAGCATTTAAGGTTTTCTTGGGAACCTCAGAAAGGCCAATAATCCTTAAATCCTGGTGGCTACTAATACTTTTGTATAACTTATTGTTTACAAGCTCATTCATACAAACACATTCACAAACATACACACATACATACATACTCACCCCCTCATGGATAGAAGGAATTTCTGTCCTCTAATTTCCAAAATGGAAAATTAATTACAGGGACATCATCCAGGTAGAAATAGCCCTGCTTTTCCACTTGGGCTTTTCAGACCATTTTCAATATTTATCAAACTTATCGCTCATGCTGAGGCCTTTGACTAAGTTTTTCTCTAGAGCCCAGTTAATACTTAAATATTTATTGTTTAATTAAAATACTCAGCAATTGTGTAACTATTTTGGGTGACTTGAAAAACACATGTTTCTCACTGAAGAGTCTAGAGTTCTTTGTATATGAATATTTGGTTTCATTTTTCTCCGTTTAATTTATTTTTGATTACTTAAAGGATTAAGAGGAATAGATGTTAAAATCAGTCTCCAATCTTGGATTTTATTTCTTTTCCATTTAAAAAGTATAATTGTTTCTAAGAGAGGATTTTGGAGTCAAACTGCCAAGACAGGAAACCAGATTTTCTGCTTCACATAGCTATGCTCTGAGACTTCATCTTATAACTACTCTGTGCCTCAGTATAATCATCTGTTCATGATGAGTTCATGTCCTTTGCAGGGACATGGATGAAGCTGGAAATCAGCATTCTCAGCAAACTAACACAGGAACAGAAAACCAAACACCACATGTTATCACTCATAAGTGGGAATTGAACAGTGAGAACACACAGACACAGGGAGGGGAACATCACACACCTGGGCCTTTTGGAGGGTGGGGAGCTAGGGATAGCATTAGGAGAAATACCTAATGTAGATGACGGGTTGATGGGTGCAGCAAACCACCATGGCACATGTATACCTATGTAACAACCCTGCGTGTTCTGCACATGTACCCCAGAACTTAAAGTATAATTTTAAAAAATAGCTACAACAGGCTTTGAAGACATAGACAGTACAATAAGATATTAATAGTGAAAACAAAAAGTTAAAACCTGAGAAGATGGAGTTAAGGTGCAGAGTCCTCATTTGTTTTGTTTTTGTGCTTGTTTGTTTGCTTATGTAAACAGTACTAAGTGGTTATTAGCTTGAAATGATGGGTTAGAAGATAGCATTTGCAAGCCTCATGGTAATCTCAAACCTAACAGCATAGAATGGATACACAAAAAAATAAAAAGCAAGAAACTATATCATATCACCAGAGAAAATAACCTTCACTAATGAAAAATAGGAAGGAAGGAAAGAAAGAATAGCAGACTACAACATAACCAGAAAAGAAATAATAAAATGACAGAAGTAAGACCTTACTACCAGTAATAACGTTGAATGAAAATGGACTAAACTCTCCAATCAAAAGACATAGTTTGGCTAAATGGAAAAACAAAACAAAAAAAAACTCCAATCTGTTGCCTCTAAGAAACACACTTTGCCTATAAAGACATGCACAGAGAGAAAATAAAGGGATGGAAAAAGATATTCCATGTCAATGCAAACCAAAAAAAAAAAAAAAAAAAAAAACAAAAAAGTAGAGTACCTATACTAATATTAGACAAAATAGTTTTCAAGACAAAAACTATGAGGACATAAAGAAGGTCACCATATAACGATAAAAGGGTCAATTCACCAAAAGGATATAGCAATTGTAAATATATGTGCACTCAACACTGGAGCACCCAGATATATAAAGCAAATATTATTAGAGCAAAGCAAAGAGAAAAGCCTCAATTCAATAATAGATGGAGACTTCAACATTCCACTTTCAGCATTGGACAGATCCTCCAGACAGAAAATCAACAAAGAAACATCAGACTTAATCTGCACTATGGAACAAACTGATTATTAGATACTTACGTAACATTTCACCCAAAAGTTGCAGAATAAACATTCTTTTCCTCAGCACATGGATTTTTCTCAAGGATAGACCATATGTTAGATCACAAAACAAGTCTTAAACAATCCAAAAAACTGAAATATTGCCAAGCATCAACTCTGGCCACAATGGGATAAAACTAGAAATCAATAACAAGAATAATTTTGGAAACTATATAAACACATGGAAATGAAACAATATGCTCCTGAATGACCAGTAGGTCAACAAATAAATTTAAAAGGAAATGGAAAATTGCTAGAAACAAATGATAGTGGAAACAAAACATACCAAAATCTATGAAATACAGCAAAAACAATACTAAGAAGGAAATTTACAGCTATAAAAGCCTACATCAGAAAAGAAGAAAAATTCAAATAAACAACCTAATTGTGTATCTTAAAGAACTAGAAAAACAAAAGTAACCCAAACCCAAAATTAGTAGAACACAAATAATAAAAATTACAGCAGAAATAAATGAAATTGAAATGAAGAAAACAATACAAAAGATCAATGAAACAAAAACTTGTTTTCTTGAAAAGTTAAACAACATTGACAAACGTTTAGGCAGACTAAGAAAAAAAGATCCAAATTAATAAAATCAGAGATGAAAATGGAGATATTACAACTGATACAACAGAAATTCAAAGAAATATTAGTGACTAGTATGAACAACTATATATCAATAAATTGGAATCTCTAAAACAAATGGACAAATTCCTAGACACATACAACCTACAAAGATCGAACCATAAAGAAGCCCAAAACCTGATAAGACCAAAAACAGGTAATGAGATAAATTCTGCAATAAAATGTCTCCCAGTTTAAAAAAAAAAAAAAAAAAAAGCCTGGGAGCAGACGGCTTTAGATCTGAATTCTACCAAACATTTAAAGAACTGATGCCAATCCTACTCAAACTCTTCTGAAAAAATAGAGAAAGAGGGACTACTTCCAGGCTCATTCTTTTTTTTTTTTTTTTTTTTTTTTGAGGCAGAGTCTCACTCTGTCACCCAGGCTGGAGTTCAGTGGCATGCTCTCCACTCACTGCAAGCGCCACCTCCCGGGTTCACGCCATTCTCCTGCCTCAGCCTCCCGAGTAGCTGGGACTACAGGCGCCCACCACCACGCCCGGCTAAATTTTTGTATTTTTAGTAGAGACGGGGTTTCACTGTGTTAGCCAGGATGGTCTTGATCTCCTGACCTCGTGATCCACCGAACTCAGCCTCCCAAAGTGCTGGGATTACAGGCGTGAGCCACCAGGCCCGGCCCAGGCTTATTCTTGAAAATCTTATTACCCTGATACCAAAACCAGACAAAGACACATTGAAAAAGGAAAACTACAAGTAAATATCCCTGATGAACATTGATGCTAAAGTCTCAACAATATACTAGCGAATCAAATTAAATAATACATTAAAAAGATAATTCCTCATGGCCAAGTGGGATTTATCCCTGAGATGCAAGGGTGGTTCAACATACACAAATCAAAATCAATCAATGTAATACATCATATCAACAGAATGTAGGACAAGAACCATATGATCATTTAAATTAATGCTGAAAAAGCATTTGATAAAATTCAATATTCCTTCATGATAAAAACCCTCAGAAATCTGAATATAGAAGGAAAATCTAAACATAATAAAAATCATATAGAAAGACCCACAACTAGTATCATACTGAATTGGGAAAAACTAAAAGACTTTCCTCTAAGATCTGGAACATGCCAAAAATGCTCACAATCACTGCTGCTATTCAACATAATAGTAGAAGCTCTAGCTAGAGCAATCATGCAAGAAAAATAAATAAAGAGCATCCACATAGGAAAAGAATAAGCCAAATTATCCCTGTTTTCAAACAATATGATCTTATATTTATAAAACCTGAAGACTGTACCAAAAAACTATTAGAATTGATAAACAAACTCAATAAATTTGCAGTATACACAATTAACATAAAAATTAGTAGTATTTCTATATGTCAATAGTGAACAATCTGAAAACAAAATCAAAAAATTAATCCCACTCACAAAAGCCACACATAAAATTAAATAGCTGAAGATTAACTCAACCAAAGAGATGAAAGATCTCTATAATGAAAACTATAAAACACTAATGCAAGAAATTGAAAAGGACACCCAACAAAAGAAAAGATGGTCCATGTCCATGGATTAGAAGTATCAACATTGTTAAAATGGCCATACTACCCAAAGAATCTACAGATTCAATGTAATTCCTATCAAAATACTAAAAACATTCTTCACAGACATAGAGAAAACAATCCTAAAATTTATATGGAGCCACAACTGACCCAGAATAGCCAAAAGTATCCTAAGAAAAAAGAACAAAAGTGGAGGAATCATGTTACCTGACTTCATATTATACTACAGAGGCTGTAGTAACCAAAACAGCATGTTACTGGCATTAAGACAGACACATAGACCAACGGAATAGAATAGACAACTTGGAAACAAATCCACACACCTACAGTGAACTCATTTTTGAAAAAGATGCCAAGAACGTACACTGGAAAAAGACAGTCTCTTCAATAAATGGTGCTGGGACAACTGAATATCCCTATGCAGAAGAATGAAACTAGTCCCATATATCTATACAAATATCAAATCAAAATGGATTAAAGATGTATCTTTAAGACCTCAAACCATGAAGCTCCCATAAGAAAACTTCAGAGAAACTCCCCAGGACATTGGTTTGAGCAAAAATTTCTTGAGTAGTAATACCCCACAAGCACAGGGAACCAAGTCAAAAATGCACAATTGGGATGACATCAAGTTAAAAAATACTTCTGCACAGCAAAGGGTACAATCAACAAAGTAAAGAGACAACCCACAGAATGGGAGAAAATATTTGCAAACTACTCATCTCACAAGGGATTAATAACCAGAATATAAAAGGAGCTTTAACAACTGTATAGGAAAAAAAAAATCTAACAATCTGATCAAACAATGGGTGAAAGATTTGAATATGCATTTCTCAAAAGAAGATATACAAATGTCAAACACACATATGAAAAGGTGAAAAGGTGCTCAACATCATTGACCATCAGAGAAATGCAAACCAAAACTAAAATGAGATAGATATCATCTCAACCCCGTTAAAACAGCTTATATCCAAAAGGCATGTAACAAGTGCTGGTGAAGATGTGGAGAAACGGGAACCATTCTACACCTCAGGTGGGAATATAAATTAGTAAAACCACTATGGAAAACCATTGAAAGTTTTCTTAAAAGACAAAAATTAGAGCTACCATATGTTCCACCAATCTCACTGGTGTGTATATACCCAAAAGAAAGGAAATAAGTGTATCAAACAGGTATCTACACTCCCATGTTTGTTGTAGCACTGTTCACAATAGCCATGATTTGGAAGCAACCTGAGTGTCCAGCAACAGATTAATAGATAAAGATAATATGGTACATATACACAATGGAGTACAATTGAGCCATTAAAAAATGAGATCCTGTCATTTGCAGCAATATATGGATAGAATTGGAGATTATTATGTTAAGTTGAATACATCAGAAACAACTGCAATGTTTGCACAGAAGGCATGGACATAGAGAGTACATGGATGCTAAACAAAGGCTGGGAAAGGTAGTGGAGGCTAAAGGGAAGGAGTGGCTGGTTAATGGTTACCAAAAAAAAAAAAAAATAGAAAGAATTAATAAGACCTACTATTTGATAGCACAGCAGGGTGACTATAATCAATGATAATTCAGTTGTACATTTTAAAATGACTGAAAGAGTATAACTGAATTGTTTGTAACAAAAAAGAGTAAATGTTTGAGGGGATGGCTACCCCATTCTTCATTATGTGACATTGCATGCCTGTATCAACACATCTCATGTACCCAATAAATGTATGCACCTAGTATGTATCCACGAAACTTAAAAATACATTTTAAAAAAAGAAATTCCTAAACTTCCTATATCTGTTTACTGATAAGGTAAATTAATATGTCCACATAATGTTAAAATACCAAAAAATGTAAAATTATGCTTTCAAATAAACTGAATACAAATTATGAAAAACTCCACATATTGACAGTAATTATTTTCTCTAGCCTATCAGCTTAAATTTAATTTCCAAGATTCCTGGTGCAATTTAAGACCTTAGACTAATATTAAATTCAGTGAGTTGATGAAAATCTTCAGATAATTTCTAGTTAAGTTGGAATACTGAAATGTGGTCACCAATCAAAGGTTATATAATAAATAAATATAACTTTTATTCTTATATTTTATGGAGTGGCTATTTGTTTGGATTACACTATGAAACATGGGGGTTTTGTAGACCAATTCAAGCAAGTGTAAAAAGGATGTATATGACTATAGAAAGTTGTAATATATGCGCTTGAGAATTTTGCACATCTGCCAAAATAGTTATTTTTAATAGTCTTCAATTACATAACTTCCAGTTTTCTCCTTGAAAGAGAATTACTTTGATTAGTGTAATTAATAAAAGTAGGAGTTAGAACCAAGGTAGAAACCAGAATGGACAAGGAATATGACTGTTATGAAAGGTAATGGAATGTAGTTTAGGTTTTCAAGAATAGAGTATCTTTGCCTAAAGTAATATGTTTTGTTGCTATCTCTGTCTTCACTGTGCTTGATGATAACTGAAATCTCAATTTAATTATTTTAGCTGGGCTACATGAAGTCTGCCCTATACATGCATGGTATAGGGACCAGACAAAGCTTTGGATAGTTTATATTCAGAAGTTGGGGCTCCCCTTTTCTGGCCTTCTCCTTTCTCAGATTTTCTCCTGACCTCCTGCTGCTCGTGTTATGCCAAACTCAGTCCTCTGTTACTTCAACCCAGTAAGTCTACAGTTTTCTTCTGACGTTTTAGTCCTCTGCCTGGTGCACACTAGGGCCAGCTATAAAATCAGGAAACTCACTCCTTGCTATTCCCTTCTTCCAAGTGCTGACCTCTCTCTAGTATCTGCCTATTTTGTTCATTCTCCATTGCCAATGAATGGCTGTTTTTTTAAATATTTTATCCAGAATTTATAAAAAGTATCTGTGGGAGGCTTGGTCCTATGGGTTTTATTTGATCTTTAGTGTAAGAAAAAAATGTTGTATGTATATTTTTCTACTTATCATGTTTCCCTCTTTCTTTGGCCCACTATTTCATGTAGAATACATTGACAGTCATTAGTTTTACAACTTAGTCTACAGATTCTGAATTATAGAGAACAGCTCATGATGGAATTGGGGAGAATATTGGCATCATCCGGAGATGATACATTTGTATCAGGATGAAATTGGAAAAGGGAGCACATTTCTGAATCATCAAGATTAGTGGTTTGAAAACACGTCTAAGTGCTTTGACTCACCTCATATGGATAGATGGAGTCTATTCCCCTCCACATCCAAACTAGCCTTCATGATGTGTTAAGTAAATGTTCTGTCACAGAACTGACACAGAAGAACTTCCAATGTTTAAAAAGCTGGCGCCTTCTTGTCACATGTGCCCTTGGGGCCTTGAGCCAAATGCTGGAGAACCTATGTCAAGAAACAAAATAAAAATAGAAAGAGATGCTTGAGGAGCCTCAGCTCACTGCCCACCCACAATGAAACATATGATTAATACATTTCCTATCATCAATATATAGATTAGACAGATAATTTTCAATATTTGCAGAATGTTTCATTCAATTGTGATCCATAGTTTATATACCCTGTTTACATTGAGTTTATTTTAAGAGAGGGAATAATTGAATTTTTTTGAGAAATATTAAGAATGGGAGACAAAGGGAAAATTGGAAATTCAAGGGCTCAGAGGTGGCTAAGCAAAATAAATGGAAATACTTGACATCAGATGTCAATTTCAAAAAAAAAAAGGTTTTCTTTAATTCAAAAAGTGGAAGAAACAACTTTTCTAACTACACATTAAAAAATTATAACAGCACTGAAAGTATCATGATCATGTATCTTCATTCCTATTATAGAAATGATTTTTTTCTAATCTATTCACATACTACTATTAAATCCAGTATCCTTTAGAACAGTTTTTGGTATACACATACAAAATTTACTCTACTTATGTATGTATGTTTGTCACTCAAATTTTATTGTGTGCATCATTAGCTAACAACCATTCTATTTGCTTTATAATAAATATAAAATAAGAATTCATAATGAAATAAAACCTACCCCAAAGATCCATTCTCATCATTAATTTAGAATTGAATGTTTTTACCATCCAAAAAATTAGAGGTTCAAACAATGATAGTTAAGTACATATATGTGGTACAAATTACAATGGAAAACAACAATGATTTCCTGATAAAAGCTGTAAGTTCCTAATTATAAATAGAGGTAATAAATTCTTCACATGAAATACCATAGGATGAACTATCATAAAATATACCTACATATATATGTGAAATATACTCGGCTTCATAATTTGTGGTCAATGTTGTTATTCACACACATGCACACATATACCCACACACATATATGTGTGTGTGTGTGTATAGATAGATAGATAGATAGATAGATAGATAGATGACTTTTCTAGGTATCTGTTTTGAAATTATTCAAATATATACACTAAGGAAAAACGAATGGAAATATAAAATGTTCCAGATACCGTCAGTTTGTTTTCAGCTAAAAGATACACAATGCTCCCTTTGTGAATCTATGGAGTTGAGGGTTTCTGTCCTTTCACTCAGCATTTCACCTGTCACAAAGCTGAAAGAAAGGTCTGTTTTGGCTTCCTACTTCCCATAGTCAGGATGAATGAGTGGAACAAAAGATACATGAATCCAAGAGTTTGGTAAAGCAGGAATACAAGTTTGCTCTGCTGAGTCCTAGGATTCCAAGTTGATGTGATTAGACACAGAAAGTAAATGGCAAATAACATAAGGAAGGAGATCACAGTTTGCAAAGCTTTTATGTGCACCTTGGTGCTGAGATGTTGAGATCCTTTGCCATGGAGCTGCATCTTCTTGACATGTTTACATGGAGAATAGATTAACAGCAGAAAAGATATTAGTGTCAGAGTGCAGGGTGTGACGTTTGCTGGCATGGTTACAGTCAAGTTTGAAAGCTGTATTGCATTCCTCAATTTGATCATCCAAGACAAATTTCCTTCATATTCTTTTGTCCACACACTCTCACCCGTGGTTATCAGAGCAAGATTACAAATGAAAAATACCAAGGGCCCCAACAGCATCACCAAACCAACATTCTTAATCCTTTTCTTTAGGTGGAGAAAAATAAGGTTGGAGAAATTGGCAGTCTTGAGCAAATGAAATATGCTGAGGCTAGTAACACCCAGATGCTGAAATGCTTGGTTATTGCTGAGACATTAGAACCAAAAATTCTTACTTCTAATCTATGTGAAGCCAAATTAAACACAGTTGCATACCAATGTAATAATATGACCCAGAGTAAACCAACTCTGGACACCACCAGAGCAGTGAGAAATTTGGTCAGCTGATGAGATCTTTTGTGTCTTAACCCACTCAAGGACACCTACTAGAGCTATGAAGCCATTGGCAACATTTCCAAGAACAAATGCAAACACTACCAGAATTGATAAAATGATGAGCAGAAAACATATCATGTTTGAACAAATGAAAAGAAAGAAAAAATGCAGCCTTAATAACACTGGTTGTGATTCCCTTAATATCCAGACCTTAATGTCGATAAACACTTGACTTTTAAATGTGTAGTAACATTTTCTGCCTTTAAATTCATGACTAATTTCAACAGGAAAGCACCATCATATGCTAATGGATGAATTCAAAGCTGTCTTTATAGAAATAGAAAATATTCTTATTCTCAAAACAGCTCAAATTCACTCCTCTTCATACACTGTCTGTCTTACTATATGCTGAAATATTTTATATTGAGGATGAAGTGAAAAGTAAATTCTCATGTGTTAGTATGCAAATAAAGGCATTTTTTTAATTGTTTTGCAATTGTTGTCCTTGCTAACCTCTCCATAATTTGTGTCCAGCATCGTCAGTTGTTACATAGGGAAATTTTAAAACCCAATACACATATCATACAGTACAGGTTTAAATTGTTTAAGGAGCTTGGTCATAACTAGGATAATACCAATATGGTTTGTTTAATACCAGAATCTAAACCTTTTATCAATATCATCCAAGATTATTTTGGAAAGTCCTGGGAGGCCAATACACCTTAAAATCTGGTTTCTGATAACCAATACATTTATATGACATCATTGTTAATAAGCTCCTCAATACATAGACACACATGCACTGACACACTTAGCAGATGCAATGAATTATTTTCTTATAAATCCCCAATTGGAAAACGAGTTTCCCCAGGAGGTCATCTAGGTGGAATTAGTCATATTCCACTCAGGGTTGTCAGACAATGAATAATATTTATCAAACATGTTTCTCATGCTTGGGCCTGCCAAGACCAGCTCGGTTGTGGAGACCCTAATCCTGTGGCGCCAGAGGAATTAAGACACACACAGAAATATAGTGTGTGGAGTGGGAAATCAGGGGTCTCACAGCCTTCAGAGCTGAGAGCCCCAAACAGAGATTTACCCACATATTTATTGACAGTAAGCCAGTGATAAGCATTGTTTCTATAGATTATAGATTAACTGAAAGTATTCTTCAGGGGAAACAATGGGATGGGCCGAAACAAAGGGATGGGTCTGGCGAGTTATCTGCAGCAGGAATATGTCCTTAAGGTGCAGATCGCTCATGCTATTGTTTGTGGCTCAGGAATACCCTTAAGTGGTTTCCTGCCCTGGGTGGGCCAGGTGTTCCTTGCTCTCATTCTGGTAAACTCACAACCTTCAGCATGGGTGTCATGGCCATCACGAACATGTCACAGTGCTGCAGAGATTTTATTTATGGCCAGTTTACTGGGGCCAGTTTATGGCCAGATTTGGGGGCCTGTGCCCAACATAGGCCTTTGGTAAATTTATTCTCAAGTCTGTTTTTTGTTTAAATATTAATTATTTAATTAAAACAGTCAGCAATTTTGCAAATATTTCTAAGTACGCTACACTTTGTCATATAATCCTGCAGTATCCTCCCACCACAGGCAGGGTGACTACCTGGAACTTGGACTCTGAATTCACTCATGTAATTTGCTTCAGTGAACAGGAAATTAGTAGACTTTACACAGAGATTTAAGACGGTTTCCATATTGGAGTTTCTTGCTCTTTTCCATTCACCGTGAGAACATCATCTGGTGAGTACACTGTTCCCAGAAGAAGAATGAGAAACTAATGGAGTCAGAATGCCACTGCTTTATCCAGCCTAAATCAGCCAAAGTAGCTTCAAGATGCAGAATGTGGCCCATCTCCAATCACCACAGCCATCCACCAAACCTAGCTGACAAAAATGAAATCCAAAGACATATGAGACACAAATATCTAATGCAGTTTTGGAGGATTTTCTCTTGCAGAAAAACTTAAGTGATATAGGTATTCTGCTAAGCCAAGCGTGTGGGAAACATGTCCACCCCTGTTGTGTCAGGAATTCAGGATCCAAGGGAAAAATAGATGGAAAATGTCAATGTTTTGTCACATGAAGTAGATAATTAAAACTAGAAGAAATATCTACTGAAAAATCTGGGGTTGGCAGGAAACATCTTGTCAAATTTTCAGTAGTCACAACTAAAATCAAAAATTTTCTAATTAAAATCTTTTAGAGCTGTACATGAATGTATACAGTGTATTTTTCCCTTTGGTATATAATGAGCAGAGTAATAATAATTTTCATGGAACATTTCTTCTGATTAATAATTTTTATATTATAACTAGACTGCACACTTAGAAATGAGCCAAAACAAAAATGGAAAACATAGCAATATGTCATAAACACTCATGTAACCATCAGGTAGGGCAAGACATGGAATGTTGCTAACAGCCTAGGTTTACCTCAATGTGTTTCCATCCCTCTACACCTTTCTTCACACCTCCTGTAATACGCAACGTCCATAATTTATGATGATCATTTTTTAAAATTTTTCTTTATACTTTACCAACTAGGTATGCAACCCTAAACTCAATAGCTTGGTTTGGTCTGCTTGGAACTCTGTATAGATACAATCCTATATGTTCGTATTCATGGCTTCCTGTGCTCAACATTATGGATCTGAAATGTAATCACATAACTGCATGTACATGTGATTCATTTCTTTTCACTTCTCTATGTTTTTTCATTTTATGATTTTATTGTAATTATTTATTCATCCTTATTTGATGTACATATGGGCAGCTTCTTTTCTGAGCTGTTAGAATAATTCTACAATGAGCATTCTTTCACATATCATTTGCTACAATTCCTTTGCATTTATATAGCTGGGTGTAGAATTACAGGGTCCTTGATTATGACATTCAAATTCTCCTCACAGACATAGAAAAGCCCAAAACACAGTTTGACTAAATTTATTCCTGTCACCTTTATCTCCAGTCTCTTTATTGCTATTTGCATATATCTTATCAATTATACGTTTAATCCAACAAGACAATATTGTTTTATACAGTCAACATTTATTTAGAATTACACACTTATTTTTCGTCATTAATTTTTATTGCTCCTTGCATGTTCAACTTTGTATTTTCAGTAATTTTTATTATATCTGAAAAATATCATTTTCAATTTCTGTTTATGAAGGTCTACTACTCTTTGGAAACACACTGAAGACATGATTCCTTTGAATTCCTCCTTCCATATTTTCTGTTAAAATCAGGTTGTATTTAGAATGCAATTCTTATCAACATACTCTATCTTCTACCTCTAGCTACTTTTCAGATTTTCTACTGGTCTTTGGTGTCCTGTATTATTTTTTGTTAACTTGATTTTAGTTATCATGCCTGAAGTTTGTGATTACTAAAGATATATGCTGGGATACATTTTCACTTTTGGAAAAATCCCTGCAACATTTCTCTCGCTCTGTTTTCTCTCCTCTAATCTTACAGAACTCTACAAGTATGTTAGGTGTTTTGATGATAGCATCAGTGTGTTACCCTCTAGCCTTGCATTTTCCATTTCTTTCTCTCTATGCTTCATTCTGTGTAGCTATCTTCTAATTCACTAATTATCTCTTCTCGTGCTCTAACTGGTTGACTCTTTCTATTGGATTCTCAGTACTGATATTTCATTTTTTTAGTCTTATTGTTTTAGTGTTCAGAATAATCTTTTATTCTCTTTCTGAACATTATTTTCTATAGGAAAACTGAACAAACTACTCTTAACACTCTGTTCTTTTTAAAAATGTTTCTGATTTTTTTGATTTTTTGTTTTTTGTTTTAGTATGTTAGAAATGAAAACGGTAACAATTTTCTTCTTTTCCCAACACTTTAGTCAGAGAATAGAATAAAAGCTTTGTGTTAGAATTTACCTTCAATTTGAAAGAAACTGGAAATTAAGTTGATGTGAGTAGCTTTTTTTGGATATTAGCTTGTCTGTTGCTGGGTCCCCACCACAAACTCTGCTCAAAGGGAACTCAAAGAGCAGCACTGGATTTCAAAATATCATTGCAATAGATAAAATATAGTTCATTAACCACAGATACATCATTGTATTCCATGACATAATTTTCACTTTGCTTATGTTGTTGAAAAGGTGCTCTGTGCCTTTGAATTACATCATTATCCAAATGATATAGACAAGATGTGGGGGAGAGCTTACTTCTGTTTGATTTATTTAGCCCTAAAATCCTCTCTTTAGAAATAAGAGCTTGATCATGAAATGGTTTATTTATTTTTCTTACTAAGCAATTTTATTTATACTAAAATCAAAATCTTTTTATAGTGTTCCTTGGATTAGTTTAATATCATCTATAATTGTTTTCTTAAGCAATGTATTTTAAACTACACTACACTACACTTAACTTTCTAAATCTCAATGTATTCAGCCTGACATGAACTTTGCTGTTTACTAATGTAACTTTCCCACAATGATATCTCTTGGAAATTACATAGACATTACCCAAATTATGTATGTAAATATTTCAGAAATAAATCATTTAATAAGACAGATGTAAATGTAGATGATGATAATAATGATGATGATGTCACCTGAAAGGGAGAATGTTACTAAATAATTGTGATTCGAGTCTTCTTTTCAAAGCACTAGAGTTAAGGGTGGTGGGAGAACACTATTATTCATCCTCATGGCTTTACATTTTGTGTGTGTGTGTGTGTGAGATGGAGTTTCGCTCTTGTCACCCAGGCTGCAGTGCAATGGCACAATCTCAGCTAACTGCAACCTCCGCCTCCAAGGTTCAATTGATTCTCCTGCCTCAGCCTCCCAAGTAGCTGGGATTACAGGTGCTGTCCATCACATCCAGCTAATTTTTATATTTTTAGTAGACAGTGGGTTTCACTATATTGGCCAGGCTGGTCTGGAACTCCTGACCTCAGGTGATCCACCAGTCTCAACTTCCAAAGTGCTGGGATTACAACCATGAGCCATGGTGCCTGGCTCGATTCTTATATTATTCTCAGAATCAGGCCTAGACAAATACCCTCACATAGTATTTCATCAAGAGTAACACAAAATCAACATATTTCTAATGATTTGCAAGATATTTTTTCTTTTACCACATTCTAAAAATTACCCCAAAAGTGACCTCTAGCAAAGAATACTCTCTTTTTGGCTGTTTAATTTTATTCCACTTTTATATGAACTTACACAAATACTCTGTGCAATTATAAAGTGTATAAGCTTCATCTTTTAATAGCATTATTAACAAGTGAAATTCTCTCTACTGTTTATTTTTAATCTCAGCTACTGTCACAAAATCTGGGTGATTTTATTACAGCAGTCAAAGTAGTTACACTAAATATGCTTTATGCCTCAACAAAATTATCTTTCTACTAATTCTTCTCTAATATTCAAAAACTTTGTACTATCAAAATATTTTTCCTCACATATGTGTACACATGCATGGTATAATCTTTGAATGGTAAAAATGGGCATAATTATTTCATTTAGAGATAAATTTATAAAAATTGTCCTGTGTATTTAATATCTATATTACTATAATTTATTGGAAATTCACTAATTTCTGCCTCTTTGAAATGTTATCATAAATAATGAAATTGGAAATAAGAAAAAAAGGTGTCTAGTGTAATACAGATGCTCAGAATCTGATGTTTCTTTTTTTTTTTTTTTTTTTTTTTTTGAGACGGAGTCTTGCTCTGTCACCCAGGCTGGAGTGCAGTGGCGAGATCTCGGCTCACTGCAAGCTCTGCCTCACTGCAAGCTCCGCCTCACTGCAAGCTCCGCCTCACTGCAAGCTCCGCCTCACTGCAAGCTCTGCCTCACTGCAAGCTCCATCTCCCAGGTTCATGCCATTCTCTTGCCTCAACCTCCGGAGTAGCTGGGACTACAGGCGCCTGCCATCAGGCCTGGCTTATTTTTTGTATTTTTAGTAGAGTGTTAGCCAGGATGCTCTTTTGTTATGAACACATGTAATTATACTAGACATACTTCTTTTAACCAAATATTATGCCAAATGACTTTGAGAAAATATGATTAGTTAACAGCATACTGTAAGGCAACTTTCAGCATTGTTTAACAACTACTTAAAAGGACCCAAAGAAAATAATATGTTGAAATATCAAATAAGTATATAAGTGTAATGAAGGTGCCTATGGGAAAATACAAATTCTACCATTACTGTTATGGATAATAATGATGAGTAGTAAACATACCATGTCTGAATTTTTTTAAGGCAGGCCTAATATCAATGGGCAATATTCCCTTTAAGGTCCTGACCTTAATTTCTATGTGCACCTGATTTCTGATTGTGCAGTAATGTTCTTGTTCCTTTTAAATTCTCTGACTAATGTCAAGCAGGAACGCACCGGGCCATGCTACTGAATGAGTTCAAGGCTGTCTTAATGGAAAACATGATAATTTCCAAAACAGCTCAAATTAACTCCTATTCAAATGCTGTGACCTTGTTATAAGATAAAATGTTTCATGCTGATGTTGAAGTAAAAGCTGAATTCTCATTTGCCAGCATGCAAATCAGGTCATATTCTTATTCATCATTTTGCCATTTATTCCTTGTTTAACCTCTCTATAATTTGTGCTGAGCAATGGCAGTTGTAAGGGAAATTTTCTAACCTAATACATAGATCCTACATCAGATGCCTACACTGTTATATGCAGCTCGGTCAAAACTAGAATCACGACCACTGTTGATTCACCTTTTCTGTGCCAGATTTAGTGAGTCCTAACTTTTCCTACCAAAAGCATCCAAGGTTTTCTTGGGAAGCCCAGGAAGGCCAATATTCCTAAAAATCTCGTTGCTGCCAACTAATAATTTTGTATAACTTATTGTTAACAAGCTCATTAACACAAACACGTTCACACACACACATACACACACCTCATAGTTGGGAAATATTATTGTCCTATAATTTCTAAAATGAAAAAATAATTTTCTTACTTGGGCTTTTCAGTGCATTTTCAATCTTTATCAAACTTAGCCTCTCATATTTAGGACTTTGACTAAATTATTCTCTTGAGCCTAATACTTAAATATTAGTTGTTTAATTAAAATACTCAGCAATTTTATAACTATTCCTTGGGCACTTAAAAAACATGTTTTCCATTGAAGAGTCTACACTTCTCTGTGTATGAATAGTCAGTTGTATTTTCCTCTATTTAATTCATTTTTGATTACTTAATGGTTTAGATGAATAGATGTTAAAATCAGTCTCCAATCTTGGATTTTTATTTCCTTTCAGTTTTTACAGTATGATGGTTTCTAAGAGGGGATCTTGGAGTCAGACTGCCAGGACAGGAAACCAGATTCCCTGCTTGGTATAGCTATGATCTGAGACTCCATTTTACAACTACTCCCTGCCTCAGTATTATCACCTATAAAAAGCAGATGATTGGCCAGGCCCGTGGCTCCCAGCAATTTGGCAGGCTGAGGCAGGTGGATCACCTGAGGTTAGGACTTCAAGACCAGTATGGCCAACATGGTGAAACTCTATATCCACTAGAAATGCAAAAATTAGCCAGGTGTGGTGGTGCCCGTCTGTAATCCCAGGTACTCAGATGGCTGCAGCAAAAGAATCATTTGAACCCAGGAGGTGGAGGTTGTAGTTAGTCGAGATCACACCACTGCACACCAGCCTGGGAGACAGAGCTAGACTCCGTCTCGAGAAAACAACAACAAAAAAAGCAGATGATAATAAATCTGTCTTTGGCTAGTTTTCTTATGAGTTAACATACTATTTGTATAACTGCTTTCCATTTTACCTTTTTGCTATAGGCAGGAACCAAAGATTGTTAATTATTGATTTGAACCTGTTTTACTTGATATTTAAGACACCAGTAAGAACTTTCACTTTTTTTTTTTTTTCTTCTTAGACAGAGTCTCCCTCTGTTACCCAAGCTGGAGTACAGTGGCAGGATCATAGCCCACTACAGCCTTGAAACCCTGGGCTCAAGCAATCCTCCTGCCTCAGTTTCCCAAGTATTTGGAACTATAGGCATGCAGCACCACGCCAGCTAATTTTTCAATTTTTTGTAGACATGGAGTTTCCATATGTTGCAAAGGGAACTCCTGCTCTCAAGGGATTCTCCCACCTTGGCCTCCCAAACTACTAAGACTACAGGCATGAGCCATCACATCCAGCCTGCAGGGGGAGGTTTTGAAGGTCAGATGCTACCTAGAGTTTTGTCTCATGTCCATCCCAAGGTGGATCTAATCAGTTTGTAGTTACTACCTCTTCCTGAACGTGTAATTGAACTGGATACGTATGGCAGCTGGCAGGACTTTCACATTCTTCGTGAACTGTAGAGTAAGGGACATTATTATAGCAGGACCAAGTTGAAGCCTCTGAAATTCTCCACTGCTGGCAACCCAATGTATAAAATATAATAACCGCATTCCCTAAGGAATGGAACTGGTCACTGCCGTGACAAAACACTTGCAAGTTACAGGGGATGGTAGTCCTTTCTATAACCGGATTCACTTAACCTATCTGGCCTCTACCAAAACCAGATGGATTATAGAATGAGTGCAGATTACCATAAACTTCAATCAACACTCACAAATGCTTTCTAGGATGTACTGTCTTCACAGAGCAGAGCATAGCTTCTGGCACTTTTTACGGGGCTCGTCATTTGGTGAATATTTGTTAATCTACACCCTTTATGAGGGAAAATCAAGACAATTTGCCTTGTATTGTAAGAATAATAGCACTGCTTCACTGTTTTATGTCAGGACTATGTCACTTCTGTTCTCTGTTTAATTTACATTTTTTTAAAAACATCATGCTAATTTAATATATTAATAATATTACAGCCCGGGCCCTGTGGCACATGATTGTAATTCCAGCACTTTAGGAGGCTGACTTGGGCCCAGGAGTTTGAAACCAGCCTGGGTAACATGGTGAAATCCCAGCCCTACAAAAAATACCAAAATTAGCCAGGCAAGGTGGTGTGTCCCTGCAGTCCCAGCTGCTAGCAATGCTGAGGAGGGAGAATCAACTGAGCCCAGAAGGTTGAGGCTGCAATGAGCTATGATCCTGCCACTGCACTCCAGCCTCATGGACAGAATGAGACCCTGTCTCAAATAATAATTATATATTATTTGGTAAAATAAACAGGAAGAGGCAAGATTCTTAATATTGTAAAATACTATAACATTGAATGGAAGTAAAATACCAGAAGAAAAGAGATATGTGAAGATTCAGGGACTGACAACATAGGTGATGTTTTCAGGTTTTCAGTGTCCCTAGTCCACATGTCAAAACAATCTTTTTTAAAGTAAACGGCATGTTGCTCTCTCTCTATATTTCCTATCACTACAAAAGAGACACAGTGTTTTGGGGGCCTACTGGGATTTTGGAGCCAACATATTCCACATTTGAGAATATTGCTCTGACTCATTAATGAAGTTTCTATAGGCTACTGGTCTCAAATGGAGCCCAGAACAAAAGAGGGCTCTACAGCAGATATAGGTTCTGATCCAAACTGCTATGGCCACTGAGCCAAATGATCCAGCAGAATTCAAAGCTGTTAGAGGCATACATAGTGGGCATTATAGGACTCTGTGCACGTCTCTGACAAGCCTGTGGGAGAGGGGAGAGCAAATCCCTATGGAATTAGTGCAAGACCATTCCCTCTTCAGCAGAGGAGTATCCTCTGTGCAACTGTGCAAGTCATATGCTCATAAAGCCAGCCATGACTGGAGGGCATGAGTACATCTGAGCGGCACAAAGAGTGGTGGTATTGGACACAGACATGTGCTTTCTTAGATTCCCTTCACTATCTCCTATTCCCCTGGCCAGCACCTTGCCTGATCCAGATCATCCTTCCATTTGGGACTTGAATGGAACACCACACTGTGGGCATGAGGTCTGACTTTCACAACCTCCACCTAGGGACTGGATGATGGAAGGCAGAACAGCAGAGATGGTAGTTCTGCCTCAGGGAAACAATGGCCAATGGGAAATCAAATACAGAAGACAACTGAGCAGATACATTCTCCATTCTCCCTCCTCTCTCTCATCCCTGGACTAATGCCGGCTGTGGTTTCCCCTTGTAGCCCTTCTGGAAAAGTGCTGGGAGCCAAGTGTACGCATCTGATGACCGTCATGCTGTCTCTCTCACCTCACTGTGAAGTGGCTGCCAGCAGAGCCATACCAGACATCACCACACATTGTTTCACATTTGTTCCTGTCTCAATTTCCACATATCCTTGCCATTTTTGTCTTGAACTTGATTTCTAAATAAATGTCATCACCTTAATAACAGGTAATACATAAAAAACATTTTAGTAAAGTAGCTGGTTACTAACTCAATTTTTAAAATGAAATGCCATTTTTGTTTAAATAATAATCAACTAGAAAATATCATAATACAAATATATAATTCACAATAGAAAAAAATACATATTCAAATAGACCAAGGTTGTTTATACGCTTTCTAAAAATATTGTAATAGGCGCCATCTAATTTTGATGTTCTACCTTGTCTCCAATTCAGACACCTGATACAGTTGCATCAAGACTATATTATTGTCATATTTCCCCTAAAATTGTGGAATAGCCAAACTTTTCCTCTGCGGAAGGATTCTGCTTGGATAAGCCTGTAACCTTAACCTGAGAACAGAACAGGGGAATTCATGCAACTGCAGATTTTGTGATGAGTTTCCCTTTCATTGGTTTACCACATCAGCTTACCCATTTTATCCACCCATTTATTTGTTCATTAAAATATCATTTTTGACCATCTATTCTTGTTGCTGGGTTCTAGGTCCTGGGAGTCAACAGAAAGCAAGAAAGAGATGAGATCATCTTGCTCTCTGATCTTACATTCAACAGAAAGCAAGACAGAGATGAGATCATCTCTGATCTGATTTTACAGTTCTTACATTGTACTGAGGAAGATACATGATTTTAAAAAAACACATAAATCACATGTGGGGATGATTTATCTTAAGGTTTAAATCACATTTTTAAAATTTCATAACACCAAAATTAATACAGTCATGTAGAATTTAGCTGTGAACAAGACTGTACATTTCCATCTCATAATAGAACTTCCTATTAATGAATATGTCAACCACTTTCATTTCATCATTGACAACAAAATTATAACTGTAAAGCACATTCTATAATTAAAACATAGATTTCATAGATGCCATTTTAACATTTACAAAAATTTCATTGATTTATTTTCCATAATTTCTATACTATTTTTACATTGATAGTTTTTTTTTAGAATAAGGAAGATTTGGGTTCTGTTACCTGAAGTTTAGAAGGAATTTTATAAATGGAAGGTAAGGGTATAATTAACAATTCAGGGGCTTAAAAGTGCTTTAGAAAAAAATACTAAAATAGTTTACATCACCTCTCAACTTCAAAAAAAAAGCTTTTCTTTAATCCAAAAGCTGGAAGAAATGACTTTTCTAACTACATATGGAAACTGATAATAGCAATCAAGATCACAATCATGATTTTTCATCCCTATTATAGAAGAGATTGTTTTCTAAGCTATTCACATGCTTGTATTAAATCTAATATTCCTCAGAACTGTTTATGGTAGACATAGTTGAAACTTACTCTACATATGCTTGTCACTCAAATTTTATTGTGTGCATTGTTTTCTATCAATAATTCTGATTGCTTTTTACTAAACATAAAATAGGAATTCATAATGGAATAAAACCTCAAAGACACATCCTTATTATTGATTTAGAATTGAATGACCTTACCATCCAAAAAGTTACAGGTTCAAACAATGAATTCGAAGCACACTGTGGTATATTTGTGTGGTTCAAATAACAATAGAAAACAGCAATGTCTTTCCTGAGATAAGCTGATAGTTCTTAATAATTATAAATATAGATCATAAATTATTCAAATGAAATATAAAATACATAAATGAAATAGGTATGGATTCATAATTCTTAAGAATTTTTGTCATATTTTGTATAATTTGGCAGTTTGTGTGAAAAAACAAAAAAGAGTATGTCACTGTCAATGTTCTTTTGTTTTTCATACAAACATACACACAAAAATACATATATATACATACGCACTTTTTTAGACTAACGTTAGGTAAAAGACTTTTCTAGGTACATGCTTGAAAGTTATTCATATACATACATTACAGAAAACACAGTAAGAAATATAAAATGCTTCATATAACACGTTTGTTTTCTGCTAGAAGATACACAATGCTGCTCTTGTGAATCTATGAAGATGAAGGCTTCTCTCCTTTCACCCAGTACCTCACATGCCACAAAACTGAAAGAAAAGTCTGCTTTAGCTTCTTGTTTCCCCAAATCAGGATGAATGGGTGGGTTGAAGGATAGCTGAATGCAATAGCTTCGCAGAACATGAAGACAGGTTTGTTTTCCAGACTCTCAAAACTCCAAACTGACATGATTATGGACAGAAAGTAAATGGCACATAACAAGAGGAAGGAGGTCACAGTTTGCAAAGCTTTTATGTGGACCTTCATGCTGGGATCTTGAGATCCTTTGCCATGGAGCTGCATCTTTTTGAGATGTTTACACAGAGAACAGATTAACAGCAGAAAAGATATCAGGGTCAGAGTGAAGGGAACTAAGTTTGCTAGGATGGTTACCGTTGTATTTGAAAGGTACATTGCACTCCTCAGTTTGATCTTCCAAGTCATGTTTCCTTCATATTCTTTTGTCCATATAATCTGATTCATGTTTATCACAAAAAGATGACAAACCAAAAATAGCAAAGGCCCCAATAGTATCACCAGAACAACACTCTTAACTCTCCTCTTTAAGTGAAGAAAAATAAGGTTGGAGAAATTGGCAATCTTGAGCAAATAAAATATGCTGAGGCTAGTAGCAAGCCAGTTGCTGAAATGGTTGATTACTGCCCAGACATTGTAAGCAGTAATTCTTACTTCTATACTGTTAAAAGCTGGATTCAACTCAGTTGCATACCAATTTAATACTAATACCCAGAGTAAACCAACTCTGGAGACTGCCAGAGCAGTGAGAATTTGGTCAGCAAAAGAGATCTTTTGTCTCTTGAACCACTCAATGGAATTTACCAATGCTATGAAGCCATTAGCAAAATTTCCAATCACAAATGTAACCACTATTAGAATGGAAAAAATGATGGGCAGAAAAGTTATCATGTCTGAACAGACAAAAAGAAATTTTTAAAATGCTGGTGTAATATCACTGGTTGTGATTGCTTGAATATCCTGACCTTAAATTCTATATGCACCTGATTTGTGTATGTGCTGTGACATTCTTTTTACTTTTAATTGCTGTGACCAGTGTCAAGCCAGAAATCACCATGGCATGCTAATGGGTAAGTTCAACGCTCTCTTTATGGAAAATATTCTTATTTTCAAAACAACTCAAATTAACCCATTCATTCACTGTCTGTCCTTGTTATAGGCTGGAATTATTCATACTGAAGTTGACATGAAACCTGAATTCTCATTTGCTAGTATGCAAACAAGGACATATTCACTTTCAGTGTTTGCAATTTTTCCTTGTGTAACCTCTCCATCATTTGTCTTTAGTGACTTCAGTTGTTAGGGAAGTTTTATAACCCAATACAGAGATCATATAGTAAATGTCTAAATTCTTAAAAGGAGCTTGGTCATAATTAAGTTCATCACCTATATGGACTTTTTTAAATGACAGATTTAAATACACAGAATCCAAACTGCTTTTATCAAAAATATCTAAGATTTTCTGGAGAACCTCAGAATCTGGTTGCTGCTAATACGTTTGTATAACTTCATTATTCACAAGCTCATAAATACACACACAAACACACACATGTGCACACCACTCACGAATGGAACAAATTATTTTCTCATCAGTTCCAAAATAAAAAAAGGAGTTTCCAGGAGGTTGTCTAGGTGAAGTTAGTCCTATTTTCCCACTCAGGGCTTTCAGCTCATGAATAATATTTATTTATCAAACATATCTCTAATTCTTAGGCCTTTGGTAAAGTTTCTCTCAAGACTAATGTTTAAATATTTATTACTATACAAAACATTTAGCAATTGTATAAGAATTCCTGAGTACCCAACCCTTTGATATATAGTCTTGCAGTATCCTGCCATCACTGAGAAGGCTGACTACCTTGCCCCTGAACTTGGAGTACAACCATTTAACTTGCTTTGATAAACAGAAAATTACTACACTTTGCATAGAGATTTCAGATGGCTTCCATAATGGGGATTCTTCCTCTTTCCATTTACCATGAGAATATCACCTGGCTAGTACACTGTTCCCAGAAGGAGAGTGAGAAACTAATGAAGTCAGATTGCCCCCACCTGATCCAGACCAAATTGGCCAAACTCTAACTACTACCAAGATTCAGAATTTGGTCCATTTCAAATAAACAGAGCCATCCACCAAACCCAGCTTAAAAAAAATGAAATCCAACAACATGTGAGATATAAACATCTAATGTAGTTTGGAGGGTTTTTCTCTTGCAGAAAAACATAACTGATAAATCAACTCTGCTAAACCAAGAGTGTGGGAAATATGTACAACCTTGTTGTGTCAGGAATTCAGGAGCCAAAAGCAAAAACAGATGGGAAATTGCAAAGGTTTGTTCTTGTGAGGTCGATAATTAAGGCTAGAAGAAATCCATTGGAAAGTTCTGGGGTTGGAGGATAACATCATCTCAAATTTCCTCACGTTGCAACTAAATAAGAAAGTGCTCACTTCAACTCCCTTAGAGTTGTATAACAATGTATACAAATAGTTTATTATTGCCATCAGTATATAATGAGATGAATAATAATAATTTCTATGAGACATATCTCCTAATTAAACATTTTACATTAAAATTATAATGCACACTTAGAAATGAACCAAAACAAAAATGGGAAATACCGCAGTGTATCATAAACATTCAAGTAACCATGATGCAGGCAAGACAAGGAACACCAAACACAACCTAGGTCCACCTCCATGCCACTTTCCAAGTCCCTAAACATTTCTTCATACCTCCTGAGATAAGCAATATCCAAAATTTATGGTGATTATTTCCTTAATTTTCTTTACACTTTACCAACTAGGTATGCAACCCTAAACTCCATCGCTTGGTCTGGCCTGCTTTGCACTGCGTGTAGGTGCAATCCTACATGTTCTTCTTGTTTGTGGCTTCTTGGACTCAACATTGTGTTTCTGAAATTTAGTCACATAGTTGCAAGTACATGTGATTTTTTTTCACTTCTCTATACTGTTCCATTGTGTGGATTTACTGTAATGATTGATCTATCCTTAATATATATTTGGCCAGCTTCTTTTTTGAACAGTTACGAATAATTCTACTAGAGCATTCTTTCATATATCATTTGATGCAATTCCTCTGTATATATACCTTTGAGTAGAATTACAGGGTCATTGTGCAAAATATCCTCATAGACATAGAAAAGTTTAAAAGATAATTTAACTAAATGTACTCCTGTCAGCTTTACCTCCATTCTATTTTTTGCCATTTGCATGTATCTTATCAATTATATAATTACCCCAACAAGACATTATTATTTTATGCAGTAAACATTCATTTAGAATTATGCACATATTTACCACTTCATTAATTTGTATTCCTTTTTGCATATTCAATTTAATAGTTTCAAAAAGTCCTTTTATTGGCAAGGCAGGGTGGCTCACACCCATAATCTCAACATTTTGTAAGGCTGAGTCAGGAACACCCAGGAGTTCAAGACCAGCCTGTGCAACACAGCGAAACTGTGTCTACAATAAATGAAAAAGCCAGGCATAAGGAAGCTACTCACAAGGCTGAGGTGGGAGGATGGTTTGATCCCGGGAGTTCCAGACTGCAGTAAGCCATGATCCTACCACTGAACTCCAGCCTGGACACCAGATTGAGACTCCAACTCCACATAGAATAATACTGATAATAATAATAATTTTTCTATTATCTGAAAAAAATATCATTTTAAGTTTCTGTTTATCAAGGTCTATTCTACTTTTGAAATGCACTGAAGGCATGATTCCATTGAATTCTAGCTTCATTTTTGTCTGTTGAAAATCAGGTTGTCATTTAGACAGTTATTCCCTTTAACATAATCTGTCTTTTCCTTTAGTTACCTTTCAGGTTTTTTATTGGTCTTTGATGTCCTGTCATTTTATATTAATTTGGTTTTAGTTATCTTGTCTGAAGTTTGATGGTTTCTAAAAATATATGAACTGATACACTTTACCACTTTTGGAAAAATCTCCACAATGCTTCTGGCCCATTTTCTCTCTTCTAATCTTCTGGAACTGCAGAAGTATGTTAGTTGTTCTGATTGTAGCTTCAATGTCTCTGACCCTCTAGCCTTATATTTTCTACCTCTTGGTCTCTTTATGCTTCATTCTGGGCAGTTATCTTCCAATTCACTAATTCTTTCTTATGTTTAACTGGTTCTCAACTCTGTCTATTGGATTCTCAATATTCATTACTCTTTTTTATCTTATTGTTTTAGGGGTAGAAATGAACTTTTATTCTCTTGCTATAAATCATTTTTTAATGGAGAAACTAAACAAAGTATTTATAACACCAACTTCTTAAAAAATAGTTTTTGTAAATTTTTAGCACACCTGACATGAAAATTGTAGTGATTTTCTTCTTTTTGTAATACTTAGGTCACAGAAGAGATTAAAATTATGGTCTACGCATTCTCCTGCAACTTGGAAGAAACTGGAAATTGATTTGATGTGAGTAGCTTTTTTTGGATAGTAGCTTGTCTGTTGCTGGGTCATCACCACAAACTCTCCTCACAGGGAAATTCAGTGAGCAGCACTGGATCTCAAAATGTCATTACAATTAATAAAATATAATATCTCAACCACAGCTCCACCTTTCTATTCCATGATTTAAATTTTACTCTGTTTTTATTAGCAGAAATCAAGACTTCTTCATTTATAACAATCTTTAAAAGATCAAAGAGTAAAACAGTACATACAAGTTTATGAAAGATTGAAGAACTTTAAGTCTCATGGAAACAAAACTGAATCTGGTGTTTCTAAAGAATTCCACCATTTAATCCCTATCCGTGAGTATAGTTTTGTTTATAGAACTATAACTTTCGAACTCCACCATCACTCACACAAGTGTGACAGAAGATCTGAGGTCTTAACTCTGTTTGACTATTTGGTCCTAAAATCCTCTCTTAGAAATAAAAGCTAGCTCATAAAATGTATCATTTGCTTTGTCCTTCTTACTGGTTAGTTTTAGTTACACTAAAATCTAAATTGTTTCTATAGTGATCATAATGAAACAAAGATTAGTTTAAGCTCATCTATAAATAATTATTTGCTTAAGCAATATATTGTAAAATAAGCTATACTTAATTTCTAAATCTACATGTATTGAGCATGACTAAGCTTTGCTGTTTACTCCTGTAACTTTCCCACAATGATGGTCTTTTAAAAATTACTTATTTTCCAAATTATGTATTTAAATATTTCAAAAATATATCATTTAATGAGATAGATGTATATATAGATGATGATGATAATAATTATGGCAGGTAAAAGGGAGAATGCTATTTGATAAATGTGATTTCCATCTTGTTTTTTAAGTACTGGAGTTCAGGGTAGTGAGAGAACCCTACTATTCTTCCTCATGGCCTCATGTTTCTTCTATGATTCTCAGCATCAGGCCTAGAGAAGTATCCTCATGTGGTAGTTCATCAAGAATAATGTAAAACCAACATATTTTCAAGAATTTCTTTGCTTCTTTTTCTTTTACTACATTTTAAAAATTCATAGCAAAAGTGACATCCAATAATTAGGATTCTATTTTGGGGCTTTTTGGGCATTTTTCAATATGAATATAGAAAAATACTCTCTGCAATAATACAGTATATCAACTTCATTTCATCTTTTAATAGCATCATTAGCAAGCCAAATTCTTGCAAGCCTTTTTCACATTCTTAGCTATGGTGACTAAATCTGGATCATTTTACTATAGCAGTGAAAGTAGCATTATATATGCACAAACATGCTCAAAGATCATGCTAAATATGTTTTATACCTTAACAAATTTGCCTTTCTATGATTTTTTTCTCCAATGCAGAATCAAAAAATTTATATTAACAAAATATTTTACCCAACACACAGGTGTACACATGATTAGTATTGTGAAATTAGAATGCTAACAATATGAATACAAATATTTCATTTAGAGACACATTTTGGGATAATAGGTCTATATATTTAACCTCCATCATACTATAATTTATTGGAAATTCATGACTTTGTGACACTTTGACATGTGTATTATAAATAATTAAATTGGAAATAAGAAAAAAGGTGTTTAGCTGTCATAAATATTCAAGTTTTGATGTTTCAAATTCATATTAGCATTAAGAAGGTGGATTTACAGTTCTTGCTTATGTCTTCTTTTTAAAAAAATATTAATTTAAGAAAAGTTTCAGGGCAGGTCTAGTGGCTCACATCTGTAATCCCAGCATTTTGGAAGGCTGAGGCAGTTGGATTGCCTGAGCACAGGAGTTCAAGTCCAGCCTGGGAAACATGCCAAAACCCTGTCTCTACCAAAAACAGAAAAAATTAGCAGGGCGTGGTGGTGCACGCCTGTTGTCCTAGCTACTCTGGAAGCTGAGATGGGAGAATTACTTGAGCCTGGATAGCAGAGGTTGCACTGAGCCAAGATTCTGCTTGTGCACTCCAGCCTGGGCAACAGAGAGAGACCCTGTCTCAAAACAATAAGAAAAATTTTAAATTTTAACTTGGATTTCTTAGTACCATAATGCTCTATTCTCCTTTATTCAGCAAATACTCTAATAACAATGGTATCTATAAGAATATGCTGTATCACCCTAATTTTATATGTAGGAATGTATTTTATGTTTCTGCTTTTTTAACTTTTTTTTTTTATTGGGGAGCATAACTTACATATGGAGCATAATAAAACCTAATAAACAGTAAGAGAAAAAATTATAACATTAACATCGATGTTACCACACCTTGGTCAGAAAATAGAATTTGCCAGTAATCCAGACACTCCCAATATATGTCTTCTTGCTGATATTTCCCGTTTATCTCCTCCCTCCTGATTATCCCAATTGTTATGATGATCACTCATATGTTTCACTGTAGAGTTTTATCACCAATGTAACAAATTACAATATATTAAAAATATTTTTCTTGAACTTTATGTAAATGAGATTATACTGAATGTATTTTTCCATCTTGATAATTCCTCTCACATTTGTGAGTATTATTATCTATGTAGCTCAAATTTGTTCATTTTCTTTGTTGTATTATTCTGTTGTAAACATGTCTGTCTAGTTCATTAATTTTGATCACTGTATAGTATTCCATTGTATAAGTATGCCACAATTTGTTTATCCATTTGGAGGTCTGAAAGACATTTGGAGGACATGCATAAAGATAAATTTATATTCTTATTTCATACCATACACAAAAAATAACTCATATTTGATTATAGAGCTATACGTAAAAGGTGAGATTAGTAACTAAGATACTAAAACATACTACCTGTACAACTGCAAGTAATATAAGTGGGTTAATCAACCATAATTCCATCTGTATATTTCTCTACTTAGATCATTATTTCTATAATAATAATAATCCCCTGCATAGTAATCTATCAATATGTATAATGCTATTTTAAATAAAACTAAATTAGATGGTGGGTCACCCTCACTCTGATTTAGTGGAAATTCAAGCAAAAATATTATTAATACTCCATCTTTTCCCTTAGATTTTTGGTATTATTACTTCTATTTTTCATTTTTTGAGACATGGTCTCACTCTGTAGCCCCAACTGGAGTGCAGTGGTTTCGGATTGGCTCACTGCTCTCCACTGCTCTCTACAGCTCCCAGCCTCAAGCTATCCTCCCACCTTAGCCTCCCAGGTAGCTAGGACTGCAGGTGGACACCACCTCACCTAGCTAATTGTCATATTTTTGCTAGAGACTGGGTTTCACCATGTTTCCTAGGTTGGTCTCCAATAATTGTGCTCAAGAAATCTGTCTACCTAAACCTCCCAAGGTGCTCAATTACAGGCTTGAGCCACAGCATCCAACCTGGTACTGTTACTTCTAAATGTAAATTTGACATTTGAAGGAAAAATATTTACATAATGTGCTATATGCCAAGATGTGTGAATAAATAATTAATATAAATGGATAATCACCCTTACGCTTGTCTGTTAACTGATTTGGCTACATTGTCAGTAAGGAGAATACATGAGATCACCAACACAACAGGCATCATTGCAGAGATTGTAGAATTGAGATCTTGGGCAATCTCATGTTTTCAGTTTAGAGACAAAAGACAACTAGCAAAGGAGAATGAGAAGTGGAGTGGTGCCCAGTGAACAAAGATAAAATCAGGAAAGGGCATCATCCTGAAATGCAAATAAACTACGTTCAATGTGGCTAATAGAGCATGCAACATGAAGACTAACCTTGGCAACATAGACTCTGGTGATCTTGGAAACGTCAGAATCAATGAAACGATGACAGCAGTAGCTTCATTGGAATGAGTTCATAAGCCAATAGTTGAAGAGGCTTCACACTTTGATAAATACTTATAAACCAAGAGCAAAATGGAGCTGAAAAGCTCATTCCTGAGGTCGGCCTTTGAAGTGGAAAATCAAGAAACCTCAACCAGTTGTCAGGACTGAGCCAATTCCAAGAACAAGAATTCAATAATTGAAGGGAAGCTTAAGTCCCCTTGATAACAGATGCTGAAAATTCACCACAGAATATTCAGAATGTATTTATATGATGCTTTCTCAAAGACCTGCAGCCATTTCCTAGATAAACAGTACCCAGAGGAAAGGACACACATCCATACCATCTGAGACTTTTAGGTATAGGGCTTTTACAGTACGTAGTTAGTCAGGCATGAGTGGGGCAGAAGAGGGCTCCCACCACCCACAAGGAATGTCAGGTGGCCATCAGCTGATGCCCTGGCAGTTGACACCCTGCCTCTCTAAAAATAATAATTGGTCACAGGCGCCAGGGAGAGGCAATTTCACAATAAATAAAAACGCTTAAAATTGGTAGTCAGCAGCTCAGGAATAGGGTGAGTAGGCTAAGGCATGCGTGTTAAGAGAGAAAATGGTGGAATATGACCTTCTGTGGGCATTCCACCAAAAAAGGGAAGAATGCCTCAGGCAAGCATGTGTACAACTCCAGTAAACACACTGCGCATGCTCACCTCCAAAGTGTTAGCAGGCTACCACACATGTGAGCAGCCCACCCTAAGGGGCTGAATCATGGGAAAAGGAACACAAGACCCCAGAAGTATACCAACATATAAAACCACAAGTCAAAGATCTAACACTGCACTTGATCTCCAAAGTGCCCGCTGTGGTCTCTTCCAAGTGTCTTCCAAGAGACTTCCAATAAAGTCTCTTCCTTTCTTTCCTGCTCTCTTTTTAATAAACTTCCATTCCTGCTCAGAAACTTCCTTCAGTCTCTTCTTACTTATGCCCCTCAGTTGAATTCCTTCCTCTGGGGAGGCAAGACTTGACGTTGCTGCAGACTCGTATGAAATTGCCACCAGTAAACCAGATATTGGCCACCCCAGCAGAGCCTGAACTAACACTAATTATCTAGGTACCCAAAAGACACTGTGGTCCATGAGATGGAGTAGGAGATTTTCTTTTTAATTTTCTTTTGTTTTCTGTGTTATTTGCGTTGGCTTTTTCAGAGAGACAGTCTCAATCTGTCACCCAGGCTGTATCTAGTACAGTGGCATGATCATTACTCACTACAGCCTTGAATTCCAGGGTTTGTAACAGATTGCCCCATTTTTTTCTAAGAAAAAGAGAATGAATTATGATTTTTATTATTATTTTCTCTTCTCTCCCCTTTCCCTTTGTTCCCTGTATCCTGCTTAGCCATTCATAAATGCAAATAGAACCTTTCACCCCCACTCACTAGACATTCCCTGCAGGGCACATTTTTCTAACTATGTGCTCCGAGACCAATCTCTCCTGAGAACTGACAGTCAATTTGCAGACCAAACACACCCACCACAGAATTTTTACCTCCAGGAAGTGGACCAGGAAATTCCAGGCTCTGCTCCACTCTAGGAATTACCTAAGGACTTTCATCCAACAGGAGGGCATATGGAAAGCATACCTACTTGGCCACTTTTATAATGTATTTCTGCAAAGGCAGGTGCCAATTCAACTATCTGGTAGTGCAGGGGTTCAGTCAGAATGGTAGGGAAAATTATAAAATAAAAAAAAGACCTTCTTGGAAGACCAAAAGTTTTTGCATAACTTCAGATAGTTTGGCTGAAGGCAGCCAGTCTCTTTGCCAGAGCCAGAGCACTTTGGGCACAGACACAAAGGAATGTAGAGTAGTTTATCTAAAGAGCTTGTTTACTCAGGTAGTCCTAAAGCTAACCTTTCATCACTCACAGGCAGGATTGCTCTCCTGGGGGAAGGTGACAGAGTTGATTACCCTCTAATGGTGTTGACTCAAAGTTTTTGTCATTTAATGTGTTCTAAATAAATGCCAAGAAGGCCAGCAAGTTGGGGCGGCAGCTGACAGCACTCTTCCTTAGAGTCTGTTAAGTGGCCCGGATGCTCGGCTGGACTGACAAGCAAAACATACATGTCGGTGTATGTTATTCCTCTGTCATTGAGTCAGGGTCTGCTGGACAGACCCCTGCATGGTAGAAAAGGCACCAAGCTTGCAGGAGGACCCTCTACCCTTGCTCAATAACCCCCCTTACCTTATAAAAGTGTCTGCTTTCTGCTCCAAAGGTGAAGTGGTACACTTAAAGGCAGGACTCTTTGTGCCCCTTCCCCAAGCTAGGTTTGAAATAAATTCATTACTTTTGAACCAGGCCTCACTCTTTTTAACTGGATTCTGGATGCCACCAGCAACTGACTCGCATATTGTTTTCAGGTTCAAGGGAGTATCCTGCCTCATCCTTCTGTGTAACTGGGACTACAGGTGAGCACCACCATGCCAAACTAATTTTTGTTGTTGTTTTTTCTTTTTTTAGTTTTTGTAGAGACAAGCTCTCACCATGTAGCCCAGGGTGGTCTGGAACTCCTGGCCTCAATAGATATTCCCAACTGTGCCTACCAAAGTTCCGGGATTGCAAGCAAGAGCCATCATACCAAGCCTGCACTGGGAGTTTTTGAAGGTCAGATGCTACCTAGATTTTTGACTCATGTACATCCCAAGGTGGATCTAATCAGTTTGCTGTTATTACCTCTTCCTGAACATGTAATTGAAATGGACAAACATGGCAGCTGGCAGGACTCTCACCTTCTTCCTGACCTGCAGAGTAAGGGACACTATTAGAGCAGGACCAAGGCGAAGCCTGCGAAATTCTCCTCCACTGGCAACAAGGATTGAAAAATAATAATCACATTCTCCAAGGAATGGAATTGATCACTACCATGACAAAACACTTGAAAGTTACAGGGGATGGTAGTCTTTTTACATCCCTCTCCACTTAACCTAAATGGCCTCTACCAAAATCAGATACATTATAAAATGAGGGCAGAGTTCCATAAATTTAAATCACTACTTACAAATGCTCTCTAGGATGTGGTATCTTCCCTGAGCAGAGCAGAGCTTCTGGCACTTTGCATGTGGCTCTCGATTAAGTGAATATTTCTTGTTTTTCACCCACGGGTGGGTCGGGAGATTAAAACAGTTGGCCTTTGTTTGGTAAGAACGAAAGTGCTGCTTCACTGTTTTATGTCAGGGCGATGTCACTTCTGCTCTCAGTTTAATTTACATTTTGCAAAACATCATGTTAATTTATTAATAATGTTACAGTAATTGGTGCAATAACCAGGAAATGGAAAGGTCCCTAAATATAGTAAAATACTTGAACGTTAAATAGAAATAAAATACTAGCAGAAAGAGATACACCTGATAATATTTGGAAACCTGCAACATAGATATTGTTTTTAAGGTCTCATATTCCTGGTCTACATGTCGAAAAATCCATTTATTTATTTATATATTTATTTTTGAGACAGAGTCTTGCTCTGTTGCCCAGGCTAGAGTGCACTGGTGCCATCTCGGCTCACTGCAAACTTCGCCTCCTGGGTTCAATCAGTTCAAATCCTTCAGCCTCCTTACTAGCTGTATTTACAGCCATGTGCTACCATGCCTGGCAATTTTTTTTTTTTTTAAAGTAGAGACCTGGTTTCACCATGTTAGCCAGGCTGGTCTCAAACTCATGGCCTCAAGTGATCTGCCCACCTTGGCCTCCCAAAGTGCTGGGATTACAGGGGTGAGCCACCATGCCCAGCAGAAACATCCTTTTTAAAGTAAGTGGCCTGTTGCCCTATAAATACTTCTTATCACTAAAAGAGAAGCACAGTGTTTATTGACTCTCTTGGGGTTTTGGAGTCCACAAATACCACAATAGAGGATATTGCTCTGACTTGTTAATAAAGTCCTTTTTAAATCCCTGTTCAGTTAACCTACCTAGCCTCTGCCAAAACCAGATGGGTTACAGAATGAATGCAAAGACTAGTGGTTTCAAGTGGAATCCAGAACATAAGATATCTCTACAGCAGGTATAGGCTGTGGCCCAACCTGCTCTGCCCATTGAGTCAGATGATCCAGCAGAATTCAAAGCTGCTAGAGGCATGCATCGTGGGCATTATAGGACTCTGTGCCTGTCTCCATCAAGCCCGTAGGAGAGGAGAAAGCAAACCCCTAGGGAATTACTGCAGAACTATTCCCTCTTCAGCGGAGGAGTATCTGCTGTCTGAAAAATAAAAATGCAAGTGCAGAACATTAATCCAAGCAAAAAGCCCCTCAAGCACAAGACTGCGTGCAACTACACAAGGCATCTGCTTATAAAACCAGCCACAGTTGGAGGGCATGAGCACATCTGAGTGGCACAAGGAGGGGACTATATTGGACACAAACATGTGCTTCCTCAGATTCCCTTGACTCTCTCCTGTTCCCATGGTCAGCACCTTGCCTGATCCAGATCACCTTTCCATCTGGGACTTGAATGTATCTGTGGGCATGAAGTCTTGTAACAGAAAAGCTTAGTTGCTCACTTCATGTAAAGTCTAATTAAAAAGAGCACAGTCTGATACAAAAATAGAGAACTTATTTGGAGATTAGTTTTGGGGAAGGAGCATAAAGCATCCTGCCTTCTAATGTGACACTTCACCTTTGGAGCAGAAAGTGGACATTTTTATAAAGTAGGGAGGGAAATGAGCAGGACAGCAGTTGTAAAAGTGGCCACCTGAGCATCCTCTCCACATCCCCTCCTAATGGGTGTGAGGTCTAAGGGGAACCGCTGGAGGTGAGAGTTCCATGAGGGCATACTTTTGTCTGCAAATCAACTGTCAAGTCTCAAGGAGAGATCCCTCTTGGAGCACATAGTTAGATGAACTTGCCCGAAGGGACTGTCTGGTGAGGGGATAGTAAACAGTTTTGTGCATTTCTAAAAAGTTAAGTAGAAAGTGGGAAACATAGGGAAAGGGGCGAGGAAAAGAGACAAAAAATTAAAAAAAAAACAAAACAAGTATCTCTTAGAAAAATGGGGGTATTGGTTAGTCTGACTTTCCCAAACAGCCACCAAGGGGTTGGATAATGTAAGGAAGAAAAGCAAAGATGGTAGTTCTGCCACAAAATAACTTTGGCCAAAGGTAAATAGAAAACAAAAGACAGCTAGGATACATTCTCCCTTTTCTCTCTTCCATGGACTAATATTTGCTGTGGTTTCCCCTTGTAACCCTTCTGGAAAAGTACCGGGAGCCAAGTGCATGTATCTGATGATCACCATGCTGTCTGTCTCACCTCATTGTGAAGTGACAACGGCAAAGTCATGTCAACATCATGATACATGGTTTTACATCTTCTTTTGCCTCAGTTTCCACATTTACCCCTCATTGCTACCCTGGACTTGCCTTCCCAAATAAATGTCATCACTGTAAACTCAGACACTGGCTCTAGTTCTAGACACCCAAAGCTAAGATATACATTCAGTTGCATCACTTTTCCATGCATTTATAATATGGCAATTAAAACATTCATTTAGAAAGGATACTAAAATATATATATAAATAATGTGTAAGAAAGGTGACTCGTTACTAACTCAATTTTTAAAAGCGAAATGCCATCTTTGTGTATATAGTAACCAGCTAGAAAATATCATAATACAAATATATCATTCACAGTAGAAAGTGATTGGGTACATTTACAAACAGCTTAACCAGTTGCAAAGTTTGCTAGCTTTTTTTTTTTTTCATTTCTTTTGTGTTCACTTCTTTTGTATCAGCAAAGCATTGAAGGCAGCATAAGTCATACTGAGGGAGAAAGAGATGTTCCCTAAAAACAAGAGTGTGTTTGGCAGCTGCTGGGAAGTTCCCTAACATTCTTGTGATGGGGTCTGCTAACCCCGAGCAGCTGGCACTCACAGCTGAACCTGGCCCTGTGCAAATATACCAGAATCCTTTATATGCTTTTCAAAAAGTATTACAATAAGTGCCATCTAATTTTGACATTCCACCTTGTCTCTACTTCACACACCTGATATAGCTGCATCAAAGCTATATTACAGTGATACTTCCCCTAGAATTGGGGAATAGCCAAACTTTTGCTCTGAGAAATGCTTCTTCTTTGATAAGCCTATAACCTCAACCTGAAACTAGAAAATTCAAGCAACTGCAGATTTTGTCAAGAGTTTCGTTTTCACTGGTTTACCACATCAAATTATCCATTTATCCAACCACTAATGTGTTCATTAACGTATCATTTTTGACCAACTATTCTTTGTGCTGGCTTTTAGATCCCGTGAGTCCAGACAAAGCAAGACAGATATGACCTCTCTTTTTATGGTGATTACATTGTACTAGGGAAGATGCATGATAAATAAAATGTGTGTGTATATATATATCAGATGTGGATCTGATACATATATATGTGGATGTAATATATATATATATATCAGATGAGGAGTTGACTTATTTTAAGTTTTACATAACAATGTTAAAATCTCATAACACCAAGAATTAACACAGTCATGCAGAATTTAGCTGTTCAGCAAGGCTGTACATTTCCTTCTTATAATAGAACTTGGTATCAATGGATACATCAACACACTTTGTGTCATTTCACCATTTACACCATTATAATAAAACATATCATTAATACATTTCCTATCATCAATATATAGATTTCACAGATAATTTTTAACATTTAACGAAAGTTTAACATTTAACATTTGAAGAAAGTTTCATTTGATTATCATCTATAGTTTCTATACTCTCTTTGGGACTTTTTTTAAGATAGAGAATATTTGAGTTTTTTTGAGGAATATTAGGAATGGGAGACAAAGGAGAAAATTGGAAATTCAGGAGCTCAGAGGTGGCTAAGAAAATAAATGGAAATACTTGACATCAGATGTCAACTTCACAAAAGGTTTCCTTTAATTCAAAAAGTGGAATAAGTGACTTTTCTAACTACACATAAAAAATTATAACAGCACTGAAAGGATCATGATCATGTTTTTTCATTCCTATTATAGAAATGATTTTTATTCTAGGCTATGCACATACTTGTATTAAATTTAGTATTCTTTAGTACTGTTTTTGGTATATATAAATAAAACTTACTCTACATATCTTTGTCACTAAAATTTTATTGTGTGCATCATTAGCTAACAATTCTATTTGCTTTCTACCAAACGTAAAATAAGAATTCCTAATGAAATAAAACCTACCCCAAAGATACATTCTCATCATTGATTTAATATTAAACTTCTTTACCATCCAAACAATTAGGGGTTCACCAATGATAGTTAAGTACATATATGTGATACAAATTGCAATGGAAAACAGCAATAATTTCCTGATAAAAGCTGTAAGATCCTAATTTTAAAAAGAGAAAATAAAATCTTCAAATGAAATATTATACAATGAACTATAAGAAAATATACATACATTGTATATGTGAAATATACTCAGCTTCATAGTTTATGGTCAATGTTGTTATTTATACACATGCACACATATACAACCATATATATATGTAAGACTTTTATAGATATCTATTCTGAAATTACTCAAATACATACACTATGGAAAAACTGATAGAAATATAAAATGTTCAAGACATCATCAGTTTGTTTTCTGCTAGAAGACACACGATGCACCCCTTGTGAATCTATGGAGTTGAGGGTTGCTGTCCTTTCACTAAGCATGTGACCTGACATAAAACTGAAAGAAACGTCTGTTTTAGTTTCCTGCTTCCCATAATCAGGAAGAATGAGTGGAATGAAGGATACATGATTCCAAGAGTTTGGCAAAGCAGGAATACAAGTTTGTTCTGCTGTGTTCAAAGATTCCAGGTTAATGTGATTAGATACAGAAAGTAAATGGCATATAACATGAGGAAGGAGATCACAGTTTGCAAAGCTTTTATGTGGACCTTGGTGCTGAGATCTTGAGATCCTTTGCCATGGAGCTGCATCTTCTTGAGATGTTTATGCAGAGAACAGATTAACAGCAGAAAACATATTAGGGTCAGAATGAAGGGTATGAGGTTTGCTAGTGTGCTTACAGTCAAGTTTGAAAGGTGTATTGCATTCCTCAATTTGATCTTCCAAGTCACATTTCCTTCATATTCTTTTGTCCACACACTGTCATCCATGGTTATCACAGCAAGATTACAAATCAAAAATACCAAGGGACCCAACAGTATCACCAGAACAACACTCCTAATTCTCTTCTTTAGGTGGAGAAAAATAAGGTTGGAGAAATTGGCAATCTTGAGCAAATAAAATATGCTGAGGCTAGCAGCAAGCCAGATGCTGAAATGGTTGATTATTGCTGAGATATTAGAAGCAACAGCTCCTACTTCTGAACTATATAAAGCTGAATTAAACACATTTGCATACCAATGTAATAATATGACCCAGAGTAAACCAATTCTGGAGACCACCAGAGCAGTGAGGATTTGGTCAGCTGAGGAGATCTTTCGTGTCTTAACCCAGTCAATGACATTTACTAGAGCTATGAAGCCATTGGAAAAATTTCCAAGAACAAATGCAAACACTACCAGAATTGATAAAATGATGAGCAGAAAATATACCATGTTTGAACAGACAAAAAGAAAAAAATTGCAGTCTTAATAACACTGGTTCTGATACCCTTAATATCCAAACATTAACTTCGATAAACACTTGATTACTAAATGTGCAATAACATTTTCTGCCTTTAAATTCTGTGACTAATGTCAACAGGAAAGCACCAGCCTATGCTAATGGATGAGTTCAAAGCTGTCTTCATAGAAATAGAAAATATTGTTATTCTCAAAACAGCTCAGATTCACTCCTCTTCATATACTATCTGTCCCTGCTACATGCTGAATTTTTTTATACTCATGTTGAAGTGAAAAGTGAATTTTCATGTGTTAGTATGCAAATAAAGCCATATTCTTTGTCATTGTTTTGCAATTTTTTTCCTTGTTTAACCTCTCCATAATTTGAATCCAGCATCTTCAGTTGTTTCTTAGGGAAATTTTAAAACCAAATACATATATCATACAGTAAATGTCTAAATTGTTAAAGGAGCTTGGTCATAACTAGGATCACACCAATATGGATTTATTTTTATGCCAGATTTAAATACCAGATTCTAAACCTTTTATCAGAATCATCCAAGGTTATCTTGGAAAGCCCTGGGAGGCCGATACACCTGAAAATCTGGTTTCTGATAACCAATAAATTGATATGACATCATTGTTAATAAGCTCCTAAACACATAGACACACATGCACTCACACCTTTAGGGGATGGAAGGAATTATTTTCTTATAATTCCCCAAATGGAAAATGAGTTTCCAGGAGGTCATCCAGGTGGAATTACTCGTATTCCACTCAGGGTTGTCAGACAATGAATAATATTTATCAAACATGTTTCTCATGCTTAGGCCATTGATAAATTTAGTCTCAAGTCTGTTTTTTGTTTAAATATTAATTATGTAATTAAAATATTCAGCAATTTTGTAAATATTTCGAAGTGCCCTACACTTTTTCATATAATCCTGCAGCACCCTCCCACCACAGGCAGGGTGACTACCTTGACCATTGACTCTGAATTCACTCATGTAATTTGCTTCAGTGAACAGCAAACTAGTAGACTTTACGCAGAGATTTAAGACGGCTTCCATACTGGAGTTTCTTGCTCTTTTCCATTTACCGTGAGGACATCATCTGGCCAATAACTGTTCCCATAAGAAGAATGAGAAACTAATGGAGTCAGAATGCCACTGCCTTATCTACACTAAATCAGCCAAACTAGCTTCAAGATGCAGTACATGGCCCGTCTCCAGTCACCAGAGCCATCCACCAAATCTAGCTTAGAAAAATGAAATTCAAAGACATATGAGACACAAATATCTAAAGCAGTTTTGGAGGATTTTCTCTTGCAGAAAAACCTAAGTGATAAAGGCACTCTGCTAAACCAAGAGTATGGGAAACATGTCCACCCTTGTTGTGTCAGGAATTCAGGATTCAAGGGAAAAATAGACAGAGAATGTCAAAGTTTTGTCACATGAAGTGGATAATTAAACCTAAAAGAAAAACCTATTGAAAAATCTGGGATTGGCAGGTAACATCATGTCAAGTTTCAGAAAGGTGCAACTAAAATCAGAAAGTTTCTACTTAAAATCGCTTAGAGTTATACATAAATGTATAAAAATAGTGAATTTTTCCCTTCGGTATATAATGAGCAGAGTAATAATAATTTTCATGGAATCTTTCTCCTGATTAATAATTTTTATATTATAACTAGACTGCACACTTAGAAATGAGCCAAAACAAAAATGGAAAACATAGCAATGTGTCATAAACACTCATGTAACCTTCATGTAGGGCAAGACATGGAACATTGCTAAAAGCCTAGGTTTACCTCAATGCCACTTTCCATTTCCCCTATACCTTTCTTCATATCTCCTGTGATAAGCAACATCCATAATTTATGATCATCTTTTTTTAAATTTTCTTTTTACTTTACCAACAAGCTATGCAACCCTAAACTCAATAGCTTGGTTTGGCCCACTTTGAAATGTTTATAGGTGCAATCCTATATGTTCTTATTCATGGCTTCCTGGAATCAATATTATGTATATGAAATTTAACCCCACAGTTGCATGTACATGTGATCCACTTCTTTTCGCTTCTGTATAACTTTTCATTTTATGATTTTACTGTAATTATTTATCCATCCTTATTTGATATATATTTAGGCAGCTTGTTTTTGAGCTATTATGAATAATGCTACAATGAGCATTCTTTCACATATCATTTGCTACAATTCTTATGCATATATATACCTGGGTGTGAAATTACAGGGTCCTTGATAAACGTTCACATTCTCCTCACAGACATAAAAAAGCCAAAAACATAGTTTGACTAAATTTATTTCTGTCACCTTTATCTCCAGTCTCTTTATTGCTATTTGCATATATCTTATCGATTATACATTCAATCCAGGAAGACACTATTTTATACAGTCAACATTTATTTAGAATTACACACTTATTTTTCATTGTCATTAATTTTTATTGCTCCTTGCATGTTCAACTTTGTATTTTCAGTAATTTTATTTTATCTGAAAAATATCATTTTCAATTTCTGTTTTTGAAGGTCTACTACTCTTTGGAAACACACTGAAGACATGATTCCCATGATTCCATTGCATTCCTGCTTCCATATTTTCTGTTAAAATCAGGTTGTATTCAGAATGCAGTTCTTTTCAACATACTCTATCTTCAACCTCTAGCTACTTTTCAGATTTTCTATTGGTCTTTTGTGTCCTGTATTATTTTATGTTAATTTGATTTAAGTCATCATGCCTGAAGTTTGAGATTACAAAAAATACATGGAGGCATACATTTTATCACTTTTGGAAAACTCCTTGCAACATTTTGTTGCTCTATTTTCTCCCCTCTACTGTTACAGAACTCCAGAAGTATGTTAGGTGTTGTGACTGTAGCCTCAATGTGTTACCCTCTAGCTTTGTATATTTCCATCTCTTTCTCTCTGTGCTTCATTCTGTGTAGCTATCTTCTAATTCACTTATTCTCTCTTCTACTGCATCTAACTGGTTAACTCTGTCTATTGGATTCTCAATATTGATAATTCATTTTTTTCAGTCTTATTCTTTTAGTGTTCAGAATAATCTTTTATTCTCCTTCCATAAATCATTTTCTAGGGAGAAACTGAACAAACTACTCTTAACACCATGTTCTTTTTAAAAGCATTTTTGAGTTTTGGGTTTTTGGCTTTTTGTTTTAGTATGTTAGAAAAGAAAATGGTAGTGGTTTTCTTCATTTCCCAATAGTTTGCTGAGAGAATAGAATAAAAGCTTTGTTCTGGAATTTACCTTCAATTTGAAAGAAACTAGAAATTAAGTTGATGTGAGTAGCTTTTTTTGGATATTAGCTTGTCTGTTGCTGGGTCATCACCACAAACTCTGCTAACAGGCAAACTCAATGACCAGAACTACCTCTCAAAATATCATTGCAATAGATAAAATATATTTCACCAACCACAGCTACGTTGTTGTATTCAAAGAATTAATTTTCATTTTGCTTATGTTGTAGAAATGGGGCTCTGTGCCTTTAAATTTCATCATTACCTAAGTGAAATAGAGAAGATATGGGGGAGGGGTTACTTCTCTTTGATTTATTTAGCCCTAACATCCTTACTTTATAAATAAGAGCTTGATCATGAAATGGTTTATTTATTTTTCCTATTAAGCAATTTTATTTATACTAAAATCAAAATCTTTTCATAGTGTTACATGGATTAGTTTAATATAATTTATAATTGTTTCCTTAAGCATTGTATTTTAAACTACACTACACTTAACTTTCTAAATCTAAATGTATTCAGCCTGACTTGAACTTTGCTGTTTACTAATATAACTTTCCTACAATGATATCTCTTAGAAATTATGCAGACATTAACCAAATTATGTATGTAAATATTTCAAAAATAAATCATTTAATAAGACAGATGTAAATGTAGATGATGATAATGATGATGTCAGCTAAAAGGTAGAATGTTATTTAATAAATGTGATTTTGGTTTTCTTTTAAAAGCATTAGAGTTAAGGTTGGTGGGAGAACACTATTATTCTTCCTCATAGATACACAATTTTTTTTTTCGAGATGGAAATTCTCTCTTGTCACCCAGTCTGGAGTTCAATGGCACAATCTTGGCTCACGGCAACAGCTGCCTCCCTGGTTCAATCGATTCTCCTGCCTCAGCCTCCCAAGTATCTGAGATTACAGGTGGCTGCAACCACACCCAGCAATTTTTTTTTATTTTTTGTAGAGATGGGGTTTCATCATGTTGGCCAGGCTGGTCTGGAACTCTTGACCTCAGGTGATCGGCCAGCCTTGGCCTCCTAGAGTGCTGGGATTACAGACATGAGCCACTTTGCCCAGCATAATTCCGATATTATTCTCAGAATCAGGCCTTGACAAATACCCTCAACTAGCATTTCATCAAGAATAACATAAAACCAACATATTTCCAGTGATTTACTTGCTATTTTTTTCTTCTATTGCATTCTAAAAATTATGCCAAAAGTGACCTCCAGCAAAGAATACTCTTGTTCTGGCTGTTTAATTTTGTTCCACTTCCATATGAACTTACACAAATACTCTGTGCAATTATGAAGTGTATAAGCTTCATTTCATCTTTTAATAGCATCACTAACAAGTTAAATTCTCTCAACTGCTTAATTTCATTCTCAGCTATGGTCACAAAATCTGGGTGATTTTATTATAGCAGTCAAAGTAGTTACACTACATATGTTTTAAGGCTTAACAAAATTATCTTTCTATGAATTTTTCTTGAATATTCAAAAAATTTGTAATATCAAAATATTTTTTCACACATGTGTACACATGCATGGTATTAAAATCTTTGAATGGTAAAAAATGTGTATAATTATTTTATTTAGGGATAAATTTAGAAAAATTGTCATGTATATTTAATGTCTGTATAACTATAATTTATTGGAAATTCACTACTTTCTGCAACTTTGAAATGTTATCATAAATAATTAAATTGGAAAGAAGAAAAAAGGTGTCTAGCAAAATACAGATGCTCAAAATCTGATGTTTCAAGGTAAGAATAACATTAAGAAAGTGGAGGTAGACTTCCTGCTTACCTCTTCCTTTTTTAAATTAAAGAAAAGTTTAAAATTTTTCTTGGATTTCTTACTATCATAATGCTGTATTCTTCTTTATTCAGCAAAAATTCTAATTACAATGATGTCTATAAGAATATGTTTTTTCAGCCTATTTTACATTCATTCATTTAGTGTATGTTTCTACTTTTTAAATATTTTTATTATTGTGAAACATAACATACATATATATATAAAGTAATAAGGTCTAAATGTACAGTAAAGAAAAAACTTATAGCATTAAGAGTCATGATTCCACATCATGGTCATAAAGTAGAATTCACCAGCAATCCAGACACTCTCCATATACGCCTTCTTGTTGATAACATTTCCCTTTTGTTTCCTCCATCCCTACCATCCCAATTGTTATGATAATCATTCATATGTCTCACTTTAGAATTTCACCACCAGTGTAATAAATTTCAATTTATTAAAAATATATTTTTGTAAACTTTATATAAGTGGAATTATACTGAATCATTTTTCAAACCTAATAATTCCTCTCATATCTATGAAGTTCAAATTTGTTCATTTTCCTTTTTATTTATGTTCTTTGTAAACATGTTGCTCTAGTTGGTTCTGCTGGGACAATTAAGTTCCCTTCAAAGACTCAACCTTCTGGCCAACAGTTGCAAATGTTGTAAATCAATCCTACCTCACACCCCTCCTTCTTTTTGCAAATCCTGCATTTACCCTATTTGGAAAAGTTTAAGTCTTAGCCAATCAGGATCAGTTTAGATAGCACGGTCCAACCCCAGCCAACAGGAGAAGGACACAGAAACAGGAACTGTGTTAGGATTAAAAACTCCTTCCCTCCTTTGTTCCGTGGGCTCTTGGGATTGTAACGGGCACAAGCAGCACCCTTCTGCACCCTTCTGCCAAAGTAAAGATGCCTTGCTGAGAAATTTTCTGTCGAAGTGTTGGTTTCTTTTGTCTACTCTGAGCACTTGCTTCCAACAGTTCATTTTGATTGCTGTATAGTATACTATTGTACAAGTATGCCATAATTTACTTATCCATTTAATCACTGATGGACATTTGATAGACTTCTCAACTTAGCTATTAAAACTCAGTGATATGCATGTGTGTCTATATGTATTCTGATAAGGATACAAATACTGGGTCTTCAGATGTGATCCATCATCTTAATCAGATAATGCCATACTCAGACAAACTAACTGCTCTGATTTACAATTCTAGGAGCAGTGTATGAAAATTCCCATTACTTCATAAGCTTTCCAAAATAAGTAACATCAGAATAATTTTTACCTTTAATATTTATATGAAACATTATTAAACCTAACATTTTATAAGCCTTTTTCTATTATGTTTCAGAATGTATTCTTAATTCAAAAATTGTTACTCTTTTTAAATTCCATGACCATGACTTCATGCACATTTATTAATAATGAATTACATATTTCATTTATTTATTTATTTATTTATTCATATTCTTTTTTCTTTTCTTTTCTTTTTTGGAGACAGAGTCTTGCTCTGTTGCCCAGGCTGGAGTGCAGTGGCATGATCTTGGCTCACTGCAAGCTCTGCCTCCCAGAATCACGCCATTCTCCTGCATCAGCCTCCTGAATACTTGGGATTACAGGGGCCTGCCATCACACCCAGCTAATTTTTTTTTTCTTGGTATTTTTTGTAGAGACAGGGTTTCACCGTGTTAGCCAGGATGGTCTTGATGTCCTGACCTCGTGATCCACCCACCTTGGCCTCCCGAAGTGCTGGGATTACAGCTATCAGCCACGACACCCAACCCTTATTCATATTCTTTATTACTTTTCCTAATATTTTTCTTCAAGTTTTAAATACTGTTTTGTTATGAACAAGTATAATTATGCTAGACATATTTCCTTTAACCAATCATTATGTCAAATGACTTTGAGAAATATGATTTGTTAACAGCATACTGTAAGGCAAATTTCAGCATTGTTTAACAACTCCTTAAAAGGACTCAAAGAAAATAATATGTTGAAATATCAAAATAGTCTTTAAGTACAATGAAGGTGCCCATGGGAAAATACAAATTCTACCATTACTGTTATGGAAAAAAATGGTTAGTAGTAAACATACCATGTCTGAATTTTTTTAAGGCAGGCCTAATATCAAGGCCTAATGGACAAGATTCCCTTTAAGGTCCTGACCTTAATTTCTATGTGTACCTGATTTCTGATTGTGCAGTAATGTTCTGGTTCCTTTTAAATTCTCTGACTAATGTCAAAACGGAAAGCACCGGGGCATGCTATTGAATGAGTTCAGGGCTGACTTAACGGAAAATATGATAATTTCCAAAACAGCTGAAACTGACTCATATTCAAATACTATGTCCTTGTTATAAAATGTCTCATACTGATGTTGAAGTGAAACCTGAATTCTCAATTCCAGGCATACAAATCAAGTCATATTCTTATTCATCATTTTGAAATTTTTTCCTTGTTTAACCTGTCTATAATTTGTGTTCAGCAATGTCGGTTGTTAGGGAAATTTTCCAAACTAATACATAGATCATACATTGGATGCCTGCACTGTTATATGTAGCTTGGTCAAAACTAGAGTCATGACCACTGTTGATTCATTTTTTCAATGCCAGGTTTATGGAAAGTGAATCCTAAATTTTCCTACTAAAAGCATCCAAGGTTTTCTTTGGAAGCCCAGGAAGGCCAATATTCCTTAAAATCTGGTTGCTGTTAACTAATAGTTTTGTATAACTTATTGTTAACAAGCTCATTAACATAAACACATTCCCCCCCCCACACACACACCCCTCATGGTTGAGTAAATTATTGTCCTATAATTTCTAAAATGAAAAATTAATTTTCTTACTTGGGCTTTTCAGCGCATTTTCAATGTTTATCAAGCTTAATGTCTCATGCTTAGGCCTTTGACTAAGTTTTTCTCTTGAGTCTAATACTTAAATCTTAGTTATTTAATGAAAATATTCAGCAATTTTATAACTATTCCTCGGACACTTAAAAAACGTGTTCCATTGAAGAGTCTACACTTCTCTGTGTATGAATATTCAGGTTTATTTTTCCCTATTTAATTTATTTTTGATTATGAAATGGTTTAAAATAGATGTTAAAATCAGTCTCCAATCTTGGATTTTATTTCTTTTCAGTTTTTATAGTATAATGGTTTCTAAGAGGGGATCTTGAAGTCAGACTGCCAAGACAGGAAACCAGATTCCCTGCTTCATATAACTATGATGTGAGACTCCATTTTACAACTACTGCCTGCCTCAGTATAATTACCTATAAAAAGGAGACGATAGGCCGGGTGCGGTGGCTCAGGCCTGTAATCCCAGCACTTTGGGAGGCTGAGGCAGGTGCATCACCTGAGGTCAGGAGTTTGAAACCAGCATGGCCAACACGGTGAAACCCTGTCTCCACTAAAAATACAAAAAGTAGCCAGGTGTGGTGGCACATGCATAAAATCCCAGCTACTCAGGTGGCTGTGGCAGAAAAATCATTGGAACCCAGGAGTGGGGGGTTGTAGTTAGTTGAGATCATGCCACTCCACTCCAGTGGGGAGACCGTGCAAACTCCATCTCAAAAACACCACCACCACCAACAAAGGGCGATGAAAATACAACTGTCTTTGGTTAATTTTGTTAGGAGTTAATATACTATTTGTATTACTACTTTCAAGTTTACCTCTTATAGGCAGGAACCAAAGATTGTTCATTATCGATTCGATACTGTTTTACTTGATATTTAAGATACCAGTGAGAAGTTAAACTTGTTTTTTTTTTTTCTTCTGAGACACAGTCTCCCTCTGTTACCCAAGCTGGAGTACAGTGGCACAATCATAGCCCACTGCAGCCTTGAACTCCTGGGCTCAAGCAATCCTCCTGCCTCAGCTTCCCAAGTATTTGGGACTATAGGCATGCACCAACATGCCAGCTAATTTTTTAAATTTTTTGTAGAGATGGAGTTTCCATATGTTGCAAAGGGAACTCCTGCTCTCAAGGGGTCCTCCCACCTTGGCCTCCCAAAGTAGTAGGACTACAGGCATGAGCCATGACATCCAGCCTGCATTGAGAGTTTCTGAAGGTCAGATGCTACCTAGAGCTTTGGCTCATGTCCATCCCAAGGTGGAGCTAATCAGTTTGTAGTTATTACCTCTTCCTGAAAGTGTAACTGAAATGGATATGCATGGCAGCTGGCAGGACACTCACATTATTCGTGAACTGTGGAGTAAGGGACATTATTATAGCAGGACCAAAGGGAAGCCTCTGAAATTCTCCTCTACTGGCAACACAATGTACAAAATATAATAACCGCATTCCCTAAGGAATGGAACTGGTCACTGCCATGACAAAACACTTGCAAGTTACAGGGGATGGTAGTCCTTTCTATAACCTGATTCACTTAACCTATCTGGCCTCTACCAAAACCAGATGGATTACAGAATCAATGCAGACTACCATGAACTTAAATAAACACTCACAAATGCTTTCCAGGATGTGCTGTCTTCACTAAGCAGAGCAGAGCTTCTGGTACTTTTTACCGGGCTTGTGATTTGGTGAATGGTTCTTAATCTACACCCATTATGAGGAAAAATCAAAACAATTTGCCTCGTTTTATAATAATAATAACACTGTCACTGTTTTATATCATGGCTATGTCACTTCTGTTCTCAGTTTAATTTACATTTTTTAAAACATCGTGATTATTTAATATATTAATAATATTACAGACCAGGCCCTGTGGCACATGACTGTAATGCCATCATTTTAGGAGGCCGACACGGGAAGATCATTTGAGCCCAGGAGTTTGAGACCAGCCTGGGTAACACGGTGAAATCCTAGCCCTACAGAAAATACAAAAATTAGCCAGGCGTGATGTTGTGCCCCTGCAGTCCCAGCTGCTAGCAATGCAGAGGTGGGGGAATCACTTGAGCCCAGAAGGTTGAGGCTGTAATGAGCTGTGATCCTGCCACTGAACTCCAGCCTCAGGGACAGAATGAGACCCTGTCTCAAAATAATAGCAATAATAATAATAATATATTACTTGGTACAATAATCAGGAAGTGGCAAGTTTCTTAACTATAGTAAAATACTCTAACGATGAATGGAAGTAAAATACCAGAAGAAAAGAAATCAACCTGAGAAGATTCAGGGACCTACAGCATAGGTGATGTTTTAAAGCATTCAGTGTCCCTAGACCACACGTTGAAACAATCTTTTTTACAGTATATGGCATGTTGCTCTCTCTATAAATTTCCTATCACTACAAAAGAGACCCAGTATTTTGGGGGCCTATTGGGATTTTGGAGACAACATATTCCACATTTGAGAATATAGCTCTGACTCATTAATGAAGTTTCCCAGGCTACTGGTCTCAAGCAGAATCCAGAACAAAAGTGGGCTCTACAGAAGATATGGACTCTGCTCCAAGCTGCTCTGGCCACTGTGCCAGATGATCCAGCAGGATTCAAAGATGCTAGAAACATACATAGTGGTCATTATAGGACTCTGTGCATGTCTCTGACAAGCCTGTAGGAGACAGGAGAGCAAATCCCTATGGAATTAGTGCAAGAACATTCCCTCTTCAGCAGAGGAGTATCCTCTGTGTGAAAAACAAAACAGCAAGTGGAGAACATTAATCCAAGCATAGAGTCCCTCTAAACACAAGTCCCTATAAGCACAAAACCCTATGCAACTGTGGACGTCATATGCTCATAAAGCCAGCCATGACTGGAGGGTATGAGCACGCCTCAGTGGCACAAGGAGTGATGGTATTGGACACAAACATGTGCTTTCTTAGATTCCCTTCACTATGTCCTATTCCCCTGGCTAGTACCTTGCCCGATCCAGGTCATCATTCCATTTGGGACTTGAATGCATCACCACACTGTGGGCATAAGGTATGACTTTCATGACCACCACCAAGGGACTGGATGATGGAAGACAGAACAACAGAGATGATAGTTCTGCCTCAAGGAAACCCTGACCAATAAGAAATAGAAGACTAATGACAGCCGAGCAGATACATTCTCCCTCCTCTCTCACTTCCACGGACTAATGCCAGCTGTGGTTTCCCCCTGTAGCCCTTCTGGAAAAAGTGCTGGAAGCCAAGTACACGCATCTGATGACCGTCATGCTGTCTCTCTCACCTCACTGTGAAGTGGCTGCCAGCAGAGCCATACCAGACATCACCACACATTGTTTCACATTTCTTCCTGTCTCAATTTCCACACGTCCTTGCCATTTTTGTCTTGAATTTGACTTCTAAATAAATGTTAGCACTTTAATAACAGGTATTACATTAAAAACATTTTGGTAAAGTAGCTGGTTACTAACTCAATTTTTTGAAATGAAATGCCATTTTATTTAAATAGTCAACTAGAAAATATCATAATACAAATATATAATTCACAATAGAAAAAAAATTCAAATAGACCAAAGTTGTTTATATGATTTTTCAAACTATTGTAATAGGTGCCATCTAATTTTGATGTTCTACCTTGTCTCCAACTCAGACACCTGATACAGCTGCATCAAGACTATATTATTGTGATATTTCCCCTAAAATTGTGGAATAGCCAAACTTTTCCTTAGAGGAAGGATTCTGCTTGGATAAGCCTGTAATCTTAACCTGAGACCGGAACAGGGGAATTCATGCAACTGCAGATTTTGTGATGAGTTTCCTTTTCATTGGTTTACCACATCAGCTTACCCATTTTAGCCACCCATTTATTTGTTCATTAAAGTATTAATGAACGTAATAGAATTTAGCTGTGAACAGGACTGTACATTTCTTTCTTATAATAGAACTTCCTATTAAAGAATATGTCAACACCCTTTCATTTCATCATTGATGACAAAATTACAAAGTTACGGCTCATCCCATAATTAATACATAGGGTTCACAGATACTATTTTAACATTTACAAAAAGTTTGACTGAAATATTTTCCACAATTTCTATACTATATTTACATTGATTTTATTTTTCAAAAAGAGAGGATTTGAGTTCTCTTATCTGAAGTTTAGAAGGAATTTTACAAACGGAAGGTAAGGATATAATTAGCAAATCAGGGGCTTAAAAGTGCTTTAGAAAGAATACTAAAATAATTTACATGAGATCTCAACTTCAAAAACAGATTTTCTTTAATTCAAAAGCGGAAGAAATGACGTTTCTAACTGCATATGCATAACTGATGATACCAATCAAGATCATGATCATGATGTTTCATCCCTTTATTAGAGAAGGAATTTTTTCCTAAGCTATTCACATATGAAATCTAATATTCCTCAGTACCGCTTATGGTAGACATACATTAAATTTACTCTGCATATGCTTCTCACTCAAATTCTATTGTGTGCATTGTTTTCTAACAATAATTCTCATTGCTTTTTACTAAACATAAAATAGAAATTCATAATGGAATAAAACACCGAGGATACATCCTCATTATTGATTTAGAATTGAATGACCTTACCATCCAATAAATTTGAGGTTCAAGCAATGAATTCTAAGCACAATGTGGTATATTCCTGTGGTTCAAATAACAATAGAAAAGAGCAATATTTTTCCGGGGATAAGCTCTTACTTCTTAATAATTATAAATAGACATTGCAAATTCTACAAATGAAATAAAAAATACATGAATGAAATAAACATGGCTTCAAAATTCTAAGAAGTTTTTGTCATATTTTGTATAATTTGGCAGTTTGTATGAAAAAACAGAAAAGAGCATGTTGTTGTCAATGTTAAGTTTTCATACACAAATACACACACACACACACACATATATATATATATATATATATATATATTTTCTAGACTGCCATTGGGTCAAAGACTTTTCTAGGTATACGTTTGGAAATTATTCATACACATACAGTATAGAAAAACCAGTAAGAAATATAAAATGTTTCATACACCACCAGTTTGTTTCCTGCTAGAAGATACACAATGCCCCTCTCGTGAATCTATGGAGATGAAGTCTTCTCTCCTTTCACCCAGTACCTCATTTGCCAAAAAACTGAAAGAAAAGTCTGCTTTAGCTTCTTGTTTCCCCAAATCAGGATGAATGGGTGGATTGAAGGATAGCTGAATCTAATAGCTTTGCAGAACATGAAGACAGGTTTGTTTTCCAGACTTCCAAAACTCCAAACTGATATCATTATGGACAGAAAGTAAATGGCACATAACAAGAGGAAGGAGATCACAGTTTGCAAAGCTTTTATGTGGACCTTGGTGCTGGGATCTTGAGATCCTTTACCATGGAGCTGCATCTTCTTGAGATGTTTACACAAAGAACAGATTAACAGCATAAAAGATAGTAGGGTCAGAGTGAAGGGTACTAAGTTTGCTACCATGGTTACAGTCATATTTGAAAAGTACATTGCACTCTTCAATTTGATCTTCCAAGTCATGTTTCCTTCAAATTCTTTTGTCCGCACAATCTCATTCATGTTTATCACAAAAAGATGACAAGCCAAAAATAGCAAAGGCCCCAACAACATCACCAGAATGACACTCTTAACTCTCCTCTTTAAGTGAAGAAAAATAAAGTTGGAGAAATTGGCAATCTTGAGCAAATAAAATATGCTGAGGGTAGTAGCAAGCCAGTTGCTGAAATGGTTGATCACTGCCCAGATATTATAAGCAGTAGTTCTTACTTCTACACTATTAAAAGCTGGATTCAACACAGTTGAATACCAGTTTAATAATAATACCCAGAGCAAACCAACTCTGGAGACCGCCAGAGCAGTGAGAATTTGGTCAGCAAAGGAGATCTTTTGTCTCTTGAACCACTCAATGGAATTTACCAGTGCTATGAAGCCATTAGCAAAATTTCCAATAACAAATGTAACCACTACCAGACTGGAAAAAATGATGGGTAGAAAAGTTATCATGTCTGAACAGACAAAAAAAATTTTTTTAAATGCTGGTGTTGTGTCCGGAATTGGTTCCTGCAGGTGGGTTCGTGGTCTCGCTGACTTCAAAAGGGAGCCACTGACCTTCACGGTGAGTGTTGCTGCTCTTAAAGATGGTGTGGACCCAAAGAGTGAGCAACAGCAAGGTTTATTGAGAAGAGAGAAAGGACAAAGCTTCCACAGAGTGAAAGGCAACCCAGGTAGGTTGCCGCGGCTGGCTGAAGCCATGAGCTTTTATTCCCTTATTTGTCCCCTCCCATTTTCCTTTTTTGTCCTATCAGAGTGCCCTTTTATCAATCCTCCCTCCGACTGGCTACTTTTAGGATCCTGTTGATTGGTGCATTTTAGAGCGATTGGTGCATTTTACAATCCTCTTGCTAGCTACAGAGCGCTGATTGCTGTGGTTTTACAGTGCGCTGATTGGTGCATTTTACAATCCCCTTGCTAGCTTCAGAAACGTTCTCCAAGTCCCCACAAGATTCAGGAAGTATAGCTGGCTTCATCTCTCAATCTAATAAAACTGGGTGTGATTGCTTGAATATCCTGACCTTAAATTCTATATGCACCTGATTTGTGAATGTGCTGTGACATTCTTTTTACTTTTAATTGTTGTGACCAGTGTCAAGCCAGAAATAACCATGGCATGTTAACTGATGAGTTCAATGATCTCTTTATGGAAAACATTCCTATTTTCAAACAACTCAAATTAACTCATTCATTCACTGTCTGTTCTTGTTATAGGCTGGAATTATTCACACTGAAATTGACGTGAGACCTGAATCCTCATTTGCTAGTATGCAAATAGGGACATATTCACTTTCAGTGTTTGCAATTTTTCCTTGTGTAAACTCTCCATCATTTATCTTTAGTGACTTCAGTTGTTAGGGAAGTTTTGTAACTTAATATATATATCATCCAGTAAATGTCTAAATTCTCAAAGGGAGCTTGGTCATAACTAAGATCATCACCAATGCGGACTTTTTTAAATCACAGATTTAAATACACAGAATCCTAACTGCTTTTATCAAAGGCATCTCAGATTTTCTTGAGAACCACAGGCAGGCCAATCCTCCATAAGATCTGGTTGCTGCTAATACTTTCGTATAACTTCATTATTCACAAACTCATAAATATGCACACAAATACACACGTGCACACCACTTATGAATGGAACAAATTATTTTCTTGTAATTTCCAAAATAAAAAATGAGTTTCCAAGAGGCTGTGCAGATGAAATTAGTCCTATTTTCCCGGGTTTTCAGCCCATGAATAATATTTATTTATCAAACATATCTCTAATTCTTAGGACTTGGTAAAGTTCGTCTCAAGTCTAATGTTTAAATATTTATTATTATACAAAATATTTAGCAATTTTATAACAATTCCTGAGTACCAGACCCTTTGATATAGAATCCTGCAGTATCCTCCTATCACAGGAAGACTGACTACCTTACCCCTGAACTTGGAATTCAATCATTTCACTTATTTTGATAAACAAAAAATTACTACAGTTTGCATAGAGATTTGAGATGGCTTCCATACTGGGGATTCTTCCTCTTTCCATAGAGATTTGAGATGGCTTCCATACTGGGGATTCTTCCTCTTTCCATTTACCATGAGAATATCGCCTGGCTAGTACACTGTTCCCAGAAGAAGAATGAGAAACTATTGAAGTCAGATTGCCGCCACCTGATCCAGACTAAATTGGCAAAACTCTAACGTCCTCCAAGATGCAGAATTTGGCCCATCTCAAATCACGACAGCCATCCACCAAACCTGGCTTAGAAAAATAAAATCCAGGTCCAGTGCAGGCAAGGCTGAGGAAGGCAGATTATGAGGTCAAGAGATGGAGACCATCCTGGCCAACATGGTGAAACCCCGTCTCTACTAAAAATACAAAAATTAGCAGGGCATGGTGGTGTGGGCCTGTAGCCCCAGCTACTCAGGAGGCTGAGGCAGGAGAATGGCGTGAACCCCGGAGGCGGAGGTTGCAGTAAACTGAGATCACGCCACTGCACCCCAGCCTGAGTGACAGACCAAGACTCTGTCAAAAAAAAAAAAAAAAAAAAAAAAAACCCGACGTCAAACGACATGTGAGATATAAATATCTAATGTAGGTTTGGAGGGTTTTCTCCTGCACAAAAACATAACTGATAAAAGAACTCTGCTAAACCAAGAGTGTGGGAAATATGTACATCCTTGTTGTGTCAGGAATTCAGGAGCCAAAAGAAAAAATAGATGGGGAATGGCAAAGGTTTGTCCTGTGAGATGGATAATTAAGGCTAGAAGAAATCCTTTGGAAAGATCTGGGGGTGGCAGATAACATCATCTCAAATTTTCTTATGTTGCAACTAAATAAGAAAGTTCCTATTTCAACTATCTTAGAATTGTGTAAGAATGTATACAAATATTTGATATTTCCCTTCGGTATATAATGAGATGAGTAATAATAATTTCTATATTTCTCCTAATTACAAATTTGTATATTAAAGTTATAATGCGCACTTAGAAATGAACCAATACAAAACTGGGAAATTCCACAGTGTATCATAAACACTCAAGTAACTATGATGAAGGGCAAGACAAGGAACACCTAAAACAGGCTAGATCCACCTCCATTCCACTTTCCAAGTCCCTAAACCCTTCTTCGCATCTCCTGATATAAGCAATATCCATAATTTATAATGGTTATTTCCTCAATTTTCTTCATACTTTACCAACTAGGTATGCAACCCTAAACTCCATCGCTTGGTCTAGCCTACTTTGAACGCTGTATAGGTGCAATCCTACATGTTCCTCTTGTTTGTGGCTTCCTGAACTCAACATTATGTTTCTGAAATTTAGTCACATAGTTGCAAGCACATGTGATTTTTTTTCACTTCTCTATATTGTTCCATTGCATGGAATTACTGTAATGATTCATCCAACCTTAATATGTATTTGGCCAGTTTCTTTTTTGAACAGTTATGAATAATTCTACTAGAACATTCTTTCATATATCATTTGATACAATTCCTTTGCATATATACCTATGAGTAGAATTATATTATCATTGTTCAAAATCTCCTCATAGACATAGAAAAGTTCAGAAAATAATTTAACTAAACTTACTCCTGTCACCTTTACCTCCATTCTATTTTTTGCCATTTGCATATGTCTTATCAATTGTATAATTACCCCAACAAGACATTATTATTTTCTAAACATTCATTTAGAATTATGCACATATTTACCACTTTCATTAATTTGTATTCCTTCTTGCATATTCAACTTAATATTTTCAATAAGACCCTTTATTGGCCAGGCAGGGTAGCTCACACCCATAATCCCAACATTTTGTAAGGCTGGGGCAGGAGCACCCAGGAGTTCAAGACCAGCCTGTGCAACACAGCAAAACTGCCTCTACAATGAATGAAAAAGTTAGTCAGGCATAGTGAAGCTACTCACAAGGCTGAGGTGGGAGGATGGTTTGAGCCCAGGAGTTCCAGACTGCAGTAAGCCATGATCCTACCACTGAACTCCAGCGTGGACAACAGAGTGAGAATCCAACTCTACCAACAAAAATAATAATAATAATAATTTTTCTTTTATCTGAAAAGATATATTTTAAATTTCTGTTTATCAAGATCTATTCTACTTTTGAAATACACTGAAGACATGAATCCATTGAACTCTAGCTTTATTTTTGTCTGTTGAAAATCAGCTTGTCGTTTAGACAGTTATTCCCTTTAACATAATCTATCTTTTCCTCTAGTTACTTTTCAGGTTTTCTATTGGTCTTTGATGTCCTGTCATTTTATGTTAATTTGGTTTTAGTTATCGTGTCTGAAGTCTGATAGTTTCTAAAAATATATGAACTGATATACTTTATCACTTTTGGAAAAATCTCCACATTGCTTCTGCCCCATTTGCTCTCTTCTAATCTTCTGGAACTGCAGAAGTATGTTAGTTGTTCTGATTGTAGCTTCACTGTCTGTGGCCCTCTAGCCTTATATTTTCTACCTCTTGATCTCTTTATGCTTCATTCTGGGTAGTTATCTTCCAATTCACTAATTCTTTCTTATGTTTAACTGGTTGTTAACGCTATTGGATTCTCAAAATTGATGACCCTTTTTTTTGTCTTATTGTTTTAGAGGTAGAAATGAACTTTTTGTTCTCCTTATATAAATCGTTTTCTAACGGAGAAACTAAACCAATATTCCTAAAATCAAGTTATTAAAAAAAGTTTTTTTAAACTTTTAGTATACCTGACATGAAAATGGTAATGATATTTTTATTTTTGTAATACTTTGGTCAAAGAAGAGAGTAAAAGCAGGATCTAGGCAGCCTCATGAAACTCGGAAAAAACTGGAAATTGATTTCATGTCAATAGCTTTTTTTGGATAGTAGCTTATCTGTTGCTGGGTCATCACCACAAACTCTTTTCACAGGGAAATTCAATGAGCAGCACTGGATCTCAAAATGTCATTAATTACATATAGAATCTCAACCACAGCTCCATCATTCTATTCCATTATTTAAATTTTATGCGGTTTTTGTTTTTTTTGTTGTTGTTGTTGTTGTTTTTGAGACGGAGTCTCGTTGTCTCCCAGGCTGGAGTGCAGCGGCGCGATCTCGGCTCACTGCAAGCTCTGTCCCCGGGGTTCACGCCATTCTCCTGCCCCAGCCTCCCAAGTAGCTGGGACTACAGGCACCCACCACCACGCTCGGCTAATTTTTTCGTATTTTTAGTAGAGACGGGGTTTCACCGTGTTCCCCAGTATGGTCTGGATCTCCTGACCTGATGATCCGCCCACCTAGGCCTCCCAAAGTGCTGGGATTACAGGCGTGAGCCACCGCGCCTGCCCTATGCTGTTTTAATTAGCAAAAATCAAAATTTCTTAGTTTATAACAATCATTAAAATATCAAATAGTAAAACATTACTTACGAGTTTATCAACAAATGAAGGACATCTGATATAAGTAGACTTTAAGTCCCATGGAAACAAAACTGAATCTGGTGCTTCTGTGGAATTCCACCATTTAATCCTATCCATGAATATAGTTTTGGTTATAGAACTACAACCTTCTAACTCCATCATCACTCACTCAAGTGTGACAGAAGATCTGGGGTCTTACCTCTGTTTGACAGTTTGGTCCTAAAATCCGCTCTTTAGAAATAAAAGCGTGCTCAAAAAATGTGTTATTTGCTGTATCTTTCTTATTAAGGAATTTTATTTACACGAAAATTAAATTGTTTCTATCATGAGCATAGTGAAAGGAGGATTCACTGACGGTCATCCATAAATAATTATTTGCTTAAGCAATGTACTGTAAAATAAACTACACTTAATTTCTAAATCTAAATGTATTGGAGCTTGACTTGAACTTTGCTGTTTACTATTGTAACTTTCCCACAATGATGATCTTTTTAAAATTACTTATTTTCCAAATTATGTATTTAAATATTTCAAAAACAAATCATTTCATGAGATAGATGAAGATATAGATGATGAAGAGAATGATGATGGCAGGTGAAAGGGAGAATGCTATTTGGTAAATGTGATTTCAGGCTTGTTTCTAAGTACTGGAGCTCAGCGTGATGAGAGAACACTATTATTCTTCCTCATGGCCTCACGATTCTTCTATGATTCTCAGCATTAGGCCTAGACAAGTACCCTCACATGGTATTTCATCAAGAATAATGTAAAACCAACATATTTTCAACGATTTATTTGCTTTTTTTTCTTTTACTACATTTTAAAATTCGATAAGAAACACGACCTCCAACAATTAGGATTCTATTTTGGGATTTTTTTTGGCATTTTTGAACACTAACATGGACAAATAGTCTATGCAATAATACAGTATATCAACTTTAGTTTATCTTTTAATAGCATCATTAGCAAGCCAAATTCTTGCAAATCTCCACTCCACCCAGGAAGTCCAGCTGGCTTCACCTCTCAATGTAATATCACTGGTTGTGATTGCTTGAATATCCTGACCTTAAATTCTATATGCACCTAATTTGTAAATCTGCTGGGTCATTCTTTTTACTTTTAAATGTTGTGACCAGTGTCAAGCCAGAAATCACCATGGCGTGTTAACTAATGAGTTCAATGATCTCTTTATGGAAAACATTCTTATTTTCAAACAACTCAAATTAACTCATTCATTCACTGTTTGTTCTTGTTACAGGCTGGAATTATTCATACTGAAATTGACTGGAAACCTGAATCCTCATTTGCTAGTACACAAATAAGAACGTACTCTCTTTCAGAGTTTGCAATTTTTCTTTGTGTAACCTCTCCATCATTTGTGTTTAGCAACTTCAGTTGTTTGGGAAGTTTTATAACCCAATACATAGATCATATAGCAAATGTCTAAAGTCTTAAAGGGAGCTTGGTCACAACTAAGATCATTACCAATATGGACTTTTTAAAATGCCAGATTTGTATACACAGAATCCAAACTGCTTTTATCAAAAGCATCTAAGATTTTCTTGAGAACCACAGGCAGGCCAATACTCCATAAGATTTGGTTGCTGCTAATACTTTTGTATAACTTCATTATTCACAAGCTCATAAATATGAACACAAATACACGCATGTGCACACCACTTATGAATGGAACAAATTATTTTCTCAAAATTTCCAAAATAAAAAATGAGTTTCCAAGAAGTTGTCCAGATGAAATTAGCCCTATTTTCCCACTCAAGAGTTTTCAGCCCAAGAATAATATTTATTTATCAAACATATCTCTAATTCTTAGGCCTTTGGTAAAGTTTCTCTCAAGTCTAATGTTTAAATATTTATTATTATATAAAATATTTAGCCATTTTATAAGAATTCCTGAGTACCCGACCCTTTGGTATATCATCTTGCAGTATCCTCCTATCACAGGAAGACTGACTACCTTTCCCCTGAACTTGGAGTTCAATCATTTAACTTACTTTGATAAACAGAAAATTACTACACTTTGCATAGAGATTTGAGATGGCTTCCATACTGGGGATTCTTCCTCTTTCCATTTACCATGAGAATATCGCCTCGCAAGTACACTGTTCCCAGAAGGAGAATGAGAAAGTAATGAAGTCAGATTGCCCCCACCTGATCCAGACTAAATTGGCCAAACTCTATCTCCAAGATGCCGAATTTGGCCCATCTCAAATCACCAGAGCCATCCATCAAACCCAGCTTAGAAAAATGAAATCCAGGCCAGGTGTGGAGGAGGCTGAGGAGGGCAGATCACGAGGTCAAGAGATTGAGACCATCCTGGCCAACATGGTGAAACCCCATCTCTACTAAAAATACAAAAATTAGGTGGGCTCAGTGGAGTGTGCCTGTAGTCCCATCTACTCAGAAGGGTGAGGCAGGAGAATCGCTTGAACCCTGGAGGTGGAGGTTGCAGTGAGCCAAGATAGTGCCACTGCACTCCAGCCTGGGCAACAGAGTGAGACTCCATCTCAAAAAACAGAAAACACACACACACACAAATGAAATCCAAAGACATGTGAGATATATATGTCTAATGTTTTAGAGGGTCTTCTCTTGCAGAAAAACATAACTGATAAAAGAACTCTGCTAAACCAAGAGTGTGGGAAATATGTACAACTTTGTTGTGTCAGGAATTGAGGAGCCGAAAGAAAAAGTAGATGGGGAATGGCAAAGGTTTGTCCTGTGAGGTGGATAATTAAGGCTAGAAGAAATCCTTTGGAGAGATCTGCGCTTGGCAGATAACATCATCTCAAATTTCCTCATGATGCAACTAAATAAGAAAGTTCCTATTTCAACTATCTTAGAGTTGTATAAGAATGTATATACAACTAATTGATTTTTCCCTTCAGTATATAATCAGATGAGTAATAATAATTTCTATGAGACATTTCTCCTAATCAAAAACTTTAATATTAAAATTATAATGCACACTTAGAAATGAACCAAAACAAAAATGGGAAATACCGGAATGCATCATAAACAGTCAACTAACCCTTATAAAGGGCAAGAGATGGAACACTGAAAATAGGCTAAGTCCATCTCCATGCCACCCTCCTGACATGAAAATGGTAATGATTTTCTTCCTTTTGTAATACTTTGGTCAAAGAAGAGAATAAAACCAAGGTCTAGGCATCCTCCTGCAACTTGGAAGAAACTGGAAATTGATTTGATGTGAGGAGTTTTTTTGGATAGTAGCTTGTCTGTTGTGGGGTCATCACCACAAACTCTCCTCACAGGGAAATTCAGTGAGCAGCACTGGATCTCAAAATGTCATTTCAATTAATAAGACAAAGTATCTCCACCACAGCTCCACCATTCTATTCCATGATTTAAATTTTAAGCTGTTTTTATTAGCAGAAATCAACACTTCTTAGTTTTTAACAATCTTTAAAACATCAAATAGTAAAACAGTACTTAAAACTTTATCAAAAAATGACGGCATTCTCAGCAAACTATCACAAATGCTTTTTCTCATTCTTAGCTATGGTGACTAAATCTGGATTATTTTACTACAGCAGTCAAAGTAGCATTATATGTGCACAAACATACTCAAAGATCAGGCTAAATTATTTTTTATACCTTAAAAAATTTGCCTTTCTATGATTTTTTTCTCTAATGGACAGCCAAAAAATTTATAGTAACAAAAAATTTTACCCAACACACTGGTGTACACAGGAATAGTATAGTGAAATTAGAATGCTAACAATGTGAATATAAATATTTCATTTAGAGACACATTTTTAATACATTTAATTTAATATATTTAATATCCATCGTACTATAATTTATTGTAAATTCCTGAATTTCTTACACTTTCAAATGTGTATCAAAAATAATTAAATTGGAAATAAGAAAAAAGGTGTCTATCAATCATGGATATTCAAATTTTGATGTTTCAAATTCATATTAGCACTAAGAAAGTGGATTAACAATTCTTGCCTATCTCTTCTTTTGTGTGAATTAATTTAAGTAATGTTTTGGGCCAGGTGTGGTGGCTCACACCTGTAATCCCATCATTTGGGAGGCTGAGGCAGGTGGATTGCCTAAGCACAGGAGTTCAAGACCTGCCTGGGCAACATGGAAAAACCATGTCTCTACAAAAAAATAGAAAAAATTAGCAGGGCGTAGTGGTGCACGCCTGTTGTCCTAGCTACTCTGGAGGCTAAGATGGGAGAATCACTTGAGCCAAGGTGACAGAGGCTGCATTGAGCCAAGATTGTTCTTGTGCACTCCAGCCTGGACAACAGAGTCAGATCCTGTCTCAAAATAAAAATAGAAAAGTTTTAAATTTTAACTTGGATTTCTTAGTACCATAATCCTCTATTCTTTATTCAGCAAAAACTCTAATTACAATGATATCTATAAGAATATGCTGCATCACCCTAATTTTACACTTAGAAATGTACTTTAGGTTTCTGCTTTTTTAACATTTTTTATTGTGGAGCAAAACATACAGATACAGAGTAATAACAACTAATAAACAGTAAGATAAAAAATTATAAGGTTAAAATTGATGTTACCATACCTTGGTAAGAAAATAGAATTTGCCATTGTATATTTAGAAAACCTAATCTTCTCTGCCCAAAATCTCCTTAAGCTGATAAGCAACTTCAGCAAAGTCTCAGGATACAAAATCAATGTGCAAAAATCACAAACATTCTTATACACCAATAACAGACAAACAGAGAGCCAAATCATGAGTGAACTCCCATTCACAATTGCTTCAAAGAGAATAAAATACCTAAGAATCCAACTTACAAGGGATGTGAAGGAAATCTTCAAGAACTACAAACCACTGCTCAATGAAATAAAAGAGGATACAAACAAATGGAAGAACATTCCATGCTCATGGATAGGAAGAATCAATATCATGAAAATGGCCATACTTCCCAAGGTAATTTATAGATTCAATGCCATCCCCATCAAGCTAACAATGACTTTCTTCACAGAATTGGAAAAAAACTACTTTAAAGTTCATATGGAACCAAAAAAGAGCCTGCATTGCCAAGACAATCCTAAGCCAAAAGAACAAAGGTGGAGGCATCACGCTACCTGACTTCAAACTATACTACAAGGCTATAGTAACCAAAACAGCATGGTGCTGGTACCAAAACAGAGATATAGACCAATGGAACAGAACAGAGCCCTCACAAATAATATGACACATCTACAACCATCTGATCTTTGGCAAACCTGACAAAAACAAGAAATGGGGAAAGGATTCCCTATTTAATAAATGGTGCTGGAAAACTGGCTAGCCATATGTAGAAAGCTGAAACTGGATCCATTCCTTACACCTTATACAAAAATTAATTCAGGATGGATTAAAGACTTAAATGTTGGACCTAAAACCATAAAAACCCTAGAAGTAAACCTAGGCAATACCATTCAGGACACAGGCATGGGCAAGGACTTCATGGCTAAAACACCAAAAGCAATGGCAACAAAAGCCAAAATTGACAAATGGGATCTAATTAAAATAAAGAGCTTCTGCACAGCAAAAGAAACTACTGTCACAGTGAACAGGCAACCTACAGAAGGAGAAAATTTTTACAATCTACCCATCTGACAAAGGGCTAATATCCAGAATCTACAAAGAACTTAAACAAATTTACAAGAAAAAAATCAAACAACCCCATCAACAAGTGGGTGAAGGATATGAACAGACACTTCTCAAAAGAATACATTTATGCAGCTAAAAGACACACGAAAAAATGCTCATCATCGCTGGCCATCAGAGAAATGCAAATCAAAACCACAATGAGATACTATCTCACACCAGTTAGAATGGCAATCATTAAAAAGTCAGGAAACAACAGGTGCTGGAGAGGATGTGGAGAAATAGGAACAATTTACACTACTGGTGAGACTGTAAACTAGTTCAAACATTGTGGAAGACAGTGTGGCGATTCCTCAGGGATATAGAACTAGAAATGCCATTTGACCCAGCCATCCCATTACTGGATATATAAACGAAGGATTATAAATCATGCTGCTATAAAGACACATGCACATATGTTTATTGCAGCACTATTCACAATAGCAAAGACTTGGAACCAACCCAAATGCCCATCAATGATAGACTGGATAAAGAAAATGTGGCACATATACACCATGGAATACTATGCAGCCATAAAAAATGATGAGTTCACGTCCCTTGTAGGGACGTGGATGAAGCTAGAAACCATCATTCTGAGCAAACTATCGCAAGGACAGAAAACCAAACTCCACGTGTTCTCACTCATAGGTGGGAACTGAACAACGAGAACACTTGGATACAGGGTGGGGAACATCACACTCTGGGGCCTGTTGTGGGGTGGGGGGAGGAGGGAGGGATAGCATTAGGAGATATACCTAATGTAAATGACGAGTTAATGGGTGCAGCACACCAACAAGCACATGTATCCATATGTAACAAACCTGCACATTGTGCACATGTACCCTAGAACTTAAAGTAAAATAAAAATAAATAAATAAATAAAATATAAAAAAAATGAACAAAATCTCGTGTTAAGCCATAGGACTATATTAAATGAATTCATACACAAATTTCTAAGCACACAATAAATGCTCAAGAATGTTAGTGGCATTACTGTTACTGTGGCTGTTTATTGTATTTTAACACCTAAAGAAATTCCTCAAATAAAATTGGTGTTAAGTCATTGTGAGGTGCTTCAATATGTAATATTTTCTTTCTACAGTTCACTAAATTACTTTTTCTAGTAACCAGTTTCCTGGTTCTAATCAGATAATCACACGTGTTTAGATGGGCTTGTGCAACCTAACTAGGCTACCCTGTTGCTGTACCACCACTACCACTCCCCCATCCAACTTCATTGAGTGCTTTTGATGTGGACACTAGGATGTTCCAGATTCACTTTATTTAGATATTTGATTCAACGGTGACCAACACAGTCAAAGATACTTCGCACAGATAAGATCCAAATGAAAGAGTAAAAAAAAAAAAAAAAAAAAAAGGAAGAAAATAGAATTTGCTAGCAATCCAGATACTCCCGATATATGTCTTCTTGTTGATATTTTCCTCCCTTCTGACTATCCCAAATTGTTATGATGATCACTCATATGATGATCACTCATATGTTTCACTGTAGGGTTTTATCACCAATGTAATGAATGACAATGTATTAAAAATAAAGTTTTTCAAACTTTACGTCAATGAGATTACAGTAAATGTATTTTTCCATCTTGATAATTCCTCTCACATCTGTATTATTATCTATGTAGCTCAAATTTGTTCATTTTCTTTGTTGTATTATTCTGTTGTAAACATGTCAGTCTTGTTTGTTAATTTTGATCACTGTATAGTATTCCACTGTATAAGTATGCCACAATTTCTTTATCCATTTGGAGGACTGAGACATTTGGAGGACTTCTCAACTTTAGCTATTAAAACTCAGTGATATGCATGTGTATGTATATGTATTCTGATAAGAGTGTAAATACTTGATCTTAGGATATGATCCTTCACCTTAATGAGATAATGCCATACTCAGCCGAAATGATGGCACAGATTTATAATTCTAGGAGTAGTGTATGAAAATTCCCATTGTGTCATATCCTTTCCAAAATAAATAATGTTGGGCTAATATATACATTTTTGTATTTATATAAAATATTATTAAACAATATTTTCCAAGTCCTTTTCTATTCTTATTCAGAATGTATGTTTACTTCAATGAATTACATTAATCTTTTTCATTCTATGACTATTTCATATACACTTATTAATAATGCCTTATATATTATACATATTTATTTATATTTCATTATAAATTGTCTAACCTTTTTCTTCAAATTTCAAATACTCTTGTTATAAGTAACTGTAATTATACTGGAGATACTTCCTTTAATCAATCATTGTGTCAGATGACTTTGAAAAAATATAATTAGTTAACAGCATACAGTAAGGGAAATTTCAGGATTGTTTAACAACTCTTAAAAGGACTCAAAGAAAAAAAGTTGAAAAATAAAAAGAGTCTATAAGTTTAATGTAGGTGTCCATGGGAAAATATAAATATATTATTGTTGATGAAAAAATGATTGGTAGTAAATTTATCATGTCTGAATTTTTTTAAAGGCAAGCCTGATATCACTGGTCAAGATTTCCTTTAAGGTCTTGACCTTAACATCTATGTGTACCTGATTCCTGAATTTGCAGGAATGTCCTTGTTCCTTTTTAAATTCTGTGACCAATGTCAAACAGGAAAGCATCTCAATATGCCAGTGGATGAAATCAATGCTGTCTTTATGGAAAACATGATGATTTCCAAAACAGCTCAAATTAACTCCTATTCAAACACAACGTCCTTGCTGTAAGATAAAATTTTCCATATTGGTGTTGAAGTGAAAAGTGATTTCTCATCTACTAGCATGCCAATGAAGAGTTTTTTAATTGTTCTGCACTTACTTCTTTGTTTAACCTCTCCACAATTTGTGTTCAGCAACTTCAGTTGTTAGAGAAATTTTACAACCTAATACAGAGATGACACACTGGTTGTATAACCTGGTAAAGGGAGCTTGGACATAACTAGGATCATCACCAAAGTAAATTTAATTTTTCAACGTGAGTAATATGTAGAGTGAATCCAAACTTTTCCTACCAAAAGGATTCAAGTTTTTCTTGGGAATCTCAGAAAGGCCAATAATTCTTAAAACCTGGTTGCTCCTAATACTTTTGAATAACTTATTCTTTTTTTTTTTTTTTTTTTTTTGAGACGGAGTCTCACTCTTTCGCCCAAGCTGGACTGCAGTGGTGCTATCCCGGCTCACTGCAAGCTCCGCCTCTTGGGTTCATGCCATTCTCCTGCCTCAGCCTCCCGAGTAGCTGGGATTACAGGCGCCCACCACCACGCCCGGCTAATTTTTTGTATTTTTAGTAGAGACGGGGTTTCACCGTGTTAGCCAGGATGGTCTCGATCTCCTGACCTCGTGATCCGCCCGCCTCGGCCTCCCAAAGTGCTGGGATTACAGGCGTGAGCCACCGCGCCCGGCCATAACTTATTCTTAAGAAGCTCATTAATACAAACACACTCAAACCCATACACACATACTCACTCACTCATGGATAGAAGAAATTGTTGTCCTATAATTTCCAAAATGGAAAATTAATTTCAGGGACATCATCCAGGTAAAAATAGCCCTATTTTCCCATTTGGGCTTTTCAACCCATTTTCAATATTTTTCAAACTTATCTCTCATGCTGAGACCTTTGACTAAGTTTTTCTCTTGAGTTTACTTAATTGTTAAATATTAATTTTTTAGTTAAAATACTCAGCAATTGTGTAACTATTGTGGGCTACTTAAAAAACACGTTTTCCATTGAAGAGTCTAGATCTTCATATATGAATATTTGGTTTTATTTTTCTCTATTTAATTTATTTTTGATTACTTAATGGTTTAAGAGGAATCGATGTTAAAATCAGTCTCCAATCTTGGATTTTATTTCTTTTCCATTTTTACAGTATAATTGTTTCTAACAGAAGATTGTGGAGTCAGACTGCCAAGACAGGAAAGCAGATTTTCTGCTTCAAATATGGTCTGAGACTTCATTTGACAACTACTCTCTGCCTTGGTATAATCATCTGTAAAATGCAAATGATAATAATATTCTCTTCAGGTAGTCTTTATGAGGAGTTAGTATACTAGTTGTATAACTGCTTTCAATTTTATCTGTCTAGTACAGGCAGGAACCAAGAATTATTAATTTTTTGTATGATCGTGTGTTACTTGATACATAAAAGATAACCAGTGAGACCTTCTTTTTTGGGGTAGGGGAGCGAGAAAGACAGGGTCTTACTCGTCACCCAGGCTGGAGTGCAATGGCTTGATCACAGCTCACTCCAGTCTCAAACATTTGTGTCCTCCCACCTCAGCTTCTGGAGTAGCTGTGTCTACAGGCATGCATCACAACACCCAGCTAATTTATTAATTTTTTTGTTGAGACAGAGTCTCCCTATGTTGCCCAGTCTGGTCTTCAACTCCTGTTCTCAAGTGGTCCCCTCATCTTGGCCTCCCAAAGTGCTTGCATACAGGTGTGAACAACCACACATGGCTGAGAACTTCCATTTTTGGGCAGAATGCACAAGGTTCAGAAAAGCATGATACCTTCTGCTACAATTAAGATAAGAGAAATAAAAGGCCAAAATTATATTTTCAATTTGTCACAGAGTTGTACAAGCAAGAATGACCAGCTGAACTGAAATCCAGCACAGGGAGAGTCTTTATAGATTGCAGTTATATATTCAGTGCAATCCCTATCAAATCCCAGCAGATGTTTTATCACAGAAAGTGGAAAACTACTCCTAAAATGTGTCTGGAAATGCCAAGTGACAAGATCACAAAAAGAAATTGTTAAAAAATAACAAATTTGGAGGATTACACTTTCTGATTTCAAAGCTTCCTTCAAAGCTGCACGAATCAGGATTCTATGGTACTCGCATTAGGGTAGACAAAAAGAACAATGAAACACAACTGAGAGTCCAGAAATTAACACCAACATTCATGGTCAATTGATTTCAAAAAAGGGACTACTGCAATTTGATAGGAATTAATGGTTTTTCTCAAAAAACAATGCTGGGTAAAATTGAAGAAGACTACCTCAAAGAATTTAATAATCAATTTCCCTAAGCTCAAGGATAAAGAAAGGATTCTGAAAGCAGCAAAAGAAAAGGAACAAATAATGTACAATGGAGCTCCACTACATGTGGCAGCAGACTTTTCAGTGGAAAAAGGCCAGGAGAGAGTGGTATGACATATTAAAAGTGCAGAGAGTGGTATGACATATTAAAAGTGCTGAAGGAAGAAAACTTTCAGCCTAGAATAGTGTAACTGGAGAAAATATCCTTCAAACGTGAAAGAGAAATAAAGACTTTTCCAGACCAACAAAAGCTGAGTGATTTCATCAGCACCAGATCTGTCCTAGAAAAATTTCAAACGGATTACTTCAGTCAGAAAGAAAAGGACATTAATGGGCAATAAGTAATCACTTGAAGCTATAAAACGTACGGGTAATAGTAAGGAGACAGAAAACACAGACTAATATAACACTGTAAATGTGGTGCATAAACATCACTTAAATAGAAAAACTAAATGATGAAGTAATAATGAAAAAAAATAGTGGAGTGGCTGGCAAAATGTCCTAATAGGAACAGCTCCAGTCTGCAAATCCCAGCAAGATCAACACAAAAGGTGGGTGATTTCTGCATTTCCAACTGAGTTACATGGCTCATCTCACTGGGACTGGTTAGACAGCGGGTGAAGCCCACGGAGGATGAGCCGAAGGAGGGTGTGGTGTTGCCTCACCCGGGAAGTGCAAGGGGTCGGGGAACTCCCTCTCCTAGCCAAGGGAAGCTGTAAGGGACCATGCAGTGAGGGACGACGTATTCTGGCCCAGATACTACACTTTCCCCATGGTCTTCGTAACCCACAAACCAGGAGATTTCCTCCAGTGTTTATGCCACCAGGGCCATGGGTCTCAAGCATAAAACTGAGCGATCATTTGGGCAGACACCAAGCTAGCTGCAGAAGTTTTTTGTCATACCCCAGTGGTGCCTGGAATGCCAGCAAGACAGAACCATTCAGTCCCCTGGAAAGGGGGCTGAAGCCAGGAAGCCAAGTTGTCTAGCTCAGTGGATCCCACCTCCTTGGAGCCCAGCAAGCTAAGATCCACTGGTTTGACATTCTCACTGCTAGTTTAGCAGTCTGAAGTCAACCTGGGATGCTTGAGCTTAGTCAAGGGAAGGATGTCCGCCATTACTGGGGCTTGAGTAGGCAATTTTCCCCTTACGGTGTAAACAAAGCCACCAGGAAGTTCAAACTGGGTGGAGCCCACAGCAGCTCTGCACAACCACTGTAGCCAAACTGCCTCTCTAGACTCTTCCTCTCTGGTCAGGGCATCTCTGAAAGAAAGGCAGCAGCCCCAGTCAGGGGCTTATAGATAAAACTCTCATCTCCCTGGGACAGAGCACCTGGGAGAAGGGGCAGCTGTGGGAGCAGCATCAGCAGACATAAACTTTCCTGCCTGACACTCTGAAAAGAGCAGCAGATCTCCCAGCACAGCACTTGAGCTCTGCTAAAGGACAGAGTGCCTCCTTAAGTGGGTCCCTGACCTCTGTGCCTCCTTACTGGGAGACATCTCCCAGCAATGGTGGACAGAAACCTCATACAGGAGAGCTCTGCCTGACATCTGGCGGGTAACCCTCTGGGATGAAGCTTCCAGAGGAAGGAACAGGCAGCAATATTTGCTGTTTTGCAGCCTCCACTGGTGATACCCAGGCAAACAAGGTCTGGAGTGGACCTCCAGCAAACTACAGCAGACTTGCAGCAGAGGACCCTGACTGTTAGAAGGAAAATCAACAAACAAAAAGGAATAGCATCAACATCAACAAAAAGGATGTACACACAGAGACCCCATCTGAAGATCACCAACATCAAAGACCAAAGGTAGAAAAATCCATGATGATGAGGAAAAACCAGGGCAAAAAAGGCTGAAAATTCCAAAAACCGGAAGCCTCTTCTCTTCCAAAGGATCACAACTCCTCACCAGCAAGGGAACAAAACTGGACAGAGAATGAGTTTGATGAATTGACACAAGTAGGCTTCAGAAGGTGGGTAATAAACTCAACTGAGATAAAGAAGCATGGTCTAACCCAATGCAAGGGAGCCAAGAACCTTGAAAAAAGGTTAGAGCAATTGCTACCTGGAATAACCAGTTTAGAAAAGAACATAAATGACCTGATGGAGCTGAAAAGCACAGCATGAGAACTTTGTGAAGCATACACAAATATCAATAGGTGAACCAATCAAGCGGAAGAAAGGATATCAGACATTGAAGATCAATTTAATGAAATAATGCATGAAGATGAGATTAGAGAAAAAAGAATGAAAAGGAACAAACAAAGCCTCAAGAAATATTGGACTATGTGAAAAGACCAAACCTATGATTCACTGGTGTACCTGAAAGAGATGGGGATAATGGAACAAAGTTGGAAAACACTCTTCAGGATATTATCCAGGAGAACTTACCCAACTTAGCAAGACTGGCCAACATTCAAATTCAGGGAATACAGAGAACACCACAAAGATACTCCTTGAGAAGAGCACCCAAAAATACATAATAGTCAGATTCACCAAGGTTGAAATGAAGGAAAAAATGTTAAGAACAGCCAGAAAGAAAGGCTGAGTCACCAAAAAGAGAAGCCCATCAGACTAACAGCAGATCTCCTGGCAGAAACCCTACAAGCCGGAAGAGAGTGGGGACATTCTTCAAGAAAAGGATTTTCAACCCAGAATTTCATAGCAAGCCAAAAAGCTTCATAGTTGAAGGAGAAATAAAATCCTTACAGACAAGCAAATGCTAAGAGATTTTGTTACCACCAGGCCTGCCTCACAAGAGCTTCTGAAGCAAGCACTAAATGTGGAAAGGAAAAACCAGTACCAGCCACTTCAGAAAAACACCAAATTGTAAAGACCATTGGCACTATGAAGAAACTACATCAACTAATGAAGCAAAATAACCAGCTAGCATCATAATTATAGGAAAAAAATCACACATAACAATATTAACCTTAAATGTAAATGGGAAAAATACCCCAATTAAAAGGCACAGACCAGCAAATTGAATAGAGTCAAGACCCATTGTTGTGCTGTATTCAGGAAACCCATCTCATGTGCAAAGACACAAATAGTCTCAACATAAAGGGATGGAGGAATATTTACCACACAAATGGAAAGCAAAAGAAAGCAGGGGTGGCAATCCTAGACTCTGATAAAACAGACTTTAAACCAACAAAGGTCAAAAAAGACAAAGAGGAGAATTACATAATGGTAAAGGAATCAACGCAACAAGAAGAGCTAACTATCCTAAATATATGTGCACCCAATACAGGGGCACCCAGATTCATAAAGCAAGTTCTTAGAGACCTACAAAGAGACTTAGACTCCCACACAATAATAGTGAGAGACTTTAACACCCCACAGTCAATATTAGACAGATCAATGAGACAGAAAATTAACAAGGATATTAGGACTTGAACTCAGCTCTGGACCAAGCTGACCTAATAGACATCTACAGAACTCTCCACCTCAAATCAACAGAATACACATTCTTCTCAGCACCACATCACACTAATTCTAAAACTGACCACATAAGTGGAAGTGAAACACTCCTCAGCAAATGCAAAACAAAATAAATCATAACAAACAGTCTCTCATACCACAGTGCAATCAAATTAGAACTCAGGATTCAGAAACTCACTCAGAACTGCACAACTACATGGAAACTGAACAACTTGCTCTTGAATGACTACTGAGTAAATAACGATATTAAGACAGAAATAAATAAGTTCTTTGAAACCAATGAGAACAAAGACAAAATGTACCAGAATCTCTGGGACACAGCTAAAGCAGTGTTTAGAGGGAAATTTATAGCACTAAATGCCCACAGGAGAAAGTGGGAAAGATCTAAAGTTGACACCCTAGCATCACAATTAAAAGAACTGGAGAAGCAAGAGCAAACAAATTTAAAAGCTAGCAGAAGACAAGAGATAACTAAGGTCAGAGCACAACTGAAGGAGATAGAAACACCTAAAACCCTTCAGAAAATCAATGAATCCAGGAGCTGGTTTTTTGAAAAGTTCAACAAAATAGAAAGACAGCTAGCCAGACTAGTAAAGAAGAAAAGAGAGAATAATCCAATAGACACAATAAAAAATAATAAAGGAGATATTACCACTGACTTCAGAGAAATACAAACTATCATCAGAGAATACTATAAACACCTCTATGCAAATACGCTAGAAAATTTAGAAGAAATGGATAAAATACTGGACACATACAACATCCCAAGTCTAAACCAGGAAGAAGTCAAATCCCTGAATAGACCAATAACAAGTTCTGAAACTGAGACAGTAATTAATAGCCTAGCAACCAAAAAAAGTCCAGGAACAGACATATTCACAACCAAATTCTACCAGAGGTACAAAGAGGAGATGGTACCATTCTTTCTGAAACTATTCAAAACACTGGAAAAAGAGGGACTACTCCTTAACTCATTTTATGAGGCCAGCATCATCCTGATTCCAAAACCTGATAGAGACACAGCAAAAAGAGAAAATTTTAGGCCAATATCCTTGATGAACATCGATGCGAAAATCCTCAATAAAATACTGGCAAGCCAAATCCAGCAGCATATAAAAAGGCTTATCCACCAAGATCAAGTCGTCTTCAACCCTGGGATGCAAGGCTGGTTCAACATATGCAAATCAATAAACATAATCCATCACATAAACAGAACCAATGACAAAAACCACATGATTATCTCAACAGATGCAGAAAAGGCCTTTGATAAAATTCAACATGCCTTCATGCTAAAAACACTCAAGAAACTAGGTACTGATGGAATGTATCTCAAAATATTAAGTGCTATTTATGACAAACCCACAGCCAATATACTGAATGGGCAAAAACGGGAAGCATTCCCTTTGAAAATCGGCACAAAACAAGGATGCCATCTCTCACCACTCCTGTTCAACATAGTATTGGAAATTCTGGCCAGGACAATCAGGAAGAGAAAGAAATAAAGGGTATTCAAATAGAAAGAAAGGAAGTCAAACTGTCTCTGTTTGCAGATGACAGGATTGTATATTTAGAAAAACCCATCATCTCAGCCCCAAATCTCCTTAAGCTGATAAGCAATTTCAGCAGTCTCAGGATAAAAAATCAACATGCAAAATTCACAAGCATTCCTATACACCAATAACAGACAAACAGAGAGCCAAATCATGAGTGAACTCCATTTCACAATTGCTACAAAGAGAATAAAATACCTAGGAATACAGCTAAGAAGAGATGTGAAAGATCTCTTCAAGGAGAACAACAAACCACTTCTCAAGGAAATAAGAGAGGACACAAACACATGGAAAAACATTTCATACCATTGACTTTCTTCAAAGAATTGGAAAACACTACTTAGAAATTCACATGGAACCAAAAAAGAGCCCGTGTAGCCAAGACAATCCTAAGCAAAAAGAACAAAGCAGGAGGCATCACACTACCTGGCTTCAAAGTATACTACAAGTCTACAGTAACCAAAACAGCATGGTACTGGTACCAAAACAGATATATAGACCAATGGAACAGAACAGAGGCCTCAGAAATAATGCCACACATCTACAACCATCTGATTTTGACAAACCTGACAAAAAACAAGCAGTGAGGGAATGGATTCCCTATTTGATAAATGGTGTTGGGCAAACTGGCTAGCCTTAGGCAGAAAACTGAAACTGGACCCCTTCCTTACACATTATACAAAAATTAATTCAGGGTGGATTAAAAACTTAAATGTAATATCCAAAACCATAAAAACCCTAGAAGAAAACCTAGGCAATACCATTCAGGACGTAGGCATGAGCAAAGACTTCATGACTGAAACACCAAAAGCAATTGCAACAAAAGACAAAATGTACAAATGGAATCTAATTAAACTAAAGAGCTTCTGCACAGCAAAAGAAACTATCATCGGAGTGACAGGCAACCTACAGAATGGGAGAAAATTTTTGCAATCTATTAAACAAACAACCCCATCAAAAAGTGGGTGGAGGATATGAGCAGACACTTCTCAAAAGAAGACATTTATGTTCCCAAGAAAATATGGGAAAGAAAGAAGCTCATCATCACTGCTCATTAGAGAAATGCAAATCAAAACCACAATGAGATACCATCTCATGACAGAATGGTGATCATTAAAAAGTCAGGAAACAACAGATGCTGGAGAGTAGGTGGAGAAATAGGAATGCTTTTACACTGTTGGTGGGAGTGCAAATTAGTTCAACCATTGGGGAAAACAGTGTGGTGATTCCTCAAGGATCTAGAACCAGAAATACCATTTGACCCAGCAATCCCATTACTGGGTACATACCCAAAGGATTATAAATTATTCTACTATAAAGACACATGCACATGTATGTTTATTGCAGCATTGTTCACAAGAGCAAAGACCTGGGACCAACCCAAATGCCCATCAAATATAGACTGTATAAAGAAAATGTGGCACATATGTACCATGGAATACTATGCAGCCATAAAAAAGGATGAGTTCATGTCCTTTGCAGGGACCTGGATGAAGCTGGAAACCATCATTCTCAGCAAACTAACACAGGAACAGAAAACCAAACACCACATTATCACTCATAATTGGGAGCTAAACAATGAGAACACATGGACACAGGGAGGACACAGGGAACGTCACACAACTGGGCCTTTTAGGGTGAGGGGGGCTAGGGATAGCATTAGGAGAAATATCTAATGTAGATGACGGGTTGATGGGTGCAGCAAACCACCATGGCACATGTACACCGATGTAACAAACCTGCACGTTCTGCACATGTATCCCAGAAGTTAAAGTATAATTAAAAAAATAATAGCCACAACAACCTTTGAATACATACACAGTACAATAAGAAATAAATAGTGAAAACAGAAAGTTAAAAATGAAGAAGATGGAGTTAAGGTGCAGAGTCTTCATTTGTTTTGTTTTTGTGCTTGTTTGTTTGCTTATGCGAACAGTGCTAAGTTGTTATCAGCTTGAAATAATGGGTTAGAGGGTAGTATTTGCAAGCCTCATGGTAATCTCAAACCAAAAAGCATAGAATGGATACACAAACATAAAAAGCAAAAAACTATATTATATCACCAGAGAAAATAACCTTCACTAAAGAAAAATAGGAAGGTAGGAAAGAAAGAAGAGCAGACCACAACATAACCAGAAAACAAATAACAAAATGACAAAAGTAAGTCCTAACTACCAATACTAACATTGAATGTAAATGGGCTAAACTCTCCAATCAAAAGACATAGTCTGGCTAAATGGAAAAACAAACAAACAAACAAAACACCAATCTGTTGCCTCTAAGAAACACACTTTGTCTATAAAGACATGCACAGAAAGAAAACAACGGGATGGAAAAAGATAATTCATGGCAATGGAAGCCAAAAAAAGTGGAGTACCTATACAAGTATTAGACAAAATAGAGTTCAGGACAAAAACTATGAGGAGATAAAGGTCACCATATAATGATAAAGGGGTCAATTCATCAAAATGATATTGCAATTGTAAATATATATGCACTCAACACTGGAGCACCCAGATATATAAAGCAAATACTATTAGACCAAAGCAAAGAGAAAGCCTCAATACAATAATAGATGGAGACTTCAACACTCCACTTTCAGCATCAGACAGATCCTCCAGACAGAAAATCAACAAAGAAACATCAGACTTAATCTGCAGTATAGAACAAATTGATTACAGATATTTACATAACATTTCATCCAAAAGTTTCAGAATAAACATTCTTTTCCTCAGCACATGGATTTTTCTCAAGGATAGACCATATGTTAGATCACAAAACAAGTCTTGAACAATCCAAAAAATTGAAATATTACCAAGCATCAACTCTGACCACAATGGAATAAAACTAGAACTCAATAACAAGAGGAATTTTGGAAACTATACAGACACATGGAAATGAAACAATATGCTCCTGAATGACCAGTAGGTCATCAAAGAAATTTAAAAGGAAATTGAAAAAATGCTAGAAACAAATGATAGTGGAAACACAACATACCAAAATCTATGAAATACAGCGAAAGCAATACTAAGAAGGAAATTTATAGCTATAAGGGCCTACATCAGAAAAGAAGAAAAACTTGAAATAAACAACCTAAATGTGTATCTTAAATAACTGAAAAAACAAGAGTAACCCAAGCCCAAAATTAGTAGAAGAACACAAATAATAAAAATTACAGCAGAAATAAATGAAATTGAAATGAAGAAAACAATACAAAAGATCAATGAAACAAAAACCTGTTTTCTTGAAAAGTTAAACAACATTGACAAACGTTCAGGCCGACCAAGAAAAAAAGATCAAAATTAATAAAATCAGACATGAAAGCAGAGATATTACAACTGATACCACTGAAATTCAAAGAATTATTAGTGACTACTATGAGCAACTATATGCCAATAAATTGAAATCTCTAAAAAAATGGAAAAATTCCCAGGCACATACAACCTACAAAGATTGAACCATGAAGAAATCCAAAACCTGATAAGACCAAAAACAGGTAATGAGATTAATTCTGCAATAAAAAGTCTCCCACTTTAGAAAAAACAAAACAAAACAAAACAAACAAAAAACAAAAAACAAAGCCTGGGAGCAGATGGCTTTAGAGCTGAATTCTACCAAACATTTAAAGAATAACTGATACCAATCCTACACAAACTATTCTGAAAAACAGAGGAAGAGGGAATACTTCCAGGCTCATTCTTGAAATTCTTGTTACCCTGATACCAAAACCAGACAAAGACACATCTAAAAAGGAAAACAACAAGCACATATCTCTGATGAATATTGATTCCAAAGTCTCAATACTATACTAGTGAACCAAATTAAATAATACATTAAAAAGATATTTCCTCATGAACAAGTGGGATTTATCCCTAGGATGCAAGGATAGTTCAACATACACAAATCAATCAATGTGATACATCATATATACAGAATGAAGGTCAAGAACCATATAAACGTTTTAATTAATGCTGAAAAAGCATTTGATAAGATTCAACATTCCTTCATGATAAAAACCCTCAGAAAACTGGATATAGAAGGAAAATCTCAACATAATAAAAATCACATAAAAAGACCCACAACTAGTATCATACTAAATTGGGAAAAACTAAAAGGCTTTCCTCTAAGATCTGGAACATGACAAGAATGCTCACATTCACTACTATTATTCAACATAATAGTAGAAGCTCTGGCTGGAGCAATCACTCAAGAAAAATAAAGAGCATCCACATAGGAAAGGAACAAGTCAAATTACGCTTGTTTGTAAACAATATGATCTTATATTTGTAAAACCTGAAGACTGTACCAAAAACTATTAGAATTGATAAACAAACTCAGTAAATTTGCAGAATACACAATTAACATAAAAAATTAGTAGTATTTCTACATGCCAATAGTGAACAATTTGAAAACAAAATCAAAAAAGTAATCCCACTTACAAAGGTCACACATAAAATTAAATACCTGAAAATTAACTCAGCCAAAGAGATGAAATAGCTCTATAATGAAAACTATAAAACTCTAATGAAAGAAATGGAAAAGGACACCCAAAAAAAGAAAAGATAGTCCATGTTCATGGATTAGAAGTATCAACATTGTTAAAATGGCCATACTACCCAAAGAATCTACAGATTCAATGCAATTCCTATCAAAATACCAAAAACATTCTTCACAGAAATAGAGAAAACAATCCTAAAATTTATATAGAGCCACAACTGACCCAGAATAGCCAAAACTATCCTAAGAAAAAAGAACAAAACTGAAGGAATCATGTTACTTGACTTCATATGATACTTACTACTGAGGCTACAGAAACCAAAACAGCATGTACTGGCATTAAAACTGACACATAGAACGATGGAACAGAACAGACAACTCGGAAACAAACCCACACACCTACAGTGAACTCATTTTTGAAAAAGATGCCAAGAACGTACACTGGAAAAAGACAGTCTCTTCAATAAATGGTGCTGGGACAACTGAATATCCATATGCAGAAGAATGAAACTAGGCCCATATATCTATACAAATATCAAATCAAAATGGATTAAAGATGTATGATTAAGATCTCAAACCATGAAGCTCCCATAAGAAAACATCAGAGAAACTCCCCAGGACATTGGTTTGAGCAAAAATTTCTTAAGTAGTAATACCCTACAAGTACAGGCAACCAAGTAAAAAATGCACAATTGGGATCACATCAAGTTAAAAAATACTTCTGCACAGCAAAGGTATGATCAACAAAGTGAAGAGACAATCCACAGAATAGGAGAAAATATTTGCAAACTACTCATCTGGCAAGGGATTAATAACCAGAATATAAAAGGAGCTTAAACAACTGTATAGGAAAAAAAATCTAACAATCTGATCAAAAAAATGGGTGAAATATTTGGATAGTCATTTCTCAAAACAAGATATACGAATGTCAAACAGACATGTGAAAAGGTGCTCAACATCATTGATCATCAGAGAAATGCAAATCAAAACTAAAATAAGATATCATCTCATCCCAGTTAAAACAGCTTATATACAAAAGACAGGTAGTAACAAATGCTGGTGAGGATGTGGAGAAACGGGAACCACTGTACACCGCAGGTGGGAATATAAATTAGTAAAACCACTATGGAAAACAGTTTAAAGGTTTCTCAAAAGACTAAAATTAGAGTTACCATATGATCCAGCAATCTCGCTGGTGGGTATATACCCAAAAGAAAGGAAGTAAGTGTATCAAACAGGTATCCACACTCCCATGTTTGTTGTAGCACTGTTCACAATAGCCAAGATTTGGAAGCAATCAAAGTGTCCAGCAACAGATGAATAGATAAAGAGAAGGTGGTATGGCCGGGGGCGGTGGCTGACACCGGTAATCCCAGCACTTTGGGAGGCCGAGGTGGGTGGATCATGAGGTCAAGAGATTGAGACCATCCTGGCCAACATGGTGAAACCCCATCGCTACTAAAAATACAAAAAAATTAGCTGGGCGTGGTGGCTGGCGCCTGTAGTCCCAGCGACTCAGGAGGCTGAGGCAGGAGAACCACTTGAACCTGGGAGGCTGAAGTTGCAGTGAGCCGAGATTGCGCCACTGCACTCCAGCCTGGAGACAGAGCGAGACTCCATCTCAAAAAAAAAAAAAAAAAAAAAAAAAAGAGGGAGAGAGAATGTGGTACATATACACAGTGGAGTACTATTCAGCCATTTAAAAAATGAGATCCTGTCATTTGCAGCAATACGGATGGAATTGGAGATTATTATGTTAAGTTGAATAAGTAAAAAATAACTGCAATGTTTGTGCAGAAAGGCAAGCATTGCACTTTCTCACTCATCTGTGGTATCTAAAAATCAAAACAATTGAACTCGTGGACATAGAGAGTACATAGATGGTTAACAAAGGCTAGGAAAGGTAGTGGGGGCTAAAGGGAAGGTGTGGCTGGTTAATGGCTACCAAAAAAAAAAAATAGAAAGAGTGAATGAGACCTACTATTTGATACCACAGCAGAGTGACTATAGTCAATGATAATTTAGCTGTACATTTTAACGTAACTAAAAGAGTATAACTGGATTGTTTGTAACAAAAAAGAGTAAATGTTTGAGGGGATGGCTACCCCATTCTTATGTGATTATTACTCTTTGCATGCCTGTATCAACACATCCCGTGTACTCAATACAGACCTACTATATATCCACAAAACTTAAAAATACATTAAAAAAAAAGAAATTCCTAAACTTCCCATACCTGTTTACTGATAAGGTAAACTAATATGCCCACATAATGTTAAAATACCAAAAAATGTAAAATTATGTTTTCAAACAAACTGAATACAAATTATGAAAAATTCCACATATTGACAGTAATTATTTTCTGTAGCCTATTGTCTTAAATTTAATTTCCAAGATTCCTAGTTCAAGACCTTAGACTAATATTAGATTCAGTGACTTCATGAAAATCTTTGGATAATTACTAGTTAAGATGGAATACTGAAATGTGGTCACCAATCACGGGTTATATAAATAAATAACTAAATGTAACTTTTATATTTTATGGACTGGCTATTTGTTTGGATTACATTAACAAACATGGGAGTTTTGTATGCCAATTCAAGCAAGTGTAAAAAGGATGTATATGACTATAGAAAGTTGTAATATATGTGCTTGAGAATTTTGCACATCTGCCAAAATACTTATTTTTAATAGTCCTCAATTACATAACTTCCAGTTTCCTCTTTGAAAGAGAATTACTTTGATTAATGTAATGAATAAAAGTAGGAGTTAGAACCATGGTAGAAACAAGAATGGACAAGGAATATGACTGTTATGAAAGGTAATGGAATGTAGTTTGGGTTTTCAAGAAAAGAGTATCTTTGCCTAAAGTAATGTGTTTTGTTGCTATTTCTGTCCTCACTGTGCTTGATGATAACTGAAATCAATTTTATTATTTTAGCTGGGCTTCATGAAGTCTGCCTATACATGTGTGGTGTAGGGACCAGACAAAGCTTTGGATAGTTTATAGTCAGAAGCTGGGGCTCCCCTTTTCTGGACTTCTCCTTTCTCAGATTTTCTCCTGATCTCCTGCGGCTCATGTTACCCTAAACTCAGTCCTCTGTTACTTCAACCCAGTAACTCTACAGCTTTTTTACTGACGTTTTAGTCCTCTGCCTGGTGCACACTAGGGCCAGCTATAAAATCAGGAAACTCACTCCTTGCTATTTCCTTCTTCCAAGTGTCAACTGCTTTTCAGTATCGGCCTATTTTGTTCATTCTCCATTGCCTTCAGATGGCTGTTTTTTTTTTAAATATTTTATCCAGAATTTATAGAAAGTATCTGTGGGAGGTTTGGTCCTATGGGTGTTATTTGATCATTAGTGTAAGCAAAAAATGTTGTGTATATATTTTTACTGCTTATCATGTTTTCCTTTTTCTTTGGCCCACTATTTCACGTAGAATAGATTGACAGTCATTAGTTTTACAGCTTAGTCCACAGATTCTGAATTACAGAGAACGGCTCATGATGGAATGGAGGGGAATATTGGCAACGTCCAGAGATCATACATTTTTATCAGGATGAAATTGGAAAAGGGAGCACATTTCTAAATGATCAAGATTGGTGGTTTGAAAACATATCCAAGTGCTTCGACATACCTCATATGAACAGATGCAGTCTTATTCCCCTTCTCTTCAAAACAGGCCTTCATGATGTGTTTTAGTAAACTGTATGTCTCAGAACTGACACAGAAGAAGTTCCAAGGTTTATAAAGCTGGCACCTTCTTGTCACATGTGCCCTTGGCACCTAGAGCCAAATGCTGGAGAAACTACGTAGAGAAACAAAATAAAAATAGAAAGAGATGCCTGAGGATCCTCAGCTCACTGCCCACCCCCAATAAAACATATCATTAATACGTTTCCTATCATCAATATATTGATTAGACAGATAATTTGTAATATTTGCAGAATGTTTCATTCAGTTATGATCCATAGTTTCTATACCCTCTTTACATTGAGTTTTTTTTAAGAGAAGGAATATTTGAATTTTTTTGAGGAATATTAGGAATGGGAGACAAAGGAGATAATTGGAAATTCAGGGGCTCAGAGGTGGCTAAGCAAATTAAATGGAAATACTTGACATCAGATGTCAACTTCAAAAAAGGCTTTCTTTAATTAAAAAGTGGAAGAAATCTCTTTTCTAACTACACATAAAAAATTATAACAGCACTGAAATGATCATGATTATGTTTCTTCATTCCTATTATACAAACGAATTTTTTTTCTAAGCTATTCACATACTGGTATAAATCTAGTATTCTTTAGTACTGTTTTTGGTATACATATACAAAATTTACTCTACGTATGTTTGTCACTCAAATTTAATTGTGTGCATCATTATCTAACAACAACATAAAATAAGAATTCATAATGAAATAAAACCTACCCCAAAGATACATTCTCCTCATTGATTTAGAGTTGAATGTCTTTACCATCCAAAAAATTAGATGTTCAAACAATGATAGTTAAGTTCATACATGTGGTACAAATTACAATGGAAAACAGCAATAATTTGCTGATAAAAGCTATATGTTCTTAATTATAAATAGAGATAATTCTTCAAATGAAATATCATACAATAAACTATCATATAATAAACATACATATATATGTGAAATGTACTCGGCTTCATAATTTATGGTCAGTGTTGTTATTCATACACATGCACACATATACACACATATATATATGCGTGTGCACTCCTGTAACTTGCTTCAATGAACAGGAAATTAGTAGACTTTACACAGAGATTTAAGATGGCTTCCACATTGGAGTTTCTTGCTCTTTTCCATTTACCATAAGGACATCATCTGGCTATTACACTGTTCCCAGAAGAAGAATGAGAAACTAATGGAGTCAGAATGCCACTGCCTGATCTAGCCTAAATCATCCAAACTCTATCTTCAAGATGCAGTACGTGGCCCATCTCCAATCACCACAGCCATCCATCAAACCCAGCTTAGAAAAATGAAATCCAAAGACATATGAGATACAAATATCTAATGTAGTTTTGGAGGATTTTCTCTTGCAGAAAAACATAAGTGACATAGGTATTCTGCTAAACCAAAAGTGTGGGAAATATGTCCACACTTGTTGTGTCAGGAATTCAGGATACAAGGGAAAAATAGTTGGAGAATGTCAAAGTTTTGTCATATGAAGTCAATAATTAAACCTAAAAGAAAAACCTGTTGAAAAATCTGGGGTTGGCAGGAAACATCATGTCAAATTTCCAAAAGTTGCAACTAAAATCAGAAAGTTTCTTCTTAAAATCTCTTAGAGTTATACATGAATGTATACAAATAGTGGATTTTTCCCTTCAGTATATAATGAGCAGGGTAATAATAATTTTCATGGAAAATTTCTCCTAATTAATAATTTTTATAACTAGACTACACACTTAGAAATGGGCCAAAACAAAAATGGAAAACATAGCAATGTATCATAAACACTCATGTAACCATTATGTAGGGCGAGACATGGAACATTGCTAAGAGGCTAGGTTTACCTCAATGCCACTTTCCAATCCCCTACACCTTTCTTCACACCTCTTATGATAAGTACATCCATAATTTATAATGATCTTTTTTTATTTTCTTTGTACTTTACGAACAAAGCATGCAACCCTAAACTCAATAGCTTCGTTTGGTCTGCTTTGAACTGTGTATAGGTGCAATCCTATATGTCCTTATTCATGGCTTCCTGGACTCAACATTATGTATCTGAAATTTAATCACATGGTTGCATGTACATGTGATTCATTTATTTTCACTTCTGTATATTTTTCCATTTTATGATTTTACTGTAATTATTTATCCATCTTTATTTGATATATATTTGGGCAGCTTATTTTTGAGCTATTATTAATAATGCTACAATGAACATTCTTTCACATATCATTTGCTACAATTCCTTTGTGTATATATATCTGGGTGTAGATTTATACGGTCCTTGATTATGATATTCAAATTCTACTCACAGACATAGAAAAGCCCAAAACAGTTTGACTAAATTTATTCCTGTCACTTTATCTCCAGTCTCTTTATTGCTATTTGCATATATCTTATCAATTATACAATTAATCCAACAAGACACTATTGTTTTCTACAGGCAACATTTATTTAGAATTACACACTTATTTTTCATTGTCATTAATTTTATTGCTTCTTGCATGTTCAACTTTGTATTTTCAGTACAACTTTGTATTTTCTCTTGCTCTATTTTCTCTCCTCTAATCTTACAGAACTCCAGAAGTATGTTACATATTCCAACTGTAGCATGAATTTGTTACCCTCTAGTCTTATATTTTCCATCTTTCTCTCAGTGCTTCATTCTTTGTAGCTATCTTCCAATTCACTAATTATCTCTTCTACTCCATCTAACTGGTTAACTCTGTCTATTGGATTCTCAATATTGATAATTCATTTTTTAGTTTTCTTGTTTTAGTGTTCAGAATAATCTTTTATTATCTTTCCATAAATTATTTTCTACAGGGAAACTGAACAAACTAATCTTAACGCCATGTTCTTTTTAAAAGTGTTTTTGATTTTGGGGTTTTTTGTTTTCTGTTTTAGTATGTTAGAAATGAAAATGGTAACAAATTCCTTCTTTTTCCAACACTTTGGTCAGAGAATAGAATAAAAGCTTCATCTTGGAATTTACCTTCAATTTGAAAGAAACCGGAAATGAAGTTCATATAAGTAGCTTTTTTGGGATAGTAGCTTGTCTTGCTGGGTCCTCGCCACACAATCTCCTCACAAGGAAACTCAATGAGTAGCACTGCATTTCAAAATATCATTGCAATAGATAAAATATAGTTCATCAACCACAGCTATGTCATTGTATTCCATGAATTAATTTTCACTTTGCTTATGTTGTAGAAATGGGGCTCTGTGCCTTTGAACTCCATCATTACCTACATGAAATAGAGAAGATGTGGGGGAGGGCTTACTTATTTGATTTGTTTAGCCCTAAAATCCTCTCTTTAGAAATAAGAGCTTGATCATGAAATGGTTTATTTATTTTTCTTATTAAGCAATTTTATTTATACTAAAATCAAAATCTTTTTATAGTGTTCCTTGGATTAGTTTAATATCATCTATAATTGTTTTCTTCAGCAATGTATTTTAAACTGCACTACACTTAACTTTCTAAATCTAAATGTATTCAACTTGACTTGAACTTTGCTGTTTACTAACGTAAATTTCCCACAATGATATCTCTTAGAACTTATGTAAACGTTGTCCAAATTATGTATGTAAATATTTCAAAAATAAATCATTTAATAAGATAGATGTAAATGTAGATGATTATAATAATGATGATAATGTCAGCTAAAAGGGAGAATGTTATTTGATAAATGTGATTTGGGTCTTCTTTTCAATGTACTAGAGTTAAGGGTAGTGGGAGAACACTATTATTCTTTCTCATGGATTTACGATTTTTTTTTTTGACATGGAGCTTCACTCTTGTCACCCAGGCTGCAGTGCAATGGCGCAATATTGGCTCACTGCAGCCTCTGCCTCCCTGGTTCAATTGATTATCCTGCCTCAGCCTCCCAAGTAGCTGGGATTACAGGTGCCCGCCATCACGCCCAGCTAATTTTTGTATTTTTAGAAGAGATGGGTTTTCACTATATTGGCCAGGCCAGTCTGGAAATCCTGACCTCAGGTGATCCACCAGCCTCGGTCTCCCAGAGTGCTGGGATTACAGGCATGAGCCACCATGCCCGGCACAATTCTTGTATTATTCTCAGCATCAGGCCTAGACAAATACCCTCACATAATATTTCGTCAAGAATAATACAAAACCGACACATTTCCAATGATTTACTTGCTATTTTTTTTCTTTTACCACATTCTAAAAATTACAGTAAAATTGACCTCCAGCAAAGAATACTCTCTTGTTGGCTGTTTAATTTTGTTCCACTTTCCTATGAACTTACACAAATACTCTTTGCAATTATAGAGTGAATAAGCTTCATTTCATCTTTTAATAGCATCATTAACAAGTTAAATTCTCTCTACTGCTTATTTACATTCTCAGCTACTGTCACAAAATCTGGGTGATTTTATTATAGCAGTCCAAGTAGTTATACTACATATGTTTTATGCCTTAACAAAATTATCTTTCTACTAATTCTCCTGTAATATTCAAAAAATTTGTAGTATCAAAATATTTTTCCTCACACATGTGTACACATGCATGGTATTATAATCTTTGAATGGTAAAAATATGTGTATTATTATTTCATTTAGGGATAAATTTAGAAAATTGTCCTGTATATTTAATATCGATATTACTATATTGGAAATTCACTAATTTCTGCCACTTTGAAATGTTGTGATCATAAATATCTAAATTGGAAATAAGAAAAAAAGGTGTCTAGCAAAATACAGATGTGCAAAATCTGATGTTTCAAAATAAGAATAACATTAAGAGTGTGGAGGTAGACTTCCTGTTTATCTCTTCCTTTTTAAAATTAATTTAAAGTTTAAAATTTTATCTTGGATTTCTTACTATCATAATGCTCTATTCTTCTTTATTCAGCAAAAATTCTAATTACCATGGTGTCTACAAGAATGTTTTTTCAGCCTATTTTATATTCATTCATTTATTATATGATTCTGCTTTTAAAATATTTTCATTACTATGAAACATAACATATATATAAATTAATAAAGCCTGAAGGTACAGTATAGAAAAAAATTATAGCATTAAGGGTCATGTTACCACATCTTGGTCATGAAGTAGAATTTACCAGCAATCCAGACACTCCCCATATACACCTTCTTGTTGATATCATTTCCCTTTTGTTTCCTCCGTCCCTACTGTGCCAGTTGTTACAATAATCACTCTTGGGTCTCACTTTAGAATTTCGACAACAATGTAATAAATTGCAATTCATTAAAAATATAGTTTTGTAAACTTTATATAAATGTAATTATACGGAATCATGTTTCCATCTTAATATCTCTCGTATCTATGTAGTGCAAATTTGTTCATTTTCCTTTTTATTAACATTCTTTATAAACGTCTCTCTAGTTGGTTCATTTTGATTGCTGTATAGTATTCTATTGTATGACTATGCAATAATTTATTTATCCATTTTATCACCCATGGACATTTGACAGACTTGTCAACTTTAGCAATTAAAACTCAGTGATATGCATGTGTGTGTATATGTATTCTGATAAGAGTGCAATAGTGGGTCTTCAGATGTGATCCATCATCTTAATCAGATAATGCCATACTCAAAGTAATTGCACTGATTTACAATTCTAGGATTACAATCCTAGAGTGTAACTGTACTAGACATATTTCCTTTAACCAAACATTATGTCAAATGACTTTGGGAAAATATGATTAGTTAACAGTATACTGTAAGGCAAATTTTAGCATTGTTTAACAACTCATTAAAAGGACTCAAAGAAAATAATATGTTGAAATATCAAAATAGTCTATAAGCCTAATGAAGGTGCCCATGGGAAAATACAAATTCTACCATTACTGTTATGGAAAATAATGATGAGTAGTAAACATACCATGTCCGCATTTTTTAAGGCAGGCCTAATACCAATGGACAAGTTTCCCTTTAAGGTCCTGACCTTAATTTCTATGTGCTCCTGATTTCTGACTGTGCAATAACGTTCTTGTTCCTTTTAAATTCTCTGGCTAATGTCAAACAGGAAAGCACCGGGGAATGCTATTGAATGAGTTCAAGGCTGTCTTAATGGAAAACAGGATAATTTCCAAAACAGCTCAAATTAACTCCTATTCAAATACTATATGCTTGTTATAAGATAAAATTTTTCATACTGATGTTGATGTGAAAGCTGAATTCTCATTTGCTAGCATGCAAATCAAGTCATACACTTAATCATCATTTTGCAATTTTTTCCTTGTTTAATGTCTCCATAATTTGCGTTCAGCAATGTGAGTTGTTAGGGAAATTTTCCAACCTAATACATAAATCATACATTGGATGCCTACACTGTTATATGTAGCTTGGTCAAAACTAGAATCATGACCACTGTTGAATCATTTTTTCAATGCCAGATTTATGGAGAGTGAATCCCAACTTTTCTACCAAAAGTGTCCAAGGTTTTCTTGGGAAGCCCAGGAAGGCCAATATTCCTTGAAAACTGGTTACTGCTAACTAATAATTTTGTACAACTTATTGTTAACAAGCTCATTAACACAAACACATTCACACACACACACATACACACCCCTCATGGTTTGGAAAAATTACTGTCCTATAACTTCTAAAATGAAAATTAATTTTCTTACTCGGGCTTTTCAGCCCATTTTCAATGTTTATCAAACTTAATCTCTAAGGCTTAGGCCTTTAACTAAGTTATTCTCTTGAGAATACTTAAATATTAGTTATTTAATTAAAATACTCAACTATTTTGGCCGGACACGGTGGCTCACGCCTGTAATCCCAGCATTTTGGGAGGCCGAGGCGGGCTGATCACGAGGTCAGGAGATCGAGACCATCCTGGCTAACACGGTGAAACCTCGTCTCTACTAAAAATACAAAACCAAAGTTAGCCGGGCATGGTGGCAGGCGCCTGTAGTCCCAGCTACTCGGGGAGGCTGAGGCCAGAGAATGGTGTGAACCCAGGAGGCGGAGCTTGCAGTGAGCCGAGATGGCGCCACTGCACTCTAGCCTGGGCGACAGAGCGAGACTCAGTCTCAAAAAAAAAAAAAAGAAAAAGAAAAAGAAAAACCTCAACAATTGTATAACTATTCCTTGGGCACTAAAAAAACATGTTTTCCATAGAAGAATTTACACTTCTCTGTGTATGAATATTCACTTTTACTTTTCTCTATTTATTTTTGATTACTTATTGATTTATGATGAATAGATGTTAAAATCAGTCTCCAATCCTGGATTTTGTTTCTTTTCAGTTTTTATAGCATAACTGTTTCTAAGAGGGGATCTTGGAGTCAGACGCCAGGTCAGGAAATCATATTCCCTGCTTGGTATAGCTATGCTCTGAGACTCCATTTTCCAACTACTCCTGCCTCAGTATAATCACCTATAAAAAGCGGGCGCAGTGGCTCATGGCTGTAATCCCAGCACTTTGGGAGGCCAAGGCAGGTGGATCACCTGAAGTCAGGAGTGCAAATCCAGCATGGCCAACATGGTGAAACCCTGTCTCCACTAAAAATATAAAAATTAGCCAGGTGGTGGTGGCACGCACCTATAATCCGAGCCACTCGGTGACTGCAGCAGGAGAATCATTTGAACCCAGAAGGCAGAGGTTATAGTTAGTCGAGATCACGCCACTGCACTCTAGCCTGAGAGACAGAGCGAGACTCCGTATCAAAATAACAACAAAAAGGAGATGATAATAAAACTTTCATTGGTTAGTTTTGTTAGGAGTTAATATACTATTTCTGTAACTACTTTCAATTTTACCTGTTTGCTATAAGCAGGAACCAAAGATTGTTAATTATTGATTTGATCCTGTTTCTCTTGATATTTGACACCAGTGAGAACTTCCACCTTTTTTTTTGTTCTGAGACAGCATCTCCCTCTGTTACCCAAGCTGGAGTACAGTGGCACAATCATAGCCCACTGCAGCCTGGAACTCCTGGGCTCAAGCAATCCTCCTGCCTCAGCTTCTCAACTATTTGGAACTATAGGCATGTACCACCATGCCAGGTAATTTTTAAAATTTTTTGTAGAGACGGAGTTTCCATATGATGCACAGGGAACTCCTGCTCTCAAGGGATCTTCACACCTTGGCCTCCCAAAGTACTAGGACTACAGGCATGAGCCATCACATCCAGCCCGCAGTGGGAGTTTTGAAGGTCAGATGCTACCTAGAGCTTCGGCTCATGTCCATCCCAAGGTGGATCTAATCAGTTTGTAGTTATTACCTCTTCCTGAATTGAAATGGATACGTATGGCAGCTGGCAGGACTCTCACATTCTTCGTGAACTGTAGAGTAAGGAACATTATTATAGCAGGACCAAGGGAAAGCCTCTGAAATTCTCCTCTACTGGCAACAAAATATATAAAATATAATAACCGCATTCCCTAAGGAATGGAACTGGTCACTGTCATGACAAAACACCTGAAAGTTACAGGGGATGGTAGTCTTTTCTATAACCCGATTCACTTAACCTATCTGGCCTCTACCAAAACCAGATGGGTTATCGAATGAATGCAGACTACCATAAACTTAAATCAACACTCACAAATGCTTTCCAGGATGTGCTATCTTCACTGAGCAGAGCAGAGCTTCTGGTACTTTTTGTGGGGCTAGTGATTTGGTGAATGGTTCTTAATCTACACCCATTATGAGGGAAAATCAAAACAATTTGCCTTGTAAGAATAATAGCACTGCTTCACTGTTGTATGTCAGGGCTATGTCACTTCTGTTCTCAGTTTAATTTACATTTTTTAAAACATCCTGCCAGTTTAATGTATTGATAATATTACAGACCGGGCCCTGTGGCATATGACTGTAATCCCAACACTTTAGGAGGCCGACACAGGCAGATCACTTGAGCCCAGGAGTTTGAGACCAGCCTGGGTAACACGGTGACATCCCAGCCCTACAAAAAATACCAAAATTAGCCAGGCATGGTGTTGTGCCCCTGCAGTCCCAGCTGCCAGCAATGCCGAAGTGGGAGAATCACTTGTGCCCAGAAGGTTGAGGCTGCAATGAGCTGTGATCCTGCCACTGCATTCCAGCCTCAGGGACAGAAAGAGACCGTGTCTCAAAATAATACCAATAATAATATATTAGTTGGTACAATAATCAGGAAATGGCAAGTTTCTTCAGTATAGTAAAATATTATAACATTGAGCAGAAGTAAAATACCAGAAGAAAATAGATAAATCAGAGAAGATTCAGGGACCGACAACATAGGTGATGTTTTAAGGTTTTTAGTGTCCCTAGTCCACATGCTGAGACAATCTTTTTTACAGTAAACGGCATTTTGCTCTCTCTATATATTTCCTATCACTACAAAAGAGACACTATGTTTTGGGGGCCTACTGGGATTTTGGAGACAACATATTCCACATTTGAGAATATTGCTCTGACTCACGAACGATGTTTCTAAAGGCTACTGGTCTCAAATGGAGCCCAGAACTAAAGAGGGCTCTACAGAAGATATAGGCTCTGGTCCAGGCTGCTCTGGCCACTGTGCCAGATGATCCAGCGGAATTCAAAGCTGCTAGAGGCATGCATAGTGGGCATTATAGGACTCTGTGCATGTCTCTGACAAGCCTGTAGGAGAGGGGAGAGCAAATCCCTATGGAATCAGTGTAAGACCAGTGTAAGACCATTCCCTCTTCAGCAGAGGGAATGCTGAAGTATACTCTGTCTGAAAAGCCAAACAGCAAGTGCAGAACATTAATCCAAGCATAGAGTCACTCTAAGCACAAGCCCCTATAAGCACAAAACCCTGTACAACTGTGCAAGTCATATGCTCATAAAGCCAGCCATGACTGGAGGGTATGAGCACGTCTCAGTGGCACAAGGAGTGGTGGTATTGGACACAAACATGTGCTTTCTCAGATTCCCTTCACTATCTCCTGTTCCCCTGGTCAGCACCTTGCCTGATCCAGATCATCCTTCCATTTGGGACTTGAATGCATCACCACACTGTGGGCATGAGGTCTGACTTTCATGACCACCACCAAGGGACTGGATGATGTAAGACAGAACAACAGAGATGGTAGTTCTAACTCAGGGAAACCCTGGCCAAGGGGAAACAGAAGACTAACGACAGCTGAGCAGATACATTCTCCCTCCTCTCTCTCTCTTCCATGGACTAATGCCAGCTGTGGTTTCCCTTTGTAGCCCTTCTGGAAAAGTTCTGGGAGTCAAGTGCATGCATCTGATGACCACCATGCTGTCTCTCTCACCTCACTGTGAAGTGGCTGCCAGCAGTCATACCAGACATCACCACACATTGTTTCACATCGGTTCTTGTCTCAATTTCCACATGTCCCTGCCATTTTTGTCTTGAATTGGCCTTCCATATAAATGTCATCACTTTAATATCAGGTATTACGTTAAAAACATTTTAGTAAAGTAGCTGGTTACTAACTCAATTTTTTGAAATGAAATGCCATTTTTATATGATAATCAACTAGAAAATATCATAATACAAATATATAATTCACAATAGAAAAAAATACATACGCAAATAGACCAAAGTCTTTTATATGCTTTTTTAAAATATTGTAATAGTGGCATCTAATTTTGATGTTCTACCTTGTCGCCAATTCAGACACCTGATACAGCTGCATCAAGACTATATTATTGTGATATTTCCCCTAAAATTGTGGAATAGCCAAACTTTTCCTCTGAGGAAGGATTCTGCTTGGATAAGCCTGTAATCTTAACCTGAGACCAGAACAGGGGAACTCATGCAACTGCAGATTTTGTGATGAGTTTCCCTTTCATTGGTTTACCACATCAGCTTACCCATTTTATCCACCCATTTATTTGTTCATTAAAATATCATTTTTGACCATCTATTCCTTGTGCTGGGTTCTAGGTCCTGGGAGTCAACAGAAAGCCTGACAGACACGATCTCTTCTTTTATGGTTCTTACATTGTACTGAGGAAGATACATGATTCTAAAAAATACATGAATCAGGTGTGGGGATGATTTATCTTAAGGTCTGAACAACATTGTTAAAATTTCATAACACCAAGAATTAATACAGTCATGTAGAATTTAGCTGTAAACAAGACTGTACATTTCCTTCTTATAATAGAACTTCCCATTAATGAATATGTCAAGACAATTCCATTTAATCATTGACAACAAAATTACACTAGGACAAATCCCATAATTAATACATAGATTTCATAGATACTATTTTAACACTTAAAAAAAGTTTCACTGAATTATTTTCCATAATTTTTATACTATTTTCACATTGACAGATTTTTTTTTAGAAAACGGAAGACTGGAGTTCTCTTATCTGAAGTTTAGAAAGAATTTTAAAAATGGAAGATAAGGATATAATTAGCAATTCAGGGGCTTAGAAGTGCTTTAGAAAAAATACTAAAATAATTTACATCTGAGCTCAATTTCAAAAAAAGTTTTTCTTTAATTGAAAAGCTGGAAGAAATGACTGTTCTAACTGCATATGGAAGCTGATAATAGCAATCAAGATCATGATCATGATTTTTCATCCCTCTTATAGCAGAGATTTTTTTCTAAGCTATTCACATACTTGTATTAAATCTAATATTCCTCAGTACTGTTTATGGTACACATACATGAAATTTACTATACGTATACTTCTCACTCAAATTTTATTGTGTTCATTGTTTTGTAACAATAATTCTGATTGCTTTTTACTAAACATAAAATAGGAATTCATAATGGAATAAAACCCTGAAGATACATCCTCATTAGTGATTAAGAATTGAACGACCTTATTATCAAAAAGTTATAGGTTAAAACAACAGATTGTAAGCACACTGTGGTATATTTGTGTCATTCAAATAACAATAGAAAAGAGCAATATTTTTCCTGAGATAAGCTGTTAGTTCTTAATAATTATAAATAGATATAAATTCTACAAATGAAATATAAAATACATGTATGAAATAAACATGGCTTCATAATTGAGGAATTTTTGTCATATTTTCTATAATTTGGCAGTTTTTGTGAAAAAACAATAAAAAGCATGTTATTGTCAATGTTCTTCAGTTTTTCATACACACACACACACACACACACATCTATATATATGTACTTTTCTAGACTAACTTTAGGTAAAAGACTTTTCTAGGTATACATGTGGAAATTATTCATATACATATATTACAGAAAACCCAGTAAGAAATATAAAATGTTTCATACACCACCAGTTTGTTTTCTGCTAGAAGACACACAATGCCCCTCTTGTGAATCTATGGAGACGAAGGCTTCTGTCTTTCACCCAGTACCTCACATGCCGCAAAACTGAAAGAAAAATCTGCTTTAGCTTCTTGTTTCCCAAAATCAGGATGAATGGGTGGGTTGAAGGATAGCTGAATATAATAGCTTGGCAGAACATGAAGACAGGTTGCTTTTCCAGCCTCCCAAAATTACAAACTGATATGATCATGGACAGAAAGTAAATGGCACATAACAGAAGAAAGGAGGTCACAGTTTGCAAAGCTTTTATGTGGACCTTGGTGCTGGGATCTTGAGATCCTTTGCCATGGAGCTGCATCTTCTTGAGATGTTTACACAGAGAACAGATTAACAGCAGAAAAGATATCAGGGTCAGAGTGAGGGGTACAAAGTTTGCTAGCATGGTTAGAGTCATATTTGAATGGTACATTGCACTCCTCAATTTGATCTTCCAAGTCACGTTTCCTTCATATTCTTTTGTCCATACAGTCTCATCCATGTTTATCACAAAAAGATGACAAACCAAAAATAGCAAAGGCCCCAACAGTATCACCAGAACAACACTCTTAACTCTCCTCTTTATGCGAAGAAAAATAAGGTTGGAGAAATTGGCAATCCTGAGCAAATAAAACATGCTGAGGCTAGTAGCAAGCCAGCTGCTGAAATGGTTGGTTACTGCCCAGACATTATAAGCAGTAATTCTTACTTCTACACTATAAAAAGCTGGATTCAACTGAGTTGCATACCAATGTAGTAATAACACCCAGAGCAAACCAACTCTGGAGACCGCCAGAGCAGTGAGAATTTGGTCAACAAAGGAGATCTTTTGTCTCTTGACCCACTCAATGGAATTTACCAATGCTATGAAGCCATTAGCAAAATTTCCAATAACAAATATAACCACTATTAGAATGGAAAAAATGATGGGCAGAAAAGTTATCATGTCTGAACAGACAAAAAGAAATTTTTAAAATGCTGGTGTAATATCACTGGTTGTGATTGCTTGAATATCCTGACCTTAAATTCTATATGCACCTGATTTGTGTATGTGCTGTGACATTCTTTTTACTTTTAATTGCTGTGACCAGTGTCAAGTCAGAAATCACCATGGCATGCTAATGGATAAGTTCAATGCTCTCTTTATGGAAAACATTCTTATTTTCAAAACAATTCAAATTAACTGACTCATTCACCATCTGTTCTTGTTATAGGCTGGAATTATTCATACTGAAATTGACATGAAACCTGAATTCTCATTTGCTAGTATGCAAACAAGGACATGTTCACTTCCAGTGTTTGCAATTTTTCCTTGTGTAACCTCTCCATCATTTGTCTTTAGCGACTTCAGTTGCTTGGGAAGTTTTATAACCCGATATGTAGATCGTATAGTAAATGTCTAAAATCTTAAAGGGAGCTTGATCATAACTAAGATCATCACCAATACGGACTTTTTTAAATGCCAGATTTAAATACACAGAATCCAAACTGCTTTTATCAAAAGCATCTAAGATTTACTTGAGAACCACAGGCAGGCCAATACTCCATAAGATCTGGTTGCTGCTAATACTTTTGTGTAACTTCATTATTCACAAGCTCATAAATACACACACAAACACACACATGTGCACACCACTTATGAATGGAACGAATTATTTTCTCATAATTTCCAAAATAAAAAATCAGTTTCCAGGAGGTTGTCCAGGTGAAATTAGTCCTATTTTCCCACTCAAGGTTTTCAGCCCACGAATAATGTTTATTTATCAAACATATCTCTAATTCTTAGGCCTTTGGTAAAGTTTCTCTCAAGTCTAATATTTAAATATTTATTATTTAATTAAAATGTTCAGCAATTTTATAAGTATTCCTGAGTACCAGACCCTTTGATATATAATCTTGCAGTATCCTCCCATCACACGAAGACTGACTACCTTTCCCCTGAACTTGAAGTTCAATCATTTAACTTACTTTGATGAACAAAAAATTAATACACTTTGCATAGAAATTTGAGATAGCTTCCATACTGGGTGTTCTTCCTCTTTCCATTTACTATGAGAATATCACCTGGCTAGTACACTGTTCCCAGAAGGAGAATCAGAAACTAATGAAGGCAGATTGCCCCCCACCTGATCCAGACTAAATTGGCCAAACTCTAACGACCTCCAAGATGCAGAATTTGGCCCATCTCAAGTCACCAGAGCTATCCAACAAACCCATTTAGAAAAACAAAATCCAAAGCCATGTGATATATAAATATCTAATGTAGTTTTGAAGGGTTTCTCTTGCAGAAAAACATAACTGATAAAAGAACTCTGCTAAACCAAGAGTGTGGGAAATGTGTACAACCTTGTTGTGTCAGGAATTCAGGAGCCAAAAGAAAAAATAGATGGGGAACGGCAAAGATTTGTTCATGTGAGGTGGATAATTAAGGCTAGAAGAAATCCTTTGGAAAAATCTGGGGTGGCAAATAAAATCATCTCAAATTTCCTCATGTTGCAACTAAATAAAGTTCTTACTTCAACTCTCTTAGAGTTGTATAAGAATGTATACCAATAGTTTATTTTTCCCCTCAGTATATAATGAGACGAGTAATAATAATTTCTATGAGACGTTTCTCCTAATTAAAACTTTTTATGTTAAAATTATAATGCACACTTAGAAATGAACCAAAACAAAAATGGGAAATACCGCAGTGTATCATAAACATTCAAGTAACCATTATGTGGAGCAAGACAAGGAACACTGAAAACAGCCTAGGTCCACCTCCATGCCACTTTCCAACCCCCTAAACCCTTCTTCACATCTCCTGAGATAAGCAATATCCATAATTTATATTGATTATTTCCTTAATTTTCTTCACACTTTACCAACTAGGTATGCAACCCTAAACTCCATCGCTTGGTCTGGCCTGCTTTGAACTCTGTGTAGGTGCATTCCTACATGTTCTTGTTGTTTGTGGCTTCTTGGACTCAACATTATGTTTCTGAAATTTAGTCACATAGTTGCAAGTACATGTGGTTTTTTTTCACTTCTCTATATTGTTCCGTTGCATGGAATTAATGTAATGATTCACCCATCCTTAATGTACATTTGGTCTGCTTCTTTTTTGAAGTTATGAATAATTCTACTAGAGAATTCTTTCATATATCATTTGATGCAATTCCTCTGTATATATACCTTTGGGTAAAATTACAGGGTCATTGTTCAAAATCTCCTCATAGACATAGAAAAGTTCAAAAACTACTTCAAGTAAATTTACTCCTGTCACCTTTACCTCCAGTCTATTTTTTGCCATTTGCATATGTCTTATCAATTATATAATCACCCTCAAGACATTATTATTTTATACAGCAAACATTCATTTACAATTATGCACATATTTATCACTTTCATTAATTTGTATTCCTTCTTGCATATTCAACTTAATATTTTCAATAAGTCTCTTTATTGGCCAGGCAGGGTGGCTCACACCCATAATCCCAACATTTTGTAAGGCTGGGGCAGGAGCACCCAGGAGTTCAAGACCAGCCTGTGCAATACACCGAAACTCCCTCTACAATAAATGAAAATGTGAGCCAGGCATAGTGAAGCTACTCACAAGTTCTTTAAAAAGGAGTTTTTATAAATTTTTAGTATACCTGACATGAAAATGGTCACAATTTTCTTCTTTTTGTAATACAAAGGTCACAGAAGAGATTAAAATCATGGTCTAGGCATTCTCCTGCAACTTGGAAGAAACCGGAAATTGATTTGATGTGAGTAGCTTTTTTTGGATAGTAGCTTGTCTGTTGCTGGGTCATCACCACAAACTCACCTTATAGGGAAATTCAGTGAGCAGCACTAGATCTCAAAATGTCATTACAATTAATAAAATATAGTATCTCAACCACAGCTCCACCAATCTATTCCACGATTTAAATTTTACTGTTTTTATAAGCAGAAATCAAGGCTTCTTCATTTATAACAATCTTTAAAAGATCAAAGAGTAAAACAGTACTTACAAGTTTATCAAACATTGAAGAACTTTTATTCCCATGGAAACAAAACTGAATCTGGTGCTTCTAAGGAATTCCACCATTTAATCCCTATCCGTGAATATAGTTTTGGTTATAGAACTATAACCTTCAAACTCCATCATCACTCACTCAAGTGTGACAGAAGATCTGAGGTCTTACCTCTGTTTGACAATCTGGTCCTAAAACTCTCTCTTTAGAAATATAAGCTTGCTCATAAAATGTGCTATTTGCTTTGTCTTTCTTACTAGGGAGGTTTAGTTCCATTAAAATCTAAATTGTTTCCATAGTGATCATAGTGAAAAGAGGATTAGTTTAAGCTCATCCATAAATAATTATTTGCTTAAGCAATGTATTGTAAAATAAACTACACTTAATTTCTAAATCTAAGTGTATTGAGCTTGACTTAAACTTTGCTGTTTACTCCTGTAACTTTCCAATAATTATGATCTTTTTAAAATTACTTATTTTCCAAATTATGTGTTTAAATATTTCAAAAATAAATCATTTAATGAGATAGATGTGGATATAGATAATGATAATGATGATGGCAGGTAAAAGGGAGAATGCTATTTGATAAATGTGATTTCAGTCTTGTTTTTTAAGTACTAGACTTCAAAGTAATGAGAGAACAATATTATTCTTCTTCATGGCCTCATGATTCTTATATTATTCCAGCATCAGGCCTAGGCAAATACCCTCACGTGGTATTTCATCAAGAATAATGTAAAACCAATGTATTTTCAATGATTTATTTGCTTTTTTTATTTTATTATACTTTAAAAATTCATAGCAAAAGTGATCTCCAACAATTAGGATTCTATTTTGGGTTTTTTTGTGCAGTTTTCAATATGAAAATAGACAAATACTCTATGCAATATACAGCATATCAATTTTATTTCATCTTTTAATAGCATCATTAGCAAGCCAAATTCTTGTAAATGCTTTTTCACATTCTTAGCTATGGTGACTAAATCTGTTATCTTACTATAGCAGTCAAAGTAGCATTATATATGCACAAACATACTCAAAGATCATGCTAAATATGTTTTACACCTTAACAAATTTGCCTATGATTTTTCTTCTCTAATGCAGAACCAAAAAATATATAGTAACAAAATATTTAACCCAAAATGCAGGTGTACACATGAATAGTATTGTGAAATTAGAATGCTAACAATATGAATATACATATTTCATTTAGAGACACATTTTGGCATAATAGGTCTATATATGTAATATCCATCTTACTATAGTTTATTGGAAATTCATGACTTTCTGACACTGAAATGTGAATTATGAATAATTAAATTGGAAATAAGAATAAAGGTGTCTAGCAATCATAAATATTCAAATTTTGATGTTTCAAATTCATATTAGCATTAAGAAGGTGGATTTACAGTTCTTGCTTATCTTCTTTTTTAATTAATTTAAGAAAACTTTTGGGCCAGGTGTGGTGGCTCATAACTGTAATCCCACCATTTTAGGAGGCTGAGGCAGGTGGATTGCCTGAGCACAGGAGTTCAAGACCAGCTTGGGCAACATGGCAAAATCCCATCTCTACCAAAAATAGAAAAAATTAGCAGGGCGTGGTGGTGCACGCCTGTTGTCCTAGCTACTCTGGAGGCTGAACTGAGAGAATCACTTCAGCCCGGGTGGCAGAGGTTGCATTGAGCCGCGATTGCACTTGTGCACTCCAGCCTGGACAACAGAGCAAGACCCTGTCTCAAAATAAAAAAAGTTTTAAATTTTAACTTGTATTTCTTAGTACCATAATGCTCTATTCTCCTTTATTCAGCAAAAACTCTAATTACAATGGTATCTATGAGAATATGCTGTATCACCCTGAATTTATACGTAGAAATGTACTTATGTTTTTGCTTTTTTAACATTTTTTTATTGGGGAATATAACATACAGAGAGTAATAAAACCTAAAAACAGTAAGAAAAAATTATAACATTAACATTGATGTTACCAAACCTTGGTCAGAAAATAGAATTTGCCAGCAATCCAGATACTCCCAATATACGTCTTCTTGTTGATATTTCCCTTTTATTTCCTCCCTCCTGATTATCCCAATTGTTATGATGATCATTCATATATTTCACTGTAGAGTTTCATCACCAATGTAACAAATTACAATGTATTAAAAATTTTTTTTCCAAACTTTATGTAAAAGATCATTCCAAATGTATTTTTCCATCTTGATAATTCCTTTCACATCTGTGAGTATTATTATCTATGTAGCTCAAATTTGTTCATTTCCTTTGTTGTATTATACTGTTGTAAACATGTCAGTCTTCTTTGTTAATTTTGATCACTGTATAGTATTCCATTGTATAAGTATGCCATAATTTGTTTATCCATTTGGAGGACTGACAGACATTCCAAGTACTTCTCAACTTTAGCTACTGAAACTCAGTGATACGCATGTGCATGTATATGTATTCGGATAAGAGTGTAAATACTGGGTTTAGGATGTGATCCTTCATCTTAATCAGATAATGCCATACTCAGCCAAAATGATGGTACAGATTTATCATCCTAGGAGTAGAATATGAAAATTCCCATTGTTTCATATCCTTTCCAAAATAAGTAACGTAAGAGTAATATTTACAGTTTTGTATTTATATAACATATTATTAAACAATAGTTTCCAAGTTCTTTCCTATTCTAATTTAGAATGTATTTTTACTTCAATAAATTTCATTCTATGATAGTTATTTCATATACATTTATTAATAATGCCTTATATATTATACATATTTATTTATATTTCATTATAAATTTGTCTAACCTTTTTTTCTTCAAGTTTCAAATACTCTTTTCTTATAAGCAAGTGTAATTATACTGGAGATATTTCCTTTAATCAATCATTATGCCAAAGGACTTTGAAAAAATATAATTGTTAACAGCACTGTAAGGGAAATTTCAGGATTGTTTAACAACTCCTAAAAGGACTCAAAGACAAAAATGTTGAAATATAAAAATAGACAACAAGCTTAATGTAGGTGTCCATGGGAAAAATAAATATATCATTGCTGTTATTGAAAAAATGAATGGTAGTAAATTTATCATGTCTGAATGTTTTAAAAAGTAGGCCTAATATCACTGGTCAAGATTCCCTTTAAGGTCCTGACCTTAACTTCTATGTGTAACTGATTCCTGAATGTGCAGTAATGTTCTTGTTCCTTTTAAATTCTGTGACCAACGTCAAAGAGGAAATCATCTCAATATGCTAATGGATGAAATCAATGCTGTCTTTATGGAAAACATGATAATTTCCAAAACAGCTCAAATTAACTCCTATTCAAACACAACATCCTTGCTGTAAGGTAAAATTTTCCATATTGATGTTGAAGTGAAAGCTGAATTCTCATATACTAGCATGCCAAGGAAGAGTTTTTTAATTGTTCTGCAATTTTTTCCTTGTTTCACCTCTCCATAATTTGTTTTCAGCAACTTCAGTTGTTAGAGATATTTTACAACCCAATACATATATGACACATTGGTTGTATAGCCTGGTGAATGGAGCTTGAGGATAGCTAGGATCATCACCAAAGTAGATTTATTTTTTTTCAATGCCAGTAATATGTAGAGTGAATCCCAACTTTTCCTACCAAAAGCATTCAAGGTTTTCTTAGGAACCTCAAAAAGGCCAATAGTCCTTAAAACCTGGTTGCTACTAAGTAATACTTGTATAACTTATTGTTAACAAGCTCATTAATACAAACACACTCACACACATACACACATACTCACCCCTCATGAATAGGAGGAATTATTGTCCTATAATTTCCAAAATGGAAAATTAATTTTAGGGAGATCATCCAGGTGGAAATAGCCCTATTTTCCCATTTGGGCTTTTTGACCCATTTTCAATATTTATCAAACTTACCACTCATGCTTAGGCCTTTCACTAAGTTATTCTCTTGAGTCTAGTTAATACTTAAATATTTATTGTTTAATTAAAATGCTCAGCAATTGTGTAACTATTGTGGGTCACTTGAAAAACACGTTTTCCATTGAAGAGTCTAGACTTCTTTCTATATGAATATTTGGTTTTGTTTTCCTCTGCTTAATTTATTTTTGATTACTTAATGGTTTAAGATGAGTAGATGTTAAAATCAGTCTCCAATCTTGGATTTTATTTATTTTTCATTTTTACAGTATAATTGTTTCTAAGAGAGGATTTTGGAGTCAGACTGCCAAGACAGGAAACCAGATTTTCTGCTTCATATAGGTATGCTCCAGACAGACCTCATTTTACAACTACTCTATGCCTTGGTATAATCATCTGTAAAATACAGATGATAATAATATTCTCTTTGGATAGTCTTTCTGAGGAGTTAATATACTATTTGTATAACTGCTTTCAATTTTACCTTCTGGTACAGGCAGGAATCAAGGATTATTAATTTTTCATATGATCATGTGTTACTTGATACATAAAAGATACCAGTGAGAACTTCCTTGTTTTGGGTGGAGGGAGGGAGACAGGGTCTTGCTCTGTCACCCAGGCTGGAGTGCAGTGGCTTGATTACAGCTCACTGCAGTCTCAAACTTTTGGGCCCAAGTGGTCCTCCCACCTCACCTTCTGGAGTAGCTGGGACTACAGGCATGCACCAAAACATCCAGATAATTTTTTTTTATTTTTTTATAGAGACAAAGAGTCTCCCTATGTTGCCCAGTCTGGTCTTCAACTCATGTGCTCAAGTGGTCCCCTCATCTTGGCCTCCCAAAGTGCTTGGATACAGGCATGAACAACCACACCTGGCTGAGAACCTCCATTTTTGAGCAGAACACACAAGGTTAAGAAAGGCATGACATCCGTCTCCAACAACTAGGATAAAAGAAACAAAAGGCCAAAATTATATTTTCAATTCATCACAGAGTTGTACAAGCAACGATGACCAGCTGAACTGAAATTCAGCACAAGGAGAGTCTTTATAGGTGAAAAGTCAACTTATATATATTCAGTGCAATCCCTACCAAATCCCAGAAGACTTTTTTCACAGAAATTGGAAAACCACTCCTAAAATATATCTGGAAATGCCAAGTGACAAGATCACAAAAAGAAATTGTTAAAAAATAAGAAATTTGGAGGATTATACTTTCTGATTTCAAAGCTTACTTCAAAGCTGCCCTAATCAGGATTCTATAGAACTCACATTACAGTAGACAAAAAGAACAATGAAACACAACTGAGAGTCCAGAAACTAACACCAACATTCATGGTCAATTGCTTTCAAAAAAAGGTACTATTGCAATTCGAAAGGAATTAATCGTTTTTCTCAACAAACAATGCCAGGTAAAATTGAAGAAGACTACCTCAAGGAATTTAATAATCAATTTCCCTAAGGTCAAGGATAAAGAAAGGATTCTAAAGCAGCAAAAGAAAAGAAACAAATAATGTACAATGGAGCTCCACTACATCTGGCAGCAGACTTCTCAGTGGAAAAAGGCCAGGAGACAGTGGCATGACATATTAGAAGTGCTGAAGGAAAAAACTTTTAGCCCAGAATAGTGTTACTGGAGAAAATATTCTTCAAACATGAAAGAGAAAGACTTTTCCAAACCAACAAAAGCTGAGGGATTTCATAAACACCAGATCTGTCCTATAAGAAATGTTAAAGGGATTACTTCAATCAGAAAGAAAAGGGCATTAATGAGCAATATGTAATCACCTAAAGCTATAAAACTCACTGGTAATAGTAAGGAGACAGAAAAACACAGACTAGTATAACACTGTAAATGTGGTGTGTAAACCTCGCTAAAGTACAAAAATTAAATCATGAACTGACAAAAAAAAAATAGTTCCCGCAACCTTTGAAGATATAGACAGCACAATGATATATAAATAGTGACACAAAAAGTTAAAAACTGAGAAGATGGTGTTAAGGTGTAGAGTCTTCATTTGTTTAGTGTTTGTGCTTGTTTGTTTGCTTATGCAAACAGTGCTAAGTTGCTATCAGCTTGAAATAATGGGTTACAAGATAGTATTTGCAAGCCTCATAGTAATCGCAAATCAAAAAACATAATACAATGGATACACACAAAAAAATAAAAAGCAAGAAACTATATCATATCACCAGAGAAAATAACCTTCACTAAAGAAAGATAGGAAGGAAAGAAAGAAGAGCAGACCACAACATAACCAGAAAACAGATAACAAAATGGCAGAAGTAAGTCCTTACTACCAATAATAACATTGAATGTAAATGGACTAAACTCTCCAATCAAAAGGCATAGTCTAGCTAATCAGTTGCCTATAAGAAACACAATTCGCCTATACAGACATGCACAGATAGAAAATAAAGGGATGGAAAAAGACACTCCATGGCAATGGAAGCCAAAAAAAGAGGAATAGCTATACTAATATTAGACAAAATAGATTTCAAGACAAAAACTATGAAGCGACAAAGAAGGTCAACATATAAAGGGGTCAACTCATCGAAAGGATATAACAATTGTAAATATATATGCACTCAACACTGGAGCTCCCACGTATATAAGTCAAATATGATTAGAGCAAATACTGTAATAGATGGAGATGACAACTTATTAGCAAGTCTACTGGCTCCAGGCTGGTACTGGGAGTTGTCTGCACAGAGTCCTGTGATGTGAACAATTTATGGGACTCTCAGCCTTGGACACCAGTGCATGTTCCAGTTGAGGTGATGGAGGGTGCAATGGACTCCACGGGGGTCCTTAGCTTTGGTGGTTTAATGCTCTATTTTTGTGCTGGTTGGCCTCCTACCAGGAGGTGGTGCTTTCCAGAAAGCATCAGCTGTAGTAGTGTGGTGAGGGACTGGCAGTGGGTGTGGCCCTAGATCTCCCAGAATTATATACCCTTTGTCTTCCACTACCAGGGTGGATAGGGAAGGACCATCAGGTGGGGGCAGGGCTAGGCATGTCTGAGCTCAGACTCTCCTTCTGTGGGTCTTGCTGTGGCTGCTGTGGGGGATGGGGATGAGATTCCCAGGTCACTGGAGTTGGGTACCTGGGAGGATTATGGCTGCCTCTGCTGAGTCTTGCAGGTTGTCAGGAAAGTGGGGGAAAGCCAACAGTCACAGGTCTCACCCAGCAACCATGCAAACTGAAGGGCTGGTCTCACTCCCACCATGCCCCTCCCAGCCGACAGCACCGATTCTATTTCCAGGCAGAGGGCAAAATGGGCTTGAAAACTTGCCCAAGGCTATCTGCCTCCCAGCCATGAGAGAAAAGGGCTTTAGTTCTTCCCCAGCCTGTGACGTCTGCATGCCCGATTCACATCCTCCCCCGAGTTCTGGCCAGGAGGCTTCTTGACCAGTTCAAATTGTTATAAAGTTCAGCTAGAGATTTCTTCTGCCTGGGGGGTTTTACCCCCTGCTCCTCTGGCCACCCTCCTGATGGAGTACTATGGTGCCAGGCAGGAATCGGCTGTTTGGGGACCCAGTGAGCTCCCAGGGCCTTCTGCCCTGCTTCCTCTACCCCTGCATTTCACTCAGCTCTCTAACTTAACTCAGCTCAAGGTAAAGCCAGAAACTTCTCCTGCAAACAGACCTTCAGTTCTCCAGTGGTGGTGTGTGTTCAGAAGAGGAGGGTCTCCCTTTCCTACTCCTGCAGTTGGGGAAGTCACTGTATTTGGGTGTCTCCTGGGTCCTGCAGGAGCACTCTGCTTCCTTCAGAGGATCTGTGGGTCCTCTTGGGATTACTGGTTTGTTCTTGCAGTGGATTTGTAGCTAAAATTCACAATACAAGCATCCACATGCTGGTCTGTCTAGAGCTGCAATCTAGTCCTGCCTCACATCCATCTGCCACAATCCCCCGAAACTCTGTAGTGTTTATTGTTCCATCCGAACCTACACATGTGCCTATACTTTTTTTGTTTTGTTTTTTGTTTTTGGTTTTCTTTGAAACGGAGTCTCGCCCCATTGCCCAGGTTGGAATACAGTGGCGCAATCTCGGGTCACTGCAACCTCTGCCTCTCAGGTTCAAGTGATTCTCCCTGCCTCAGCCTCCTGAGTGTCTGGGATTACAGATACATAACACCATGCATGGCTAATTTTTGTATTTTTAGTAGAGATGGGATTTCACCATGTTGGCTAGGATGGTCTGAAACTCCTGACCTCAAATAATCTATCCTCCTTGGCCTCCCAAAGTGCTAGGATTACAGGTGTGAGCCACCATACCCAGTCTACATGTTCTAAAAAATGAAATTGTTCCTCACTGATACATAATCCCTCAATATTAGAATTTCTCAAATTAAATTCCTGAAAATGTTAGAATTAAAAGGTATTTTCTAAAACAGAAAAGGATTTCACAGAAAAGGAAATTTGGGAAACTCCACATAGAGCACTTCCTTTTACATACTAACAGAGTATACAGAAAGCTTATGATTTAAAAACAAACAAAAAGGTTAAAGTCGCTTAAGCCAGCATTGCCTAAAATATTTAAAAATTAAGAACTTTTTTTTTGTAACAACTATGAATATTCTGCTGAACTCTGAGAAATTCTGCTCTATATCTCTTTTAATGACAAATGTGTATTCTGCTATAATGAAGCATTATAATGTTTTTAAGCATAAAAAATGTTAAGGCTTTTATCTTAATGTTAACAAACTATACATAGCTCTATAACTGTTTTTGCATATCTGTAATCATTTTATGATTATTTTTAGAAACGTTTCAGAAATATGTAGTTATACATGCATATCAAAAAGTATGTGTACATAGATACATAGATATAAAGTGTATGTATTTTTATGCTAAATTCGCTTTGACTATATCCTACTATATGCTTCTACCAGTAGTGAAAGAGATTTTTCATGTTTCTGAGCTTTTTACTATCTGGATACCTTTTTAGTATTTTTATAATATATTTTACCAACAGATGTTCCTCATTCTGTGCGTCTTTACACATTTTTTTTCTTTCAGTCTTTTTCTAGTATTCATTCTGCTTTATTCTTCTAGGTAGTTTTTTTACTGAATCTAAAGTGTTTCCCAGGCCCTTAGCATAATAAACTACTCTAAATGAGAAAAAAAATGGCAATATTTGCCTTAACATCTTACATGTATACCTGAATTTGGCAAGAATTGATGTCATCACAACAATGAGAATGTCATCTAAGAACATGATTTTTTTATTAGGTAAAATGAGTATTTTTAATTTCATCCATATATTCCTAGTTTTAATACTCTTTCTGTATTCATTATCAAATGCCTAGATGTATAATTAGACTAGAGTCAGACAGCTAACTTAGCTGGATTAATTAACAGATCTTTCCAAGGAATTTAAAACTTATCAAACTTTTCCTTTATGTTTCGTGGTTTTTGTATCTTTCAGATAAAATCCTCACCTACCCTGAATTTATAAAATAATTTACATTTTTCTTAGCTTTAAATTTTGTTCTTAATGTTTAGATCTTAGTCCTTTTGGACTATTTTTTGTGATACAAGTTACACACTGATTTTCCTCCTTATGAAAAGTCCATTATCCAAACAATTTACTGCAAAAAACACATCTTATCTACTAATTTCTAATGATAATCTTATTATAAGACAAATTACATGTGCACAAAAAGTAAATTACCTAAATATATTCTGCCTTACTATTCCCTTTTGTTGTCTATTGCATCCTTCTGTGCCAAAATTCTTTCAATTTTCATAATTACACTATAATAAATCTTGATACCCAGTAAAGAACTTACCTCCTTCTTTTTCCAAGTTTTCTTGCCTATCTCCGAACTGTTAATTTTCTATATGTATTTTTCAAGTCATTTTTCACAATTTTCACAAAACTTTAATAAGACTTTGCCACAACTTGCATTGACTATATTAATCTAGAAAGAAATTATATTTTATAATACTCAGTTTATCTATGAACATGATACATCTCTTCATGTATTGTTTTTGAAACAATGTCTCACTCCAGTTGCCCAGGCTGGAGTGCAGTGGCACGATCTCGGCTCACTGCAGCATCAGCCTCCCAAGATCAGATCCTCCCACCTCAGCTTACTGAGTAGCTGTGACTACAGGTGTGTGCCACCACACACCGCTAATTTTTGTATTTTTAGTAGAGACAGGGTTTCACCAGGTTTCCCAGGCTGGTCTCGAGCCCCTGGACTCAAGGAATCCACCTGCCTGGGCCTCCCAACATGCTGGGATTACAGACATGAGCCATGACACCTGGCCAAAGAATTTTTTAAATTTACATATTGTAATTTACTGTTGGCAATAGATACACTGTTTTTTGGTAAATCGATGTTATATGAAGAACCTTGTTATCTTTTCTTATGCTAATAGTACCTGTTGATTCTTTAGGAGTGTTCATTTAAGCAGTGACATCATCACATCATTATACTGTAAATTTGTCTATCTCATTCCAGTTCCTAGATGAGTTTATATTGCTTGTCCTATTACATTAGCTAAAAGTGCTAGAACAATGTTGAGTTCTACAGATGTTAAAGAGCATTTCTGCCTTATTTAAGATATCAGTGAACTTTAAAGTAGTTTTCCAATTCTGTGAAGAAAGTCATTGTTAGCTTGATGGGGATGGCATTGAATCTATAAATTACCTTGGGCAGTATGGCCATTTTCACGATATTGATTCTTCCTACCCATGAGCATGGAATGTTCTTCCATTTGTTTGTATCCTCTTTTATTTCATTGAGCAGTGGTTTGTAGTTCTCCTTGAAGAGGTCCTTCACATCCCTTGTAAGTTGGACTCCTAGGTATTTTATTCTCTTTGAAGCAATTGTGAATGGGAGTTCACTCATGATTTGGCTCTCTGTTTGTCTGTTATTGGTGTATAAGAATGCTTGTGATTTTTGTACATTGATTTTGTATCCTGAGACTTTGCTGAAGTTGCTTATCAGCTTAACGAGATTTTGGGCTGAGACAATGGGATTTTCTAGATATACAATCATGTCGTCTGCAAACAGGGACAATTTGACTTCCTCTTTTCCTAATTGAATACCCTTTATTTCCTTCTCCTGCCTCATTGCCCTGGTCACAACTTCCAACACTATGTTGAATAGGAGTGGTGAGAGAGGGCATCCCTGTCTTGTGCCAGTTTTCAAAGGGAATGCTTCCAGTTTTTGCCCATTCAGTATGATATTGGCTGTGGGTCTGTCATAGATAGCTCTTATTATTTTGAGATACGTCCCATCAATACCTAATTTATTGAGAGTTTTTAGCGTGAAGGTTGTTGAATTTTGTCAAAGGCCTTTTCTGCATCTATTGAGATAATCATGTGGTTTTTGTCTTTGGTTCTGTTTATATGCTGGATTACATTTATTGATTTGCATATATTGAACCAGCCTTGCATCCCAGGGATGAAGCCCACTTGATCATGGTGGATAAGCTTTTTGATGTGCTGCTGGATTCGGTTTGCCAGTATTTTATTGAGGATTTTTGCATCAATGTTCATCAAGGATATTAGTCTAAAATTCTCTTTTTGGTTGTGTCTCTGCCCAGCTTTGGTATCAGGATGATGCTGGCCTCATAAAATGAGTTAGGGAGGATTCCCTCTTTTTCTATTGATTGGAATAGTTTCAGAAGGAATGGTACCAGTTCCTCCTTGTACCTCTGGTAGAATTCGGCTGTGAATCCATCTGGTCCTGGACTCTTTTTGGTTGGTAAGCTATTGATTATTGCCACAATTTCAGATCCTGTTATTGGTCTATTCAGAGACTCAACTTCTTCCTGGTTTAGTCTTGGGAGAGTGTATGTGTCAAGGAATTTATCCATTTCTTCTAGATTTTCTAGTTTATTTGCGTAGAGGTGTTTGTAGTATTCTCTGATGGTAGTTTGTATTTCTGTGGGATCGGTGGTGATATCCCCTTTATTATTTTTTATTGTGTCTATTTGATTCTTCTCTCTTTTTTTCTTTATTAGTCTTGCTAGCAGTCTATCAATTTTGTTGATCCTTTCAAAAAACCAGCTCCTGGATTCATTAATTTTTTGAAAGGTTCTTTGTGTCTCTATTTCCTTCAGTTCTGCTCTGATTTTAGTTATTTCTTGCCTTCTGCTAGCTTTTGAATGTGTTTGCTCTTGCTTTCGCCAAGTCAATCCTAAGCCAAAAGAACAAAGCTGGAGGCATCACGCTACCTGACTTCAAACTATACTACAAGGCTACAGTAACCAAAACAGCATGGTACTGGTACCAAAACAGAGATATAGATCAATGGAACAGAACAGAGCCGTCAGAAATAACGCCGCATATCTACAACTATCTGATCTTTGACAAACCTGAGAAAAACAAGCAATGGGGAAAGGATTCCCTATTTAATAAATGGTGCTGGGAAAACTGGCTAGCCATATGTAGAAAGCTGAAACTGGATCCCTTCCTTACACCTTATACAAAAATTAATTCAAGATGGATTAAAGACTTAAACATTAGACCTAAAACCATAAAAACCCTAGAAGAAAACCTAGGCATTACCATTCAGGACATAGGCATGGGCAAGGACTTCATGTCTAAAACACCAAAAGCAATGGCAACAAAAGACAAAATTGACAAATGGGATCTCATTAAACTCAAGAGCTTCTGCACAGCAAAAGAAACTACCATCAGAGTGAACAGGCAACCTACAGAATGGGAGAAAATTTTCGCAACCTACTCATCTGACAAAGGGCTAATATCCAGAATCTACAATGAACTCAAACAAATTTACAAGAAAAAAACAGACAACCCCATCAAAAAGTGGGCAAAGGACATGAACAGACACTTCTCAAAAGAAGACATTTATGCAGCCAAAAAACACATGAAAAAATGCTCATCATCACTGGCCATCAGAGAAATGCAAATCAAAACCACAGTGAGATACCATCTCACACCAGTTAGAATGGCAATCACTAAAAAGTCAGGAAACAACAGGTGCTGGAGAGGATGTGGAGAAATAGGAACACTTTTACACTGTTGGTGGGACTGTAAACTAGTTCAACCATTGTGGAAGTCAGTGTGGCGATTCCTCAGGGATCTAGAGCTAGAAATACCATTTGACCCAGCCATCCCATTACTGGGTATAAACCCAAAGGACTATAAATCATGCTGCTATAAAGACACATGCACACGTATGTTTATTGCAGCACTATTCACAATAGCAAAGACTTGGAACCAATCCAAATGTCCAACAATGATAGACTGGATTAAGAAAATGTGGCACATATACACCATGGAATACTAAGCAGCCATAAAAAATGATGAGTTCATGTCCTCTGTAGGGACATGGATGAAATTGGAAATCATCATTCTCAGTAAACTATGGCAAGGACAAAAAACCAAACACTGCATGTTCTCACTCATAGGTGGGAATTGAACAATGAGAACACATGGACACAGGAAGGGGAACATCACATTCTGGGGACAGTTGTGGGGTTGGGGGAAGGGGAAGGGATAGCATTAGGAGATATACCTAATGCTAAATGACGAGTTAATGGGTGCAGCACACCAGCATGGCTCATGTATACATATGTAACTTACCTGCACATTGTGCACATGTACCCTAAAACTTAAAGTATAATAATAATGAAAAAAGATATCAGTGAAAATATTTTTGTATTGATCCTCTATACCAGACTCCATTATATATTGCCCAGAAACACTTTCTATAGGTTTCATTGGTTTGTTTTGTTTTTTGCCAACTGTGTTCTTAAAGATGTCAGAGAGGTGGTTTCTCTTTTGAGGAGTCTCACTGAGCTGTGACAGGCCTTTGAAACTGGAGTCATATCATTCTGATACTCTGCCTCTTGCTGGGCTGGCTGGACCCTGCTTGAAGCTGCTCCAAGGAGATGAGTGCAGCCTGACTGCATTTCCCCTCAGTCATTAAGCCTGATACTACCCACCTCTCTTTTCCTGTCTTGGGATTTACCTGCAGCAGCTGAAGTGTGAGAACCTGCAAGAGTCTGTCAACATCCACACAAATGCACACGAAGTTGCAGGCTGCTGGCCAAAAACAGACTGCTGGTCATCCTTGCTTTTTTTTTTTTTCAATGTGCCCTGCTTATGCCATAAGTGCTGTTGCTGCTCTCTCGGGATCTTGCTACACCAGGGGCTGGTTAGAGAGGCTAGAAAATATAGTTGAGAAATGCACAGAGGGGACTCCCTGGAAACTCTGACCAATGAAAGATGAGAGCCAATATATACATTCTTTTTATTTCTTCCCTTGGATAGAGACAGAAATTTCACAGTCTCCTTTTAAACACATACGAAGAAATCAACTGTGATTATGAAGTGACAGCCAGCTAAATATGTCTTGTATTTGCTCTCTTCCTTTTTTTGCCTAACTCATCCTTTACTTCCATTCCTGCTTCCATGGTAATGCAGGCTCAAATAAATTACTAGGATACAAGATTACTTCAAGCCTCTTTTCTGTGGAACTCATAATATGATAAGCATTTGTTACAAGATTGCCTGTAGTTGTTTAGGGGATAAATTATATTAGGGAAAGAAAGTCTTTCTTTAGTTGGTTAAATTTTCTATTATAATTGGGTACTAAATTTATTTAAAGAGTGTGTTCACAACTATTTTATAAACATATTATTTCCCTCTTAAATCTATTAGTGAGTTGATTATCATAATATATTACCATGGGTTAAACCATCTTCACATTTCTGGAATCAGCATTTCTTTGGTATGTCATATTTTTTTTTTCATGATGGTAGCCAGATCTAAAATTTTATAATATAGCAATAATACATAGGTATTATTTTTACAGTCGGGTGTTTAGATTTTTAAATAACTTAATGTTTTTCTTTATTTTTCTTTTTCCATTTTCTTTCTTCTTTTTTTAATTATTATTATACTTTAAGTTTTAGGGTACATGTGCACAACGTACAGGTTTGTTACATATGTATACATGTGCCATGTTGGTGTGCAGCACCCATTAACTCGTCATTTAGCATTAGGTATATCTCCTAATGCTATCCCTCCCCCCTCCCCCCACCCCACAACAGGCCCCGGTGTGTGATGTTTATTATAAATAAAATTTTAAATATAACCTACAACTCTTTTGGAAAAGATAATTTGTGAGATAGTATAATAATACAAGAAAATTTCTTTCATTATTTTTGACATATGCAAGAGTATTTCTTCACAAGAAAATTTTGATAATCTATACTTTTTAGAAAATTGCACATTAGAATTTTTTATTTTTATCACAAAACTGTTTTAATATTTTTATAGAAGAAAATTTCTCTTCTCTCAAGATCAATTTATTTTTGTTTTATCACTTATCTGTACTATATTTTAGTTTTAACTATTCTCCACTTTTATGTTTATTGACATCTATGGTTAAGAAAGTTCAGCTTGGGAGATGACAGTAGATTGGATTTTTAGCCCCAATTATTTATTCCCTTTAATAGTATTACTCACAGCCTTTGCATGTAACTTTGCTGTGCTCTCCCACTGTGGGCAAAGTATAATTTCCATGCCCATTAATGTTGTACTTGTCTGTGAATTGCTTTAGAATATTAGCAGAATGTATATGAGCAGAGATCTTAAAAATGCATTATCAGTTTGTCTGGGCCTTCTTGTATTTTGATGATCACCATGAGAATAGCCACAGCTACACTTCAAGTACAGCTGCCCCTTCTGCCTGAGACTCAGAATGAGACTGTGGATCATGACAGAATCAAATTCCAAGTCTAGGTAGGAGTTGTCTGGTATTAGTTGTCTCATATAATTAGATTTAAGGGTATTCATGACCCTGTTTCCAACGGTAAAGGAGACACTGGCAATCCCTGGCATGCGGTGACACAACAGTTATTTAAATTATTGTCCATAGATGATCACTTACAAAATAACTTATAATCAAGTTCCTATAGAAGACAAGACATTGAGTGAGGCTGCCATAGAACATTTTAGTGAACATAAGTAGAATAGGGTTCGTTGCTGACTTATAAGTGTGCTAGAAAACTTGGAGAAAGAAAAATTATGAACTTAAGGCTTTGAATTACTAGCTTCGGATTATGTAAACTAACATAACATTCCTACGACTGTCTTCAAAAAAGTCCTTATCTCCTATAGCAGAAGTACTAAAATTTCTGAAAAGCAAACTCAAATCAATTTCTGCAATAAATAAATCATCTTGAAAATTGTATTTACAACTTCACAACTTCCTGTGTTAAAGTCAGGAAATTTGCTAAAAAAGAAATAGGAACTTAAAAATTGGGGTGGGCCTGTAATGGCAGATCCCAAAGAATCTGGAGGATCTTGAACCCCTAAATTCTGCTGGTGCACCGTTGCCAGGAGATGCACTCTTCCTCCCCTCGCTGAGAAGGTTAGTCTTCCTTCCCTTGCCTTAAAAACCTGTAATGAGTTACCTTGAGCTGTTTGGCTTACAGAGGAATGCTGATACCACTCTATATATATCCCTGCCTCCTCTTATGTTTAAATATATGATAACACTCAATTCCCAGCAGGCCCCAAATGACAAGATACAAAATGTGATACAGGACAAAGTAAAATTCAGACCAAAAGACTTGTAAGATTTTGTGAATTTTATACCAACACACACCTGAGATATATGAGTAGAAATGGATCTTATGAATGGGTAGATATAACAATATAATACATATAATGTGAATTATGATAAATATTATGAGCTCACTAACAGATATTACCCCCAAAAAAATGGCAAACAAGAGAGCGAAACAAGTGGTTTGTGTCCAGAGCAAAATAGTGGAATGTTTTTTCTACTTTAATATTGAAATAAAGAAGTAATATTTAAAAATAGTATAAAATATTTTTGAGTTTTGAAAAATAGTATATAGTATTCAACATACTCAATACTGGAGACAAATTTGTTAGAATAAAGTCACTCAAATAAATCTTATGATACATCAGCCAACTTTGGCAGTTTACGGATACAATCAAACAATGCCAAAATGTTTTTTATCAATAATTCTTTTAATTCTCCCATCAGTAGCATATACTCCAATTCAACTGAAATACATTAAAAGAGAATCAAGTATTGTAAGAAGCCAAGAGAAAGTTTTCATCTGCTCTGAGGGTTCATTGAAAATAAACTGACAATAGATAAATAAGAGAAAACACAAGTTTTTATTAATGTGCATATATAAATGACAGCCATATACCAAGTATGAGACCCAAAGCAGGGGCCAGACAATTGACTCTTAAGTATACTCTTAATTGGGGAGAGGAAAGCAAGGGATGTAAGAATAAATGATTTCCAGAGGAAATGCATAATCTAAAGAGCAATGGCCTAGGACAAATTTCCTCTGAGCTCTAGGGGAGGTGGAGGGAAGGTTAGGGCCAGAACTTCACTGTGAACAAAGGTTGTCTTATTATGCAGATGAAGTCACCCAGGGAATCTCTTGGAGCTGCCTTCAAAAGAACAACTGAAAAGTCTGTCTAGGCATATTGACAACTCCAAGTATCTTATCCAGTGGTTATTTGATCCAGTATCTTATCCTGGTCATTTGATGAGATTCCTAGACAAGGAGTCTTTTAAAAATTGCATTTCTTCTGGAAAGAAATTTTCTTAATCAGATAAGGAAATTCCAGAGAGAATTCCCTCTGGTGCTTCAGGAAAGAGGATCAGAGACACAGACAGAAGGGAAAACTTCAGACAGAGAATTTGAGGCTTCCTGTTTAGTCAAAGAGCGATATATTTTCAGTATCATTTTCTGAGCCCCAATAGTATACAGTTGTAGTTAGTTTCATGGTGCCATATTTCTTGCAGTGTGTCACATCTTCTGCTTAATTGTAGAGTTTTAATAGAAAAATCCTTCATACATGTGGGCACAAATTTTATATTAACATAAAAACATTTTCATTCCTATCAAACAGTTCTGCCAATCCCAGGCAGTAACACTCGATCTGTAATTTTGATTGAAGGGCTGGATTCAACTTTGATTACATGCAAATAGGAGAAAAAGTAACTTGCACTGATTTGCAATTTTCATTCTGCCCTAAAGCTTGGGTCACTTGGATCCAAATGCCAACTTTCCTAAATCTCTGCTCAAAAAAGAGAGGTGGAAAACTTTCCAGTATAATTCATGGGGGTGCTTAGGTGTAGCTTTTCTCACTTGAAAACCAGAGAACCAGAGAAGGTACAGAAACCTGGAAAAATGATTATAAGTCTTTTCTAGAACATTAGAAACCAATTAGGTCAGTTGTTAAAAATCAAAACTAGAATTTTATGTGACATATAGAAAGAAAATTTCCTGACTTTAACACAGGAAGTTGTGAAGTTGTAAATACAATTTTCAAGATGATTCGTTTATTGCAGAAATTGATTTGAGTTTGCCTCATTTTTGAACTCTTTATAAATACAACCTTAATATATTTTCTTCTTGTTTATGACTTCTTTTTTTAAGCATTATGTTGATAAAATGTATCCACTTTGTTGCATGTACATGTGGTTCATTGCTTTCAATTTCTCTATATTGTTCCATTATATGAATTTGCTATAATTATTAATCCTTCCTTAATTTATAGGTATTTGAGCTGTTTCTTTTTAGAACAATTACAAATAATACTACCATGGGCATTATTTTACATGTCATTCAATGCACTTCTCTTGGATATATAGCTAGAGTATATGCATTGAATTTGATACTCAGACTCTCTTCACAGACAATGAAAAGGTTAAATAATAATTAAACTAAATTTAATCTTTTCACCTTCACCCCAGTCTATATGTTATTGGCATACATTTTATTCATTACCTCTTTTAACACAAGATATTATTGTTCTATACAGTCAATAGTCCTTTTAGTTACGCACATTTGCCATTGCCTTTATTTTCATTCCTTCTTGCATCTTCAACTTTGTATTTTCAGTAACTTTTTTCTATCTGAAAATGTATCCTTTTGAATTTCTGTTTATGAAATGTCTGCTACTCCTTTGAAACGCACTGAAAATATATTACATTGAATTCTAGCTTCCATGCTTTCTGCTGAAAATCAGTTGTCATTCAAACAGTTGATCCTTTCAACATAATCTATCTTTTTTCTCAGGCTACTTTTCAAATTTTCTATTGGTCTTTGGTTTCCTGTAGCATTTATATGTTAATTTGTTTTCAGTTATCTTGTCTGAGGTTTGTTGGTTTCTCGAATGTATGGATTGATACATTTTATTATTTTTGGAAAGGTCTCAGCAACATTACTTCTTCCCTACATTCTCTCTTCTAATCTTCCAGAACTCCAAAAGTATGTTAAGCCTTTCTGACTGTAGCCTCAATGCTCTTCCCCTTTAGCCTGTATTTTTCCATCTCTTTGTCTAATTATGCTTCACTCTGTGTAGTTATCTTCCAATTCACTAATTCTTTATTCTACCATTTCTAACTGATTGTTAAATCTAATTGATTGTTAAATATTGAATTCTTAATATTAATTTTTTCAGTCATTATTTTGGTGGTAGAAAGAAACTTTCACTCTATTTCTGTAAGTTATTTCTATGGATAAATAAAATACTCATAATACCAAATTCTTAAAGATTTTTTAAAAACTTTTAGTAAACTTGACAAGAAAATACCAATAATTCTCTTCTTTTACCCACACTTTGGTCAAAGAAAACACCAATTTTTTTTTTTTTTTTTTTTAGACGCAGGCTTGCTCTGTCACCCAGGCTGGAGTGCAGTGGCGCGATCTTGGCTCACTGCAAGCTCTGCCTCCTGGGTTCACACCAGTCTCCTGCCTCAGCCTCCCGAGTAGCTGGGTCTATAGGCACCCGCCACCATGCCCGGCTAATTTTTTTGTATTTTTAGTAGAGATGGGGTTTCACCATGTTAGCCAGGATGGTCTCGATCTCCTGACCTCGTGATCTGCCTGCCGCAGCCTCCCAAAGTGCTGGGATTACCCACACTTTGGTCAAGAATAGAATAAAAGTGTGAGTCTAATCATTCTTAACCAAGTTGAAAAGAACTAAAAATAAATTTGATGCAAGTAGCAGCTTCTCTGTTGCTGCATCTTCACCACAGACTCTTATTACATGAAAATTCAAGGAGCAGAACTTGATCTCAAAATGCCATTACCATAAATAAAAGATAATACATCAATCACAGCAACACCATCTTATAACATGGCTTAATATTTAAGTAGTCCTTTTACTCTCCTTACACTGTTAGACATGGGGCTTTGTGCCTTACAAGTCCATCATCAAGAGAGTATGATATTGAAGATGTGAGGGCTTATTTCTGTTTGGTTCATTGACTTTTAAAGCCTCTCTTTTGAAATAAGAGTTTAATTATAAAATGGTTTATTGACTTTATCTCTCTTATTATACAAATGCTATTTACACTAAAAACTAAATATTTCTGGTAGTTAGCCTCTGATGAGTTTAAGATTATTTATAAATCATTTGTTCAAGCAATGCATTTTAAGTAAAAATACACTCAACTTCTAACTCTAAATGTATTAAGTTTCACATAAGCCTTGCTCTTTAATAATGCAACTTACCCACAATAATAATCTTTAGGAAATTACCTAGACATTCTCCAAATCGTGCATGTAAACATTTAAAAAACAAATAGTTAAATGAAATATATGATGATGATAGTGGTGGTGGTGGTGATGATGATATTAATAGCTAAATGAGAGAACCCTACCTGATAAATGTGATAGATGTGACCTCACTCTAATTTCCTGAATGGAAGAGTTCATTTTGTCTGGAGAAAACAACAATTCTTCCCTATGGCCTTATCATTCTTACACCATTCTCTGCATCAGGGCTTAACCTGGAAGAATATTTTCACCTACTACTTCATGAAGACTAATATAAAACCAACATACTTCCCATGATTTACCAGCTATTTTTTCCCTTTATTCCATTTTTAAAATTATGGTAAAAGTTACCTCAAACAACAGTGCTGGGTTTTTTTTCTTTCATATGGACATATCCATTTCCTCTATTAAAATAATACATGATCTTCATTTCATATTTTAGTAACATCATTTGCAAGCAAAATTCTCTTAACTGCTTCATTACATTCCCAGCTACTGTGATTACATCTGGGTTATTTTATTACAGTAGTCAAAGTAGCACTACACATCCACAAACATATCCAAGCATTACACTGATATATATTATGCTTTAACAAACTTACTTAATTATACTTAACATTTTATAATTTTTTCCCTACTGTATTTATAATTTTTTGTTCAAAAAATTACATTACACTTTTTTCTGTGATTTTATATATATTTATTCATATTGCCTTGTATATCATATGTGCATTTATTTATATTCCATTATAAATGTTTATCTTTTTCTCCAAGTCTCACATACTCTATTGTTATTAGCAGGCATTATTATAGTAGAGACATTTCCTTGAATCAGACATTATGTCCGGCAACTTTGAGAAAATATGGTTAGTGAATATTTTAAGGAAAATTTCAGAATTATTTAACAACACTTAAAAGGACTCCAAAAAAGAAATTGTTAAATATAAAATTAACTTATGAGGTCTTCTATTAAGTTATTTCTTTCATAGATGCAGAAAGTTAAATTTTGTCTATGAAGTTAAAGGTTTTGCTTTTTTCAGAGAGAATTTAAGATGCCACAGTAGTCTCAAGGAGCTCTGTCTTAGCTTGTTGTTTCCCAAAATTATAATAAATGAGTGGCCTGAGGGAAAGGCAAGTAAAATCATCATAATAAACGTCATGACCTGATAATTCTCTACCTCAAGGAAGATCCAATCTCCTATTAAAGTGGAAATAAAGTTAATAAAAAAAAGGAGGAGGAAGGCTATCACCATTTTCATGGCCCTTTTATGGGCCTCTGTGCTGGAGTCCCTTGAGCCCAGAGAGTTGAGCTGCAAATTCTTGGTGTGTCTCACTAAGGATATAAATAAAAGGAGCAAAGAGGTCAGAGTCAGAAGAAAGGGAATAACGTATGTCAAGCTGAGAAGCCTAAGGCCTTGAAGACAGACTATTTTACTTGTATCTGAGTGCAAAGTCATGTTTTTTTCACAACTCACTAATGGCATTGGACATAAAAAGGTAAACAAACGATAAGAACAAAGACCGCAGGAAAAGCACAAGAACCACTCTGTTCATTCTCCACTTCAGCCAGGCAAAAAATAAGCGGGAGAAATTGGCTATCTTAAGCAAGTAGAAAATGCTTAGGCAGGTGGCAAACTAGATACTTAACTGATTAATTAATGCCCAAAGAATAGTAAACAGTTTTACTAGTTTACGGATGGTATATAGATGAGGGGACAATACCATTATAAATGAATCAAATAGTATTAAATACAGTCGAATGATTCTGACTATAGCCAAGCTGGTGAGGATGAAATCAGCTGATGAGACCTTCCAACTCTTGGCCCACTCAATGCAGTTTACCAGTCCAATGAGCCCGTTTCCCAGCATTCCTAAGACAAGTCCTCTTGTTGCCACCACCAGAAAGAAAATATTAATTCCAACGAACATTTCTATGAAAATATTTCCGATATTCTACTTCACTGACAGCTTTATAGTCAAACAGTTGCAGATGGGCATGCATTTATGATGCTTTCTATCTATGTTTTCATCACAATTTCAGAAGGCATAGCCAAATTCAGATATATGTTCAGAGATCTTCATGAAAAAAATAGTTTGTTCTATTTATATTGTAACTCCGGTACTAAACCAAATTGTTAAGAGATACAAAGCTTCATGAATACCTTTCTTACCACTTTCAGTCAGCTACTATATAATTTCTAGAACAAACACTAATGATGTCTATTTATCTTCAGCATCAGCCACAATTTTCCATTCATGGTAATGACTAAAGAAGCGAAGTCGAGTATGTAAACATGCAAAAATGAGAGATCATTTTTCACTAATTTGCATTTTCATCTCCCCTGAGCCATACCACTTGAATACAAATATCTTAAATTTTGAATAGAAATTGTTAGAAATAACATTTATTTCAGTAATTATTTGTCTCTCATTCAGTAACATCCTTCTACATACCAAGCATTTTTGTTGATGCAATATGATTTATAGAAATAAGTCCCTAAAATTATTCATAATTCAAGAATTTCACCCAAGTCCTAAAACTATTAATATAAATAATTTGTATGCAATGTTACAGGAGCTAAAAAGAATAAACAAAATATACCAGAATTAAAGACGAGGAAGATACAAATGCTTCAGTGAAGAATTGACTATAGTTCTCTGAGGTTAGGGACATTCAGTTTGAACTGGAATTTTTGTTTGTTTGTTTGTTTGTTTGTTTTTTTGAGACAGAGTGAGACTCCATCACACAGGCTGTACTGCAGTGGCACAATCTCAGCTCACTGCAACCTCCGCCTCCCAGGTTCAAGCGATCCTTCTGCCTCAGCCTCCCGAGTAGCTGGGACTATAGGCGAGCACCACCACGCCCAGCTGATTTTTGTATTTTCAGTAGAGACGGGGTTTCACCATATTGGCCAGGCAGGCTGGTCTCAAACTCCTGACCTCGTGATCCTCCTGCCTCAGCCTCCAAAAGTGCTGGGATTACAGGTGTGAGCCACCACGCCTGGCCCTGGAATTCTTTAGAATTTATGAAAAAGAAGAAAAGAACTAATATTCAAGACAGGTTTAAGGGCACTTTCAAACTACAAAAGTGACATAAACAAGCTATACCATGCATCTATAGGCAGGAACTTTTTTGTTTCACATTTGTATGGCTATTTTAAGCAAAATGCACTCTCCAACTTCCATGTCCTAAATTTCATGTTCTACTCTTTTTTCTAAGCATATAGACTATATTTCCAAGCCTCTCTTACAGATGCAATGTGACTAAAAGCTGAACAATGTAATGTGAGTGGAAATTATGTGCACTACTTCCAGGCCCGTCCCATAAAAATTTGCCATGCATCCTCCTCCATGCACCTTTTCTGCTCCTGGCTGCCTGGAATAAGGTGACCCCAAGGCAATCTTGGAAGCTATGTGTTAAAGGTCACCAAGTGATCAGCCTATTTTAGTGAATAACTACATAGGGAAGGTTACTCAGACATATCAGTACCATTAAAAGAACAAAATTAAATCATATTGTTTGAAACGTTTTACATTTTGGAGCTATTTGTGATGCAGTTTGTCTACCCAGTCTAACACAGAAATTGGAACTGAAAGTGGGAGAATTTGTTTAGAGGATTTGGATAGTGAAGGAACAGATCTTGGAGACTGGCAACACGATGGCACATGTGGTGTATAAGCAAACTTTTTAAAAACATTATATGCAATAACTTAGAAGAAGGCCATGTTTAATGAGTCTCTGGCCCTAGGGGAAGTGGTTGATGAAAGTCAAAACGGTGTGCCAGGGTTGTTCTCCAAAATATTTTAGCAAGATATTATGAGAAGATGAGAAAGGAAAAGAATTGACTGGTTTGCAAATAAGAATTAAGAGCAAGAGAGAGTTCAGAAATCTAAGGTTTCAGAGGGGTATAAAATCTCACCGGTTTGGGGTATCAAACAGCAATAAGTGAGACTGAAAAAAAAATTAAGAGGCCCATTAAGACTTTTCAATTAAACATAGAGACCATTGTTTCGAATGCCTTCAAGATAACTGCCACCAAAGTGAAAGAAAGAGGCCTGGGATAAGTAAGGGAAAAATGTTTATCTATTTTCTTATTTATACAGACATGAAACATTTGTGTAAGGACAACCATTTTGGAAATTTTTGTAGGGTAAGATGGAACTGACCAGAAGCAAGTAGATTAAAAACTTTATATGTTGCTGAGGATATTGCATTTGTCAAATAAATTATGAGTGATTTAATTAAATATGTGATATTAAAATGACTCTCTGGCTTCCAAACTTGCATTATTGAAAAGACTTGAAATACGTACCTTCTCCAGGAAGGTACCCTTCTCATCATCCTTTTCAGATGCAGCCAAGGAGGATAATAATGAAGAACATCCAGAGGGTAAAGCCAGGATCCTCAGAAAATGATGGATAAGGGAGTTTCTCCCAGAGTCCAGACACAGGGACTAATCAGGAACTTCCCTGTAAATCCAGGGCAGGCGACTCCACATAGCCTATCAAGGAAGGTTTGTCACTGCTATGGCCAATCTACCATTGTATTCCTCCTGTTTTCTTTCTAAATGGGAGGAGTTTATTGTTGCCAGTCAGCCTGCCCCTAATCATCCACTTTATACTTTGAAGTGAAGATATATATATCTTGTGTTTTTTGTTTTCATTTATTCCCAGACCATGAGGGACTACATTTGGAAGTGGTAAACAGAACTGTCTATCACTCAGAAGCCCTGAACTTTAAGCTGATGTAACATAAGACTTTAATGCATCCCCAGGAAAGGAGCATAAGTGTGTTCTATATGTGGGAAGAAGGGTACATATGGTGATTTAAAAATAGGCATGAAGTCTGTGGCAGGTACTGTGTTGCTGACCAAAATCCTTGTTCTCCTCTTCCTGAGCACACATGAGACTACATTTCCCAGGATCCCATGCAGTTGGGTGTGACCCAGTGTCTGAGTTCTTGCCACTGGAGCTTGAGAAGTGATGTGTGAAAACTCTATGTCCCCAACAAATACAGCCTCACCCCAAACACACACATAAATACACATGCACACTTGTAATGAAGAATACCCCCTGGGCAACCATGGAAAAATGTGTTAATATTTGCGAAGACTTCTTTAGCCTGAGTCAATCAATAATTGCAGAGAGAAGGGATACATGGAACACTATTCAGCTGTAAAAAGAAATGAGAAAGATTGCTATATAGTACTATGAAGTGATACCTAATTATTAAATTATTTTAAAAGGAAAAATGCAGAACAATGTGTGTAGTATGTTCTATATTGTTTAAGAATGGTATTGTCAAAAGCTGACTTTAAAAAATGGTTACGTATAGTGTTCACTTCAGCAGCACATATACTAAAGTTGGAACAATTACAGAGAATATTAGCATGGCCCCTTCCATATCTTAAATTTTTAAAAGCAATTAAAAAAGGAAAAAAAATTGGTTACCTATAGGAAAGGAAACACAGAGCATATGACAGGAAAGAAGCTAGGCTTCTCTGAATACATTTTGTTTTGAAGTTTTACCCCTGGTACCATGAACATTTATTAAATAATCACTAAAAATTAAAATAAAGGAATATTAATCCTGAAAAATAAAAATAAAAACAAATGAACCTGTCTGATGGATGATTTAACTAAAAGAGGAATTGTTTCAAATGATCCTACAACATAGTTTTTTTATCTCCAGAAGGATATATGCTAAGATAAATCTGAAAGTGTTTTAATAATTAAGCTGTTAGAATAATCTAATCTGAGTACTGTTAGTTTGAAACTATTATATGCGCTGATGCACACAATTAATTATGTGAATGTTGTGTGGTTACGGACCAAGATTTTCAGCATGAGAAAAAAAGAAGTAAGAATATAAAATCTGAATTGGAAATATCAACATGAACTTATTTTTAAAATCTATTCTGGTAGTTTAAGCACAAAAGACATTTATTAAAGTGTATCAGAGAATCATTACAAAGTCTGCAGAAGCAGATTCAAAGCTAAGCATCTAGATACAATGTGTGTATCAGATTTTTTACTCTACCATATACCATCCCCAAGTTTCTAAAATCTCACATTTGCCACAGGGACATAAAAAAGAAGCTGGAATAACATTTCCCAGACCCCATGGTCAATTAAATTCCCCCTTAAAAAAAGACACTTTGAGGTAAAGCTATTATTTCTTGGGCAGCAATCTAGACTGGCACTTAGGTATCTACAGACTACAAGCATAAGGGTTGGATAGCTACAAATATACTCCTAGGAATCACCCACTTTGAGGCCAGAGGCACCTGATATCATCAGTAGCTGTGATGGTTAATTTTACATATCAACTTGACTGGGTTAAAGAATACCCGTATAACTGGTAAAACATTATTTCTGGGTGCCTCTGTAAAGGTGTTTCTAGAAGAGATGAGCATTGGAATCTGTAGACCGAGTAAAGATCTGCCCTCACCAATGTAGGTAGGCATCAACCAATCTGATGAGGGCCCTAATAGAACAAAAAGCTGGAGGAAGGGCAAATATACTCTCTTCTTGAGTGGAGACATCCATCTCCTCCTGCCCTTGGACATCAGAGCCCCTGATTCTCAGGCCTTTGGCCTCAAGACTACACCACTGGTTGTATCATGGGACTTCTCAGCCTCCATAATCAATTGAGCCAATCCCTATAATGAATCCCTTTTTACACATGTTTATTATGAAAATTGGCTCATAATTATGATTCTGTTGGATCTGTTTATTTGGAGATCCCTGACTAATACAGTAGCCTGCATAGAGGATGCAAGTAGCTGACACAAATGTTATTGCCTTCATGTACAACCCCTACAATTCTGGATTCCTGAAAGTAACCCTCCAGAATTAGTCTCACTTCCCCCAAAGCCTTCTAATGTTTGTATAGTGTCTAACTCCCTGATTAAACTTCTTCTAACTCAGAACATCTAAAATGTCTTGTTTTCTACCTAATGTGGTCTGAGGCTTCTCAAAAAAAAAAATGCTTCTTTTTGTAAATCAGCTTTACTGAAATATAATTTTTATAAATTATATGAAAAACCGTTTTAATTATACAGTTTACTTTTGGCAAATTATACAGATTAACTACCACAATCAAGATATAGAACATTTCCATCACCCCCAAAAACATCCTTGACATTCCTAGACCCCTTTGCAGTGCATTCTACCTCAGGCCTTTGGCTATCACTGATCTGTTTTCTGTCACTATATTTTTCTCTTTGTAGAAGAGAAAATGGTATCATGTTTGAACCTTTCTTTCACTTGGTAGAATGTTTAGAGTCATTTGTTGTTGCATGTAAAAGTGATTTATTCTTTTTTGTTGCTGAGTAGTATTCAATTTTACGGGTATGTTCTCATTTCTCTTAAGAATTGCTGGGTTTCATGGTATTTTTTACTTCATAAGAAACTATCAAACTCAACCAAAGAGGCTTTGCCACTTTGCATCTCCACCAGTAATGTATGAGGATTCTAGTTGCCCCCTATCCTCACAAATTAGTATTGCCAGTCTTCCCAATTTTTTCCTCCATCTCTTCTCTCCTTTTCTCCCTCTCTTTCATTTTTCTGTTTGAATAATATATAGTAATCTGCCTTCAATATTACTGATTCTGCCTCTGCCATCTCCAGTCTGTTGATAAATTGCCAAAGGAATCTTTCACCTCCAATACTGCTTTTCATTTCTAGCATTTTCATTTGAGCTTCTTATATAGTTTCTATCTCTCTGCTAAAATTTCCTGAGCATGTTATTTATCTTTTCCACTAGAATTTTAACACATTAATCATAATTATTTTTAAAGGTTCTGTCTGATAATTTCAACCTCTGGGCCATTATTTTCTCTTAACAATGCCTGGGTTTTTGTATGTGTGTATACATATTTACAGTAAATCCTGAGATAAATATTACCCCTCAAAAATGGGCTGCCTTCTTATTCTGTCAGACTACTAAGTGTGTGAAATTGTATCAATCCAATCTGTAGTTTATCTGTATTTAGATTCAAATGGCTCCAGTGGTGGAATGCCAGTAACTTGTGTTTTGGGGAAGACTGGAGTGCCAAAGGGATTCTCAGTGTTTGTGCTCAGCTTCAAGAGTCCACACATGCACTATAGAGAAGGCTCTTTCTACACTTGTGTCCCTCTCCCAGTATAGTGGCATTGCTTGTTAATCAGAGAAAAGTTCATGGTGGGGCAATGGGAGCTCTTTGTTCTTCTCTAGCAACTGCCCCTGTCTACGTACCTTTGCCTCAGACGTGGGACTTTTTTAATGCTCCTACCACTCCCACAACAAGAAAAACTGCCTAAAATCAGTGAAGGATCCTGGCTGAAAGCCGGTTTTCTCCCCCTCCTCCAGTAGCAACAGATGGCTTTCACCCAGTGTCAGCATGGGAGTCCAAGTCAGGCAATCTTCCTGCCCCTCCTTGAGTGTCAGTCAATCAATGTCTTGTATCAGTGGAGGGTCTTGATATCATCAGGTTAACTGCCCCCTTCCTGCAGCAAATGGGTTTTTCCTGGTGTTCATGCAGAGTCCAGGATTGGTGGGTTTTCTGCCTTCCTTCACTGGCAGATCCTTTCTGTTTAGCCAGCATGCAGCCCAGAGCAAGTGAGTTTCCTGGACTTCCCCTGTGACAACAGACTTCTAATATGTATTAATACAGACCTAGGAGTGCAGGCAGGTTTCTTACCCCACTCCTTGTGCCAATCAGCTATTGCCCAATATCAGAGTAGGGTCCAGGTTACAGTGTATTCCCTGCCCCTCACTCAGCAGCAGGCAGATTTTGCATAATAAAGATCCAGAACATGTGTAGTTTTCTTGCCTGTCCCCTAGCACTGGCCAACAACCACCTTTTACTCATGCAGGGTCCAGTGTAAATGGGCTTCTCCAGTTTCTATTACTCCACTTTAAAACTTAAGAAGATTTTGTTCCCATTTGTTTTAGATTTGCACTGCTGCTAAAACAAATTATCATAAATTTAGTGGCTTAAATACTACAAAATTATCTTAACAGTTCTACAGATCAGAAGTCTGGTATTTGTCTTACTAAGCTAAAATCAAGGTGTCAGCAAGGCTGCATTGCTTTCTGGAGGCTCTAGGAAGGAATCCATTTCCTTGCCATTCCCAGCTTCTAGAAACTACCTGCAGACCTTGGTTTGGGGCCTCCTTCATCTTCAAAGTCAGAAGTGTTGCATCTCTCTAACCCTAGTTAAGAAATAATCTGTTTTTAAGGGCTCATATGATTAGACTGAACCCACCTAAATAATATGGGATAATCTCCCATCTCAAGGTGCATACCAATAATCACATTTGCAAAATCTCCATGCCATATAATGTAACATATTAACTAGTTCCAAAGATTAAGTCATAGACATCTTTGGGAAAGCCATTATTCTGCCTCCTATACCGTGTACCATAAAGGAACTTTCCTAGGTTTCCTGTCTGTCCTCAACCTTTCCAGTAAGCATTCGGTAGAAGCCCAAGGGGAAAAGCTGGCAATTACAGACCACTCCTGTGTCTGGGGCTCCCAGGTATTCTAAACTGTCACATTAAACTACACTCAACCTTTGTAAGAATTTGTTAAAATTTCAGCCATTTTCTTGTTACCTACTGAAATGCCAGAGAACTCTTCTGGAGTTCTGCCACAGATGAAACAATTCATGTCTCCTATTTGGAAAGGCTTGTAATTTTTTTTTTTTTTTTTGATATGGAGTCTCGCTCTGTCACCCAGGCTGGAGTGCAGTGGCCCCATCTCGGCTCACTGCAAGCTCCACCTCCTGGGTTCACACCATTCTCCTGCCTCAGCCTCCCGAGTAGGTGGGACTACAGGCGCCTGCCACCACACCCAGCTAATTTTTTGTATTTTTAGTAGAGAGACGGGGTTTCACCATGTTAGCCAGGATGGCCCAGATCTCCTGACCTCGGGATCCACCCACCTCAGCCTCCCAAAGTGCTAAAATTCAGTTTACCTGCTCACCTTGTAACTTCAGTTCTAACAAGCTCAAAATAAATTATGACTTTGTAGCCTACCTAGTTTACTCTCTTTGTTAGAGCAGAAGCAACATTCTCTTTTGGTCTACTGCTAACTAAAAGGAAGTAAAATTCTCAAGCTGGTTTTCAAAATGCATGCATAAATGCATGCTATATCATATTCTTCCACATGCATGGTTTAAAAAATGTCTCAATTAAAAAATAGATTCATGTATAGGTGATTTTTTATGCACCTATGAAATCTGGCCTTGTAATGAAGAATACAATAGATCTTAATAATCTGACAATTATTAAATGTGTTTCATTGTCTAAAAGAGAGGTTTGAGGGGAGAAAAAGAAAAGTCTTTCTTGAAATATGGAAATAAGAGTATATATTTAGCTCTGAGTATGTTCTGGTAAGAATTACAATGATGTCAAACTATATGTACATATTAAAGCCATGGCAAAAAACGAAAGAAAGAAAGAAGAAAGAAAGAAAGAAAGAAAGAAAGAAAGAAAGAAAGAAAGAAAGAAAGAAAGAAAGAAAGAAAGAAAGAAAGAAAGAAAGAAAGAAGGAAGGAAGGAAGGAAGGAAGGAAGGAAGGAAGGAAGGAAGGGAAAGAAAGGAAAGAAAAGAAAGAAAAGAAAGAAAGAAAGAAAGAAAGAAAGAAAGAAAGAAAGAAAGAAAGAAAGGAAAAGAAAAGAAAAGAAAAAAGAAAGAAAGAAAGAGAAAAGAAAAATTAAAGAGTTTTTATGTGGGCTTCTACTTGATTTTATTTTTTCCTAATACAAAAAAGTTTTCGTCAAGGCTTTCAAGGAGCCAAGGTTTCCCATCATATCAAGAATCTAATCTTCCACAGCATTATCAGTGAGGTCTGACTCAGCTTGCTCTTCCCAAGAATCAGAATCAGAGTGATCAGAAAGGCAGAAGGCTCCTACTATCTGGAAAAGCATCATGCCCAGCAGGCTGTTTACCATAAAGTGAATCAAATCTGCTATAAAAGCTGAAAAACAGTACATGATAAAAAGAAAATAAGAAAGATTACGACTCCAAAATCATTTATTTCCCAATGGAATGTTAATAAACCAAGGACTCCATCAGAATCATAATATTCACATAATTAATTCTACACTTTATCCAAAGGAAAAATGGCTGAGAAAAATTAGCTATTGTGAACCACCCCCACCTCCAAAAATTATCAGGCAGATAGCAAACCAAAGGGTTGAGTACTGATCAGTGTCCAAAAGGAAACGTACTTTTTTTCTAGTTTGGCATTAGCACAAGTTAATGGTGTGGTGTGAACATAAGTATAAAAATATTAAGCAGTATTAAACACAGCTGTTAAATTCTGGAGCTGGCTAACCTGATGAAAAGTCAGTTAAAGGAAGCTTCCAATGCCCAAGCCAGTCAATGCAGTTAATCTGTACAATCAAGCCATTTCCAATCATGAATTTTCTAATTTGTACAATCAAGCCATTTCCAATCATGAATACTCTAATCATGAATTCTCCTAATATCACCCTCAGCAAAAGAAGTGTGGATTAGGCATTCAAATCTAAACATCAAGGGGCAGATAAAAACTACAACCACCTAAATTATTGCTCCTATCCCACTCTCAGGTGGAAAGAAGGAAATCTTTCTTCAGCTCTAGAGCATTAAGGAGTAGGATTTGGAGCTTTGTGACTGTTCTTTGCCTATTCCCGTCCCATTGGAATAGGCCCTCAATCTGGCCATGTTATCAGTGGGTGGCTGCTATTTTCCCCACGGTCTCAGGGTGGAAGATAAGGTTTTCATGGAGTTACCCAGAAACGGAGCAAGTAGGGCGTAAAGGGTGGCACAAAAGAGGAATAGAAGACAGAATGAGTCCACATAGCTTTACATATTTGGAAATGAAAAATCCAGGACGTAATGACTCCTGTGACTCTGAATGGCTCTGTGTATTAGTCTTTCAGTTTTCAAAGGGAGTAAATTATATGTGTGAACTGAAACTATATATCTTCTCCCAGTTCTCAGAATTGATCATTTATTTTACATCGCTCTTCAGTCTCTATACCAGTATTTTAGAAGTTGTCATAAGTAATTCCTCTAAGTGCTACCTCGCTGGAGTGGTACTGGAGCAGCAAAGTAGCAAAAGAATACTAGCTGGGAACACAAAATTAATTTTTACAAATTTATCAGTGGCACGTTATTTCTACCAGTCATATAATCAGTAGACTATATAGAAACAGAGGTACTCTAGGGTACCGTACTTGTGCTCTGAATAGCTGCTAGACATGCAGTGCACGGTGCGATGTGTGGTATCTCAACAATGCTTTTCAGAACAAGACTGTAACCTTAAGGTCATGATCAGAAATCACACATTTGAATAATCCATGAATGAAGACGGTGTGTGCGATTAAAAAATACAGTGCTTTCTAGTTAAAATGGGAGATAAGTGAAGGTAATGAAATGTGCACCATTTAAATAACAAAAGTATTGTGGCTATTAGAGATTCACTGTGCTGTTACTCTAATGGTATTAAGAGTTTGGAAGTACAGGCCGGGCGCTGTGGCTCACGCCTGTAATCCCAGCACTTTGGGAGGCTGAGGCGGGCAGATCACGAGGTCAGGAGATCGAGACCATCCTGGCTAACACGGTGAAACCCCATCTCTACCAAAAAATACAAAAAATTAGCCGGGCATGGTGGCGGGCGCCTGTAGTCCCAGCTACTCAGGAGGCTGAGGCAGGAGAATGGCGTGAACCCGGGAGGCGGAGCTTGCAGTGAGCCGAGATCGCGCCACTGCACTCCAGCCTGGGCGACAGAGCGAGACTCCCGTCTCAAAAACAACAACAAAAAAAGAGTTTGGAAGTACAGAGTAGTATTCCAGCTCTTGGAGCCTAGCCACAGGTTTCACAGATGCATCTCCATGCAGAAATGGCTGAAGCTTCCACAGCTAATCTGAACTTTTTAAGGGTTTACATGGCTGGGAATATAATTTTGTATGTATGTCCTTATGTATATACGCGTGTGTGTCCACTAGTTTTTTGCTTGAATGTTTATCATTCCTGTCACTTGCAATTTAAATATTCCTAATAAATAGAAAAATCCAAAGACTAAGATTGTGATCCTTTTTATGTCTATGGTATATTATGAATACAGAGACCTTGTGCTTTTATTGGCGTAGGAATCATCTTGCCCTAATATTAATATTATGAAATCAAAAGGGTAAGATTCCTAACATCCCACATAACACAGCAGACAAACTAAAGTTTTAATCTAGCTTTGGCCCTTACAAATTTTGTGCCCTACGGCAAGTTACATCTCGCTTAGATTTTTTCATTTTAAAGTGGAACTATCTGCATGGATGTTCGTACATGCTATATAACACATCCTATTCCAGAGCCACCTACCATCAGTTGAGCTCTAAATGGTAAATGCCACAGTGAGAAGCAGACAGGAAGGGGCGGAGCGCCAGCGGCGCCCGGGGCTACGCGCCGCACTGCACCGAGCGGCGGCAGCGGCAAGCTTGGGTGTGAGCCCGGGAGCCGCTTTGCTTACCGTCCTGCCGGTCCCAGCCGTCGCTAGGAGGTCCGCGGGCCCTGCGGCAACCCTCGCTACAGACGCTGGGCGGGCGGCGACACCTGGCTCATGGCCCCCGCGGCGGCTCCGTCCTCCTTGGCCGTCAGGGCCTCAAGCCCCGCCGCGACACCCACCTCGTACGGCGTCTTCTGCAAGGGGCTCTCCCGCACCCTGCTCGCCTTCTTCGAGCTGGCCTGGCAGCTGCGCATGAACTTCCCGTACTTCTACGTCGCGGGCTCGGTGATCCTCAACATCCGATTGCAGGTACATATTTAGAGCCATGACTAAGCTAACGGCCTCCGGGGCCAGCATGATGGCCGACTCCCAGGGTCCGTTGCGGCGCGGCGGAGCAGCCAATGGCGAGCCCCACAGTCTCGCGAGAGTGCTCAGGCGCTCTTCGTGGCTGCCCTCTTAGCTGCTAGCGGAGCTCCTCAGGGGGCGGCCGGGAGCCTACAATCCCTAGAAAGAGAATACGCTGTTCCGGAAACAGAACTGCAGTTAAGACCCTCGAAAACATCTAAGAAAGTGTGCATCCTAAAACACCTGACGAATTTCAGAATGTGACAAAGCGCAGAGGATGCATTATTTCAAAACAAAACAGAAGGCTAAAATTTGCAGGAAAAAGAAAATCAGTAAACCGGGAATCCTCGGACTGGATTGTAAGCAAGATTTCAATGAATAAGAAGCTGAAGGTATTAAGGCTGTGATATAGAAGGTACATATTTCATCCCACAAGAGAAAACAATAATAATCAGAAATTTTCGGTGAAAAAAACGCAAAACTGTACAGGAAAATCATCCTCCAAGTACCAGACATAAAATGCTGCAAGCTTTTGAACTAATGGCGAGAGTGTAAGAAAATGGGCTCTACTTCAGTGATCCTGTGGCAGGACGTGGATCAAGACTTGGAACCGCAGAAAACGAAATCCCATAGTAGCACAAAGCTTGGCTGTTCAGTGAATAACATTTAAATAATCGTAAAATACAAATGTTGTTTATGGTTTTTATTGTTTAAGGGCATACTTAATTATGGTTACAAAGTGGAGTGCAAATGTTATTTACCATGTTTTAAAAATACAGCCGGAAAATACAAGTGGGAATGTTGAAGGAGGGCGGGGGAAGTAAATGGAATGGGGGTTATGTCCTTATAAAGTGGAAACTTGAAAGGTACTGTCTGTTGTTGAGTGGGGAAAGACATTTTTATTACTTACAGGGTAGCCATAAAGTTTCTAAAACGGTAATATATTAAAGAGGGAGAGTGGTAGGGGAGAACAGTATGAAGTCAACAGGAAATGGCTAAAGATGGAGAGCTCAGGTAGAATAGTTTAAAAAATGAAAATTGATAGAGTACCTGGTGTATTTGAATACAGCCTAGAGAGCTTTCATTTTCCAAAGAGTGTGGGGATAAATTAGTGAATGCATATTTTTCAAAATTAAGAAAACAGAACATATAATTTTGAACGCTGAGAAAAATAAAAATTTAAAAACTACACTGTATACACGGTATACCTCAACTGTGAATAATAGTAGTCATGTAAAGTCAGTCATAATTATGTAAATACTGAATACTGATTTTACAACAAATGATTCTATAACGCTGGGAGGATGGGAGAAAAGAGATGTGTGTGTGTGTAATGGTGGTGAGCCAATCAAGATCTGATATAGAAAAATGCAGAAAAAGGAGTATACACATGTTTTCTTCGGATTAAAAAAACTAATAATAAATCACCAAGAGTGGTAAAGTTTTAAATCAAGATCTGATATAGAAAAGTGCAGAAAAAGTAGTATACGCATTTTTTTTTTCAGGAAAAAATTAACTAATAAACCACTAAGAGGGGTAAAGTGTTAAAATAGTTGCATTGTTCTATATTCCACTCATTGTGTCCAGCAAACAGTGTTCTATGGCTTTAAGTAGTAAGCATCTTGCCCCGTCCAACACCATGTCTGGCCTAGGGTAATTGTTCTTTCTAGTCTTTATTCTTTGTCTCCAGCCAAACTCCATTTGGGCACATTCTCCTATAGCCTTTTCTACCTGAAGATACTCTGTGTTTTAAAGCTAAGCTTAGGTGGCGCTTTTTCCATTAAATTTTTCCTGGATTCCACTGACCATATAGGAGCTCACTTCTTTTAATCCATAAGGCCATTTTCATAGGTTGCCTTATTTTTCCCTAATCGTGCATCAACTGTCTGTTTTATATACCCAAGACAGGTTTCCTAGACTGCGATAAGCCAAAACATTTTAGTCTAAAATATCAGAAGTGTAGTTTAATCAATGAAATAGTAATACCAAGGGATTTAGAATCGTGGACATCACTGTTTCCCAGAGCACTGATGTCCCAATTTGTAACACAAAAGACTGTCTAGTCTTAATCCTGAAATGGTGACAGAGTAGGATGCTCCATTTGGGTGACTATGTGAACATATTCCTATAACTTTTTTCCTCACATCAGTCATTTGTTAAACCGAAGATGAAGAAACAGACTTTGTATTTATTACATCCTCCAACATAATTGGCAGCTCTGTGAGGGAAGACACTATATCCTATTCAATTTTACACCCGGTAGTAACAGTATGTGTGTGTACTGTATATATACATATATATATACATACACATATATAAATTTAAGTAGTAACTATATATGTATATATGTATAGTTACTACTTACTATATATGTATACAGTATATAAGTATATATGTATAGTTACTACTTACAATATATGCATAAAGTTACAGCTTACATTTACCTCGTAATATATGTATATATATATATTAGGAGTTAAATGTATTAGGAGGTAAATGTAAACTCTGTGGTTTATCATTTATTCACAATTGCTCTTAATTCTTGGGGTATAGTTTGCCTCCTACATGATGCAATTCAGTGAAATTCCCAGGAGACAAAACAAGATTTTGACCTGAATAAACCACTTATTGTTGTAATTCACAAGTGAGTTTATTCTTCCTGGCACACTTCCAGGTAATATCCATTAGGCTAAGGATTTTGTTTGTTCACTGTTCTATCCCCAAGCCTAGAGCACTGCCCAGTGCGGAATAGCTAATAAATATTGTTGAATGGATAGATGAATGGCAATTTTGTTGGTATGCTCTACATAGTCAGCAGTCAATAAAGGAAACATATATTCGTTCCTGATAATAAGATGATTCACTTTATTGCCCATAAATTGGGCTTTTTCAGGCCATCATGCACGTTGATTGATCCAGAGATCCCTCAAGCATGAAAAAGCAGAGACATAGGTGGTATAGTTATTATCAATAGAGATAAGAAATGTAGCTGGCAAAAAAAAAAATGGGAAACGATGCGTTACAGCTTATTTTAACTATAAAAGGAAAACAGTGAACATAGCAACATATGTAACCTAAGGGATAGGGGAAAAGTTGTTTTTTTTTTTTTAATTCTGGGTAAAAATACATGTGATTACTTGACAAATAGCATATCATTACCATCAGCATCATTTTTAAAATATATTGAGTTTTTAATACCAGGAACTATGAAAAACTATTTATATACATGAGCTCCGTAATTCTCACATATACCCTGTGAGGAAAACATTTTTATCATTTTTCAGAGAAGCAAACCGGGATTTAGAGAGGTTAAGTAAATTCCTAAGGTCATGATAACCAACCAGACCTCAAATGAATCTCCAGTAATTCCTAAAGTTATATTTCATAAGGAGTTCAATTTTCTTAAATGTGTAGATAATTACAAATAATTCTGTTTCTCAAATTTCTGGACAGAAATATTACCTGGGTAATAGTTATTTTTTTTAACATAACTATTGAGGGTCTTTCATACTAAAATATAAATATTTAACATGATTTGATATGTAAGTTCAAGTATTTTATACTCTCTGCAGCCTTAAACCTATTGGCTTATTTTATTAGAGGGTTGGTGGGATTGAGGGATATGGGAGCAAAGGGAGAGAGAGGAAAGAACGTTGTCCTCAGAATGGAAGGGAAACACTTTCCTGTGCTACCCAGAGTAGAGATCAGACAATGTTAAATTTTGAAGCCATGTCTGTTCCTGTCCTGAGGATCCCTAACTAAATTTTGTTAGAAAATCTTGCAGTTTGCTTTTAATGGGAGATCTTTCTGGCAGGACATCAATAGCTTTTGATAGCGTCAAGAAGAAAATAAAGTTACATGCAGAAGCATAAAGGGGTAGGATGAAAGTTGAGGAATATAGGGACAAAAGATGAGGGAAAGGAATATCCTAATACTTGGAAGTTTGAGCATGGAAAGTAGTCTAAAGACGACTTGGGAAGTTCCAAGAAAATGAACCAAGAAAAGAACCTCTGCAAGAACTATGAGAATTCCCAACAATTGGGTTGGATTGATTCATATTAGTCTATTACTTGGGTTACCTTGAGTGTGGGGATTCTTCTTGCAGTTTTAACACTTGTACTATGGTCTGAATGTGCCCCCCAAAAATTCACATGTTGGCATTTAACCCCCAAAGTGATGATCTCAGGAGATGGGACCTTTGGGAGGTGATCAGGTCATAAAGATGAAACCCTCGTGAATGGGATTAGTGCCTTTATAAAGGAGACCCCAAAATAATTCCCTTACCCCTTTTGCCATGTAAGGTTATAGGGAAAAGTCATCTATGAACAAGGAAATGAACCCTCACCAGATACCAAATTTGTGAATGCCTGGATCTTGGACTTCCCAGCTTCTAGAACTATAAGAAATAAATTTCTGTTGTTCATAAGCACCCATTTTATGGTATTTTTTATAGCAGCCTGAACAAACTAGACTTAATAGGATTTGCTCAGCAGGATTACCACCAGGTCAAGTCATGAGATCTTTTCAAAATATAAGTAAACCTCCCCTTACCCCTACTCTCCACAAATACAAATTTCAGCAGTGCTCTTGGGACAACTAAAAGGCCCAAGGACCTTCCCAAAAGCCTACTACAAATGAAGAAACTATGGAAGTCTTAGTAGCTTAATTGCAGGACATCCCTGCCAGTTTCTATCCTGATTAGGGATCTGCAATGAACATTACAAAATCTTCACCATCTCCATGGCTTTCAACACCAAGCATATGGACTTAGCCACTGTAAAATAGTGGCATGCATCAATGAACAATAAAGAGAAATGGAGATCATTCATATTATTAGTGAGGGAAGTTGGGTACAACTTTTCATCAGCCAAAAAGAGGGAGAAAAAAATCACACCACCAAATAATGAAATACTGTAACTAAGATCATTGGCAGAGAATTAGAGATTATGTTCAGCAGATTAAAAAAAAAAAGAAAACAGCTGTGATCATGCCACTGCACTCCAGCCAGGGCTGCAGAGCAAGACCCTGTCTCAAAAAAACAAAAAGCCAAAAATACGAGATGCTTAAAAAAAGAACTGTTGTTCAAGAGATCATTTTCACTTTTTAATTGGTTTTTGAAAACTGTGAAAGTATCTCAAACTGAAGTCTAAAAGGAAAATAATAGAAGCTTCAAAGTTCAGGGGCCAGGTTATATCTATATAAAAGGGAAGCTAACTTATTTCCAGAACTGATTCATTTATTAAACATGGGGCTAAGGAATAGAGGTGGCAATATACAAGTCAGGATAATGCCTTTGTCTTCTGAAGCTGCATCTACATTGGTGCCCCTCAAAATAGCTAAAATTGAAAATAGTTTATCTGTCACCTGGGATTTCTTCTACAAATAACCTTCCCAAAAAAATATTGCCTAACATTTTTCTGAATTTATCAAGCCAACCATCTGATCAGTTTTCTAAATGAAGATTTATTCTTGGCAATAATCTAGCTCAGGGCCTAGGTCTTGTACACAGCATTAAGCAATGTAACAGATGAGTGCACTGGAAGTATGGATTTGCAGATGGCCTCCTTGTTTCTGTATTTTAATTAAGGAAGTCTCTAGCTCAAAGGACATGAGATTAAGGGCAGCAGCAAACCATGTGAACTATCAGAGATTCAACAGAGACAATCACGCCCTCTGAAATATGTATTGATCCATGCATATTTTCACTAGGATGTTTTCTTTGAGTAAAGCTAAGGACAACATGGCTTGCGCACCCAAAATATCTTCTCATCTTAAGTTCTAGGCCTAAGGCAGGGCTCAGGCATCAGCCGTTTTTGGCATTAGAAACAGGTTATTCAGGTTATTGGCAACTCTTCTATAAATCAACTGTGTGACCAAACTGGGTTGGGGGGAGGGCAGGGGCGGGAAACTCAAAAACTCTCATGACATCAAGACTATAAACTTACTTTAGGGGAAAGCAATTGGCAAAAAAAAAAAAAAAAAAATGTCGATCATTTTCTTTTCCCAATTATTTGTTCCCAGGATAGGATACAGTTCTCTCCAGATTGCCTGAAACTAGCTTTGGATGTAAGAGTCGTGGTTTTCTTGGATCGTGGCTTGCATCTCCAACCCAAGCTTTCATTATGGAAAATGATGGTGCAGAGCTTAATCTCAAAATGCCATTGTAATAGGGAGACTGCAATACAGTGGTAGCAACAGTCCCACACTTTCTCCCAGCCTTCATCATTTAATAGTCATTTTCTGTGCTTTTATTATCTGGAATAGGTCTCTGCTCCATATGGCTTCATCTCTGCAAGGATAGTACGTGAGATGTGAAGACTTAATCCTAATGAGACATTTACTTCTAAGTCCCACTCACTAGAAGCAAGGGTTGTGTATGGTTGTTTAAATCTTTTGAATCTTGATCATTAAAGAAAAGTTTAGTCTGGACGCAGTGGCTCACCCCTATAATCTCAGCACTTTGGGAGGCCAAGGCGGGCAGGTCACCTGAGGTCGGGAGTTCAAGACCAGCCTGACCAAAATGGAGAAACCCTGTCTCTACTAAAAATACAAAAAAATTAGCCAGGCATGCTGGCGCATGCCTATAATCCCAGCTACTTGGGAGGCTAAGGCAGGAGAATTGCTTGAACCCAGGAAGCAGAGGTTGCAGTGAGCCAAGATTGCGCCATTGCACTCCAGCCTGGGCAACAAGAGCAAAACTCCATCCCAAAAAGTAAAGAAGGGAAGGGAAGGGGAGGGAAGGGAAGGGGGAGGGGAGAGGGAGGGGAGGGAGTGGGGATGGGGAGGGTCAAGGGAAGGGGTGGGAGGAGAGGGGAGGGAAGGGAATTTAACTTATTTACTGAAAGGAGTAATTCCAAACCATATTATCCTCACTATCTGAACCTAAATATAGCCAGTGTGATTTTAATGTTGCCCTTTCTAAAGCAAGATAATGCCCATGATAATCATTAGGAAATTTATTATACAGTATCTAACAATGAATGGAGTTTTAAAAATCTAAATGTCTGTATAGGCCTGGACTGGCCTTAAGATTATATATTATATACATTTTCAGTTACTTTATTTTTTTGTAAAAGTCAACCTAGAACTATACACAAATACAAACATGCCTAAAATTTATGCAAATATGTGACATTCTCTTATAAATTTTCCTTTATGTTCTTATTCTTAGTGAGTTAGTTGGTTGTGTTAGTTTTCTCTGGTGTGACACACTAGTATTCATGGTATGACAAAAATATGTCATTACACATGTGCACACACACAGAGATCCTGTGTCAAAGTGTGGTTTTGATCCAAAAAAGTAAAAATATAAGCATCATTATGGACATAGGGATAAGTATTCAACTTCTTTTTAGAAATTCAATTGATTTTGCACTTATCCTACAAAGGTAGGATAGCTTGAATTCCTAGCTGGAGTCCTAATGAGAGAATGCTATTTTGTTTTAAAAGTTACCTCTATTGCTATGAGATTATATGCTTTCAATATTTTTAGTTCTTAATGTATTTGACTTAGTGTTATAAAAATATGCCACCTACTCCAGATTGGAGTAGGTATTAGGTTCTAATGGCATTTAGAACCATTTCCAAATATTACTGTTTTTTTTCCTCACATGTGAATGTAATCACACATTTGCCAGCACATATAAAATAAATACATGTTGCATTATATATTTTACATTTATATTAAGTCTCAAATATTTCCTAGTTACTAGCAAATATTAAAATGACAATGATACTTACTTTTTAAAAAAAATCCGGTATTACATTGGCTGACTTTATGAGTAAATCGTTCATTTATAGGCCATTCTAGGGAAATTTTGTGATGCTTAATTACACCTTAAAATAATCTGGGTGAAAAACACATGCTAAAATACATCTTCAATGTGTTCTCATTAATTCCCCTGGAATACAGAAAAATCCAGAAAAGTCTACAAAACTAAAGTTTCACTCTTTTTAGGTGGCACTTAAGATGCCACAGTGGTCCCACAGCAGTCTGTCTCAGCTTGCAGTTTTCCAAAATTAGGACAAATGAGTGGCTTGAAGGAAAAATAATTGACGTTAACAAGACAAAAAAATTGGCCTGCTATTTCTGCTGTATAAGGAAAATCCAACCTGTTGGTAGGAGAGAAGAAAAGTGAACCAAAAAGAAGAGGAGAAAAGACACCATCATTTTCATTTTCATTTTCATGGCCCTCTTATGGGCCTTCATTCTGAGGTCCCTCGGGCCCATGGTGTTGAGCTGCAAATTCCTGATATGTCTCATCAAGGACAGAATTAAAAGGAGCAGTGAGATCAGGGACAGAAGAAAGGAAATTAAGTAGATCAAACTGACAAGAATCCAGAGGCTACAATATAGAATTTTACTTACATCTAAAGACCAAGTTGAGTTTCTTTCATAAATTGTGTAGATGTTAATCCACAAGTCACTAAGTCCACCTGTTAATGCAAGGTTGAAAAACAGTAAGAGCAAGGACCCCAGTGGGAGTTCAAGTAGCGTTCTGCTAATTCTCCATCTCAGCCAGATGAAGCATGGGTGGGAAAAATAGGTATTTTAAAGAAGTAGAAAACACTAAGGCAGCAAGCCAGGTAACTAAGTGATTGGTCAGTGCCCAAAAAATATGAATAAATTTTATTAGTTTATTGAAGGCATATAGATGTGGCCATAATGCTGTTACAAATGAATCAAGTAGTATTATCCAAAGTTGACTGATTGTGGAGATAGCCAGGCTGGTGAGGATGCAGTTGTCTAATAAGATCATTTGACTCCTCACCAGTCAATGCAGTTAACTAGTACAATGAACCCATTCCCTAACATTCAGATTATGAATTCTCCCATCATTACTATCAGAAAGGTATTTCCAATTCCAGGTGGCATTTCTGGAGAAACAAATCCAGAAAGCTAATACTATGTTTCACTGATACTTTTGCTGTCAAAACGTTGCAGAATAATATCCAACTTGATGATTTTCAGATTTATATTTAAAATGTTCAGAGTAACTCAGAATGATCTTCTGTTTGATGCCACCTCACTTATCTTCACAAAAGATCTTTCTGTTTTTTTTTATATTCATCTCACTAGTAGGCCTGAAATATGTGCAAGAAGATCCAGTCTCACATATCTTAATTTAAAAAAAACTTTAACATTATTTTTAATCAGCTACTGACTTACAAATTAAATAGTAAATGTAGTAAATGTGCCCACTCATCATTGGCACTGAGAGCAATTTCCCACTTGTGAGGACATCTAGAAGGGCAAAGTCAGGTATGCAAATATCAAACAGATTTCTTTACACTGATTTGTAATTTTCTCCTCAACTGAAAGTCAATACCATTTGGATTTGAATATCTTAATTTTAAAAGAATTATCTAAAAATAACCTCTACAATATATGTATTACTCATTAGTTTCATTAAATAAACTCCATAATTTTCCAATTCTACTTTAGAGGAATTAAGTGTAATAAAAAGAAGCATCAAAAAGCTCACAGAGTAGTGAAAAGAAGCAACATTAAATGTGCTTTTACTACTGAATGTAACCACAGTTTGATCAAAATGCAATTACAACACAGAGGAGGGTGTTATAAAATCTATGGCCAATAACTAATTCTAGTTTCATGAAGATAATGACAGTTGGCTTGGGTCTTGAAGCTTTTAGGATTTCTTAAAGAAATAGACAAAAAGGGAGATGATTTTACATAATTATGTAAAAGCATATGTAAAGAAACAAAAAGTATTCCTTTATCTGAGCTATTTTACTGAACTTTTGAGCTTGGTTTCCAATGCCTTCCTGGCTATTTGATTTTGAATAAGCTCTTATCAACTGAAATGAAAAAAAAATAGTAAAAAAGGATGGAAAAATAGCAAAAAAACATAAGAGGGAGAATAGGAGGGAGATTCTCCTTTTCATTAATTCTTCCTTTGGTAAAATTCTTTGTCTCATAAAAATGTATCCACAGTAAAATACATTTTATAATTTATTTGTATTATTTTGTAACTCTAATACAATGTTTTTCAAACTTGACTGCACATTGGAGTTAACTTGGGAGATTTAAAAAAACATATTGATGCCTGTGGGCCACTCCCAGGGATTTTTTTTACCTAATTGGTCTGGAGTACATTGCTGGCACTCACTGAGAGGCTCTTGATGTATGTCTTACAGTGACTCCCAAACCCAGGCAAAAATATTTCTACCCAAAAGCTGCAAATCTATGATTCTGCAAGGACAGGACAGGATTTTGCCTGCCTTGTTCTCTAACAATGTGTTTCTCATTCAGCCAATTTTGACGCTGACTGGCAAACTGGCCACCAACTCTCTTAACAACCACATAAGCGACTTTTTTGTTGTTGTTCATTAGTCTGTTTCCAATTCACAGAACATAAAGGGCATGGATAATAGCAGGTCTTCCATAACTATTTGTTAAATGAATTAGTGCTAACTTAGTTGGCAGTCCCACTAGCAGCACACAAAAGGAGAAAATGAATTAGGCTTGACTGTGAAACAAGTATCAGAGCAAGAAAAGAAAGTACCTCCTTACAGAAAATGTTACATTCATGTATGAGCTTATGAAAGATTTCTGTTCTAATCCTGAAAAACCCAACACTGCTCTGTAATCTTTCTAGTTCAATCAAGAAATCATACAGAATCAAAAGGAACATGGTCTGCCACCCAAGATGGGGGAGGCTTGGTACTTTTCTTCATGAAAAGGAACTACTTCTGTTGAAGATGGCTAGAAAACTAGATTTCATGACCCAAGAAGCAAGATAGCCCTAGAGATCACTAATGTTTTCAGAAATGCTCTGCAAGTCATGTAAAGGCTAATTGAGAAGAAGATTCCATTGATAGGCATGGTTTAGCTGTGAAAAACACCGAAAACAAGTCAGTCAGGAGATAGTGATTAAAGAACATCTAAGTTTGTAGTTACGCTGAAGAAACTAAAAATAAAAGATGCAATAACAAGTATAAAAACCACAAGTCCCATATACTATGAGTTGTATTCAAAGTCCAAGTTAATAATCACAATTTTTTAAATCTACATAATTAATCTATGTCCTACTCTAGACAAAATATCATCCAGTGTCTAGAATGAAAGCAAAATGACTGTGCAAATATACAAACACCCCCTAAAATAACTATTGGGTAATAGGCTTAATACCTGGGTGATGAAATAATCTGTACAACAAACTCCCATGACATGAGTTTACTTGTGTAACAAACCTGCACATTTACCCCTGAAACTAAAAGTTTTTTTGTAAAAAAAAAAAAACACCCCTTAAAGCATGATCTGGCTCAGAGAAGATGCTGTCTAATGAAGATTTTGCTAGAAAAAGCCACCTACTAAGACATAGCAGATAAACCACCCAAGACAGTGAGGAAATTGGTGCTCCTTTTTCTTGGAAATCAGTATTGGTATGGGTTTCTACCTGATGTTACATTCAGTACAGTTTAAGAAAACATGCCTTGATATACTTGATTTGTGTCTTATTTGCCTTCAGAACTAGAGCTATGGGTTGGAGATAAGCCAATTTCAGCAGTAGAAACAGGTTATTTGTTCCTGTCCTATAAATTACCTGACTGTATGCATTGAAATAACCACAATGATTACACCCAGTATCTTGAAATGAGCATTTATTTGACAAGTGAGATGAGTGGGAGTCTATAAAAATGAGTGATAATTTCCCTCTTTCCCCAACAGCTGGGTCCCAGGGTAGGTCATAATCCCATCAGTCTTGTTGATGGGATGTTGCATGTTGCATGTGTCAGTGCATGTGTTGGGCATGGCTCTTGGATTGTGGCTTGGTGGCTGCTAAATTCCCACAAAGGCCTTGTTTGGGAGAAAGTGGAGGTGCAGAGCTTGCTCTCATTTGCCATTCAAATATGCAGATTACTGGCCAGGCACGGTGGCTCATGCCTGTAATCCCAATACTTTGGGAGGCCAAGGTGGGTGGATCACCTGAGGTCAGGAGTTCGAGACCAGCCTGGCTAACATGGTGAAACCCCATCTCTACTAAAAATACAAAAATTAGCCAGGCGTGGTGGCATACACCACCTGTAATCCCAGCTACTCAGGAAGCTGAAGCAGGAGAAGCACTTGAACCCGGGAGGTGGAGGTTGCCATGAGCCGAGATCGCCCCACTGTACTCCAGCCTGGACGACAGAGCAAGACTCTGTGTCAAAAAAAAAAACAAAAAACAAAAACGGATTACAATACATCAATTGCAATAACCAGAATATGTCCCGGGCTGCTCTTACTACTTTTTTGTTTTGCTTCTATTGTGAAGAATGGGGTCCTGTTCCTTGTAGTCCCATCTCCCTGGGGTTGCTGCCTACTAAGTGTTAGACATGTATTACTCTTAATTAGACATGTATTAATTTACCACTAAGGTTGCTTATGAGTTGGATCAACTGCTTATCAAAGAAAAGTTTACTGACACAAAAATATAAATAGTATTTTGTGTTTTAAAGAATACAAGGTTAAGTCATTTATATAAAAGAATATCTTTAAAATAAACTCAGTATCTAAGTCTAAAATATATTCAGCTTGATTTGCACATTACCTTTTATCAAGGCAAGAAAATTATAATTATAATCTTTGACAAAATACTAAATTAGTGATCAAAATAATATATGTACATTTTATTTTGTAAAATGCAAATTACTAAAAAAAGATGTTGTATTATCATTAAAACAATCATCAACATCATTGTTATTGATACATGATACCATATAGCCCAGATGTACTTACAATTTCATTTTATGCATATGGGGAGGGGGAAGTACTAATAATTCTAACATCATTTCCGGCTCCAGGGCACAGCTGTGGAGTCATGCCCTCAACTATAGCTTCATCAAGATTAATTTACAAGCATGTATTTATCAGTATTTAATAGCACATTTTTGTTTCTGTAATCTAGCACAATATAAAGAACATATCAAAAGTAAATTCTAAAAGGAATTCTTTGTTATTAAAAAGTTTCACTATACAGCTTCTGTACAGTGTTTTAATCTATGCCATCATATTCAAAATTTTTAGTAAATTTTCCCACCCTTAGCCTTATTTACAATCTGTAGTTTGTTACCTTATCTAATCTTAGATTATCACAGTCAAAGCAGCACTATGTATACATATGCTTGTCTAAAATTTACAATAAGCCTGCAACATTCTATAAACAACATCACTTTGCTTTCTGTGCCTTGCTGGTTAACATTGTTTCTATTTTTTCCTCTAAGAAATACAGTGATCAGATTGCAACAAAATGCATGTCACATAAACAAACACAAACACAAACATCCTCAGAATGTAATTATGATCTTTTTGTAGTAGCAATATGAGTATAATTGTGAATTAAGACATAAACTTCTATAATTTTAGTTCTATTACATAACATGGTAGAAACATTGGTTTCTGCCTCTCTGAAAATGCATATTGCATGTCCTAGAATTTAGCAAAATTAGCATGTGCCTAGAAACATCAAAATGTTTATTATTTGGGGTTTTAAATTGACATCAGCATTAAATCATGTGTTTCCAGTTTCCATTTAAAGATAATTTATTTTATTTCACACTACAAATCTTCTCCTTTTCTCACATAATCGTCGTATTTCCTTGTTATCAACAAGACTTCTAATAACAAAAAAAAACCACTTTTTTTCATTTAAAAAAAATGCTTGGGGCTGGGCACAGTGTCTCATGCCTGTAATCCCAGCACTTTGGGAGGCCAAGGCGGGTGGATCACCTGAGGTCAGGAGTTCGAGAACAGCCTGACCAATATGGTGAAACCCCATCTCTATTAAAAATACAAAAATTAGCCATGTGTGGTGGTGTGTGCCTGTAGTCCCAGCTACTCGGGAGACTGAGATAGGAGAGTTGTTTGAACCCAGGAGGTGGAGGTGGCAGTGAGCCAAGATCACACCACTGCACTCCAGCCTGGGCGACAGAGTGAGATGCCATTAAAAAAAAAAAAAAAAAAAAAAAAGTTTAGCTTTGAAGCTATGAGGCTATATTTTTCCTGCTGTGACTTTAGTTTTTAATTAGATTTTCTATCCACATTGTATATATCTTTTACCCATTCAAGTTTGTAATCTATCTTGCTTTTAAAGACACACACCTTTTTCTCCACAAGTTGCAATTACCTATCGTTTGCATATAAAATTAAATAATTTAGATTTTTTGAAATAATATGTGAGGTTAAAATATTGCTTGCCAATGCTCCAAACAAAAATGATTACTTTTAAAATGGTATCGACCGGCAATGTGTGAATTACCATCAAAAGCAACCTGGTAGGATTTCATTTATGTTCCAAAATACTTAGAGAAACCCAGTAGAAAAAAAAAAAAAAAACAGTGGAAGTGATCCCCAAATGCTCCTTGTTGAGTTATTCTCTTAGAAAAGCTTCTGTAAAGTCTGTCTACAAAGGTAAAGGGTTTGGTGTTTTTGTATAGTTCCTAAGATGCCACAGTAGCCTCACAGCTGTCTGTTGCAGCTTGCTGTTTCCCAGAATGAGAATAAATGAGTGGCACGAGGGAAAGGCATTTAAGGCTAACATGACAAACTTTATGCACTTGTTGTTCCACAACATAAAAAATATCCAATTGGCCACTTGTAAGGAAAAAAAATGAACTATGAAGAGGAAAAGGAAAGACATCACCATTTTCATGGCCCTCCTATGGGCCTCTGTGCTGGAGTCTCTAGAGCCCAAGGAACTGAGCTTCAAATTTCTAGTATGTCTCACCAAGGACAGAAATAAAAAAAGCAAGGAGGTCAGGAACAGAGAAAAGGGGATAAAACTGGTCAAGCTGAGAAGAGTTTTTAAAATAGAGAGTTTATCATAGAGAGTTTTACTTTCATCTAAATATAAAGTCAGATTACTTTTATCTATTATATTGAGTGAGATATCAATAAATATTTCTAGCACTAAACTGTCAAAAATCAGTAAGAACAAAGACAATATAAGAAGCATAACAATCATTCCGTTCATCCTCCACCTCAGCCAGAGGAAAAGGGAGTGGGGGAAGTGGGCTATCTTAAAGAAATAGAAAATGCTTAGGCAGGTGGCAAGCCAGGTTGTCAAGTGATTAGTCATGTGCCAAAGCATAATAACAGTTTTTCCTAGTCTATATGTGGTATATAAATGTGAAGCAAGTCCCACTAGAAATGAATCAAACAGTATCACCAACAGTTGTCCAATTGTGGAGATAGCCAAGCAGGTGAGGATGAAGTCAGCTGAGAAGACCTTTTGGTTCTTGATCCCTTCAGAGCAGTTTACCAGTCCAATGAACACATTCCCCAGCATGCTGATGATGAATTCTGCTATTGCCAGAATCAGAAAGATTTTGTCCAATTCGGTGGCCATCTCCAGAGACAAAAAAATCCAAGTTTTTAATACTTTGTATCATTAATAAATTTACAATCAAACCATTGCAGAAGAGCATTCATATCTGATACTTATCTTCATTGCTTTTATTGCACTTCCAGTCTTGATCAGAACCTTCTGCTGTTGGATAGAGTCTCATATACTTAAGGAAGTCTTTGCCTATTTTTACTATAATTCTGATCTTAATCCCAAAAGATCTACTAAGGGATGCAGTCTCACATACCTTCACGGGAGTGTTTTCATTTCTTTGAAAGAGCTGCTGAATTCTAAACCAAACAGTTTCTGTGTCCATTTATCATTGTCATGGGCTGAAACTTTCCACTTGTGGTAATGATTAAAAGGATAAAGTCAAGTATATTAATATGCAAATATAGACTGGATTCCCCCCCTTTCTCTGATTTGTACATTTCTGCTCACCTGAAAAACTACACCACTTGGATCCAAATATCTTTATTGTTTTTCAGAGGAAGCTGCAGATATAATCTAATAATTTTGTTATTATTCAACGAATATATTTTATAAGTGCCTGCTGTGTTTCTGATCTTATGCAAATGCAATATATTTACCACAAAAAAAAGCATTAAGAAGTCTATAAAATAGTGAAAACAGGAAAAAAACAATGAGACAGAATCAAGAATAAAATGTGCTATTAAAGCAGAAAAGGGAACTACAAACACTACTGTTGGGGAGAAAAGGGGGGTGACATTTGCTTTGGATCTGGAAAATACTTAGAATTTCATGAGGAAACTCAAGTCATATTTTGAACTCATTGAATAATATCCGAAAGATACCGAAACCCAAACTACTTTTTTGAAATTAAAGTCCTACTGATATTTCAGTCTAAATGTTCCTCAGGTATCTTATAGTAACTTGTTCAAAATTAAACATGGTTTTGCTCTTTACCTTGGTTTTATATATGTTCTATTTTTTTTTTGGCAAGAGATATATTGCTACCAATTTAGCCTTAATAGACAGGTAGAAAATTGTTTTAGATGAAATAAGGAAAGAGGAAACAAAAGTATTTGTTCTACATTCTAGGAACAATTATTTTGACAAAAACCCCCAATGCACCATAATTGAACTCAGAGTTACAGATTATGTGTCTTGGTTTATGGTCAGCAAACAGATATTCTATTACTAGAAATTAGTGTTCAAGTGTTGCCAGACAAAAATTAACCCAAAAAATGAATGAAATCATTTTTAAAACTTGGACCTTTTTAATGTTGCTGTCATACTCCTCAATTAAATTCTATTAATTAACATTTAAAAGTGTATATTTTAAGAATGATGTTGTATAAAGAACTACTGGTAAGTTATTTCCTATGAACAAAAATATTTTCATTTAGGACAGATATTTAAAATTATAGTAAGACAGGAGGAGAAAAAGAGTAAGCAAGAAAGGAAGGAAAGAAAGAAAAGAGGGAGGGAAGGAAGAGAATGAGAAAGAGGAAAGGAAGAGAGAGACAAAGAAAGAAAAAGGAGGGAGCTTCTGAGACAAAGGCTGAATGAAAATGAAGAAATGTAGCAATATCATAGGAAGGAGAATGATGGCTTCGGCCAAATTAGTGTCTAGAGATGGAAAGAAATATATGGCTATGAGAAACAATTAAGGGAAAGAATCAATAGTCTGTGTGATGGATTTGGAGGCTAGAAAAAGGAGGAGGAGTCTGCAATGAAATGCATTTAGGCTCTCCTTTCACTGCTGGATGCATGTGGTACTGTGATCTGAGGGAATCACTGGAGGAAGAATAGGCTTAGAAGCCAAAAAGTAGGAGAAAGAAGAAAAGTTTGAAGATGAGTTCTGTTTTGAACGTTTTGGAGTATCTGTAAAGTCATCGAAGTGGAAGGTTGGAGTAGGCACTTTGATATTTGTGACTGCAGCTCAGAAAAGAAATTTGGACCACATGGGGAGGTTTGGAGAACATCAACACATATTTGATTTTATTAGAGGTGAGGCGCTCCAAGGGCCCTGAGGAACACTAGACAATAAAGAAACCAAAGGAAAAATTAAGAAGCCATCAGAAGGAAGAGGAAAACCGAGAGACTAGGATTTCAAAGCTACTAAGAGCAAGGAGTGTTACAAGGAGGGTAATCAGTACTTCATGATATTAATGAAAAGTCACTTACTAGATTGAGGACCAAGGAACTACTTAGTTAACTTAGCAAGAGCAGCTCAACTGATGACAAAGCAAACTACCATGGATTAAAGAGTCAATGAGACCCCAATAATGAAGCATTAGAAAACCAATTAATGTAATTCAGTACATTAACAGATTAAAGGAGAAACATTCAGAAAAAAATTTGATACAATTCTGCATCTATTCACAAATATTCTTAGCAAAATTAGCTGAGCTAATTTTTAATCTGCAAAAATCTGCAAACATCTTTTGCATTTCTTCATACCATCAACAGTTTAAGTCTGAAAATACCTTAGCTTTTATGCCCATATAATTAGCTTATAATTAATACATATTGAATATAATCAAACATTCCAGAGTTTTAAAAAATTTAAACCATTATCACACTCTTTTTCTCATTTTACGTATTATTCAAGAACATTAAGTTCTCTGACTGTGTCATTGGATATATTCAGTTTTCCTGCTTGGTATCTTAATTATAGACTGTCTTCCAGTCTAAAGCAACTACCTCTAATATCATATCAGCCATCCCCTCTCTCCACAAAGACCAGCCCTGCTCCTTTTACCTAGTCCAGTCACTCAGTATTTTTTCTTTTTCAAAACCTATGGGCTGTACTTTTCCATGTGGGGTGATGGGTAACAAGAGAGTTTCTCCTTCACTATTATGCAAACACAGACCGATATTGTTACTCTTTTTGCATTTTCTTTGCCTAATGAATTTCCATTTGTATCTTTAGCTATGGAAGATCTAGAGGAAGAATTTACAGATCGTAAATATTAAAATTCAATCTAAAAGTCTCTTCATCCAAGCATGTGAGAAAAATCTTGGTCAGAATCTTGTTCAGAATAGGAGGAAGAGGATGTGTGGCATGCCTTATAGTCTTTCAATGGGCAGAGTAGTGGTTTGACCACTTACAAATTTACAAATGTGGATTGTACCATACTGTAGCCCTTATTCTCTGTTTTGTCCACAGGTACCAGGGGAATCTATACCTGAAGCATTACTGGAGTCAAGGTATAAAACATTTATGTTCTCTTATCTAATAAGTCTAAGAACTGAACTGCAAAGGATTTTAGTTTGCCAGAACTTGCCCTTCGTATGTTAATGTAAAGGATGTTGGTACTAATTAGAATGGTTCTTGCCAATGTGAGGGTACTAACCGATATGCTATTTATGTCCACTTGTTCAACTATATCTCTTTTGAAATACCTGAATAATTTTAGAAATGAACCAAGAAATTAGTTGAGAAGAAACCAAATAATATCTAAGGGAGAAATCATATACAACTTCAGGGATTATCTTAGTTTGTTTGTACTGCTGTAACAGACTATCACAAACTGGGTAATTTATAAGAAAAGAAACTGATTTCTCACAGTTTGAGAGGATGGGAAGTTCAATATCAATGTGTTAGCCTCTGGCAGAGGCCTTCTTGCTGCATCATCCCATGGCAGAACGTCAAAGAGAGGGAGACAGAGACAGAGTAAACTCACACTTTTAAAAGAAACCAACTCATGTGATAAACCCACTCCTGTGATAACAGCATGGATCCATCCATGAGGGTAATGCCCTCACGACCTAACACCTTTTAAAGGTCCCACCTCCCAATACCTCCAGGTCTCCAACAAGTGAACTTTGTGGGACACATTCAAATCATAGCATTTCACCCCTGGGCCCCCAAAGGTATGTCCTTCACACATGCAAAATTCATTTCCTCCCTTCCAGTAGCCCCCACATTGTAACTCATTCTAGCACCAACTTAAAAATCCAAACTCCAGAGTCTCATCCAAGTCAGATATGGATAAGACTCAAGGCACAATTCATCCTGAGGCAAATTCTCCAGCCATGAGCCTGTGGAATCAAAACAAGTTACCCACTTCCGAAATTCAGTGGTGGGACAGACATATGAAAGACATTTCCATTCCTGGGAAAAATAGGCAAGAAAAGAGGGGCAATTGGCCTTAAGTAAGTCCAAAACCCAGCAGGGCAAACCATATTAAATCCTAAGGGTTGAGAATAATCTTTGACTCCATGTCCCACCTTCTAGACCCACTGGGTCAGGGATTGGGCCCCCAATTTCCCAGGCAGCCTCACCTCCACAGCTTTGCTTGTCTCAGTTCACTCCTGAGCAGCTCTCACAGGTTGGAGTTTTGTGCCTATAGATCTCCCAGACTGGTTTTGTGAGGCAGCACAGGGCAGTGAATGCTGAGGTCTTTCAGGCACCTCTCTGGAAGCTTTGACCTTAAGGTCCTAACTTGCGTAACTTCTGGTCCTAACTCCATGATCTCGGAAATATCTTCCAGGTCATTCTCCCTTTGTCTTATGAATAGAACTTGGCTTCCTTCTAGCCAGATTAATATTTTCAGCAAATGACCACTTGGCCAAACCCTTCTTATTCTCTCTCGAACATGCTTTTTTATTCTTTATATGGCCAGGCTGAGAGTTCTCCAAATTTTTCTATTAGTCTTCACTTTTCATTATAAATTCCATCTTTAAATCATTTCTCTCTCCTCAACATTTTACTATATGTGCTTGAAAGAAGCCATGGAGCCCACTGAATGTTTTGCTGCTGAGATGTCTCTTCCATCAGATATCGTAGTTCACCTCTCTTAAATTCTGCCTTCCATAAAGCCAAAGGGCATGAACAGAATTCTGCCAAGTTTTTTTGCCACTTCATAACAAGGATGATCCTTACTCCAGTTTCCAATAAGACATTTCTCTTTTCCACCTGAGACCTCATCAGAATGGCGTTTACTCTCTATATGTCTACCAACATTCTCATCAGGACCATAAAAGTAATCTCTAAGAAGTTGCAGACTTTCCCTACAGTTATCCTCGCCTGAGACCTCAGTGGAATCACTCTTAATACAAAATTTGTGGCAATCTAGGCTTTTTCTAGCCTGCTCCTCCCATACCAATTTCCTGTCTTAGCCTGCTTTGTGCTGCTCTAACAAAATACCACAAACTGGGAAAATTATAAAGAAAGAAATTTATTCCTCAATTCTGGAGTCTGGGAAGTCCAATATAAAGGTGCCAGCATGTGGTAAGGGATTTCTTACTGTGTCATCTTATGGGAGAAGGGCAAAAAGAGAGAGAGAGAACGAGAATGGGGCTTAACTTGTCCTTGTATAAGGAATCAGCTCCTGTAATAACAAACCCACTACTCAATAATTGTGTTAAGCCATTTATGAGGGTTGTGCCTTCATGACCTAAACACTTCTTAAAGTTTCCACCTCCAAAAACCTCCACACTGGGGATCAAGCTTCTAACACATGAACTTTGGGGGACATATTCAAACCATAGCAGCCATGTATTTTACTAATTATAAAAAACAATAGTAACAACAACAATAATAAAAGGTATCATTTCTAGAACTCTTACTATATGCCTGGCTCTGGATAAAATGATTGACTTGCATTTGTGCATATATTAACTTAAGAAAATGCATGACAACCAATGAGCATATGAAAAGAAGCTCAATATCCCTGATCATTCAAGAAAAATTAATCAAAACCACAATGAGATATCATTGCACACCAGTCAGAATGACTATTATTAAAAAGTCGAAAAATAACAAATGCCAGTGAGGTTGTGGAGAAAAAGAAGTGCTTATACCCTATTGGTGGGAATGTAAAGTAGTTCAGCCATTGTGGAAGAAAATGTGGCAGTTCCTCAAAGATCTAAAGCCAGAACTACCATTCGACCCAGCAATCCCATTACTGGGTATATACCCAGAGGAATATAAATCATTCTGTTATAAAGACACATACATGCAAATGTTCATTGCAGTACTGTTCATAATAGCAAAGACATGGAATCAACCCAAATGCCCATCAATGATAGACTGGTAAGGAAAATGTGGTACATATACACCATGAAATACTATGCAGCCATAAAAAAGAATAAGATCATGTCCTTTTCAGGGATACGGATGGAGCTGGAGGCCATTATCTTTAGCAAACTAATACAGAAACTGAAAACCAAATACTGCCTGTTCTCACTTATAAGTGGGAGCTAAATTATGAGAACACGTGGACTCATAGAGGGGAACACCACACACTGAAGCCTCTTGGAGGGTGGAGGGTGGGAGGATGAAGAGGATCAGAAAAATAACTATTAGGTACTAGGCTTAATTCCTGGGTGATAAAATAATCTGTACAACAAACCCCCACAACACAAGCTTACTTATGAAACAAATCTGTGTTTGTACCCCTGAACTTAAAACGTGATTTCTGGGTGTGTCTGTGATGCTGTCTGAAAGAGATTAGCATTTAAATTGGTTGACTGAGAAAAGAAGATCATCCTCAACAATGTAGGTGGGTTTCCATTCATCTCTGGCCCTACTGCTGGGTCTGAGGACCATTCTTGGGACAGATGTAATTTAAAGCTGACACAGTGTTAAATGGTTGCATGAGAACCAGGTCTTGGGTGCTTTGGACTCAGATCTTCATCATCTCTTGGGGGAGCATAGTAGAGCTAGATATCAGAGTTCCATTCTACTGATTTTTTTTTTAACATCAATCATGTTATATCTAGTGAACATGGCTCCTTCCACCTCCATCTGCTTCTGTTCATGAGAACCAAACTAACTTTTCTCTGGTCTCTCTCTAAGGGTATGTGTTAGGGTGTGAGGGCAAGTGATTGTCTCCATTGATTTATTTCTTGTTATTTCATAGGCATAAGGAAGGGGGATCTAATTACTATTGGCTCAAGGAGCCATATTTAAGAAAGCAAACATTGGTTTTCTAAGTGAGTCATACAACTTGCATATAGTTAATTTTAGTTAATTTTTAAAAATTGAGGCAACTCATACCTGTTATTGAAATCCAACTATTTTCAATGAATACCAAGGTACTGTAGAAGAAAATTCCAGTTATATAGGATAATATCTGCTTTACTTTTTCTCATCCTAACAAGTTTTGATAATTATAAATGAAATTTAAATTCTGTTTTACTGTGAATCAAGAGTATAAAATTCTACTCTGGGCCTAGGTGATAAACAAAAGCTTTATTAGCACTTATTTGGAAAATTCAGATAGGGCAAGGTCTCTTTAAAATAATATTGGCGTCTGTTATTGAGCACTCAGCATGTGCAAAGCACAGTGCCAGGCATTTTTATACATTGTGCCATTTAACTAGCACAACAAAACTTCAAAGTGGTGGCATTACAGCCATTTAGAAGATTAAAAAGTTTTCAGTCCTTTAATTAAACGTAACAGTTTTGTAATGGCTACAATGTGAAAGAATGAAGCTAATAATTGTGTGCTGTTGTCATCTGAAATGCAACTGGACACTGTCACTAATTTTCTTATATATATCCACTCTTCCGTGATTTATTTGCTGTGTGTATGAATGTAATATGGCCCAGAAAAGAACCATGGCTCTCTGTTTTTATCTAAATTTCCTTTTCTTTTCTTTATATATTTTGAGAAATATATTTTTATTTAACTATTTAAAAATGAATCATCATTTTTCAGAAGCTAAAATACACAGATGGGTACAAACATCTGTGAGATGTTTTGAGATAGGGTCTTGCCCTGTCACCAAGGCTGGAGTGCAGTGGCACAACCATGGCTCAGTCCAGCCTCAGCTGCCTGGGCTCAAACAATCCTCCTCCTCCTGAGTACCTAGGATTTTAGGTACGCACCACCATGCCCAGCTATTTTCTTCTATGTTTTGTAGAAACAGAGTCTTGCTATGTTGCCTAGACTGGTCTGAAAGTCCTGATCTCAAACAATCCTCCCGCCTCAGCCTCCTAAAGTGCTGGGATTACAGGCATAAGCCACTATGTGCAGCTAACTAGATGGATTTTTATATCAAATTTGGAGAGTATATTTGGTATGGTTTGCCTTAATATATAGACACATATTTTGCAAATATCCATATAACTGTTCATGGCAGTTGTTCATTTACTTATTAGTTTGTCTGATATTAAAACTTTCAGTCTTCTGTTATTTTTGTGTGCTTGTATGTGATACTTATATCCCTATCTCTTTTTTTTGTTGTTATAAATAGTTTATCGTTGGATTTGACTTCTTCATACAAATCCAGCTACAGACCACTTATGGGAGAGATGTAATGGAATTAAACCATTTGTAGTACTGATTAGTACATTTGATCTTATGATTGATATTTTATTTTTGTCTTTTCTTGTTTATTTTGCTTTCGATTTATTTTCTTTCCTGACTTTGCTGAGCTGACCAAGACTTTATACTGCCTTTTCTTGTCACTCCAGTGGTTAAAAAAAAAAAAGTTCTTACCCGTATTTCTAATCTACTAGTAGTTATCATTGAAGTGTTTATAAAGCGAATTAAATTCATAATTTTCAGTAAACATAGCAAATTTAACAAGATTGATTATAATACTCCTGCTCCAAGAGGACCTCATTTATTATAAAATTATTTTCTCCCAGAGCTCTTCCTAGCTCTTAGATTTTGTTGAAAACATCTAGAATTTACTTCCAAACTACTGCTGATGGTTCTTTACATTATTAGTCATATAATTCATTTACTTATATTTTTAAATAAAATTCAAAACCACATAAACAAAAATTGTTTAAACAAGTAAAAGTTTTGCTGGTTTGAGTGCTCACTCACCACTGCTGCTTATTTGCCATGCTGTGCCTTTTATTGGTTGTTTTATCTTGACTTGGCTCAATTTTTTTCAGGAAAGATGCAAGTGTCGCAGTATTTCTGAGCCATGGCATTGTCCATAAATGACTTGATTTTACCCTCACACTTCAATGATAAAATGGCTGAACATATAAGATTTACACTTGTTTCTCTTCAGAAATCTGTGAATACTACTTTATTACCTTCTAACTGGAGAAAGGAAACCTTTGTTTCTGCTTGTTGCCCATAGGTTAAAAGCTGCCTATGGTTATCTGAAATACAGTTCTGACAATTCTTTGAAAATTCACTGGTGCTCAAAGACAAAAACAAATAAGGTGAAAGTTTTTAAGTCTGTATATGGAGTTAAGGATTTCCTCTTTTTGCTACTTTGAAGCATTTTTAAATTGACACGGCAATCTTTAAAGGGCTTTTCTAACCTTGTTGTTTTCCATAATCAGGATAAATGAGTGACTTAATGGATAGGTAGGCACCTAGTGCCACTATTTTCCTCTTGCATAGAAAGTAGCTGATGGATGAAAGGGAAGTTCCCAAACTGTAGAGAAGGTGGAAGAAGAAAGCAATCATAATGTTCATGGCTCTCACATAGGCCTCTGTCCTGGGTCTCTGGAGCCAGTCGCCTATCACTACAGCTGTACAGTGTTTCCCCTTAGGGAGATAACAAACAAGGAACATTAGATAGGAGAAATGGTAAAGTGAATAGACAACTCCAGGTTAATGAGCATCTGGTCAACAGGAAGGTGGGCTTCATTCACACCGACCTTCCAATAGGAGTTTCTGTTATATTTTATATCAACATTGATCCAGAAATAATTTGATCTTAATCATTGAAATGATGGATATGTAGAAAAACAAGAAGATCATTAAGAATGTAAAAACAGCCCTGCTAATCCTCCACTTCAGCCAGAGGAAAATTGCATGGTGGAAAAGTGCTACTTTAAGCAAATAAAAAATACTGAGATATGAGGCTAACCAGATACCTAACTGCTTTGAAACTAATCTGAGAATGTCAAATATTGTTATAATTTTAATTAGGTTATGATTAACGGCATCTATATTTGGATAGTCATTATAAGTACATCTAATAGCAACACCCGAGCAAAAGTGTTCTGCATATGGCCAAGCTTGAGAGGATGAAATCCATCAAACAAATCTGGTTCTCAGCCCAGTCAATTAAGTTTGCCAATTAAATCCATCCAGTCCATGAATATTTTTTTTCTTTATTTGAGACAGAGTCTCACTCTATCACCTAGTCTGGAGTGCAGTGGCACAATCTCAGCTCACAGCAACCTCTGCCTCCTGGGTTCAAACGATTCTCCTGCCTCAGCGTCCCAAATAGCAGGGATTACAGGCCTGCGCCACCATGCCCACTAATTTTTGTATTCTTAGTAGAGACGGGTTTTCACCATGTTGGCGAAAACTCCTGACCTCAAGTGTTCCTCCCACCTCAGCCTCCCAAAGTGCTGGGATTACAGGCATGAGCCACTGCACCCGGCCAGTCCCTGAAATTCTTATTGTGAATTCCACCATGGTTACAGTCGTAGAGATACTTTACACTGCCTTTGTCATAGCTCCAGAAAGAACGCCCCACTTGAATTTGCAATGTAAGTTCTGAATAATCAAACATCGATTCACCAATCGTTTATTGTAGTTAATACATACATCTGTTATTTGGTATTCATAAATGTCTCCTACCCATCACTCTTATCTCTGAATCCTCAATCAGGAAGTACTCCTGTCCCTAAAATTCGACATAGTTTTCAACCCAAGTTCTACATATGATCTTCCAATATGCCCTTAGATTGTGATTTCCACATTAGATTGTGACTAAAATATGTTTCTCTTTACTAAAGATGCAAATTGAAGACAAGTAGTTTTCTAAATTTTGCATGCCCCATCTCCAAATGATGTAGATGTCTCAAGATGATTTACTGAGTCTTTAGCAGTAGTCTAATACAAAGACTATGCATCGAACTTCTAATGTTAGAAATATAAATGAATAAACTGAATAATTTTTATCACCATCAGTAAGGAATATGCAACAGACTAAGAGTCCTTTGGAAATGATTTATGAATTGGAGCAGTGTAATATTTATTATGTAGTGAGTTATGCAGATAAATATTTTTCAATGTTTACCTGGGTTCAAGAAAAAAGACATCAATTTTTAAATATAGACTGAACCCCTGCCATACCATGTGCTGTATTAGGCACAGTTTAAAGTCTCATATAAAGAGGATCATATCCGATAATAGCTGTAGGCAAACTTAGGTGGCAAAAGATGTCTTCTATGCCCTGTACATGTTGCATAACAAAAGAGAAGGAGATAGGAACCGTCTTCTCTCAATAAGAGAAGTATTCTATCACTGACTTGCAAATCTGTCATAATAATAAAAAGTAGACTAACTTTTCATTGATTGCATTACAGTTTTAAGTCCTTTATAAGCAATATGCTTCTTTATCATTTGTGCTTGAGACAAACAGCTTTTATCTCTATTCACCCTAATATCTGATGCCCCATTTACCTTATACCTGCCATATTATTAAAATTTTGTTTCTACCTTTCATTCTACATTAAGGCCACAGCAGTATATAGAGTAGTCATTAGGATTGTTGCTGTAAGATAATTGCATGATCTAAGCTAATTTCAGATACATTACATCTCTCACAGTAATAAAAATACAAACAAGAGTTGACGTTTATTGAACTCTGTGAGCAAAACACTGTTCAATCACTCTACATGTCTTATTTCATTTAATCCTCACAATAGTCCTAGTAATAGGTATCATCATTGTCTCCATCTTACACATAAGGGAACTGAGATACAGAGTTTCAGGAAATGGATATATATGCATGGAATTCCAGGAAATCTTTAAAGGTATCTCTTAAAATTACCATAATGATAAAACAAATATGTAATACTATATTAACTTTGGAAATTAAACATAACAGTTAATCATATAATGGGAAAGGAAATAATTTTTGCCAACCAAGCCAATCCAACAAGATCAAGAAAACTAGTGTTACTAAGTGCAGTTGCTCATGCCTGTGATCCCAGTGCTTTGGGAGGCCAAGGCAGGAGGACTGCTTGGAGCCAGGAGTCCAAGACCAGCCTGGCCAACACAGTGAGAACCCATCTATAACAAATTTTAAAAATTAGCCAGACATGGTGGCATGCTGTATTCATCCACTCTCACACTGCTATAAAGAAATTCCTGAGACTGAATAATTTATAAAGAAAAGAGGTTAAATTGCCTTATGGTTCCTCAGACTGTACAGGAAGCATGGCTGGGGAGGCCTCAGGAAACTTACAGTCATGGCAGAAGGCAAAGGGGCAGCAGGCACATCTTACATATCCAGAGCAGGAGGAAGAGAAAGAAGGGGAAGATGCCACACACTTTTAAACAACCAGATCTCATGAGAACTCTATCACAAGAACAGCACCAAAAGGAGAAATCTGCCCCCATCATCACTGCCATCACCAGCTGGGATAGTGGCGGCCCAAGCCACCATCATGTCTCACCTAGATTATTGTAGAAGCTTCCCTACTGGCCTCCTGCTGCTGAGCTAGCCCCTACAGAGTGGTCCCATTCATATGCAGGTCATATCATGTCAGCACCCTGCCCAAAACCCTCCAAGTGGTTCCTTGTATCACTCAGAGTGAAATCCAAAGCTCTCATTGCTGTTTGCAAGATCCAGCATGATCTGTCCACCACCCTCTACCTCAGCCCCCATCTGACCTCCTCACCAAGCACTCTCCCCTTCACCCACCCCTCCCCTGCCCCACTGCACTCCATGCTGTTTCCCAAGCATTCAGGGCCCCTCCAGCCTCAGGGCCTTGGAGGGATCTTCCCTCTGACTGAAATCCATATAGTCCCAATCTCAGTGACTCTCCAAACCCAAGGTCTGGAGAGCTGGATTCAGAAACAAGATAGCAGTATACAAAACTAAGAAGGCTGTCATAGCAGATTGTTTTTGGCTGAGTCTGCAGAGAGACCAGCTGGTGTGAAGCTCTGTGAGGACTGCAGAGAACAAAAATCAATAGGTAATCGCTTCTTGTAGCAATTCAGAATAACAAGTTGTGGGTCAGGAGTGCCACCTACTGACAATATTTTTAAGTTGCAGAAAAGGATTTTAGGAAAATTAAACTTTCCAAGGATGAATCTATAAAGCTAAATAAGTGACAAGATAAACTACCTCAAGTATTAAGAAGCCATAAGACAATTTCTCGTTTAAAACTATAATTGGAGCCAGGTACGGTGGCTCATGCCTGTAATCCCAGCACTTTGGGAGGCCGAAGCAGGAGGAGCACTTGAGGCCAGGAGTTCAAGACCAGCCTGGCCAACATGGAGAAACCCCATCTCTACAAAAAATACAAAAATTAGCTGGGTGTGCTGACACATGCCTGTAATCCCAGCTACTCAGGAGGCTGAGTCACAAAAATCTCTTGAATCCAGGAGGCATAGGTTGCATTGAGCTGAGGTTGCACCACTGAGCTCCAGCCTGGGTGACAGAGCAAGACTCTGTCTCAAAAAAATGAAAAACAAAAACAAAACAGACAAAAAAAGCAACAACAACAACAACAAACCCTATAATTTAGAAGCAACCTCTGATACAGTTTTTCTTAAACTCCAGCAAATATATTTATAAAGCCACAATAAAAGCACAAATCACAAGCATCTTGAACATCAACAATAGCTTGGACATATTGAAAAAAGATCTAGGAGTGAGTTTCATTGATTATGAGGAAAATTGGTTTTAAAATGTAATTTATTATAAACCTAGTTTTATCTCATTAAATAAACACTATTTGAAAAGCGGCAGAGCCATATTATTAATTCAGGCTGTTTTTAAACAAATATTTACTGAGCAAAGTGTTGGGATCTGTTACAGTTGCTGGTGGCCTCACAAGACACAAGTCAGACCAGGTCCCTGTGAAGGTGAAGTTTCTATCCTCCTTGATGAATGCATAAAATAAACAACCAAAGAAATAAAGTAAAAGTAAACTTTCAGATATGTATAAGGGCTTTGAAGGAAACAAAGCAGAATGCCTGGACGTACTAATTCTAAAGGCCAGAGGACTTTTTGTTTAGGGCAGTTGGAAAAAGCCTATTTGAAGAGAGAATGTATCAATTAACAGTTACAGCATAACAAACCACATCAAAACTCAGTGGCTTAAAACAACAAGCATGTATGACCGTTCTCACAGTTGATTCTGTGGGCTGGCTGGGCCCTTCCCCTCTAGGCCGGCTCAGTTGGGACTGTATGACCTTGAGTAGCCCCACTCACAGCTCTGAGGCCCAGCCAGGATAGCTGGAGATCCGTGGGCTCTCTCCATAAATGACAGCAGAAGAGTTCCCAGCAGCAAGACTGGAGGATGGGCTTATGGTAAGGGGAGATGAGTGGGAAGTCACAGACATTAATGGTGAATAATTTACACTTTTCATCTTTACATGATTAAAAAAATCAGTTAAACTACTGAACACATGGAACATGGATTTACTTATTTGATCAGTGTGTTAGTTTTTTTATTGCTGCTGAAACAACTTACTACATATTTACTGTCTTAAAACAATACAAATTTACTGGAAAGACGTCCTGTGTTCATGGGCTGGAAGATTTAATATTGTTAAAATGTCAGTACTACTTAAAGCAATCTAAAAATTCAAAATCCCACAACGTTTTTGCAGAAATAGAAAAATCTCAACTAAAATTTATATGGACATTCAAGGTACACAAAATAATCAAAGTAGGCAAAATAATCTTCATAAAGAACAAAGACACTCTCCAAGAAGATATACAAATGTCCAATAAACACATAAAAAGATGCTCAACATCACTAGTCATTAAGGAAATGCAACTCCACGGTAAGATACCACTTCATACCCATTAGGATGGCTTTATCAAAAGAAAGAAAAAAAGAAAAGAAAAAGAAGAGAAGGGAAGAGAAAAGAAAAGAAAAAAGAGAGAAAAGAAGGAAGGAAAGGAAGGAAGGAAGGAAGGAAAGAAGGAAAGAAGGGAGGGAGGGAGGGTGGAGGGAGGGAGAGAGGGGAAATAAGTGAGAGTGGCAGGAGGCAGCCAAATGCCTAGGCAGATAGGAGTGGGTACCCAGTGAAACCCCACCTCCAAGCAGAAGACAGTTTAAAGCCTGAAAGCCAAGCTACAAGCTGAATTTCAGATGGGATTGATAACTTGTCTTCCTGTTTGGTTCACTTTCCTCTGATTGATCCTCACCTTTCACCTGTTTTACATACACCTACCCTTTCCTAATTGGTTTTCTACACTGTTGTGCCCACTTATGAGTGGTGTCCTTGCTTTAACCATTTTGGCATACTCACAAACCAATCAGCGTGCACTCCCCATTCTGAATCCATAAAAAGCCCTGGACCCAGCCACGTGGGGGACTTCCCACCATCGGGTAGGGGAACCCCCACCCCAGCATCCCCTCTTTGCTGAGAGCTTTCCTTTTGCTTAATAATTTCTACTTCACTCACTCTCCAGTGTCTGTGTGCCTACTTCCTGGTTGTGAGACAAGAACTTGGACCTAGCTAAGCTAAGGAGCAGAAAAACTGCAACAGAAGGAAAGAGGGAAGGAAGGAAGGAAGGAAGGAAGGAAGGAAGGAAGGAAGGAAGGAAGGAAGGAAAGAAGGAAGGAAGGAGTATTGGCAAGCATGGAGACAAATTGGAACCTTTGTACATTGTTTGTGGGAATGTAAACAGCAAATGGTGCAGCTGTTGTGGAAAATGGTGTGATGGGTTCTCCAAAACTGAAACACAGAATTCCCATACAATCTAGTAATTCTACTTCTAGATATATACTCAAAAGAAATGAAAACAAGGACTTAGATATTTGCACACCCATGTTCATAGCAGCATTATTCACAATACCAAAAGGCAGAAACAACCCAAGTGTCCATTGACAAATGAATATATACACAAAATGTGGTATAAACATGGAATGGAATATACCCAGTCTTAAAAAGGAAGAACATTCTGACACATGCTACAACACAGATGGACCTTGAGGACATTACACTAAGAGAAATAAGCCAGGCACAAATATGATGCCACTTATATGAGGCACTTACAATAGTCAAATTTGTAGAGACAGAAAGTAGAATGGTGGTTGCCAGGGGATATAAAAGGAGGAAATATCATATCATAATATCATATAGAATTCTGGATTACATAAGTTCATCTCTTTGGGATATAACTAGGCAGAATCACTGATTCCATTTGCTAATTGCTAAGTAGTTTACCTCCAAGTGTTGCAATGATTTCCAAACATCCAAACATTGCTACTGGTTGAATCACTGAGGAACTTGCTAAAAATACAGATTATAGGGTCTAAACTATGATCTCATAAATCAGAATCTCTACAGTTAGGGCTTAAGAATTTTATTTTGTTTAAGATACCCCCAATCTTTATTCTGATGTAGCTGGTCCAGTAAGATTGACATTTCTTAATCAACACATTAGGCATCCCAGTAACAAAATACAACAATAACTTTGTGCATTAAGTTGGAAACCATGACAAAATTTTCATTTTAATATGATGGTTTTTCAGAATGAATGATTTCAGGATCTTTGCCAAAGTCTCATGCTTCTGTTTCCAAAAAGCCCCAGCAAATGTTTACCTCAACCCATTAAGTAGGCTAAGTGCCAATTAATAAATAGAGATGAAAGTGGCATGTGAAAAACCAAAACTTTATGGATAGGCACTGAGAATCTTCCTCTGTGGAGGACAAAGAAGATATTATTCTTCTAGGTCATTATAAACAGGCTAGATGGCCCTTAACCATATAAAAAGACATTTGAATTCACTTATAAGAGAAAAGCAAATTAAAACTGTGCCTCATTTGTCACGTTGGCAAAAAGTTCTAAAAGCTTGTCAACCTATTTTGTTAGTGAAATAAGAAATAAAAACATTCATTGCTGGTGTTTGCAAATCAGTATAATGCTTTTAGAGATGTTAAAAAACAAAATTTCAACAAACTGATTTCAAAGATTTAATTGGCTTTTATTATCAATTATGAATTGGGCTGCATTCCATCTATAAAACAGAAAAATGCTCCATGGGCATAGCAGAACGATTAATATGTGTAAGGGAGTTTGAGCAGAAACAAGGAAATAGCATAATACAACAAAGTGGATTGGTTAACTTAGGGTTACTTTCCTTGAAAGGGTTAAAACAAGGGGTACTTTCATATCATGCCAGCCTAGGTTTACTGGGACCTTTTTAACTGGTTACTGTGAATCTCCTGTTTTTTGTTTTTTTGGGGATTTTTTTTTTTTGGAAAATTTGGCCTGATGGGAGATTTTCCTGTTTTTTAAAGTTTCAGTTTGACTACATGGCTCTTGTCAAGAGTGACTCCATTTTGGTTTGTCCTGTTGGGGGCTAGTGCAGGAATTCAACCCAAAACAATGACCTACCATACATTTTATTTAACAGAAGGAAAATGAGTAATATTTAACAAAACTGCATGTGTGTTTATTTTTGATCCAGCATTTCTTCATCTAGGAATTTATTCTAAACATGTACCACTAACAAAGAAATAAGCATGGACAAACTTACTCATTACAGCATTGTTTGTACTCACAAAATATTGGAAACAACCTAATTGCCCATACATAGGAGAGTGGTTAAATTAACTATGGTATGTCTACGTAAGGAAGTACTAAGCAGCTATAAAAAAGAATGAGGATGATCTCTATGAACTGATGTGGAACGTTCTCTAGGGTACATTGTAAAGTAGAAAAAGCAAAGGGGAAATGCATATACGCCACCATTTTTGTAAAAAAAAAAAAAAAGAAGGGACATAAGAATATATCCATAAATATGCTTATTTTTGCATAAAGAAATACATGAGAGCTGGTCAGGCATGGTAGCTCACTCCTGTAATTCCAGCACTTTGGGAGGCCAAGGCTGGCAGATCACAAGGTCAGGAGATCTAGATCAGCCTGGCCAATATGGTAAAACCCCATCTCTACTAAAAATACAAAAATTAGCCAGGTGTGATGCTGTGTGCCTGTAGTCCCAGCTACTCAGGAGTCTGAGGCAGAAGAATCACTTCAACCCAGGAAGCAGAGGTTGCAGTGAGCCAAGAGTATACCACCACATTCCAGCCTGGGCAACAGAGTAAGATTCTGTCAAAAAAAGAAAAAAGGAAAAGAAAGGAAAAAGAAATACAGGAGAGCTAAAATAGATATTAATAAGATTGGTTACCTACAGGAAGTGGGTGGGAATGGAATTTAAGGGATTGAGGATTGGGAGAGTACACGATTTTACATAGTTTTGATTTGGGGGTACCATGTTAATGTTTCATGTACTCAAAAGTGCCTAAAATCAACAAGGATGGTAACATGAAATAAAGTAGAATTTTAAAACAAAAAAAAAACAAATAAACTTAAATATTGCAAATGAATAGCATAACCAAACTGAAAGAAAAAAGTAACTGACTTATCTTGCAACATAGTACTTGGACTATACTCCCCAAGTCTAAAGACAAAAAAAAAATACTAAATAAATATTAAGCTCTAGTTAATGTTATCCCCTACCCTCCAGTGATATGGATTAGCAATTCTAAAACTACTTTTTGATATTCTAAGGTGGGACAAATGTATACAGTCAGCCATGCATTTCTGTGGGTTTGTTTTTCTTTTTTAACCTTCACCAGTTTATTATAAAGGATATTACTAAGGATACAGTTGAAGAGATGCATTAATGGGGGAAGGAGCCTGAAGCTTCCACGCCCTCCCTGTGCATACTGCCCTCCTGGCAGCTCTCCAAGCCTGTCTTCTTGTGTTTTTGTGGAGGTTACATAGGCATGATTGATTAAACCATTGGCCATTGGTGATCAACTTGACCTTCAGCCCTTCTCCCCTCCCTGGAGGTTGGGGGATGGGGCTGAAGGTCTCAACCCTCTAATATTGTCTTTGGTCATTCTGGTGACCAGCCTCACTCTGAAGTTATCAGTCAATATAAGTATAAAAAAAAGCAAGCACTTTGGAGAGTACAAGGATTTTAGGAGTTGTATGTTAGGAAACTGGGGAGGAAGACCAAATGCATATTTCACAGTATCACATCCTCACATCTGCCAAACCTAATTGAACATCTGAGGATTTTGGTATCCACAGGGGTCATGGAACCAATCCACTGTGGACACTGAGGGATGACTGTAAATATATTAAGCATAATGGAAGCCAAGTTTCTTGAAGGGAACTGTAAATGTAGAAAGGGCAAGAGTAGCATGTGGTCTTGAATTGGAATTGAAGAATATTAGTCTGTTCTCACACTGCTATAAAGAACTGCCCAAGACTGGGTAAACTATAAAGGAGAGAGGTTTAATTGACGCACAGTTCTGCAGGACTGGGAGACCTCAGAAAACTTACAATCGTGGTGGGAGGGGAAGCAAACACTTCCTTCTTCACATGGATCTCATGAGAACTTCAGATCTCATGAGAACTTACTCACTATCACAAGATTTGCATGGGGGGAACTGCCCCCATGAGTCAATTACTTCCCATCAGTTCCCTCCCAAGACTTATGAGGATTATGGGAACTAAAATTCAAGATGAGATTTGGGTGGGTTTGGCTCAAGATGAGCCAGACCATATCATGAAGTTATCAGTATGAATTCAGTTTTTAATAGAGAAGGAAAAAAAAAAAATATATATATATATATATATATTTTATGTGTTTCCTAGCTCTGTCTGCCTAAAAGAAAGAATATCACAGTTAATAATGAGCACCTTTACCTCCCAGATACTGTTTTCGAAATAGCATTCTGCACTCTAAATAGATCCCAAAGGATCTAGGGATCCCTGGAAAAATAGCTGATTTCAGGCCTATGGCAGTAAAAGCACAAGCTAATTCTTGATTCTTTTTTGGGATGCAAAATAAGGATATACTATAAAAAAAAAAAAAAAAAGACTCAGGAGCCAGCTTGAAGCTCTCCCATTGGCCAAATGCAGGATAATTTGAACATTAATAGTATGAATATGTCATAATACCAATGAACTATAGAATTCCATAATTACATAGAATTCTAATAATTATAGAATTAATTTTCTCCAAATAAAATATGAAGCTAAAAATGCAAACTGGAATAAATGATTAAAGGAAATCTACTTTATAAAGCCAATTATTGAATGTTGAAGAAATGATACAGTTAAAAAATAACTGTTTCTTACAACTATCATAGTAATTAATAATTTGCTTAAACAAGAATCATCAATGGATGCTAAAATTAATAGGTGAAATTTTAATGCTAAGCAGAGTATTTGCATAGTCTCAAAGTTTTTCCCTACAAATTACTTTTAATTATAAACACGGAAATAGTAATTTTAAAGCAGAGAAACCTGACAAACTCCACATTAACCAAGAGATCAAAGCTAACATCACCAATATTGAGACAAACCAGTATCATCTACCTTCTGATACTGATTCACTGAAAAAGAAACAGTATCACTCTTGTGGTGTTTTTCAAAAAAAAGAAAAGAAAAGAAAAGAAAAACCTAAATCTAATCATGTGGAAATCTCAGGGATACACAAAATCAGGAGATGCTCTAAATAACAACTGGCATATCCTTCAAAAATGTCAAGGTTATGAAAGAGACAGGACGGCTGAGAAACTGATCCAGATTAAAGAAAACCACAGAAGCATGACAAATAAATGCATGGCATGACTCCAGATTGGATCCTGGACCAGGAAAAATAATTTGTCTATAAAGGGCATTATCAGGACAATTAACTAAATTTACATTTGACTGTGGATTAGATAATGAGTGGGTCCTGTGTTAAACCTAAACCTATTGCTTTTGATCATGGCATGTGACGATATAAGAGAATGTCTTTGTTCCAAAATATACACATCCAAGTATTTAGGAGTAAAGGAGCATCGTGTTGCAACTTACTCCCAAATGCTTTGAAAAATATATATGTGTATATGTGTGTGTGTGTGTGTGTGAGCGGGAGAGAGAACACAAATGAGATGGCAAATGGGGCAAACTTAACAATTAGTGAACCTGGGTACAGGCTAAGAGTAGTTATTCTTACTATTGTTGTAACTTTTCTGTACTTCTGAAATTATATCGGGACTAAAAAATTACCAAAAAGTTGTTTAAACATGACTGAACTAAATGTTTGCTATAATACTTCCTCAGTCTAAAATCCATATGGCTAGGATTCTGATTTTCACCTCCTTTTCCTAAAAGGAGTCAATGCAAGTATAACCAGACAGTGCGAGTATAACTGACAAAATATACTCCGAAGACAACAGAAGTCTCTCTATTCCTATTTTCTATTTTTTGAATTCAATGCGCTACAGATTTTGTGATTGCAGGCTTCAGTTTTCTCACTATATAATCCTAAATAACAGTGGAGGTACAATGTCACAACATAGCTCCTGCCTCTGGTATAATCAGCTATAGAAGAGAAACTAAGAGAAACTGCTGGCACTAAGAACCATAGTTTGAAAAACTGGCTTCAGTTTCAACAACCGTAATTTTTAAGCCTTTATGTGTTTATTTAACTCTCCCGTGCACTGAAAATTCCAGGTTTGGTATTAGACAAAATATCTCTGAATTTCCTCCATCATCCTGACCCTATAGACCAAATAGTTTAATACCAATGAAATATAAAATGTACATGTAGAAATGAACTAGAAATTTTTTATTGGAATAACTAATGTTTTAATTTATATAAATTGACCCAGAGAAGACTCTCATGGCCCAGGGTAAGAGTATTGTTTGATTTTTTTTAATTTCTAGTCAAATGTTTCCACTTAGCACAGTAATCTTCATCCTCAACTCTCATGGTAGAATAATAACAACAACAATAATAATAAATAGCATTGCCAGGCACTGTTCTAAGTGATTTACAATACTGATTAATTTAAGTCATTAAATTATTTTATGGGTAATGTAATTAATGTGTTCTAACAATCAGGCCGGGCACGGGGTGGTTCACGCCTTTAATCCCAGGACTTTGGGAGGCCCAGGTGCGTGGATCACCTGAGATCAGGAATTCGAGACCAGCCTGACCAACATAGTGAAACCCCATCTCTACTAAAAATACAAAAAAAATTAGCCAGATGTGGTCGTAGGAACCTGTAATCCCAGCTACTTGGGAGGCTGAGGCAGGAGAATTGCTTGAACCTGGGAGGTGGAGGTTGCAGTGAGCAAAGAGAGTGCCATTGCACTCCAGCCTGGGCAACAAGAGCGGAACTCCATCTCAAAAAAAAAAAAAAGTATTATAACACTCCTTATTTTATAGAAAAGAAAAACCAAAGCACACAAATGGTTAGGTAAGCTGCCCAAGGTCACAAAGCTAGTAAGGTTGGGTCTGGGATTCAAACACAGACCCTCTCGCTCCAGAATCTGGGTTCCTAATACTTGTAAAATGCCACATTTCAGGCATCAGCAAGACCTTTTGCATATTACTTTCTTTTTTATCTTCCACAGAAACCCCAATGCTTGACTAAGAGGCTGATATTTGCAGCTGAGTATATTGAATTCTTTCCTCCTACCTGGGGAACAGGCGCCCTCTGTGTCCTAAATGCCACATTCCCATTGTGCTTTGTGTCAGATCTAATAGACCAATCCCTGCACAATCAGGCAAGCCAGAGTCAGTGAACTGGATTTCTACTCTGTGCCTCCAGATCTTGATGTCTGCTGGCACTTTGCTTTGTTCACTCCTTTGGGAAAAGAATAAAAGGGTAGGGCAGGATGTTGAATACCATGGAAAGCAGTGGGTGGTGCCTGGAAGTGAGAACAGCTTCTTTACTACCTATTTCTCTGAACCTTAGCTTCTTCCCTTACGATAAATAAATGCATTTAGTACTTAACAGCTTACTAGTGGCTTTTATGGGCAGTTTTCTTAAAATGGAGCATAAAATTCTTAGGTCACAAAATTACATATTAAGAAACATAGATTATGTAAAAATGATTGTAAACTTTTAAACTATGTACAAATATTAGTTATATTAACAGTCATTAACACCCAGGTCCAAGACCAGGAATTAAGTAATAATTATTTCTATCTTCTGTGAGATCATTGGAGCAGAAGTGGTTACAAATTGATACCTTGCATTTAAAGATTAAGAACCTATCAGATAAAACAAAACATCCTATTGGACTCCTTACTTTCCCATCATCAAAAGCCAGAAGACTAGTACAGACAGACTGCTAATCACTATTTGGGCTCATAAGTAAAACATAAAGAGTAACATGAAATAATCCTGTGTTTTTTTTTTACTCTATTAAAATGACAGCAAATTCTTAGGCAAACTCTACAGTTTCCATTCGTTGAAATTAGAAGAACCTGCTTGGAAGTAATGCAAAACTTGGGTTTCTAAGTGAAGAAGCACATATGAGCCAAAAAGCTAAGGGGACATTTAGAACTTGGTAAGAAATCTCTGTGGCTCTAGTGAGAGACCTTCATGGCCTTACTACAAGGCCACTGAAGCTTTAGTGTGAGAACTTTATGATCTTTACAAGGAAGGTTTCTAAGGTCCTGGTGTGAGGTCCTCTGTTACTGATGTGAGACCACTGTGGCTGGCATTACCTTGACTCACTGAAACTTAGCTTTGCATTTCAAAGCTCTTGGAAAAGGTATATAATGTTAGAGAACTAGCACTTCAGTCCCATTAAAACCCACAACAAGAGTACCATTTCAGATGGATGAAATGATTTTTACCTCCTGTAATATTTCTCAGGGAAGACCACAAGCCAAGACTATAAGAAGAAGCAAAGACCTAGAATAGCCACCATAATACTGAAGAAGAAAAAAGTTGAAAGGTTGGAATGATCAAAATCCAGAACACTGACAACACCAAACACTGGTGAGGATGTGGAGCAACAAGAACTTTCCTTCATTGCTGGTGGAAATGCAAAATGGTACAGCCACTTTGGAAGACAGTTTGGTGATTTCATTTACAAAACTAAACGTACCGTTACCATATGATCTAGCAATCACACTCCTTGGTATTTATGCAAAGGAATTAAAAACTTATGCCCACACAAAAATCTGCACATGAATGTTTGTTTATATATCCTTGTCAAAACTTGGAAGCAGCCAAGATGTTCTTTAGTAGGTGAATGGATGAATAAACTGCAGTACATTCATACAATGGAATACTATTCAGTGCTAAGAAGAAATGCACTATCAAGCCATGAAAAAACATGGAGTAAATCTAAATGCCTATTGCTAAGTAAAACAGGCCAATCTGAAAAGGCTGTATGATTCCAACTCTATGACATTCTGGAAAGGTTATAACAATAAAGACTATAAAAAGATCAGTGGTTGCCAGGGGTTAGGGAAAAGGAAGAATGAACAGTTAAAGCCAAAAGGATTTTTAAGGCAATGAAAATACTCTGCACGATACTATAATGGTGGCTATATGTCATTATAAGTTTGTTCAAATCCATAGAATGTACAACATGAAGAGCATATCCTAATGTAAACTGTGGATTCTGGGGGATAATGATGTTTTAATGTAGGTTCATCAAATGTAACAAATATACCACTCTGTTAGGAGATATGGACAATGAAGGAGGCTATGCATGTGTGAAGACAGGGAATCTATGGAAAATCTCTGTACTTTCATCTCAATTTTGCTAGGGACCTAAAACTGCTTTAAAAAATAAAGTCTTTATTACAAAAATATTTTTAAATAGGCAAAAAGATCTAAGGAGACACCTCAACCAGAGAAGATATACAGATGGCAAATAAACATGAAAAAGTGTTCCACGTTGTATGTTATTACGGACTGAAAATTAAAACAACAATAAGATATCACTATATGCCTATTAGAATGACTAAAATGAAAAAAAATCTGACAATACTAATTACTGGCAAGGATGCAGATAAACAGGAACTGTCATGTATTGCTGGTGGGAATGCAAAATGATAGGATCACTTTGGAAGACAGTTTGGTAGTTTCTTACAAAGCTTAACCTAGTTTTACTATGTAATTCATCACGTGCACTCCTAGCTATCCACTCAAGTGATTTAAAAACTTATGTTTCTGCAAAAACCTACATGCACAAGTTTATAGCAGCTTTATTTATAATCATCGAAAACCAGAAGCAATCAAGATGTCCTTCAACAGGCAAATGAATTTTAAAAAACTGTTGTGTACACATACAGTAGAATATTATTCACTGAGAAAAAGAAAGAAGCTATTGATCTATGAAGGAACATGGATGAATCTTAAATGCATGTTGTAAGTGAAAAGAAGCCAGTATAGAAAGGGTACATATGCTATGATTCTAATTATATGATGTTCCACCATGATTGCTAGATCATATGGTAACAGTAAGTTTAGTTTTATAAAAAAATCACCAAACTGTCTTCCAAAGTGGCTGTACCATGTTGCATTTCCACCAACAATGAAGGAGAGTTCTTGTTGCTCCACATCCTCACCAGCGTTTTGTGTTGTCAGTGTTCTGGATTTTGGTCATTCCAATCTTTCGACTTTTATTCTTGCTCAGTATTATATTGACTATTCTAGGTCTTTGGTTCTCCTTATAAATTAATAATCAACTTGTAAATATTTGCAAAATGTTTGCAAAACTCTATAAAGAAGATTAAAAATAGAAGGTTAGTGGTTTCCTGGAGGGAGGGAGAGAGGAGGGTTGAATAGGTGAAGCACTAGGGATTTTTTAGGGTGGTGAAAATATCCTGTACAATATTGTAATTGTGGCCAAATGACACTTTGCCAAAACGCATTGAACTTTGCAGTTCAAAGAGTGAAAATCCATATAAATTTTAAAAATCATTTAAGAGTTTGGGAGAATGTCAGGATGAAATGCAAAATGTGACAATATAATTTCTTTATTATTTATTTATTTTTATTTTTATTTTTATTTTATTTTACCTTTTAAATTTTTTATTATTATACTTTAAGTTTTAGGGTACATGTGCACAATGTTCAGGTTAGTTACATATGTATACATGCGACATGCTGGTGCGCTGCACCCACTAACTTGTCATCTAGCATTAGGTATATCTCCCGATGCTATCCCTCCCCCCTCCCCCCACCCCACAACAGTCCCCAGAGTGTGATGTTCCCCTTCCTGTGTCCATGTGTTCTCATTGTTCAGTTCCCACCTATGAGTGAGAATATGCGGTGTTTGGTTTTTTGTTCTTGCAATAGTTTACTGAGAATGATGATTTCCAATTTCATCCATGTCCCAACAAAGGACATGAACTCATCATTTTTTATGGCCACATAGTATTCCATCGTGTATATGTGCCACATTTTCTTAATCTAGTCTATCATTGTTGGACATTTGGATTGGTTCCAAGTCTTCGCTATTGTGAATAGTGCCACAGTAAACATACGTGTGCATGTGTCTTTATAGCAGCATGATTTATATTCCTTTGGGTATATACCCAGTAATGGGATGGCTGGGTCAAATGGTATTTCTAGTTCTAGATCCCTGAGGAATCGCCACACTGACTTCCACAATGGTTGAACTAGTTTACAGTCCCACCAACAGTGTAAAAGTGTTCCTATTTCTCCACATCCTCTCCAGCACCTGTTGTTTCCTGACTTTTTAATGATTGCCATTCTAACTGGTGTGAGATGATATCTCACTGTGGTTTTGATTTGCATTTCTCTGATGGCCAGTGATGGTGAGCATTTTTTCATGTGTTTTTGGCTGCATAAATGTCTTCTTTTGAGAAGTGTCTGTTCATGTCCTTCGCCCACTTTTTGATGGGGTTGTTTGTTTTTTTCTTGTAAATTTGTTTGAGTTCATTGTAGATTCTTGATATTAGCCCTTTGTCAGATGAGTAGGTTGCGAAAATTTTCTCCCATTTTGTGGGTTGCCTGTTCATGCTGATGGTAGTTTCTTTTGCTGTGCAGAAGCTCTTGAGTTTAATGAGATCCCATTTGTCAATTTTGTCTTTTGTTGCCATTGCTTTTGGTGTTTTAGACATGAAGTCCTTGCCCATGCCTATGTCCTGAATGGTAATGCCTAGGTTTTCTTCTAGGGTTTTTATGGTTTTAGGTCTAACGTTTAAGTCTTTAATCCATCTTGAATTGATTTTTGTATAAGGTGTAAGGAAGGGATCCAGTTTCAGCTTTCTACATATGACTAGCCAGTTTTCCCAGCACCATTTATTAAATAGGGAATCCTTTCCCATTGCTTGTTTTTCTCAGGTTTGTCAAAGATCAGATAGTTGTAGATATGTGGCATTATTTTTGAGGGCTCTGTTCTGTACCATTGATCTATAGCTCTGTTTTGGTACCAGTACCATGCTGTTTTGGTTACTGTAGCCTTGTAGTATAGTTTGAAGTCAGGTAGTGTGATGCCTCCAACTTTGTTCTTTTGGCTTAGGATTGACTTGGTGATGTGGGCTCTTTTTTGGTTCCATATGAACTTTAAAGTAGTTTGTTCCATGTACAAAAATCACAAGCATTCTTATACACCAATAACAGACAAACAGAGAGCCAAATCATGAGTGAACTCCCATTCACAATTGCTTCAAAGAGAATAAAATACCTTGGAATCCACCTTACAAGGGACGTGAAGGACCTCTTCAAAGAGAACTACAAACCACTGCTCAATGAAATAAAAGAAGATAGAAACAAATGGAAGAACATTCCATGCTCATGGGTAGGAAGAATCAATATCGTGAAAATGGCCATATAACTTAATTGTATCACAGTTAGTATAAAAAACTCTCACTGAAGACGGTAGGGACAAAAGTGCTGGCCTACATAACTTTGAAAATAAGTGGAGTCTGTAAAACTAAAGGTCAAAGAAACTACACATAAGTACTGCAGTATAGTTAATAAAGTTGTTTCTCATAAAGTTATTGGTTAACGATTCTGATGTTTTTACACATGTATACCAAAATTAAACAATTAATAAATGGATGGCAGATCATGGCAGGCAGTTTCTCACTGTTGGAGCAGGAGTTTGCAGATAAGCAAGGGGGAGATGGAATGATCCATGTACTAATGGATCAGAGTCGGAGATGTCAGTATGAACTTAAGTTTAGCTTAATATGGATATATATAAACACCAATTATTTCTACATAAAGAAATATTTCTGTATAAGTACATAAACACAGGTTACTAAGGGACTAGAAGCAAAGACACACAAGAGCAATGAGCATACCCAGATCTTGGTTTCTGATGCCACTATCTGAAAAAAGAAACTAGGACTCCTTAGAGAAATGGCTGATTCTACGACTGGGGCAGGAAATATACAAGATGAACCTGAAATCCCTTGTAGAACCAGAAAGTGAGGAAGGGCTCATTAAAAAGTGGGGGGAGTGGGGAGAGACAAGAGATGAACCTCTCATGCAGAATAGTTCTAAAGAATTTGTATGAATACTCAAGGAAGTGGAACATAACTCTCCACTCCTTACACTTGGAAAGAGGGAGGGAAAGAATAACTTTACAATGAAAAAGACTTTCAAACACTGTCTCCTCTGGGTGACGAAGGACAACATAGAAAGGGACAAGTTATGTTGATAGTATATACTCCTGATGTGACATGATGAAAATGGCACATTAACTTTGCCTCTGAGGTCTTTCTAATCAAAAATCCCATAACTCCAGTCTAATCAAGAGAAAATTATCAGACACATCTTCACAAAGAGACATGCTGCAAAATACCTGACCAGTATTCTTTAAATCATCAAGGTCATCAAAAGCAAGGAAAGTCTGAGAAACTGTCACAGCCAAGAGGAACCTAAGGAGACCCAACATCTAAATAAAATAAATAAATCCCCGTCCAGGATGGGGTCCTGGGACAGAAAAATACATGAGGCACGACTAAAGGAACCTGAATAAGATATGAACTTTAATTAATAATAATGTGACAATTGGTTCATTAATTGTAACAAATATACCATGGTATTGTAGGATAGGAGAAACTGAGTGCAAGACACATGGGAACTCCATGTGCTAGCTCCACAATTTTTCTATAAATTTAAAATTGTTCTAAAAATAAAGCTTGTTTAAGAAAATAAAAACAGGGGGATGGCAGCTAGATGCTAGGCTACAGACTATCAATGCATAAGATTTTAATCCCTAAATCATTAGTCCCTGCATCGTTAGGACTTAACCTGCATCAGTTTCCAGGGCGAAGGAAACTCGATGAAAGGAAACTTCTTACATTCATATGCCTTGTCACACTGTGAGTCACACTCACCAAATGGTCTCTCCAATTTACTGATTATATTAATACTCCTAAATTACTCATCTATACCTTCACCCACTTAAAATAATTGGGTTTTTTATTAAATACAGTATGTATGTTATTTTCTTGGGCTGAAACAACTCAATTAAATTACCACTAACTCAAAAGGAAATCAGAAATATAAAAAGTTTCATTCTCGGAATACTGTCTCTGGGAGAAAAAGGCGGGTTTTCGGTTTTTGCTTTATTTTAGTTTGTTTTTTGGTACTCTTCAATGTAACTATAAGAATGGAAGTCATGGGAGAATAAAGGGAAAACAAGAAGGCCTGGTTACTGTTGTGGAAGAAAGACTTTCTTAGGAGAAAGGTTGAGGAATTTACTAGAGAGCAATGTCAGGAAAAATGAGAATCTGGAGGCCGGGCTAGGCACACATCAAAGGAATCTGCATCTAATTACTCAGAAAGAAGAAACTGAAAAAGAGAGGTTTTTGTTTCTAGATTGGAAAGGGTGACTACTAACATCCAAAAAAGTAAACAAATAACAGAAAACTAACAGAAGAGACCCCTCCCCAGGAACTAGTTATATAAAGTGGGCACATATTTGAGAAGAGAAAACCAGGAAAATTAGCCGAAATAGTATTACGTGATTTTCAGATTCACATATATGTTGTAGGTAAAGATGCAGGTATTTCCAGTGTGAGAGAGAAACATAATCAAGATATTTGAAGAGTCAGCTCTCATAGAAAAGAAACAATGAAAATGAGATCTACTAAGGCTAGCAAGGGGCAGGAGTAATATATGAGGTCAAGGTTTAGGTCAGATGCTGTTCTGATAGAATAATTCCTAAGTGGCATTACCCACAGTGGGGAAAAGTTGGACAAAATATGTTTGAATAAAGCCTCTTTTATTAGAACTAGAATTTATCAACTTCCTATCTCTCACTGTGGAGAACTCCATAAACATATTTAAAGAAAGTATTTAAAAAAAACCACCTGAGAACGTGAAAGCAAATGGAATATTAAAGGAATTTGAAGGCATTATATTCCAACAAATAGTTACCCATAAGATGGTAGAAAAGGAAATAGATCACATTTAGAAATAGTTTGAGTTTATATATCACCTGACCATGCCTAAAATGAGTAGGCGAGTACAGCATGGAGACCATAATTTAAAATATTGTATTGAATACTTGAAATTGCCAAAAGGACAGATCTTGAGTGTTCTCACCACACATATACAAAAAAAAGGTCACTATGTGAAGCGATGGCTATGTTAACTAGCTAGATTATGGTGAGCATTTCACAATGTATACATAAATCAAAATAGGAAGTTGCACACCCTAAATATATACAATTTCTATTTATCACTTATACCCTAATAAAGCTGAAAATATTAAAATATTTTAAAAAATACATATAAAGTTGATTTTATTTAAGTACAAAAATAAAATGAAATGAGTGGGCATTCGTGAGGGGGCTTTAAACTGTAGAGGAATATCTCACCAGCAGGAGACAGGTTGGGGAGATGTCTTCAACCTAAATTTTACTCTCAAACTGGAACATTCAAAAGCAGAGGAAGACAGAGTTTTGAGGAGCCAATGGCAGAGATGTTGGCCTTGCTAGGCCCTTTGGGGTTATAGGATTCAGAAGCAGCAACAGAGTATACATTGGTTTTAGAGTGAGGGGGTTTATCACAAGCTTGAAATGTTTCTGTGTGGGGGAGAAGTTTATGTTGGGGTCAGACTGTCTCTGGGTGGAGGGGAGATTATCTCGGGTCTGGCATGCCTCTGGTAGGGGAGAGGTTTGGAATTTTTTTGGTCAGAGATATTATTTGTGGTTTATGGTCATGCTGACCTTAGCCAGAAGGCTGATGACCTTTGGATTTAGGCAGTTTTTGATCAAGGTGAACTTAAAATGACAGTGCTTGTCCAAGATGGCAATACTCCTGCTCTGTCACCAGCGATAACAGGTTTTTTAAAAATATTGCATTACAAACACATTTAAAGGAAATTTTACTATTAGGAAATATATTCACTTACAGGCAAACAGGATTTCTCTTCTTGCCTGAGAATACATGCTCCAGCTATCAATACCATTTAGTGTGGACACCCCTCATCAACACTAAGTTTTACCAAGCACATGAGGAAACATGCATCACTTACAGGACTTACTCAAAAACAAATCCACCTCCAGCCCCAGAAAGCAGACATAAAAAGAGACACAATTTTTTTCTTATTAAAATTATATTCTCAGGGATACTAAATTTAGAAAAACAAGCTATCACTGTAGAAGGAAAATAATTTTAATAAATTGAGAACATTGTTTTAAAGCACATGGTCTATGATTCACATTACATGACTCTGTGCAAACAACCCCAGGTACCAGCCCGGAGCCTGGTAGACCTGCTGGGTGGTTAGATCCAGAAGAACAATAACAATCACTACAGCTCAGCTCTCAGGAAGCCACATCCCTAGGAAAAGGGGAAAGTGCTATGTCAAGGGAACACCCCATGGGCAAAAGAATCTGAACAACAGCCTTGAGCCCTAGACTTTCCCTTTGACATAGTCTACCCAAATGAGAAGGAACTAGAAAAACAATTCTGGTAATATGACAAAACAAAGTTCTTTAACACCCCCAAATAATCACACTAGTTCACCAGCAATGGATCCAAACAAAAAAGAAATCCGTGATTTACCTGAAAAAGAATTCAAAAGGTCAGCTATTAACCTAATCAAGAAGGCATCATAGAAAGGTGAAGTTCAATTTAAGGAAATCAAAAAATGATACAAGAAATGAGAAGAGACATCTTCAGTGAAATATATAGCATAAATAAAAAAACAATCAAAACTTCAAGAAATAGTGGATGCACTTTGAGAAATGCAAAATACTCTGGAAAGTCTCAGCAATAGAATTGAACAGGCAGAAGAAAAAACCTCAACCTCAAAGATAAAGTTTTTAAATTAACCCAATCCAACAAAGACAAAGAAAAAATGAACAAAGACTCCAAAAAGATTTGGATTACATTAAATGACCAAACCTAAGAGTAACTGGTGTTCCTGAGGAGGAAGAGAAATCTAAAAGTTTGGAAAACGTATTTGGGGGAATAAATGAGGAAAACTCCACTGGCCTTGCTAGAGACCTAGATATCCAAATACAAGAAGCTCAAAGAATACTTGGGAAATTCATCATAAAAAGATCATTGCCTAGGCACATTGTCATCAGGTTATCTAAAGTTAACACAAAGGAAAGAATCTTAAGAGCCACAAGGGAAAAGCATCAGGTAACCTATAAAGGAAAACCTCAAGGGAAAAGCATCAGGTAACCTGTAAAGGAAAACCTATCAGATTAACAGCAGGTTTCTCAGCAGAAACCCTACATACTAGAAGGGCTTAGGGCCCTATCTTCAACCTCCTTAAACAAAACAATTATCAGCAAATAATTTTGTACCCAGCAAAACTAACCTTCATAAATGAAGGAAAGATACAAAGGGAAATCTATCAGATTAACAGCAGATTTCTCAGCAGAAACCCTGCAAGCTAGAAGGGATTAGGTCTCTATCTTCAGCCCCCTAAAACAAAACAATATCAGCCAAGAATTTTGTAGCCAGCCAAACTAACCTTCATAAATGAAGGAAAGATACAGTCTTTTTCAGACAAACAAATGCCGAGTGAGTCACCACTACAAAGCCAGCACTACAAGAACTGATAAAAGAAGCTCTAAATCTTGAAATGAATCCTGAACACATCAAAACAGAACCTCTTTAAAGCATAAATTTCACAGGACCTATAAAACAAAAATACAACTAAAAAAAATTAGCATGATAAATTAAACAGTTCCTCACATCTCAAAACTAATATTGAATGTAAATGGTCTAAATGTTCCACTTAAAAGATGCAGAATGGATAGGAATTCACCAATCAATTATCTGCTGCCTTCAAGAGACACATCTAACACATAAGGACTCACATAAACTTAAGGTAAAGAGGTGGAAGAAGACATTCCATGCAAATGGATGCCAAAAGCAAGCAGTAGTAGCTATTCTTTTATCAGACAAAACAAACTTTAAAGCAACAGCAGTTTAAAAAGACAAAGAGGGATAAAAGGCCTTGCCCAACAGGAAAATATGGCAATCCTGAATATGTATGCACCTAACTCTGGAGCTCCCAAATTTATAAAACAAGTACTATTAGACCTAAGAAATGGGATAGACAGCAACACAATAATAGTGGGGGACTTCAATACTGCCCTGAGGGCACTAGACAAGTCATCAAAACAGAAAGTCTCAATGGATTTAAAAGAAAGTCACAGAAAGAAACAATGGATTTAAACTATACCCTGGAATAAATAGACTTAACAGATATTTACAGAACATTCTACCCAACAACCTCAGAGTATACGTTCTATTCAACAGTGCATGGAACTTTCTCCAAGATAAACCATATGATAGGCCACAAAACAAGTCTCAATAAATTTAAGAAAATTGAAATTATATCAAATACTCTGTCAGACCAGAGTGGAATAAAACTGGAAATCAACTCCAAAGGGAACCTTCAAAACCACGCAATTATGTGGAAATTAAATAACCTGCTCCAGAATGATCATTGGGTCAACAATGAAATCAAGATGTAAGTTAAAAATTCTTCAAAATGAATGACAGTAGTGACACAACCTATCGAAACCTCTGGGATACAGCAAAGGTGTTGCTAAGAGGAAAGTTCATAGCCCTGAATGCCTACATCAAAAAGTCTGGAAAACTTTCTAAGTCTTTCTAAACAATCTAAGGTCACACCACAAGGAACTAGAGAAACAAGAACAAACCAAATCCAAACCCAGCAGAAGAAAGGAAATAACCAAGATCAGAGCAGAACTATATCAAATTGAAACCAAAAAAAAAAAGATAAAAGAAACAAAAAGCTGGTTCTTTGAAAAGATAAATAAAATTGATAGACCATTCACAAGATTAACCAAGACAAGAAGAGAGAAAATCCAAATAACCTCACTAAGAAACAAAACAAGAGATATTACAACTGACACCACAGAAATACAAAAGATCATTTAGGGCTACTATAACACCTTTATGCACATAAACTAGGAAACTTAGAGGAGATGAATAAATTCCTGGAAACATACAACCCTCCTAGCTTAAATCAGGAAGAATTAGATACCCTGAACAGACCAATAACAAGAAGCAAGATTGAAATGGTAGTTTCAAAATTACCGACAACAAAAAAAGTCCAGGACCAGACAGATTCACAGCAGAATTCTACCAGACATTCAAAGAAGAATTGGTACCAATTCTATTGATATTATTCTACAAGATAAAGAAAGAGGTAATTTTCCCTAAATTATTCTCTGAAGCCAGTATCATCCTAATACTAGGAAAGGACATAACCAAAAATGAAAACATAGATGCTAAAATCCTTAACAAAATACTAGCTAACTAAATCCAACAACATATCAAAAAGATAACCCACCATGATCAAGTGGTTTCATACCAGGGATGCAGGGATGGTTTAACTTACACAAGTCAATATGTAATACACCACACAAACAGAATTAAAAACAAAATCGAAAGATCATCTTGATAGATACAGAAAAGGCATTTGACAAAATCATTTTATGAATAAAACTCAGAAAAATCAGCATACAAGGATCGTACCTCAATGTAGTAAAAGCCATCTATGACAAACCCACAACCAAGTTAATACTGAATGAGGAAAAATTGAAAGCATTCTCTCTGAGAACTGGAACAAGACAAGGATACCCACTTTCACCACTTTTATTCAATATAGTACTGGAAGTTTTAGCCAGAGCAATTAGACAAGAGAAAGAAATAAAGGGCATCCAGATTGGTAAAGAACAACACAAACTGTCACTGTTTGCTGATGATATGATTGTATACCTAGAAAACCCTAAAGACTCCTCCAAAAAGCTCCTAGATCTCATAAATGAATTCAGCAAAGTTTCAGGATACAAAATTAATGTGTGCAAACCAGTAGCCTTCCTATACCCCAACAGCGACCAAACTGAGAATCAAATCAAGAACTCAACTCCTTTTACAATAGCTGCAGATGTATATAGGAATATACCTAATCAAGGAGATAAAAGACCTCTACAAGGAAAACTACAAAACACCGCTGAAAGAAATCATAGATGACAGAAACAAACAGAAACATATCCTATGCTCATGGATGGGTAGAGTCAATATTGTGAAAATGATCATACTACCAAAAGCAATCTACAAATTCAATGCAATTCCCATCATAATACCACCATCATTCTTCACAGAACTAGAAAAAAATCCTAAATTTCATATGGAACCAAAAAAAGCCTGCATAGCCAAAACAAGACTAAACAAAAAGAACAAATCTGGAGGCATCACACTATCTGATTTCAAATTATACTATAAGGCCATAGTCACCAAAACAGCATGGTACTGGTATAAAAATAGACACATAGACCAATGGAACAGAATGGAGAACTCAGAAATAAACCAAAATACTTACAGCCAAATGATCTTCAACAAAGCAAGCAAAAACATAAAGTGGGGAAAGGACACCGTATTCAACAAATTGTGCTGGGATAATTGGCAAGCCACATGTGGAATAATGAAACTGGATCCTCATCTCTCACCTTATAAAAATATCAACACAAGATGGATAAGGACTTAAATCTAAGACCTGAAATTATAAAAATTCTAGAAGATAACCTTGGAAAAACCCTTCTAAACATTGGCTTAGGCAAGAATTTCGTGGCCAAGAACCTAAAAGAAAATGCAATAAAAACAAAGATAAATAGCTGGGACTTAATTAAACTAAAGAGTTTTGCATGAAAAAGGAACAGTCAACAGAATAAACAGACAACCCATAGACCATGAGAAAATCTTCACAATCTATACATCTGACAAAGGACTAATATCCAGAATCTAAAATGAACTCAAACAAACTAGCAAGAAAAAAATAAACAATCCCATAAAAAGTGGGCAAAGGACATGAATAGACAATTCCCAATAGAAGATATACAAATGGCCAACAAACATATGAAAAAATGCTCAATATCACTAATGATCAGGGAAATGCAAATCAAAATCACAACACAATACCATCTTACTCCCGCAGGAATGGCCATAATCAAAAAATCAAAAACAATAGATGTTTGTGTGGATCCAGTGAAAACGGAACACTTCTATACTGCTGGTGGGAATGTAAACTAGTACAACCACTATGGAAAACAATGTGGAGATTCCTTAAAGAACTAAAAGTAAACTACCATTTGATCCAGCAATCCCACTATTGTGTATCTACCCAGAGGAAAAGAAATCGTTATACAAAAAAGATACTTGCACACGTATGTTTATAACACCACAGTTTGCAGTTACAAAAATGTGGAACCAACACAAATGCCCATCAACCAACAAGTGGATAAAGAAACTGTGATATATATATGTGTGTGTATATATATATCACATATACATATATATACGTGTGTATATATATATCACACATAGATATACGTGTGTGTATATATATCACATATATATGTTTATATATACGTGTGTGTGTGTATATGATGGAATACTACTCAGCCATAAAAAGGAATGAATTAATGACATCCGCAGCAACCTGAGTAGGATTGGAGACTATTATTCTAAGTGAAGTAACTCAGGAATGGAAAACCAAACATTGGATGTTCTCACTCATAACTGGGACCTAAGCTATGAGGATACAAAGGCATAAAAATGACACAATGGACTTTGGGGACTCAGGAGGAAAGGGTAGGAAGGGGGTGAGGGATAAAAGACTACAAATTGGGTTCATCGTATACTGCTCAGGTGATGGATGTATTCAAAATCTCACAAATCAGCACTGAAGAACTTACTCATGTAACCAAACACCACCTGTCCCCCCAAAACATATGGAAATAAAAAATATAAAATATAAATAAAATAGAGTACATGGTCTAAATGGCAGAATGAACTAGTAAAAATTGAATTAGAGGTATAGATAATGTTAAAATATTTTCTCAGAATACAACACAAAAGAACAAAGAGAAAAGTGTAAAAGAAAATTTTAGAGAGACAGAGAATAAATTCAAAATTTTTGATAAGTATCTAATATGTTAGATACTTATTCTAACATATGGGATACAAAATAAGAAATTTATGGGACCTAATATGGGATACAAAAGAAGATATATGACTTAATATGGGATACAAAATAAGAAAATATAAAGATTGTAAGCAATAAATCATCAATAAAATAATAGAAGAAAAATTTTCAAACGTGAAAGTGACTTAAGAGAGAAAATAATGTTAAAAACACTGCTAAAAGATTGTGGAGAGATTTCTGAATAGAAATATAAAGAGAAAATTTTCAAAGTCTTTAAAATGTAAAATAGGAAGAAAAAAATAAAAATTGCCAACGAAAACATGAACATCATACTGACCTTGACTTCTTTTTTTTCAAATTCCTAAAGGATAACTTCTAAAATAAGATTTCTACCATTTAATTGTGAAGTCAAATAAAGACACTTTACACTGGCAATGATTCTTGAAAGAATTTCTCCACTACAGCAAACACAAAAGGACCAAGAAAATAGTAGTAAGGAAGGAAGGCAATATAGATAATAATTGTCAACAATTACTAATAAAATAGCTCTAAAACTTAAAGAAATCAGAAATACTTCCTAAGACTGTGAAAATAATTTTTTTAACCTAGAAATAAACTTCTAGCTTAATCAAACATGAGTGGGAAGTGACATGGTGGAGAAAAAGAGAAGAGACAGCAGGCAAAGAGGATTTGTAGTATATCTATATGGAAACTTGATAGATACTGACTAGTTATCAATATTAATAGAAAAATATAAAATCCTAGACAAGTGGTTCATAAAAATTAACGTTGTTTCTATCTCTTGCCATAAGCAAATAAATTCAGTAGTTAAACATAAATGAATTAAATATTCATTTCAACCAAAATTGAATAATAACAACAGAAGAAACCTAAGGGAAATGAAGCAGGAAATCTATTACCCAGGAATAGAAAAGTTTATTCAGTTATATAATTAATAAGTATTTAAAATACATTTGGTTAAATTGTGTGCAAAGACATAATAATGCAGTTACGTATGCTCAGATATATATCATGTGTTATGTTAGGAAAAACAAAATGTCCTCAACAAGACTGCCTCCTGCTGAAGTTCTTAAATACTGTACATTGCCTCTTGGTAGGCACAAAAAAAGATGTTAGTTCAAAATTCTGCACCTATTCTTGATATAAACCCCTAAAAAATCAATTAATTAATGGTAATTCTTTAACATGACAAAGGAGATAAGTCAACAAATTTCTAGTGTTTCAAATGAAAAATCTAAAAGCCTGGATTGTCACAAATGAGTAAAGGTTTAAAGCTAGATTGCTTGGGAGCCTTAACAAGCTAATATTGTGCCCCGCTACAAATTGTTGTCTACTTTCCCTTGACCTTCATCCTTGGCAGGAAGCTCATGTAATTCCTCTTCTAGTGCTCTTTATAGTTCCTGTAGTGATAGAGTTTCTGATATTTATTCTGTTATGGTACATTGACAACTTCTATTCCTTCCCATTATTTTAACATGTTGGGAAAAGTGCCTGAGTTAAATGATACTTTTACAATGGACGTAAAAACATCAGTATTAAAAAAGAAACCTGCACATTGAGGTTGCTGACTTCAGGTAGAAAAAGAAAATTCGGATTTCATCTAGCTCTTTGTCTAACTTGAAATGTTATAAAATGATGAGAATCTGCCTAGGCGAATCTCTACAATGGCACAGAGCCTGTTCATGAGCATCTCTGGAAAAGATTGACAACCCTCATGTTCCTCAAGGGACTGAGGAACATTTCTTCAGAGTCTGATTATGTTCAGTTCCAATGGTCTAGTCACTGTACTTTGGTTAGTTAATGCTAAGGTTGATTTTATTTCCAACATTAATCAATAATGTTGATTTTATTTTCTAACGTACTGGCTCACACTTCTACTGTAACTCATATTGAACTAGCAATGAACTGAAACAGATTTTGCTTAAACTATTACTAGTGTAATTTTTAAATCTAATACAAAATTTCAAACATGGTTGATTATAGTTTTGAACTGAGAGGTTTCAAATCCTGATTTTGATATCTACCAAATTTAATAGAACTTTCAGCTTTATGTCCTCAAATTGATAAATTCATTCTCTATTTTCAAAATCAGTTATGTGTCTAATTTAATTTTGGCAAGTCTTAATGAAATTATCATAAACCTTAGTGATTATTTTTTTTGCTAAGGTACCAAATCATTTATTTAATAAATAACTCTAAAATATTATATGAATCACAGCAACTTATTTATTTAAACATTTATGCTTTATGCTTTCACTTATCACCTAGTATATATCAAGAATTGTACATGCTGCTAACAGACAAAATTGATGTGTCTTCTGTGTTCAATGACTCAGTCTATTGGTGGAAAAAATGACCCACATTCACAGTGTGATGTATTCTATAGTAGATACTTGTATGTAGTGTCATTAAATAGTTATCAAAAATTTATCTATGTTAATTTTAGGCTTTTTATAAATCTGAAGTGTCAACTGTGTGTATTTCTTCCTCTTACAAAAGATTTCATATTACAGAAAATGTAACATATTTGTATTTGATCTCCTGAATTTGATAATTATGTTAGACTTATATAACAGAATATTCTTGTTCTTAGGAAATACTGAGATGTTAAAAGCTAAAGACATGATATATGCAGCTCACACTCAAATTGATTAGAAAGATAGTGTATGTATGAGAGAGATAGGAAAAGAGAGAAAGAGAAATTTAAAAAGCAAATGTGCCAAATTATTAAAAATTTGAGTGAAGTATAAAAATTGAGAGTTCTTTGACTATTATTGCAACTTTTCTGCAAGTTTAAAATTATTTCAAGATTTAAAATTTAAAATTCCTAATGCCTGAGCAACACCCCATTCCAATTATATCAGAACCTCTGGGGATAAATCCAGGCATAAGAATTTTTTTATACTTCCAAGGTAATTCTAACGTGAGGTTCAGTTTAAAAAGCACAATACTAAAAATACCCAGAAGCATCAAGAATAGTTAACTCTCCCCTGTGATATCACAGCTCTATGTTACTATTTTACCTCCAAATACTATTGTCCTGTGACAGAAAAAGGGGCTACCAAACAGTCAGAATATCCATTTTATTGCAACGAATCCTCCAGATTTAGAAAGTTCAAATTTACGGAATTTGACAAAATAGCCCCTACTTGTTTCATAAAATGTGTGCTGCTCTCTTATTGAGAGAAGTTCAACACTGTTTCTTGCAGAAGAAATATGTCAAAATTTGTGTTTTGCAATGAGCACTTTTTCCCACCAGGATCATTCTGGTTCCAAATCAAAAAAGTCCAACTAAAATTAGTTTTTAAGTGAAAAAGAAAAATTGATAATGCAAATAACTTGGACTTCAAACATGACAAGATCCAATGGCTCCAACATGTTATCAAAAAGCTTTGATCAGTCTCTCAACTCTCTCCATCCAGCTGCCACGTGACTGCCGGCAACCCCGTATTTCATTGCCTCATCTTAGCAGTTTATTCATACAGCAAACACTTGGTGACACTGACTAGACCTGCTTTAATCACATGGCATTCCTCAACCATCGCTATGGTAAAAAGCTGGCTGCTGTGATGGGCACACATTGAATCACATGCCAACCCCATGGCCTGAGGTTTGGGCAACTATGATCAGAAGTTCTAATGAGACCACAAGGACTGAAGTAGTTTCCCCAAGAAAGGGAGGCTGGGCAGGCTGGCCAATAATCCAACACCTCTCCTATGGCTTCAGCACTGATCATCATCCCCTACACTCTTTTCTTTTCCTCTTTTTATGTTACTTTGTTCAATTATGTTTACGGCAGGGGTTCTAAAAGCTTGTGCTTATGCTCTCATCTCTCCTGGAACTTCCTTGCCTCAAATATTTCTGACTGTCTGATCACATCTACAAGTTCCCCATAACACAAGATGCGACTGATCTAAGAACATGAATATATTTGAAGTTTTATGGGTTTTCCTACTTCTTTATTATACACCTTGGATTTTAAGGTTGTTTTTCTCTACACACCACAAATGATCTCCTCTTGATGGAGAATATTAGTAGTGGAATGAACTGGGAAGATCCATATCCCTTCATTTATTAAAAGAAATTTTAAAAATATCTTTCTGGGTTATCAGAGATAACAACCCCCACAACAAATTACCTCCTGCATATCAGATACAATAATATCTGCCAGGCTGAGGAAATAGGTATGTTTTCCTTACCACAAGAGTTGTTTCTTTGAGTTTCTTGCAAGAGTTGTTGTTTTGGAAGGGGCAAGGTATTAACAGGAGGTGATTTGGTTATTTGTTGCTGTGCCACAAACTACCCCAAATTTAGCACCTTAAAATAATAAACACCTGTTACTTCACCATTTGTGTGGGTTAAGCATTCAGGAGCAGCTTAGCTGGGAGGCCCTGACTTATGGTCTCTCATGAAGTTGTGGTGGAGCTGTCAGCTAGAGCTGCAGTGACCTCAAGGCTCAGCAGGGGGAGATATATTCCCATGCTCATTCATAGTTGCTGGTGTCGGTCCTCAGTTCCTCGCTGTATAGACATAGGCTAAGTGTTCTCACAACGTGGTAAATGGGTTCACTCTCCCTAAGTTTCCCTATGACATGGCAACTGGATCCCCCACAGCAAGCTGTGATTCAAGAGAGGGCAAAAGAGTCCACCCACAATGGAAATCCCAGTCTTTTTGTGACCTAATATCAGAGATGACATCTCATCACTTCGGCCATATTCTATGCAGTTGAAGCAAGTGCAGCCCATCATTCAAAGCCCCAGTAATGAAGCTCCTCTGCTTGAGGGGAGGAATACCAAATAATTTGTAGTCATATCTTTAAAATCATTACAGGAGCACTGGCTCTCCGCATCAGAAATTATGCTATGTGTCTGATAAAAATTAATACTTGCCTTGGCAGCATTATTTGCATACTATATTTTTTTAAGTGGGGATTTAGCTACAGTGAACCTTGAAAGGGATACTGAATGCCATGTGGTACTCACATTCATGGAACTGGGCCTTATATCTCCATCTTTGGAATGCAGCTGCTACCTGGAAGATCTTTCTGTGCTAGCAGCTTAAGCTGGAGGAGCTCCAGTGCACAAATCATAACAAGAGCCTGAGTGTAGAACTAATATCTATGAGGAGAGATGGGTTTCCCCAAGGGGAAAGAGTGAAGAACACATGATGAAGGGAAATGTGGGTAAAGTCCATGACGTTGAGGAGAAAAAATGCAGTGTTCTTTTAGGACACCTCCTTTTCAAAGACCTAAGACTTCCCACTACATTAAAGTTATCATCTTTATACTTCCCATGTACATCACTGTCCTTTAGAAAGACTTTCTGATTTAAATAACTACATGTTCCCTCCCAATAATCTATTTATGTGATCTTTAACAGAGTGGGGACACAGTAGATATTCAGGGGAGAAGCAGTAAATATACCACATTATGCTGCAAGGACTCTGGTGTGAACAGAGCCCAAAATGGAAATATGATAGATTGTTGAAAGTGGAGAAAAGACATTAAAATGAGTGGAGAAGAAACCTGAAAGCGCCGCAGAGAATAAGACTAAAATTTCCAAAGGCCTCTCAGGGAACAGCAGGTGACATATATCAAGAAAGAAAAAAGAAAAAGAAAGCTTATGACAACCAGGTTACAAATATTTGATTGATAGACAAGGCGTGGGGGTCACCAATTCTACCTCGTACAACCAAAGATTGACTTGATCAAAAGAACCAAAAGAGTGTGATCAGAGTCAGCCTATTTTTCAACAAAGTCACAACAGAAATCTAGCATGGCTCTGTTAAGATGTTCTCAGCCCTCAGGAAAAGCAAGAAATAACCCAGCAAGAGCAAGAAAGAACCCAGCAGTTCAAATATCCTCTCATCATTTGAGCACCTTAAGTCTTAATTCTTACCACTATTGAGAAGAACCATGTTTCCAAATAACAGGGCCACACACCTGTTTATAGGAGAAAGGCTCCAATTTTAACACAGTTATCTCTAAGAAAAGGTAATAAGAGATGTAATTATCATCTCTGTACAATATCAATTAGGAATCTTGTCATTGAATTTGGGAGAAAATCCTATTCCAAATGCCTTCAGGCGAGCTTAAGAAACACTGCAGGTTTATATGAGGCTATACACTGGGATCTGGCTCAAATTCTCTGTATCTGATTGGGGACACAGCAAGATAGATTAGCATGGTAAGGGAACATTCTCCCCTGAGAAAAACTCTTCTGCCTCAATGTTATTGCCTGGCTGTCTTTGTGCTGGGCTTTTCCTGAGAACTCCAATAACAATTTCGCTTCTCAGTCTTTCCTCCTACAATCCCTAAAACTGTGAATCTTCCTCAGATTAGCTCTCTCCTCATGAAGCAACACAGGTATTCCAAGCTTCAGATATCTTTTCACCATTTGATTACCTTGTCTTAATTTTCTTATGTATTATTGCTAACTGTAGTCATCCTACACAGAACACTAAGACTTAATCCTCCTATCTGGCTAGTACCCTTTAACAAATCTCTCCCTATTCCTCCCTTCCCCCTTCCCTTCCCAGCCTCTAGGATTCTTGGTTCTACTTTTTACTTCTATGGGATCAACTTTTTTTAGCTTCCATATGTGAGTGAGAACATGCAGCGTTTAATTTTTATGTTCCTGGCTTATTTCACTTAACATAATGTCCTCCAGTTCCATCTGTGTTGCCACAAATGATAAGATTTCATTATTTTATGGCTGTATAATATTCCACTGTGTATGTATACCACAGTTTATCCATTCATTATTGATGAACACCTAGGTTGATTTCCTATCCTAGCTATTGTGAATAGTGCTGCAAGAAACATGAGAGTGCAGATGTCTCTTTAATATAATAATTACCTTTGCTTTGGATAAATTCCTAGTAGTGTGTTCTCTTTATCTTGAGCTTCTTATTTCACATCCTCACCCAATTCTGACAATCCTGGTATTTGAGCTCATTATGTAGACTCCTACTTGTGTTTCACTTTATAGTTCAGATGTGACAATTAGCTCCACATTTTTAGCTATAATGTGGACTGCTCTTATTGACCACAATCCTAATTTTTCTTCTGTCCAGGGTGTTCCAAGATGAAAAAAAAAAAAAAACAGAGGGAGACAAAAGTTAACTCTTGTCCAAGATCTGAGCTTAACTGTAAGTTTTAAAGAATACTTAGAAAGCACGGGTTCCCTGGCACAGATAAAAGTATCCTGGATTCAGGGGTAGAAAAAAAAAGATCTAAGAGGAATTCAACAGAGATAGATGCTTTATAGGTCTCTGAGAAGGGCCCTCTACAACCTGTCTCCCACCCCTAAAACCTACAGCAGATTTGAAGCACACAGGAGGGAGTAACAGAACCTCAAATAAATTTGGAAAAAGGAAAGTAAAAGACAATTGTGTCTGGCCTGGTGAAGCCTGAGGAGGCAGCAAGCCTGGTTAAAGAAAACTTTCTGTCCAGCAGGATAATCTACACAATAGATTAGAAATGACAGGATATGCTCAGTACTTTGGTTGTGGTGATGTTATCACAGGTGGATCCCTAGGGCCAAACTCATCAAGATATATATATACATATTAAATGTGTCCAACTTTTATACACCAATGATACCTCAATAAAGCTTTCAAAAGAATAAAAGAAAGAACTAACTGCATAAAGATGCTTAGACAAATGGTCACTGTCTACCCTGGCATGGTACAGTCAAGGGCAAAATACTTTCTCAGGTTACCAGAATAGGTATGAATATGGTCTGATGGCTGAGCCAGAGAGACGGGTAGTCCTTTGGACAGAGGGACACAGTAGTGGATGTCAGAGGGGACTAAGAACTAGAGCCAAGTAGAAGCTCAAAAGCTTCGGCCAGTGCCAGTGTCAGAGCAACCAGTGGAGACCTGCATGGATAAAGGTGCAGCAGCAGATGACTAACAACCAGGCCCACCCCAGCCCCACTAATGCTTGATAGAATTGTATGCTACCTCAGGAAGAAGGCAGGATGGACGTAGGAGTGGGAGGGCTCTGAAATTACTGGGTTTACCTTGAGTTGACTAGACTTTAACATAATACAGCAAGAAAAATTGACTAAGATCAGATAAAGAAAAGAAAGTGATATTTTTCCACACACTTGGACTCATGGTCTTTGGATTTCATATCCACTGAATAATCAAACAAATAATGGCAACAGGTAAGGTAGAGGTGGACAGGGGGCTGAGGAACCACAGAACAGTGAGATCTAGGAGGTATTGCAGGGCAGGCAGAAGAGTGGACACAGACTGGAAGGACAGATTTTAAACAATAAAATTAATGGAAAGATTTTCATATTGGATGAACGGAATATACAAAGTATTGAAGTTGAGACAAAGCACAGAGCCCTTGAAGAATAGAAAGATTTTTTTAATGTGGGTGGAACATGGAGTGAGATGACGGAGTGGTGAGAGATAGATTCAAGTATTAAACCAGAGTTTTGAATTCTAAAGCCTTTACAACCAACTTCCAGTTTCCAGGAAATACAGGGGATGGAGTGTGAAGTTAACTGACACACACACAAATAAACACCAAGCAAATCTAGAATGTGTGATAGTTCTGAGGACATGTCATCCACTTAATCAGTAAGTTCATTGCATGGGAAGAAAGGAGGGTGAATGTCCTTTGCCGAATATAAAACATAACAACTAAGTGTAGGGAAGGTTCCAGGTTTGGGGGAGACTAAAGTTGATGTAATTTCAATTGTTCTGTTTAAGAAAAATAATACAAAATTAGGAACAGAAATTTGCTAAGGCCCTTGCAGGGTCATGGAAAGGGCCTTTGCAAATGAAAGAATCCAAAAGTTAAGCTTCAATTGCTGTGTAGAAAATTCAAAACTGATCAAATGCAACATGTCAACCTTGTGTGGATCCTAATTTAAATAATTTGCATTCATTCTACAAAAGTGTAAAGACATTTCTGAGACAATCAGGAAAAAAGTATAAACTGAATTAAGCTGGAAAACAGAAATATTTAGTGGAAATTTAAGAGAAATCAAAAACCTTTCTGTATCTTATCATAAACTTGAGTTCTGCGCATGTCTGTATAATGGAAGGGACAAAGGATATTCCTGTCTATCCAGAGGGTTATTTTAGTAGTCCTAAAGCCTCTTCACTGGTAGGCTTGAAACTATAGGGGTTTGTTATAGGAAACTACATGTGCTAGAATATTAAAATAGAATGCAGTGTTCACTTAAAATTGTTTCCAGGGTTCAAAAAATAGGTTGAGTTTACTCATCAACCTTCTGAAAAATAACCGTATGATTATGAACTCATGGTCATGTTATATTTAATGCAGCTAGTAAAAAATGGTCTGCACAGATTCTTCTGCTAAAATTAGGAACACAGGTAACAGCAATCTGTGTTGTAAAGCAACTTGAATAAATTTTAAAAGAAAGAGATAAGCGAAGGAACCATTTACAGAAGCTCTTTAAAGCTATGTTAAGGAATTTCTCTTCAACCTAAGGATATTGGAATGCTATCAAAGAGTATGAAGCCAGTGTATTAGGCCATTTTCCATTTCTACAAAGGAATACCTGAGACTGGGTAAAGATGTTTATTTGATTCACAGTTCTGCAGGCTGTACAAGCATGGTACTAGCGTCTGCTCAGCTTCTGGGGAGGCCTCTGGAAGCTTTTATTCATGGCAGAAGGCTAAGGGCGAACAGGCGTGTCACATGGCAAAAGAGAGAGGAGGAGGTGCCAGGCTCTGTTTAACAATCAGATCTCATGTTAATAACTGAAGGAACTCATTCTTGCCTCGAGGACAGCATCAAGCCATTAATGAGGGATCCACCCTCATAACACAAACACCTCCCACCAGGCCCCACCTCCAACATTGGGGATCACATTTCAGAGTGAGATTTGCAGGGGACGCACATCTAAACCATATCAGCTGGGAAGTAACATGATGAACACTGCACATTAGAAATAGGACTCGTGTTGTTATTTAGACATGGTGCATTGAACACATGTATTTACTTCTGCTATTTCCCAATGTTCCAACAAAATTATAATACAGAAGTAAAAAGAAATACCCAGGGACAAGGAGAATGGAAGAGGAAATGTCAGCAAACAAGAAGTTAAACAAAACTGTAGAATTGGAATGACTCGATGAATATGTAGTGTGTAATCTGCACAAAAATTTGGTCATTTTTCTTCAACTAAAACCTGTGCATTTCTTATTATATGATCCTAGAAATTTTTAAATTGTTCTAAAGAAGGTTGTTTTCTCATTCTCTCTCTTTCCATTGTACTTCCTACCTATGCTGATACTTAGAAAGTGTTTAAGTGTATGGCTTTGTGAAAGTCACTCAATTATATTAAGCTTTTGTTCCTTTATCTGAAAAGTGAACATGATGCAAGAAATAATCAAAAGGCTAAATTAGGGATTAAAAGAGCTAATGAACATACAGCATATATCACCATAGTAGGCACACTGTAATGGTCAATAAATCTTGAGCTATAGAGCCATACATGTGTGAAAATTTAATATATAATTAAGATAGCATCAATCACTGAAGAAAACTTGGTTATTCAATATTTGGGGACTATTACCTACCTAGTTATTTTTAAAAACTAATTTCAGAGCTCTGCCACATAGTAATCACAATAGTTAATTTCAACTGGATGAAAGAGGAGACTGTGTTTTGTTGTTTTTTTTTTTTGTTGAGACAAGAGGCTCACTCTCTCACCCAGGTTGGAGTGCAGTGGCATGATCTCCCGAGTAGCTGGGATTACAGGCATGCACCACCACAGCCAACTCATTTTTGTATTTTTAGTAGAGACAGGGTTTCACCATGTTGGCCAGGCTGGTCTTGAACTCCTGTCCTCAAGTTGATCCACCTGCCTCAGCCTCCCAAAGTGCTGGGATTACAGGCGTGAGCCACCGCACCCGGCCAAATTTATCCTTTCATAGACAACTCTCTGACCAGTCTCCCACTTGGATTTCTAAAATTTTAGATTCATTCTTATTAGAATAATCCAAGTTTCTGCCACTTAAAAGGGCATCCACAAATCTTGCCAAAGATAATACGTCTCCCTAGAAAAATGCATGTAAGCACACATTAAGGAAGTACACACATGATCTACATTGAGAATTTGTAATTGCAACAACAAAAAATTAATCTATATGAGATATCTTTATATGAAAAGGAGGGGAAACAGGACACTAGAAACCTACGTAAATGTGTTATGATTCAAAAACAAACTTATTGGGCCGGGCACAGTGGCTCACACGTGTAATCCCTGTACTTTGGGAGGCCCAGGTGAGAGGAACACTTGAGCCCAGGAGTTCAAGACCAGCCTGAGAAACTTGGAAAAATCTCATCTCCACAAAAAATACAATAATTAGCTGGGCATGGTGGTGCACACCTGTGGTCCCAGCTACTTGGGAGGCTGAAGTGGGAGGATCACTTGAGCCAGGGAGGCAGAGGTTGCAGTGAGCCAATATCCTGCCACTGCACTCCAGCCTGGGTGACCGAGTGAGACCATGTCTAAAAAAAAAAAAAAAAAATTATTTACTCAAGAAAAAGTTTTTCTCTCACCTCACCTCCTAGGATCTCAGGAAAAGTTTTGCCTGAACAGTCCAATACAAGTGCCTATGTCTGTTCTATGGACCTCATTCCCTCTCACCTTCTAAATAAATAAATAGCGAGCAAGCAGTGGAACACAGCAACCAGGAACTTGTGCTCTGGATACTGCCTGCCCTCTATACCAGGTACTACCTTCACAACAACCTTGCCACGTGCCTTCGTCAGCTCATATGTAAAACTGAGATACTAGCAATCATACCTACCTAGGAAGATGGTACTGAAGATTCAATGCATATAGCAAATGCTTAATAAACACTTCCTATTATAAACAGTTGAGGCTATGGAAAGTTGACAAAATACATAAAAGGTAAAATAATTGTGGAATATACATTTATGAATAGTCAATATCCAATGAAATTATTAATATATAAATCACTATCATAATAGTGTAGCCTGAATTTTTAGGAATATCTATGCAATGTTTAATTTTCAGAGACAATTATGTTTAAATGCTAATTATATCATCAGAAAGCTTAATTAATTCAATGCACACAGCAATTTTTCCAATTCACATGAACTTCTCTCAGGCCACAGCGACCTAAAGCAACTTAGTCACCCACAGCACTAGTTTATCTACTCTATCAATGTTCATCTGTCCTGGTAAACCACTCTTTAGTGCTTCCAACAAACTAGTGCATGGTGAAGCTGAAGAAGATTCTGCTTTCTGTCCCGTACAGAGAGCTTCCCACTCATCAATAAAGAGATAAACATCTGGTTGTGAAGGAGCTGAGGTATGAAATTTAGATCTTCTTGCAAGTGCAATGGGAAAATCTTGGAGGTGAAACACAAAAGTGATACGATCTAATTTCTATCCTTAAAAGATCACTCTGACTATTGTGAGGAGACCTGATATGGGACGTAACGAGAATGTTACCAAGACAAGATGGAGGCTGTTAATGTCCTCCAGGAGAGAGAATCATGGCCTGAAGCAGAGCCCTGTAGTAAATATTATGCAAGTGGTCATATTGCAATGCATTATGAGGAGTGAAACCCACTGGATTTGCTAACAACCAGGGCTAGCAGAGAGAAAGGCAAATGTGAATCCAATGTTTGTGAATGACTGAATGAAATAGCTGTTGTTGACTGAGAAGAGATTGGGTAGTGTTCTGGGCTAACTATGCTCCCCCTACTCATATGTTGAAGCCGCCAGTTCCTCAGAGTATGACGGTATTTGGAGACAGGGCCTAAAAAGAGATGATTAAGTTAAATGAGAGTGTTACAGTAGAACAAAACCCAATCTTATGGTGAACTTATTGACTGCTCTATACCTAATTGACTCTGCTATGGCCACACTGATCTTCTTCTTCCTCTCCTTCTCATTCTTCTTCTCCATTTTTATTTTTGAAAGATATGCTTAGATTTGTCCTCTATTTATTTTTAAATTTTATATGTATAAATATATGTGGTGCAATGGTAATTTTGTTATGTGCATATATTGCATACTGAGTAATTCAGGGATTTAGGGTATCCATAACCAGAATAACATAGAGTGCATTTATTAATTAATGTCTCACTATTACCTCTCTCCCACCTCCTCACCCTTCCAAGTCTACATTGACTGTCATTCCACTCTCTACATCTATGTAAACGCATTCTTTTTTTTTTTTTAACACCACGTGTATGAGTGAGAACATGTTATATTTGATTTTCTGTGTCTGGCCTGTTTCACTTAACACATCATCTGTCATGCCCAGTTCCACTCATATTGCTGCAAAGTGAGTGATTTTATTTTTTTCTTTGGAGAGTAGTATTGCCTTGTGTATATGTACCACAATTTCTTTATCCACAAACCTATTGATGGATAGTTAGGCTGATGTCATATCTTTCCTATTGTGAACGTTGCTACCATAAACAGAAGTGCAGATATACTTTTCTTTTTTTTTTTTTTTTTTTTTTTCCTGAGACGGAGTCTCGCTCTGTCGCCCAGGCTGGAGTGCAGTGGCGGGATCTCGGCTCACTGCAAGCTCCGCCTCCCGGGTTCACGCCATTCTCCTGCCTCAGCCTTCCAAGTAGCTGGGACTACAGGCGCCCGCCACTACGCCCGGCTAATTTTTTTGTATTTTTAGTAGAGACGGGGTTTCACCGTTTTAGCCGGGATGGTCCAGATATACTTTTCATATACTGATCTCCTTTCCTTTGGATAGATATCTAGCAGTAAGATTGCTAGATTGAATGATAGTTCTAGTTTGAGTTTATTGAGAAATACTGTTTTTCATAGAGATTGTAATAATTTACATTTCATTCAGAGAGTATACGAGTTCTTCTTACTCCACATCTTCACCCACATCTGTTATTTTTTGTTTTTTTAATCATAGCCATTCTGACTGGGGTATGGTGATATCTCATTGTGGTTTTGATTTTTATTTCTCTGATGATTAGTGATATAGAGCATTTTTCACATACTGTTGGTCATTTCTATGTCTTCTTTGAAAAGATGTCTATTTCTGTCCTTCGTCTACTTCATAATAGAATATCTTCTTGTTGCTGTTGAGTTGTTTGGGTTTCTTGTATATTCTGGATATTATACCCTGTTGATACATAGTTTGCAGATATTTTCTCTCATTTTGTAGATGGTCTGTTGACTCTGTTGATGATTTTGTTTTCTGTGCCAAAACTTTTTAGTTTCAGTCCCATTTATCTATTTTTATTGTAGTTTTCTGTGCTTTTGAGGTTAGCCAACTGAATTGGACCAAATAGGACATCTAGGTAGACAGGTTCACCCACACTGCCCAACTTCACTCCCTACTAGTCCTGTGCTCAGTGGAGGTATTATTCGGAACTGCTAAGGACTTTCTGGTAGTCTAAAATTAGAAGCGAGGCATGGGGAAGCACAAGATGCCTGGTATGCTCTGTAGGAGCTTAACCAGATCAGTCCTGTTCCCCAACCCAGCTTCTGGTCTGCTGCTCCAGCAGACAGCCCTGTGCGTCCCGCTCCTCCCACCTCTCAGCTTTCAGGGTCAGGATTGGTGCAGGGAAGCACATGCTTTATAACATGTGATTATTCAGACATAGGGTATATAAGACACCATTTGTATTCTTGTACTGAGTCCTGCAAATGTTAAATTTGGGCTTTTGGATATTAATTGGGCCCTTTCAAAATGGTGATTATCCTTTAGTTCTGGGACATGTATTTTATTGTTTCATTGCTAATGTCTTTCTCAACATATTCTCAGATTTCTTGGTTTGAAATTCATGATAGTTGATATTTAAAAAAAAATTTGCATCTATGGAACATCTTTTTGCCTTTTTTCCTACTTTACATGAGAGTTTCTTAACTTTATATTTTATTGAATTTGTCAGCTATGTTTACAATTCCACATATTTCATTTGTTTTCTGGTCAATTTTTTAATTTAATTGCTTCCTATTCTATATGAGCATGGTGTCTATTTTTATCTCTCAGGATATATTAATTATCATCTCTTAAAGGTTTCCATTGCCTCTTGTCTCTGTTTTCTCTGCATTCCCTTTTTTTCCTGTTTCTCTGACTCTCATTTGATGGAGATAGTTTTTAATTGTCTAGTGTTCCTTTGATTCTGTTCATAATTAAGAGTAGACACTAAGACAATCAGAAAGCTATATGCAAATTGCAAGAGTTTTGAGGAATCACGTTCTTCACAGCTGGGGGATTGGATGCCCAGGAAGGTACTTTGTGAAGAGCTCCAGGTGCTGCCTCTGATGCTGGGCTGACTCTTCTGAATTATCCACCTGTCTCCTGACTTTCAAGCATCATACTCACTGCTGGCACTTTGGAGCTGGTCTGAGTAAGACTTAGGGTCTCATTTTATTAGAGAAAGCTGGACTTTGCAAGTAACTATCCAACTGTTAAGCAGCAGAATTAGAATGAGAATTCACAGTGTCTTATTACCAAGACCGCACAACACTCCAAGGAAGTAACTACTCAAACGCGCAAATGCAGAACAACCTCAAATTCAACATGTACCATTTTTGTTTTGTCACTTAAGCTATTCCATATACATGCTATAAGGTATAAGTACATGTAATATTATCTAATGTTCCAGAAATTCATACACACCCTTTACAAAAGTCTAGAATAAACAACATTACCATATCATGGATAACTGCCTCCATGTACCCCTGAAACAATGTTGAGAGGAGTAACATTACCTGTCCTGTCTGTAAGAGGAAGACATGGGTCTGTGAATGAAGACCATGTCCTAATGAAATAAAATTAATGTCACATTCTAATAAAATTGACATAGGGATAAAAATTACTCCTACTGAATAAGATGATTCAGAAGATTAAATGGCATTAGTAATGCATAATAGTTTTTTTATTATAATTAGTCATGGCTACAATAGGCTCATAGAATATGAAAACCACTAAACTATTTGTGAAATATATTTTTATGAAGACAACATGTAGTATTAAAATATATGGTCCAGTATCATAAAAGTGTAGCCACAATTGTTAGATAAATCTATGCAAAATTAATCCTCACAGAGAATTATTTTTAATTGCTAATTATATCAGGAGAACACTTAGTTGATTCAATGGACAGAAGGATTCTCCCAATTCACATGAACTCCTCTCACACCACAGGGACTCAATGCCATTCACATGATCTCAGCAGGAGTTAATCCATGTGGTCAAATTTCATTTTACCTGGTTATCCACCTTTTAGTGTTCCAGACAAACTAGCGTATGGTGAAGTTGAAGAAGGTTCTTCTTTATGTCCCATTTAAAGAACCTCCCACTATTCAAGTAAGGGAGAGCCATGTGGGTATGAAATAGCTCAGGTATGTTAGATCTTCTTACAAGTAAAACAAAAAAACCGTAGAAGATTTGAAGCACACAATTTATATGATCTCATTTCCATTTGTAAAAGATCACTCTGACTACTGTGGGGAGAATTGGTATGAGATGTAACAAGAATGTTACAAAGACCAGATGGAGGCTGTTGACATCCTCCGGGAGAGAGAATCACGGCACATACAAGAGCCATGTGCCAGAGAATATGCAAGTGATCATACTGCAATATATTTTGAGGTGGAATCCACTGAATTTTCTAATGGACCTGACCTAGGGAAGAAAAAGGCAAATGTGACTCCCATATATTTGAATAACTGAAGGAAACATCAGTCATTTACTGAAAAGGGATTGGGTGGTGTTATGGGCTGAATTCTGTTCCCTATATTCATATGTTGAAAGGCCAACCCTTTATTCCTTTGAATATGATTGCACTTAGAGAAAGAGCCTAAAAAGAGGTGATCAACTTAAAATGAGGGTGTTACAGTGGGACAAAATCCAATCAGAATGGAGTTCTTATAAGAATTGGAAATGTGCACAGACAGAGAGACTTGAGAAGTGCATATGCACAGAGGCAGCCCCATGTAAGGACACAGCAAGAAGGCAGATATCTAGATACCAAGCAGACAGGCCCCAGAAAAACTGAACCTGCTGACACCTTCATCATGAACTTGTGCATCCAGAACTGTGAAAAAATAATTTCTGTTGTTTAAGACACTCAGTTCATGATATTTTGTTTGGGCAGCTATAACAAAGAAATTCATAGGATAGCAGGTTTTAGGAAGTTGGAATTAAGATGCCTCCTTGGTGCATGGTAAATTTACGACCATTTTAGATGGAAGGTGGATGGCTGAGGTCTTTGACGCATGTACAGGTGCCTAAGCTCCTGCTACAGTCTTGCTCCTTGCTTTGACTCTATCCTATGTCACTGACAGTGTCTCTTTCAGCTCTTTGATCATCTCTGTTTTGGTTGTGTCTGGTGGGTTCATACCTGATATTTATTCTTCCTGATACACTAATCTCTTTCACTCATTGCTGACACTGGAGAAGGTCAGGAATAGGGCATGAGCTGAGTGATATTTGGAAGCATCACATGTTCTCTTCCTGGACTTAGCAGACAAGCAGAAGCCTGCTTCCAACCAGGACTACAGCTTCCTCCACCATACGCACATCTACCTGGCACTCCCTTCTGCTCCTTCTCTCTGACCTCCCTTTACTACCTGAAGGGCCACCATAAGCTACATAGGCAAGACTGTTCATGTTCAGTGTCTTTTTTGAAATAATGTTTGGTGAAACCAGAGATAATCATTTAACATCAGGGCATCTGGTCGGCCTAAGGAGTTACTCTGTGCCTCCCTTAAAGCATGTGAAGCCTAGTTAAAACCGTTTAACTTTCCACATAGCTAGAGAATGTTTCATCTATGGTATTATATTCCTCCTTCAACAAATGTCTCTATTTATGCCAGGAGAAATAAGAAAACAATTTGCCTAATCAGTAGGAAAACTCAAAGTTAACTATAGCAAACCTTATTGTATTAGGAAGCCTCCCTGCAATGCAATGGGACTTTAAAATGTTCAAGGAAAATGTATGTTATATTAAAAAATAACATGAATGGATTCCAATTTTCTTTTGCACCAAAATAAACTCAGACTGACATGCTCTAACATGTCTGAACAGGAGCTACTTGAGGCATCAAGAAAAATAAGAGCAGGTTCAAAAGATCCCCTATAAGAGCAACATGAATTCTTCTAAAATTAAAGAGAGTACAAACATCAAATTCATGGTGAAACTTGGGTAGAAGAAGGTGAAATCCACGATGCTTTCTGAAACACTGATGGGGATAGTGGCCCAAAACATTGGCAGTTTACAAGTAGGTAACTCATTTCAAGAAGGAATGAGATGACGTAGAACCTACAGCCCATAGAGACAGAGGATTCACATCAAATTGCATGGATAAAATTCATCTTGTTTATACTCTATTAGAAGACAACGAATGACTAACAGTACAAACAACAGCCAACACTACAAAATTCTCAATTGGTTTCCCTCACCTGATACTAATTGAATAATTAATGTTGAGTAAAGTTTTCCCTCAATGGATGCCAAAACTGTGGCAAAAAGATAAGCTACAGACAGGAGCAGAGCTTTCCATGAAGTTTTAAATAAGGGGGATGAAGATCTTGAAGCATTTCTTCAAGGAATTGTAATGGGAGATGCAATCTGGCTCTACAAGTAAAATCCGGTAAACAAATACAGTAAAAGCAATAGCTACCAAGAGGTGGAAAAGTCCAGTCAAAGCAAAAGTGGATAAGGAAAGTGCAAAGGTCATGGCAAGAGATTATTGGGAAGCTCAAGGCATTTTTCTCGTTGACTTTCTGGAGGGCAAACGATTGACAATAACGACTTATTCTGAGAATATTTTGAGAAAGCCAAAGCTTTAGTGGAGAAATGCCTGGGGGAGCTTCAGCAGAGTCCTTTACCACAACAGTGCTCCTGCTCATTTCTCTCATCAAACAGGGCTGTTGTGTGAGAGTTCTGATGGAAAATCATTAGGCATCCACATTACAATCTTCATTTGTTTCCTTTGGGTTCCTTTTTGTTTCATAATGTCATAATGTCTGTAAAGGGCATCCATTATTATTCAGTTAATAATGTAAAAAAGACACACCAATATCTGACATGCTGACAAAAATGTATGATGATTGGTCAATAAATATTCTCAATATTCTCCCCTTATGTTGCCCGTTAATGATTAGGATTGGGAAATGGTTGAAACCTGAGTATCAGGTGTTAGAATTAAAACAAACTTCCCAAATGAGACTTTAATTTTGACTCTCTTCCACATATAACAGGAGATAGAAGGATTAAACATCCCCCAAAGCTGTTCCAGGTCACTGGAGAGATTTAAATTTGGGTGTGTATTCAGCTGAGTCTTGAGCAGTGTCTGCACTACTTGAATTTAAAAGTACATGTGTCTTGCTTACTTGCATGAAGACACTTAGTCCATATCTCCTTTATTACTTCTTTTCCTCTACTCAGATCTCAATTCCGTTAAGGATTCAGGCTGGGCCTGAGATCTCACTGACCCAAGGGGGACCAAAGGTCCTATACACTCATCCCAAAATGTTGCAAGACATCAAGTAGGGTAGGGACTAAAATTGCTTATAGCTGCTCAAATCACCACATTACTTGTTTCTATGAGAGTGGGAGAAGGTATGCTTCGACACATAGGATGAAGCCACAGTGGCATGTGAGGGAAAGGAAAGGAAGAGACCTCAAGCCTGTGGCCTCCCTGGACACTGGGAGATGCACTTTAAAGAAAGTAGAATCTGGGCAAAAAGCGAAGGAGAAAAGGCCTTTTTGGTTGTTCTAGTCATTCTTTTTTTTTTTCCTTTTTAGAGACAGGGACCTGCTCTTTTGCTTAGGCTAGAGTTCAGTGGCACAAACGTGGGTCACAGCAGCCTCAATCTCCTGGGCTCAAGTAAACCTTCCATCTCACCTTCCCAAGTCACTGGGACTACAGGCACACCTACTGAGACAGGATAAATTTGTAATTTTTTGTAAAGACAGAGGATCTTACTATGTTGCCCAGGCTGACCTGGAATTCCTGGCATCAAGCAGTCCTCCCACTTCAGCCTCCAAAAGTAGTGGAATTACAGGCATGAGCGACCATGCCAGCCCTGTAGATATTCTTTTTACCTGAGCCTCATTGTCCTGCACTCTATCAATCCCCAATCAGAAGACAGCAGAGCCGCCTGACTACTGTGATAGCTTCTAATAAGCAGGTGTCAACTTCTGCTATTCCTGTAGGAAGAAAAGGAAAAAGAAGTACCTGACTTCAATTCATGTGCTTTGAGCCAACAGCACACAAAAGAAAAAAGATGGAAAGACTTTGTAAATAGGACTCTTGGGACACATTTGATGCACATTTTGTAGCTTTTACGTTTAAATGTATGGTATGATATTAAATACTTATAACATTGCCTCATTAGAGCCAGAGAGAAACATCCAGGCACAAGCTCCAAGTAGAAAAATGATAGTGGGACAAATCCTTCTGGCATTCGAACCACCGGGTGGATTACGATGTAGCATGACTGCCTCTGCCCTCCAATGTTCAGAGCTTGCTTTATTGTACTTTTTGTGTATTGCAAACAGAGCAAATGCATGTGTGCAAGACAAAATAGAAAATTACCCAGTGTACTTCAAAAAACAGAAATAATTGACCAATTATTAAGGAATGAAATAATCAAGAGATAACAAATTGGAAGCAACTTGGATATTGAAATGATGAGACTTTAAAGCAGCTGTTATAGCCATCCTTCAAGAGGTCAATGTGTACACTCTCAAAATAAAAGAAAAAACTTCTCAGCAGAGAAAAATGGAGTATATAAGATAATAAAATAGAAATTTTACAACTGTGATATATAATGTGTAAAATTCTTAAAAATCATTATATGTGATCAACAGCAGAAAGAAAATGATGGAGGAAATAGTGTTCTTGAAGTTGGATTAATAGCAATTATATACTCTGAACACGCAGGGTTAAATAATTGAAAAAAATTTACACTGTGTCACAAATATGAAAGGCTATAACAAATGATGTGATAATCATGCAGTCTGAGTCTCAGAAAAAGAGAACAATGAGGATGGTATTGAAAGAGGACTCAAAGATAGAAAGGCTGAAAATCCCCCAAACTTGGAATGGGCATAAACCTGCAGATCCAAGAAACTGAGCAAATCCCAACCAAAATACATCCAAGGAAATCTATGCCAAGCAACACTGTAGTCAAATTTCTGAGAATTAAAACAAAGAAAATGTTTAAAAGGCAGCTACAAATAAATAATACCATACTTATAGGAAAAACACAATGTGAATAACAGTGGCGTTACTACCAGAAAGAAGAAAACAACAGAAGAATGTAGCTCAAATATTTGAAGTGCTGAAAGAAAAAAATTGCCAACCAGAGGTTTATGTCCAGTAAAACTCTTCTGCAATAAGGAGACAGAAATCCAGTTATTCTCAGACGAATGAAAAGAAAGAAACCTAAGAGAATTTGCTTCTAACAAACCCATTTTTTTAAAAAAATGGCTCAAGGGGCGGGGCGCAGTGGCTCACGCCTGTAATCCCAGCACTTTGGGAGGCCGAGGCAGGTGGAACACGAGGTCAGGAGATCAAGACCATCCTGGCTAACATGGTGAAACCCCGTCTCTAATAAAAATACAAAAAATTAGCTGGGCGTGGTGGTGGGTGCCTGTAGTCCCAGCTGCTGGGGAGGCTGAGGCAGAAGAATGGCGTGAACCTGGGAGGCAGAGCTTGCAGTGAGCTGAGATCATGCCACTGCACTCCAGCCTGGGCGACAGAGCGAGACTCCATCTCAACAACAACAACAAAAAGGCTCAAGGAAGTTCTCTAAACAGAAAGGAGAGTACAGAGGAGGAATTTTCAGAACAGCAAGAATGAAACAAAGAAAGAAAAGAAAAACAAAGAAAAAGAAATTGGGGAAAAAGTAAGTAAACACAAAACATCTTTTCTTTTCAAGTTTTCTGCATGAGTTTCAAATGGCTCAACTGGCTATTGCTAGTGTTGAAGAGGAAAGACGTCCAGGGAATGAGGCAAAAAATAAGATTCTTCTCTGGAGTCCCCAAAACGAAACTAAACCTTGAGACCCAATTCAGAATCCTGAGCTACAAAACTGAAAGACAATAATGTCATGTTGAAGCAAAAATTATAAAACTTGCTGAGGTGGTAAATGCATGTAGAGATATATTTAAGATGATTATATTACAAACAGGGGTGGGTAAATAACGGGAATGTAAAGTTTTCATATTTCAACCCCATAGGGTAAAATGCCCACACCACTAGACTGTCACAAGCTGTGTATACGTAATGTAATACCCACAGCAACCATTAAAAATGCTGTATAGAGAAAGACACTCAAAAACTTTGCAGATCAACTAAAATGGAATCGAAAAAACTTTTCAAGGAACCCACACAAGATAGGGAGAAAGAAAACAAACAAAACAAGTATAAATATAAAATAAACAAAAATGGCTACAAATTATTAACAACTATGTGAAATGAAAATGGTAATTGAAAGTAAATTTCTGCCATTTCAGTTTGTGACTTACACTATTGTATAGATATATACTTAAAGTACAAATATTGACATTACAACTAATTTTACATAAACTCATTCATATCTGCATGCAAATATCTGGAAGAAGCCTGGGTAACTCTCCTTACCCGCCCTGAACCAAACCAGTTCCAGGGGAGTAAGATATCTGTCCTGTGTGTGCTATGATGATTAACAGTCTCCCAGAGACACACCCTTCCTAATTCCCATAACCAGTGTATATGTTAACTTACATGACAAAAGGGTATTAAGTTTGCTAATCAATTGACCTGAATATAGAGAGACTTTACTGAATATCTAAGTACATGCAATGTAATCACAACATCCCTAAATGTTGAGGAGGGAGGCAGAAGAGTCAGTGCCAGGGTGATGTGGTGTGATGTGATGTGATTGATGTGATGTGATGGGAGGCTCATCTGGCTATTGCTGGCATTGAAGATGGAAGAGGGCCAGGGAATGTGGGCCAGAAAATGGGTTCTGCCCTGAAGACTCTAGCATGAAACTCAGCCTTTCCACATGGATTTAAGCCCATGAGACCCATCCGTTACTTCTGAGCTACAAAGCTACTCACTTTATGGTAATGTGTTACTTACTTCAGCAATAGGAAAACTAATATACTTTCCAAACATTCATTTCATGCTTTTTTGTGGCCACTGTAATGTGTTAGTGTCAGTTCATAAAATTAGAGAAGAATAAAATTATCATGGCTATTAACACAAGGCAATTAAGCAAATCTTTCCTCATAAACTAAAAACCACTCTCAAAATTTCATTCCAATGAATAATTATTGAGCCCATATTCAATGGAGAACAGCTAATAATTGTCCCTCCCTCATCCTTGAATAATCCACTCCCCTCAGCCAGGATCTATGCCTCCTTTGTACATATCCTGTGCTTCTCTAGATTTCTACAATTATTCCATCTTCTGTCGTTTAGTGGTGGCCTTGTCCTACAGCTCAGAATCTTCTTAGAAAATGGGGGATAGCAGGAGGACACTCAGGGCTAATAAAAAAGTTGCTTCATTTTCTAAGTTAACAACAACAACAGGGAGAAAAGAGATTGTCTTTAACCTCCATGTTAGATTTTACTAATTGCAACTGGAAACTTTTAGGTTTGGAATGCTTTTATGGGACATTAAAATAACCCCATTGAAAATAGTATGAAATCTCTAGTAAGATAATCAGGGAGAACGAGATGAAAATCACAAACCAGTCCTGGAATGGGCTCTGTTTCCTGTGGAGGTGCTGGGTTTGTATTGAATTAAGAAATGCTTTGATTCACTTTAATAAGAATAATTCACCACGTGTCTAGCATTCTGTTGTCACCTTCCCATAGTCTTAGTAAGTGTAGGATTTCCCTGCATCTGTGGCACCAAAACCCTCCTTTTCCTAACTGCCAAGACCCTTTTACAGGGCTGATATCCTGACATAGAAATGGAGTGTAAATTCACTCCCCAAGAAGGATTTGGTAAAAACACTTGGTCCAGTCATACTCAGAAGTTCCTAAGGGTGGCAGGTGAATGGGACATGTCCTCATGAGCTAGCACCATTTTCTCTCTTCTGCCCAAATGTGGACTCAGCTAACTCAACATAATGCCTGGGAAACAAAGATACAAAATGCGAGCAGAATTTTAGAGTTTAACTTATTAAATCTCTCCTGGAATGTTTCCCAAGGAAAACCAAAGACCAGGAATAAAGAAAAAATACAAAAATCTATGGCCGTACCTAGTGTGCTAGTCATGAGCTCTTCAGAATAAACAGCAGTAATATGTACTAGAAATCAGTGAATAAATGCCTTCCTTTAAGGGTAAGCCTCAAGGGAAATTACACTTTCTCTTAAAAATCAAAGAACCTCCCTGTGTTGGTAATTGTCACAGTCAGCATCATCTCTGGATGGTGTGAAAATGGGTGTGGCCGGGACACAAGCAGAAATGCCCAAATGGATTTGGGCCATGAAGCTGCCCCTTGCTCTTGTAGTCAAATGTGAGATTTTCTCTGACTCCCCCACTGATTGTAAACGAAGGAAGACACAGCTAACATTGACTATTCACTCCATGCTTTGAAGTGAGAACCCTACAAATCCTGAAGAAGTGCAGCATTCCAGAGGGAGCATGTTCTGCAAAGGAGAAACTAGTGGAAGAGCAAGAATTTGAAGTCATAAACCAACCTCATTTCAGTAGGCCTTTGACCACCAATAAAATATGATTTCTAGATTCCTCCATCTACAATCTGCAATCCCCAGTGCATTTAGAGAAGTGCTGGAATATACTTTGCCATGAGAAGTGCTGGAATATACTTTGCCATTTTGGTGGATGTAAGAATCCGATTATTTAGAAATTTGCTCCTATAGGTATTCCCAAGCCTTCTTTCCAGAAGAAATCTCAAATATTCCTCAGGCTATTAAAGTATGTTTAGGGGACTGAGAGTCTTGAAATCTTATGACCCCATGGGTGAGTGGAAGATGGAAAGGGCTTGTGTGAAGGAGTAGGCAGAAAGAGGACCATTCCTAGTTCATAAAGCTTTTAAATACCTTTTTCTTCTGTTCAGTCTAAACAGGGTCTTGGAAGGGGCCTATGCAGAAGAGGGCCCCAAAGTTCAAGCTTCATTACCTTCATAGACCAATCAAATCCGACCAAATGCAACATGTCAGTCTTGTTTGGAGGCTCATTTAAATAAGCCTTTACTGTTGAATAAAATGTAAAAAGGCACATTTTAGACAATCAAGACAACTGCTGTATAAACTAAGTATAGCTATAACATAGTGTCAATATAAGACACATTTAGACTCTTTTTGTTTCTTATCATAAACTTGTGTTTCTGTCTATGTCTGTTTACTAAAAGGCACAAAAAAATTTTTTGTATGATACAGGGAGATTTGTTTTGGCAGTTCTAAAGATGAATAAGTGATAGACTTGAAACTATGTACTTTTACTCTAGAAAACTATATTTATTGGCCTACTAGAGTATGAAAAAGTATTTGTCACTTAAAATTGTCTCTAGAGTTGCAAAGACAGGTTGAGTTTACTCAGTAATCTTGTGAAAGCTAACTGTCTGATTATGAACTCATAGTCATGTTGTATTTAATGCAGCCACTGAAGAGAGGACAGCAGATTCTCCTGTTAAAATTAGGAATACAGGTAATAATAGTTTGTTGTAAAGTAATTTGAATACAGTTACAAAGAAAGAGAAATAAACAATAGGACAATTTGTAGTATCTGTTTTAAACTATAATAAGGAATTTGTTTCTTTATCCTAAGGGCGTTAACACACACTTCATTGAACACATGTACTGATTTCTGCTCTTTCCCAATATCCCAATAAACTTATAATAAAGAATCAAAAAGGAAATTAATACCCAAGGACAAGGAAAACAAAAGAGGAGACGACAGTATAAAATAAATGTAGACAAAACTGTAGAACTGAAATGATGACAATTAACTGAGTTTGTCAATCAACATTGCCGAAACCAGACAGGAAGAAAGGACAGTGGTGCAATCAATTTACACAGGAACACCTGGAAAATTGGCTCTATTTGAATGTTGCATTTTCCTATGCAGAAATTTACATGTACACACATTTTAGTTTATATTCTGTATCAATGTTTAATCATTCTTCAACTGAATCCTGTCCATTTATTGTTATTGGATCCTAGGAATTTTAAGCTGTTCTAATGAATAAGGACATTCTCTCATATTCTCGCTCTCTCTCTATTGTATTTTCTATGCTGATACCTATAAACTTATGGCTTTGGGAAACTCAGTCAATGATATTAAGATTTTTCATCCTCTGAAAAGCGAACATAAATGCAAGAAATCCTCAAACACTATTGTAAAGACTAAAAGAGCAAAGGCATCAGAAACATCACTATAATAGGTAGAAAGGGACAATCAATAAATCTTTAGCTACATAGCCATGCATGTACAGAAATTGAAAATATGATATAGATAACAATCCAATCACCAAAGAAAACTTGGTTATTCCATATTGTTTGGGCCAATCATGTATTCAACTTTTTTCACAATGTGGTGTCTTAATATTTGTATACATTAAGAAAGATTCAATCAAGCTAACCTATCATATTCCAACTTACCCTTTTTTTGTGGTGACAACATTTCCTTTTTTTTTTTTTTTACTTTAAGTTCTGTGATATATGTGCTGAACACGCAGGTTTGTTACACAGGTACACATATGCCATGGTGGTTTGCTGCTCCCATCAACACATCATCTAGGTTACAAGCCCAGTATGCATTAGGTATTTGTCCTAATGCATGCTGGGCTTGTAACCTAGATGACGTGTTACAATGCCTCTCCCTCCCCTTCCCCCCACCTCCTGATAGGCCCTGGTGTGTGATGTTCCCCTCCCTGTGTCCCTGTGTTCTCATTGTTCAAGTCCCACTTGTGAGTGAGAATATGCGGTGTTTGGTTTTCTGTTCCTGTGTTAGTTTGCTGAGGATAATGGTTTCCAGCTTCATCTATGTCCCTGCAAAGGACATGAGCTCATTCTTTTTTATGGCTGCATAGTATTCCATGGTGTATATGTGCCACATTTTCTTTATCCAATCTATCATTGATGGGCATTTGGGTTGGTTCCAAGTCTTTGCTATTGTAAATAGTGCCACAATAAACATATGTGTTCATGTGTCTTTACAGTAGAATGATTTATAATTGCTTTGGTATATACCCAGTAATGAGATTGCTGTGTCAAATGGTATTTCTGGTTCTGAATTCTTGAGGAATTGCCACACTCTCTTCCACAATGGTTGAACTAATTTATACTCCCACCAACAGTGTAAACATGTTCAGATTTTTCTGCATCCTTGCCAGCATCTGTAAATTAATTGGGTTATATGGTCATTTTTATGATATTGATTCTTCCTATCCATGAACACAGAATTTTTTTGTGTCATACTCTTATATTTTGGAAACACACACTGAGGCTTTTGGAGGGTGCAGGGTGGAAGGAGGAAGATGATCAAGAAAAATAACTAATGTTACTAGGCTTAATACCTGGGTGAGGAAATAATCTGTGCAACATACCCCCATCAGAAGTTTACCTATGTAACAAATGTGCACTTGTACCCCTGAACTTAAAATAAGAGTTAAAAAATTATTGTTAACATAAAAAAAGAAAAATCTAAACTCCACCACAAACACTTAGAACTAAAAAACAAGTTCACTAACATTGAAGGATAAATTATCAATATGCAAAAATTAGTAGCATATAACAACAATAAAATAGCATGAAAGAAAAATCAAATATTCAATTCCCTCTACAAAGCTACAAAAAATTAATTACTCAGTAATAAATTTAGCCAAGCAGATTAATACTTGTCAGCTATATGACAGAAAATGTCAGTCAATCATATTGAGCTTTGTTCCTTCATCTGAGAAGTAAACATAATGCAAGAAATTATCAAAGGGCTATTGTAAGGACAAAAGGGCAAATGATATAAAACAGGTATTACTATTCTAAGTATAATGGAATGGTTGTTACATCTTTAGCGATTTACCCATATCTGTATGGAAATTTATTGTATGATTCTGAAGCAATACAACCAATGACTAAAACTTGGTCATTAAATGTTGTTTGGGGATAATTCAATTTCCAATTAGTTTGCAAACTGATTTTAGATCTCTCTCTCACAGCATGGGCTTCCTCACGACATGTGGACAGGTTCCTGAGAGAACAGGTTAGAATTATATGGCATTTTTAGGATCTAGACTCAAAAGTTACTAAGCATCACTTCTTACATACTCTATTGGTCAAAGCAGTTACAATGGTCCACTGAGGTTCAAGTGGGAGGAATCCGATGTCACCAGTTGCAGGGAAGATATCAAGGTCCCATTGTCATCAGAAAGCATGAGGTGAGAGATGATCTTTTGGACGTTTTTGGAAGGTATGATCTGCCACACATTGCAAATTCCAAGATGTTAAAAATGTAAACACGTGCATCTAAAAATCAACAACTGTGGTAAGAAATGTATGGTAGAATTTCTTATCAATGTCATTAAGCAGAAGAGAAGACCCTGTTCTGAGAGAAAATCTATGTGTTCACTTAAAAGAAAAGTAAGTCTGTCATTAATCACTTGAAAATAATCCCTCTTTTAAAGATATCTGTATAATGTTATAACAATATGAGGAAGATTTCTGTTGCTTTGTATAACATATTTAAAAAGTTGTGATTGTATTTCTCCCAGATATCGCTAAAACAGTGGTAAACTAAGGCTAAAAACACTTGACTTTACACTACTCATATTGCCTCTGTCTACGGCCCCAACCACTGAAAAAGTAACACCAACTCTGGGGCCAGGACATTGGAGATGCTCTCAGGCAGAAACCTAATAGCTATCCATGTGATATACAAATTTATCTCTTGATATACAACTCTCTGACCAATCTCCCTCCTGACTTTCTGAAATTTTCAATTTCTTGTGATAAATGAACCAAAATTTCGGTCCCTTAAAATGGTATCCACAATTTAGCTGATGTTTCCTAAGACATGATATAGCGACCAGAAGTTTGATTTTGAGTATTCCAGAAGGAGAAGAAATGAGTAAGAGCATGGAAAAAATTTTTAAACAAAATAGTAGCTAAAAAATTTGTCAAATCTAGCAAGAGACTGGGACACCCAAATACAGGACCTCAAACATATTCAAATTGACACAACCCCAAAAGGCCTTCTCCAAGGCACATAAGAGTCAAAATGTCAAGATCAAAACCAAAGAGAAAATTCTAAAAAGAGTAAGATAAAAGCATCAAGACATATATTAGGGAAGCCTCATCATATTAGGAGTGATTTTCACAGAAGAAACTGTACAGTCTAGGAGATATGAAATAATATATTTAAAGTGTTCAAAGAAAAAAAAATTCTGCCAGCCACAAATACTATCTCCAGATAGATGTGCAGTCCAGAGATGTGCAGTCCAGCCTACATAGCTTATGGTAGCCCTTCAAGTAGGAAAGGAAGGTCAGAGAGAAGGAACAAAGGAGAATGCAGGGCAGACGTGCCTTGCTCTTCCTGTCCGATGAATACAGGAAGACAGCAGGAGATGCTTTTAAATATCAATCCGTTCAGGCATTTTCCTGACCTTCTCCAATGCTTGCAAAGGGTGAAAGAGATGGGTGTATCAGGAAAGAATAAATACCAGCTATAAACTCATGGGAAACAATCAGAATGGAGTTTGCCAAAGATTTGAAAGACAGAGATAGGGTGGGTAAAGCAACAACCATACTCTAGCAGCAGCTCAGGCACCTGGAGATGAGTCAAAGCCCTAAGTAATTCACTTGCCATCTAAAATGGCAGCAAATTTAACATGTCTCAAGTCATGTTCTTGATTTCAACATCCTAAAACCTCTCTCCCTCAAAATATTTTGTTACTTACCTAAGCAATTACCACAGAGTAGTGTCTTAAACAACAGAAATTCATTTTTTCACAGTTTCATTGAGATCATGGTGTCAACAGGTTCAGTGTTTCCTTAGCCTCTAGACATCTGCCTTCTTGCTATGTCCTCAAAAAAGGAGCTGCCTTGGTGCATGTGGATATTTGGTGTCTCTCTGTGTATGCAAATGTCTTCTTCTTATAAGGACACCTAGCAGATGGGACTATGTGCCCCCATAACAGCCTCATTTTAAGTTAATCCACACATTTCTGTTCTTGCCTTCAAATATGGTCATATTCTGAGAAACTAGGAGTGAAGTCTTTCATCATATAAATAAGGGGAAACAGAATTCAGCCCATAGCACTACCCAGTGTCTTCTCAGTCCACGACAGCAGTTTCTTTTTTTTGTTCAAATATATTGGAATCACGCTTGCCTTTCTCTCACCGAAGCCTGGTCCATGAGCAAATCCAGTGGGCTCACCTCTAAATCCCTCGCAATATGAACACTTGCATATTCCCTACTACAGAGCTGTAGTTCATGCCATGATTCTCTCTCAAGGAGGATGTTAAGAACCTTAACCAGGTCTTGATAACATTCTTGTTACATTCCATATCAGTTCTCCCCACAATAGCCAGAGTGACCTTTTACAGATGAAAATTAGATCATATACCATTTGTGCTTCACACCCACCACAGGTTTTTATTACACTGGTAATCAGATTTGAATTTCATATGTCAGCTTCTTCATACCCACATGACTTTCTCTTTCTTAAAAAATGGGAGATTCTTTGAGTAGGACAGAAAGCAGAATCTTCCTCAACTTCATCTTGAACTAGCTTGTCTGCAACGCAAGAGAGTTGTCTACCAGGAGAGATGAACATGAAGAGAGTGGATGGACTTGTGATGTGATTGAGTGAATTGCATTGAGTCCTGTGGTCTGGGAATAGTTCATGGGAATTGGAGGAATCCTTGTGCCCATTGAATCAACTAAGTATTATTTTAATATAATTAGCAATGAAACAAAAATGTCTCAAAAAATTCAAATTTGCATAGATTTTTCTATAAATCCTGACTACACAATTACCATATTGGTTCATATAGTTTATTATTATCTTTTCTCTTATAAACACATATTTCACAATTATTTTAGGGTATTCATATTCATATTCAATGAACACATTGTAGCCATGACTGATTATAATAAAAATATTTCTTAAGCATTTACTGTATGTCATTTAATCTTCAGAATCAGCTTATTAGGTAAGAATAATGTTTACTACTATCTCAGTTTTATAGGTGAGCTGACTGAGGCACATGCCAAAGTTGTTAGAATGGTAATAAGTGGTATAGATGGCTGTCAGTCTTCAGAGCCTATGTTCTTGCTTACTGTACTCCACTACTTTCTTGCTATTTACTTATATATTTATTTACTTCCAAAAAAGTCAGAAGAAACCAGGTCCAGAATATAAACTCAGGTACAAGTGATAGGAAATGTGTAAGGTAAAACTTCTCCTGAGATCTTAAAGGTGAGGTAATAAAAAACTCTTTTCTGAATAAATAAGTTTCTTTCTAAATCATAAACACATTTACACAGGATTCTCCAGACCTGTCTTTCTTTTCATCTTTACACAAAATATACTCATTAGAATATGAGCATCTTTGGGATGCCCATGTTTTCCTCCCACAGAGAGGATAGGTAATCTTACTTTTCTCCAATTTGTTTTAGTAGTGTGTGTGGAGGTACTTATCCAGGATTTGATAATGCACTACTTGGTCCTATTCAGTTGGCTCTCTTTACAGAGAAGCATCCATTTTTTTCTTGGGTGCCACATAGCAGACACAGTAAATTTATTATCTTTTCAAATTCTTCACCTGCCTCGTCAGGCCTGGAAGAGCATATAGCTCAGCCCCTGCTCACTCCTATAATTTCTGTTTTATTTATGAACTTTAAAAATACTTACTAATGAGAATAAAAAGAATGAACAATGCCTTTGATTTTGGTATTTTTGTGGAGCCCCCTCTAAACTGCAGGGCCTGGGAAAGCAGATCTTCTTGAAATACAGAGTGCCCAACATAATAAATGAAAAAGACCTACATCAACTTATATCTAATTAAATCTTAATGATAAGAAAGATCTTGAAGATTCCACTTTAAAAAAGCGTCATGATGTAGTAACAGCTCTGGTCTGCAGCTCCTAGCAAGATCAATGCAGAAGGCAGTTGATTTCTGCATTTCCAACTGAGCTACCCAGCTCATCTCACTGGGACTGGTTAGATAGTGGGTGCAGCCCATGGAGGACAAGCAGAAGCAAGGTAGGGTGTCGCCTCACTCCGGAAGTGCAAGGAGTTGGGAAACTCCCTCCCCTAGCAAAGGGAAGCCATGACAGACTGTGCCATGAGGAACAGTGCATTCCAGCCCAGATACTACGCTTTTTCCACGGTCTTCACAACCCACAGACCAGGAGATTCCCTCCGGTGCCTATGCGACCAGGGCCCTGGGTTTCAAGCACAAAACTGGGTGGCCATTTGGGCAGACTCCAAGCTAGCTGCAGGAGTTTCCTTTCTAACCCCAAGGGCACCTGGAATGCCAGCAAGACAGAACAGTTCACTCCCCTGGAAAGGGAGTTGAAGCCAGGGAGCCAAGTGGTCTAGCTCAGTGATTCCCACTCCCACAGAGCCCAGAAAGCTAAGATCTACTGGCTTGAAATTCTTGCTGCCAGCACAGCAGTCTGAAGTCCACCTGGGACACTCCAGCTTGGTGGGAGGAAAGGTGCCCACCATTACTGAGGCTTCAGTAGGCAGTTTTCCCCTCACAGCATAAATAAAGCCACCGGGAAGTTTGAACTGGGTGGAGCCCACTGCAGCTTGGCAAAGCCACTGTAGCCAGACTGTCTCTCTAGATTCCTCCTCTCCGGGCAGTGCATCTCTGAAAGAAAGGCCGCAGACCCACTCGGGGCCTTACAGATCAAAGTCCCATCTCCCTGGGACAGAGTACCTGGGGGAAGGGGCAGCTGTGGGCACAGCTTCAGCAGACTTAAATGTTCCTGCCTGGCAGCCGATCTCCCAGCTCAGTGCTCGAGCTCTGCAGAAGGACAGACTGCCTCCTCAAGTAGGTCCCTGACCCCCGTGGCTCATGACTGGGTGACACCTCCCAGCAGGGGTCAACAGACACCTTATACAGGAGAGTTCTGGCTGGCATCCGCTGGGTGCCCCTCTGGGACAAAGCTTCTAGAGGAAGGAACAGGTAGCAATTTTTGCTGTTTTTCAGCCTCTGCTGGTGATACCCAGACAAGTAGGGTCTAGAGCGGACCTCCAGCAAACTCCAGCAGACCTGCAGCAGAGGGACCTAACTGTTAGAAGGAAAACTAACAAACAGAAAGGAACAGTATTAACATCAACAAAAAAGTCATCCTCACCAAAACCCCATCCGAAAGTCACCAACATCAAAGACTTTGGTCTTTGATAAATCTTCATAGATAAATCCACGATGATGGGGAGAAACCAGTGCAAAAAGCCTGAAAATTGCAAAAACCAGAATGCCTCTTCTCCTCCAAATGATCATAACTCCTTGACAGCAAGGGAACAAAACTGGACAGAGAATGAGTTTGACAAATTGACAGAAGTAGGCTTCAGAAGGTGGGTAATAAAAACTCATCTGAGCTAAAGGAGCATGTTCTAACCCAATGCTAGGAAGCTAAGAACCTTGAAAAAAGGTTAGACTAATGGCTAACTAGAATAGCTAGTTTAGAGAAAAACATAAATGACCTGATGGAGCTGAAAAACACAGCACAAGAACTTTGTGAAGCATACACAAGTACCAATAGCTGAATTGAACAAGCAGAAGAAAGGATATCAGAGATTGAAGGTCAACCTAAAGAAATAAAATGTGAAAACAAGATTAGAGAAAAAAGAATGAAAAGGAATGAAAAAGCTTCCAAGAAATATGGGACTATGTGAAAAGACCAAACCTACATTTGATTGGTGTACCTGAAAGTGACGGGGAGAATGGAACCAAGTTGGAAAACACTCTGCAGGATATTATCCAGGAGAAATTCCCCAACCAAGCAAGACAGGCCAACATTCAAATTCAAGAAATACAGAGAACACCTCAAAGATACTCCTCGAGAAGAGCAACCCCAAAACATATAATCATCAGATTCACCAAGGCTGAAATGAAGGAAAAAATGTTAAGGGTAAGCAGAGAGAAAGGTCGGGTTACCCACAAAGGGAAGCCCATTAGACTAACAGTGGATCTCTCTGCAGAAACCCTGTAAGCCAGAAGAGAGTGGGGGCCAATATTCAAAATTCTTAAAGAGAAGAATTTTCAACCCAAAATTTTATATCCAGCCAAACTAAGCTTCATAAGGGAAGAAGAAATAAAATCCTTTACAGACAAGCAAATGCTGAAAGATTTTGTCACCACCAGGCCTGCCTTACAAGAGCTCCTGAAGGAAGCACTAAACATGAAAAGGAAAAACTGGTACCAACAACTACAAAAACATACCAAATTGTAAAGACCACCGACATAATGAAGAAACCCCATCAGCTAATGGGCAAAATAATCAGCTAGCATCATAATGACAGAATCAAATTCACACATAACAATATTAACCTTAAATGTAAATGGACTAAATGCCCCAATTAAAAGACACAGACTGGCAAATTGGATAAAGAGTCAAGACCCATCAGTGTGCTGTACTGAGGAGACCCATCTCGTGTGCAAAGATGCACATAGGCTCAAAATAAAGGGATGGAGGAATATTTACAAAGCAAATGGAAAGCAAAAAAAAGCAGGAGTTGCAATCCTAGTCTTGATAAAACAGACTTTAAACCAACAAAGGTCAAAAGAAACAAAGAAGGGCATAATGGTAAAAAGATCAATGCAACAAGAAGAGCTAACTGTCAAATATATACACACCCCATACAGGAGCACCCAGATGCATGAAGCAAGCTCGTAGAGACTTACAAAGAGACTTAAACTCACACACAATAATAGTGGAAGACTTTAACACCCCACTGTCAATATTAGACACATAAAAGACACAGAAAATTAACAAGGATATTCAGGACTTAAACTCAGCTCTGGACCAAGTGGACGTAACAGATAACTACCTGACTCTCCACCCAAAATCAACAGAATATATATTCTTCTCAGCACATCATCACACTTATTCTAAAATTGACCACATAACTGGAAGTAAAACCTCCTAAGCAAATGCAAAAGAACGGAAATCATAACAAAGAGTCTCTCAGACCACAGTGCAATCAAATTAGAACTCAGGGTTAGGAAACTCATTCAAAAACACATGACTACATGGAAACTAAGCAAGCAGTTCCAGAATTAAGGCAGAAATAAATAAGTTATTTGAAACCAATGAGAACAAAGACACAATGTACTAGAATCTCTGGGACACAGTTAAAACCGTGTTTAGATGGAAATTTATAGCTCTAAATGCCCACAAGAGAAAGCAGGAATGATAAAAAATTGACACCGTAATATCACAATTAAAAGAGCTAGAGAAGCAAGAGCAAATAAATTCAAAAGCTAGCAGAAGACAAGAAATAACTAAGATCAGAGCAGAACTGAAGGAGATAGAGACACGAAAAACTCTTCAAAAAATCAATGAATCCAGGAGCTGGTTTTTTGAAAAGATTAACAAAATAAATAGAGCACTAGCCAGACTAATAAAGAAGAAAAGAGAGAAGAATCAAATAGACACAAAAAAAGATAAAGGGGATATTACCACTGTCCCACTGAAATACAAACTATCATCAGAGAATACCATAAACACCTCTACACAAATAAACTAGAAAATCTAGAAGAAATGGATAAATTCCTGGACACATTCACCCTCCCAGGACTAAGCCAGGAAGAAGTCAAATCCCTGAATAGACCAATAGCAAGTTCTGAAATTGAAGGAGTAATTAATAACATACAAACAAACAAAAAAAAAGCCCAGGACCAGATGGATTCACAGCCGAATTATACCAGAGGTACAAAGAGCTGCTGGTACCATTCCTTCTGAAACTATTCCAAACAATAGAAAAAGAAGTACTCCTTCCTAACTCATTTTATGAGGCCAGCATCATCCTAATACCAAAACCTAGAAGAGACACAACAAAAAAAGAAAATTTTAGGCCAATATCCCTGATGAACATCAGTGCAAAAATCCTCAATAAAATACTGGCAAACTGAATCCAGCAGCACATCAAAAAGCTTATCCACCATGATCAAGTCAACTTCATCCCTGGGATGCAAGGCTGGTGCAACAAACAGAAATCAATAAACAACCCATCACATAAACAGAACAAATGACAAAAACCAAATGATTATCTCAATAGATGCAGAAAAGGCCTTTGATGAAATTCAACACCTCTTCATTCTAAAAATACTCAATAAACTAAGTATTGATGGAACACATCTCAAAATATTAAGAATTACTTATGAAAAACGCATAGCAAATATCATACAGAATGGGCAAAACTGGTAGCATTCTCTTTGAAAACTGGCACAAGACAAGAATACCCTTTCTCTCCACTCCTCTTCAACATAATATTGGAAGTTCTGGCCAGGCAATTAGGCAAGAGAAAGAAATAAGGGTATTCAAATAGAAAGAGAGGAAGTCTAATTGAATCTGTTTGCAGATGACATGATTGTATGTTTAGAAAACCCCATGGTCTCAGCCCCAAAACGCCTTAAGCTAATAAGCAACTTCAGCAAAGTCCTAGGATACAAAATCCATGTGCAAAAATCACAAGCATTCCTATACACCAATAACAGACAAGCCGAGAGCCAAATCATGAGGGAACTCCCATTCACAGTTGATACAAAAAATAAAATACCTAGGAATACAAGTTACAAGGGACGTGAAGGACCTCTACAAGGAGAACTACAAAACACTGCTCAAGGAAGTAAGAGAGGACAGAAACAAATGGAAAAACATTCCATGCTCATGGATAGGAAGAATCAATATCGTGAAAATGGCCATACTGCCCAATGTAATTTATAGATTCAACACTATTCCCATCAAACTACCATTGACTTTCTTCAGAGAATTAGAAAAAACTACTTTAAATTTTCATATGGAACCAAAAAGAGCCCATATAGCCAAGACAATACTAAGCAAAAAGAACAAAGCTAGAGGCATCATGCTACCTGATTTCAACTATACTAGAAGGCTACAATAACCAAAACAGCATGGTACTGGTACCAAAACAGATATATAGACCAATGGAACAGAACAGAGGCCTCAGAAATCACGCCACACATCTACAACCATCTGCTCTTTGACAAACCTGACAAAAACTAGCAATGGGGAATGGATTCCCTGTTTAATAAATGGTGTATGGAAAACTGACTAGCCATATGCAGAAAACTGAAACTGGACCCCTTCCTTACACCTTATACAAAAATTAACTCAAGATGGATTAAAGACTTAAACGTCAGACCAAAAACCATAAAAACCCTGGAAGAACACCTAGACAATACCATTCAGGACATGGGCATGGACAAAAACTTCATGACTAAAACACCAAAAGCAATTGCAAGAAAAGCCAAAATTGACAAAGGGGATTTAATTAACTAAAGAGTTTCTGTACAGTAAAAGACACTATCATTACAGTGAACAGGGAACCAACAGAATGGGAGAAAAATTTTGCAGTCTATCCATCTGACAAAGTCTGATTTACAGAATCTACAAGGAACTTAAACAAATTTACAAGAAAATGACAAACAACCATATCAAAAAGTGGGTGAAGGATATGAACAGACATGTCTCAAAAGAAGACATTTATGTGGCCAACAAACATGAAAAAGAGCTCATCATCACTGATTATTACAGAAATGCAAATCAAAACCACAATGAGACACCATCTCATGCTAGTTAGAATGGTGATTATTAAAAAGTCAGGAAACAGGCCGGGTACAGTGGCTCATGCCTGTAATCCCAGCATTTTGGTAGGCCAAAGTGGGTGGAGTTAGGTGAAGTTAGGAGTTTGAGACCAGCCTGACCCACATGGTGAAACCCTGTCTCTACTAAAAATACAAAACTAGCCAGGCATGGTGGTGCATGTCTGTAATTGCAGCTACTCAGGAGGCTGAGTATCGCTGGAACCCAGGAGGCAGAGGTTGCAGTGAGCCAAGATCATGCCATTACACTCCAGCCTGGGCAAAAAAGAACAAAACTCTGTCCAGAAAAAAGAAAAAATTCAAAAACTAGCCAGGCATGGTGGCATGCACCTGTAATCCCACCTACTCAGGAGGCTGAGGCAGGAGAATCACTTGAACCCAGGAGGTGCAGGTTGCAGTGAGCTGAGATCAGGCCACTGCACTCCAGTCTGGTGACAGAGCCAGACTCTGTCTCCAAAAAAAAAAAAAAAAAAGAAAGTCAGAAAACAACAGATGCTTGAGAGAATGTGGAGAAATAGGAACAGTTTTACACTGCTGGTGGGAGTGTAAATTAGTTCAACCATTGTGGAAGACAGTGTGGCAATTCCTAAAGGATCTAGAATCAGAAATATCATTTGACCCAGCAATCCCATTACTGGGTATATACCCAAACAATTATAAATCTCTCTACTATAAAGACACATGCACACATATATTTATTGCCATGCTATTTACAAGACCAAAGACTTGCAACCAACCCAAATGCCCATCAGTGATAGACTGGATTAAAAAAATGTGGCACATATACACTATGGAATACTATGCAGCCATAAAAAAGGATGAGGTCATGTTCTTTGCAGGGACTTGGATGAAGCTGGAAACCATCATTCTCAGCAAACTAACACAGGAACAGAAAACCAAACACCACATGTTCTCACTCATAAGTGAGAGTTGAACAATGAGAACACAGGGACACAGGGAGGGGAACATCACACACCAGGGACTTTCAGGGGGCAGGAGGCATGGGGAAGGATAGCATTAGGGGAAATACCTATTGCACACGGGGCTTAAAACCTAGATGATGGGTTGATGGATGAAGCAAACCACCATGGCACATGTATACCTATGTAACAAACCTGCACCTTCTGCACGTGTATCCCAGAACTTAAAGTATAATAAAAAAGAAAAGAAAAGAAAACCGTAATGAGATATCATCTTACCTCAGTCAGAATGACTATGATTAAAAGGGTGAAAACTGAAGAGATGTTGGCAAGGATATGGAGAAAGAAGAACTCTTATACACACTTGGTGGGAATGTAAATTAGTACAGCTTCTGTGGAGAACTGTGATTTCTCAAAGAACTAAAACTAGAACTACATTTGCATTGAGCAACCCTACTTCTGGGTATCTTCCCAAAGGAAAAGTAGTCAGTGTAACAAATACATACCTTTATCTGTATGTTTATTGTAGCAACATTCATGGGAACAAAGATATTGAATCAACCAAAGTGTCCATTAATGAATGATTGGGTTAAAAATGTAATTATATATACCCAATGCCATACCACTCACTCATAATGAGAGAATGAAATCACATATATTGTGGCAATATGGATGGAACTGGGGGTCATTTTCTTAAGCAAAACAGGCTAGATACAGGAAATGAAATATAACATGTTCTCACTCATAAGCGGATGCTAAAGAATGTGTATGCACAGATGAAGAGAGTGAAATAATACACAATGAAGACTTGGAAGTGGAAGGCAGAGGGGTTGAATATTGGGATATTAATTAATAAATACAGTGTTTGTTATTTGAATAATGAATACCTTAATGCTGTGACTTATGCACTATGTAATCTATGTAACAAAACTGAACTTGTAATACATACATTTGTGCAAATAAAATTTTTAAAAAATAACAGAAACTCTAGTCATACTGCTCCCCCATCCTCACCATTAAAAAGAAGAGGCAATGACCAGTGTGGCCATAGCAGAATGAATTAGGTATAGAGCAGCCACCAATTCCAGAGATAGTTAGGGCTCAATACATAGGACTTTAGGATAGTTGAAAATTAGCATCTTGTTCTTAGAGAGTAAAAGTGGTGGCCATCAACTGGAAAACATAGAAAAGTAATATAATTTTTAAATGGCCAAGGTGGGTAATTGATTGTTGGGAAATAAATAGAACTATTTGGTGTAAACTGCAGGTGAGGCTTGCTTAGATGGGCTGATAGATATGAAAGTGATGAAACTGGCTGCAGTCAGAAATTATTTTGAAGCTTGAACTTCACAATGATAACATAGTTGATTTGACTAGATGTAATGTGATGTAAGAGGAAAAGAGTCTAGAATAAATCCTAGTTTCCTTAATTAATTAGAGAATAATTTACCAAGAGCAAATAGAGTTGGAAGAGGAGTAATTCTGTAGTTGTAGGAGGGAGAGACAGAGGTAGAAGAAAACAGGGAAGAGAACAGGAGGTTCCAGGAAAGACTGATAGAGTGTTCCCCAAAGAAGGGTAGGATCAATGGTGTTAAACTGCTGAGGGGTCACAGGAGATGGATGACTGAGAATTGATTCCTGAAATGAGTAGAATGGAGGCAGTAGATGACCTTGACAGACTTGGAGTGGAAAGAACAAAAGCATCTTTAATGTGTGTTTTAAAAAAAAATGGAAGGGAGGGGATGGGGAAATAATCACATACATACGTTTCAAGAACTTTTGCAATACAAATGGCAGACAAATAATATGGTAGGAAAGAAGCACTAAGAGTCTTAGCAAAACCTCTGTAGAAATGGGTGATGTTTCAGCAGGTTTTTGCTGATTGAAGTAATCCCATAGAGCATAGATGTAAGAATCAGGAGACAAAAGGGTCACATGCAGAAGCAAAATCCTTGATTGGGTAATGTGGTTCAGAGTCATGAGGGTAGGTAAGAGATAGGGGTAGGGAGGCTTCAACTACAGTAATAGGAGAGAAGCCAGAGAACTGGGATTGAACTGAATGTGGGTTGCTCAACTTGGTGGTGATTATGGCAAGATCCTTCTATTCCAATTTTTCTGAAATTCATAGTGAATTATCTGGGCTATCGGTGGGCACAGGGGCAGTTTTCTAATATTGAACCTTCCTTGCTTGAGAAGCAGACATGCCAATCTCTGCAAGGTTTTTGGTATGTATGTTATCTGAATAGTCTCCATACTCTAAGGTAGTTGTTATGATTCTTCTCATTGTAGATAAGGAAATTGACGCTCTGAGAGACCAAGTAGCTTTTTAAGAGTTCAGAGCTAGCAAGAAAGAGTTATGTCTTAACTAAAATCTGAGAGTGTCCCAGTTCTTTGCTCCTAAAAGTCATGCTGACTTCTTGATGAAATCCATTCAGGTTTCATTAAAGAAAGGTGAGGAACATAGGGAGGGAGAGAAGTGATCACTGTTAAAATAGGGTCAATGGGATAGAGAGGGTTCTAGGGATAAGAAGCACAGACCCATATTCATTCACTTGAAACCAAACTCAGTTTCTTAGAAATTATAGGGATTTCTTTTAGTTTCTATGACTTATTTTCCATTTGTTGTGTTTTTTGTCCTTAAAATTACTGGAATATCAGTAAACAATCTGAAAATAATTTTAAAATTTCAATTTGTGCTGTAGAAGCCAGAGAAGGGCCAGGCATGGTGGCTGACTCCTGTAATCCCAACATATTTGGAGGCCGAGGCAAGCAGATGACCTGAAGTCAGAAGTTCTAGCCTAGTCTGGCCAACAGAGTGAAACCCCATCTCACATAAAATTACAAAAATTACCCAGGAATGATGGTGGGATCCTGTAATCCCAGCTACTGTGAAGGGTGAGGTAGGAGAATAGCTTGAATCCAGGAGATGCAGGTTGTAGTGAGCCAAGATTATGCCACTGCACTCCAACCTAGGTGATAGAGCAAGACTCCATTTCAGAAAAAGAAAAAAATAGAAGTCAGGGAAGGAGATAAACAGTAAAATATTTTTCATGGCAGCTGGCTAAATTAGGATTAAAGAGGAGGGAATCTCCCTGGAAGCATCAAAGAGAAGGGGTCCTAGATGTTCTTATAATGTGTTCTTGGTCCTCACACTCCACATTCACAAACACTGAGAAAGAGACACCACAATCAGAAATTGTAAGCTGTTTATTTTATTGGTATATTAAAGGTAGAGCTATGACCACCTTCTTCCAATGTCATGGCATTTGAATCATTTGAATCACTGTCATCTTCTTGTTCACTTCCTGAAACAAACAAACAAGGAATTTCATAGAGCAGACTTGACATGGCAGGAAATGTCGAATTCCTCACTGGTGTTACTGCAGTAGAGTACATGAGATCCCATCCTCTCTCCCCAATCCCTTCAACCTCCTGTGATTCTTTCCTGATTTTTTCTGTGTTCACTCTTTTGATGCCCTTGCACACAATGTGCTCCAAATTGTTGCTGAGAAGATGAAGAGAAAAGATCATCCTTAGGTTGTTATGACTCATTGCTGTTGAATTTGTTCAGGGATATATTTACACATATGATAATCAGAACCTATTTTATAATAGTGATAAGATGAAACCACCCTCAGTATCCAGTGACAGGGATTGATTAAAGAAATCATGGTGCAGCCACACAATGGAGTAGCATAAAATTGTAAAAGCAAACAGAAAACCACTGAAGAGATGTATTTAGCTTCATAAACTGATGTGGAAATTTTCAAGAAGTGTATTTTTAAATGACTACCATATATACCTGCATATAAGTTATGGTATTAGTGGTAGGGTAAAAGAATGCTGTATGTCTATGCACACATAAATATTTCAAAGAGAAGATCCCATAAAGTCAACAGTGGTAGCTTTTTGAAGGAAGGAAGGTGAGTAGGATGAGCTACGCCTTTAAAATTAACTTCATATTTTTCCATTCCATTAGATATCTTTTGTTAGCTTAATCATGTACTTACTGAAAACTAAGTATGTAAAAAATGAGACACCATTTAGCTGCTGAAAGATCAGGGACCATTTGGCAGGAATACTGGACTCGAGAGGCTGGCGTGAGGCAGGAATGAGCAAACAGTGCTCAGGTGAAAAATTTAAATGCAATATCTCTGAGTTTGTGGACCGAAAGCAGAGCACCAAGAATGGACATGGTACTACTTCCTCATTGCCAACACAATTTAAGACAGATTGTATGGTATGTTGTTTCTCAACATCAGAGTTCCTTAAAGAGTTTGTTAGAAATACAGGGTCTTCTTACCCTATTCCAGAGTATCTGAATACAAATCTTTAGAAATGGGTTCTAGGACAATACAATGTCAATGGGTTTTTAGTTGATTCATTGGCACAATAAAGTTGGAGAACTGTAACACTTAGAGCACTTGGTGAAGAATAAACTGGAATCATACCTGTCATTGAACCTTGATTACTGGGGAGGCTGTCCCTGGGGAGGTCTGTGTGGTCTGCCCCCTTGAGGAGGTGGAGGTGGTCCCTGGGGCTTTCCAGCGGGAGGTGGCAGAGGCTGCTGGGGATTGCCTCCTGGTGGGGGTGGTCCTTGTGGCCTTCCTGGAGGAGGGGGACGTTGAGGTTTGTTACCTTCTTGTGGGGGTGGTCCTTGTGGCTTTCCTGGATGAGGTGGGGGACCTTGAGGTTTGTTGCCTCCTTGTGAAGGTGGTCCTTCTGGCTTTCCTGGACGAGGTGGGGGACCTTGGGACTGGTTTCCTCCTTGTGGGGGTGGTCCTTCTGGCTTTCCTGGACGAGGTGGGGGACCTTGAGGTTTGTTGCCTCCTTGTGGGGGTGGTCCTTCTGGCTTTCCCGGACGAGGTGGGGGACCTTGGGACTGGTTTCCTCCTTGTGGGGGTGGTCCTTCTGGCTTTCCCGGACGAGGTGGGGGACCTTGGGACTGGTTTCCTCCTTGTGGGGGTGGTCCTTCTGGCTTTCCCGGATGAGGCGGGGGACCTTGGGACTGGTTTCCTCCTTGTGGGGGTGGTCCTTCTGGCTTTCCCGGACGAGGCGGGGGACCTTGGGACTGGTTTCCTCCTTGTGGGGGTGGTCCTTCTGGCTTTCCCGGACGAGGCGGGGGACCTTGGGACTGGTTTCCTCCTTGTGGGGGTGGTCCTTCTGGCTTTCCCGGACGAGGTGGGGGACCTTGGGACTGGTTTCCTCCTTGTGGGGGTTGTCCTTCTGGCTTTCCCGGACGAGGTGGGGGACCTTGGGACTGGTTTCCTCCTTGTGGGGGTGGTCCTTCTGGCTTTCCTGGACGAGGTGGGGGACCTTGGGACTGGTTGCCTCCTTGTGGGGGTCGTCCTTCTGGCTTTCCTGGAGGAGGTGGGGTACGTTGGGGCTGGTTTCCTCCTTGTGGGCGTCGTCCTTCTGGCTTTCCTGGAGGAGGTGGACACACGGCATTCACTGAATAGTTGCCGCAAATTTTTACAGTAACGCAGCTAAATGGGGAAATGCACAAAAATAAGACCCAGACACTAATTTCTTTGCATTTTCAGTGAAGCTCTAGAACTCTGGAGTGGAATGCTGGAGAAGAAGGAAGCAGTTGAGGGGCTCTCAGTCTAAGGAGGAGTCAGAATAAGGACACTGGCCATTTGTCTGTCATCTCCCAGCAGGCACTCCTGGCAGGAGGGAAGTCAACCCACTCCCGTTTTCATCTAAGCCAAGCATCTCTGCCATTCAATTTGGTGGCCCTGCTCATGGTCCCCAAAATCAAGGTTGCATGAAGATTGCCTGCATTATTAGGGGGACTAATATTAATCAATTTCTAAAGGAAAATGTTGGTGAGAAGACACTGGAGAACTGATCCATTCATAAGCAGAAGAAGATAGTTAAAACAGATTGAGAGTGAATTGGGATTTACCTGATATTACGGAGGGAGATTCTTCCTGGCTGACATCTAGAAGAGAAGCACAGGATGATGGGAAAGGTTACATCTCGAATTTTGCAAGATTCACAGGTGTTCTACAGGGAAAGGGGACTTCTCACCACACCCCATGCATCCCCTAGGTTAGCTCATCAGCTACCATCTGTGAAGCTGCTGGAAGGGGAGGAAGGTGTAAGGGGAGGCAGGGTTGTTACCACACAGAGCAACAGCCATGAACTCAATATAGAAGAGCCCCTTTTTTTCTTCCCTAGCATCCTTCAAGACTTAATGCTAATTTAGTTTACACATGCCAGGTACTTCAATGTGATATTTTGGTATTCTTATGCCCTCCATCTCCTATAAATACATTGCTTATATTCACAAGCTTTCTCAATTTCGGTAACCAGAAGTAATTGTTTCAATACAATCTTACCTATACCACTCCCAGCACATTGAAATACTGTGTGTAGGGGAAAGAAAAATCACAATGATTGAATCTGATATTTCTATATCTGTAGTTAGACACAGGCAAGTGTTTTATCCAGTTCTGTCTCTGCAGTATCTCTAATGTGTGTTTATCTCCATCATCAATGCTGATCCACTAGGTAGAGCAAGGCCACAATCATCCCTGTGTACTTACTGAGATCAGTTTAGGATCTTCACAGCTGGACTTTCCTGAATCTGCCTTGCATTCACCACTGCATCCTTCACAGCACAGTTCTATCTCTCTATAAATGCAAATCTTACCTTCTCATTCCCCTGGTACAAATTCTTTATTGGATTTTCATTGTACATTAAATAAATTAGAAGCCCTTGGTGTGGAATGAGGGCACAACAGGTCTCCTGATCCTAGGCATGAAACCTCTGCAGCCCCATCTGTGTTTTCATTCTCCTCTCTTCCCCATAATTACAACTATCACCTCCTAAGCCCCAAGCAGAGTCACCACATCTTCTCCTCCTTCTGTCTTACCTTCATTTAAGCTCTGAGCTGAGCTCAGGGCCAGCAGGGCCACCGACAGCAGAATCAGTAGCATCTTGCTGGAGGCTCTGGAGTCACTCCCAACTCTGTGCTGGGAGAACCATGGCAGCTCCCTTTATAAAGAGGAGCAGAACAGTGGCACCTTTGAGCTCCACACTGGGTGGGCCTCACCACCCCAGAGACTGGGTTCTGCTTTCCTTACTGCAGGTCAGGTGTATCCCTTATTTCTGTCTGGGACTCTAGCCCAGAGGAACAGGTTGGGTTGGATGTTGTTTGTACCTTATTTCTAAAAGGTACAACTATGACTTGAACAAAGGTTTTAAAGGAACTGTGTCCAAGCAATCAGCACGGTGTCATAATTGAACTTCAGACGTCATTAGAGTTTCAATCTTTTTGGTAAGACTATTGTCCACTTTCAACTTTGCTATTTATTTCTGTGTATGTGTGTGTGGGCAGTGAAGCTACAGCCAGCGGTGATGATGATCAATATCTCTGGCTGTTTTTATAGCCTATTTCCATCTCTCGTGATGTGTGTGTACAGAGAGTATCACATTTAGCTTAACTTTTGATGCGATAGAGATAGTTTCTGCTATCTGGGAGATGTTTGAGGACAGCACACTCCTGGGCACACAGATGACAGAAGGCTGCCTCACAGCCTACTCAGGCTACAGCTATTGTTCATGCTTCTGTGGATCTCACTCAAGTCAGGAAAGGCTTCTTGTTGTGAAACACAGGAAGGCCAAAATTGTGTATTTTAAAGTATCTTTAGGGGTTATGAATGCAAAATGGACACACAAACCACGAGGAAATTTCTAGACCTGAGAAAACTGAATATATAGTTCCTTGCAGGAACCATGCAATATCATGTTGCCAAAACTTCCTTCATGCTCTTCCCTTTCTCTAGAATATTCTACAAAATTCACCCTCTGCTTCATTTCTTTTAAGAATTGTATTGAATTCCTACCTCTGATAATTAAGTGGCTACAATTCTACATTCAAATAAGGTAATCAGATACCCTCATTAAAGCCTCAATTGCATTGTATTGGTTTTCTTGGTTTAGTCAGTATTTGTGTTACCTGTTTTCTCAGATTGTTCTTCCACAAAGAGTATTTTTTCTACAATATTCTGATATGCATTCCTCCCTGACGTTCTTTCTGGTACTTCTTTGTTCATATTTTATTTTCTGAGTCAAGCTCATTTTGTGTAATTTTCTTTATATATCTGGCTTTTTTCCCCAGGAATTTGGTAAGATTTCCTTTATTTAATCTTCTAAGTAATAAGCTATAATTCTCACCACCTTTGTTTCATTCTTGTCTGTGTAATTTCACAATAAATGTTGTGTTTCCAAAAAGCCCTCTCAGAGTCCTGCATTGTTAGCACTTCTTTTAGCTGCTGATTCTTCTGTTATACCTAGTAAATCCCTGCTCATCAGTTCATGGAATATACAGGTTAGTCAGTGAGTCAGCTGCCATTTACCACTTAGACCTTCTGTGTGTCTTGTGTAATTGTTCACATTTTGTGCATGGCTGGTATTAATTTGAGGACAGCTTGGCTGGAGGTATGATGGAGGTAGAGAGGGTATGTGACAGTAAATCCTAAAGACAGACCTCTTGACCATTGTGGATGAGTGGATCCTGGACTGTGCAGATGAGGGTCTGGTCTGGCCCTTCTGAAGAGTTGGGGGTAATAGTACAGGAAGACTTCCTAATACAGAAGGCTTTGCTACAGATAACTTTGCCCTTGCAAGGGAACCAGGAAGATTGATATTTTCCCTGGCAAAAATATAGACATACTTGAAAGGGGAATATATTATTAATTGGAAATTATTTCTGGCTCTATGGAAAGTGGACTGGTTCTAGCTAGTCTTCATGAGTTTTATCTTAGGCAGAGAGTACTTGCTTGTGCCAGCAGGTCCCATTATATTATTGAGATTTCTATCTCTGGTCTCCTCCATAGGAACTGGAGATGACCAATCCTGCCTAGGTGTCTTAAGTTAGACCATCAGGTAACAAAGGAATGTCAGAAACAAGGAGCAGCAGAGAGGCCAGGCCAACATTGCCTGATGTTGTCGCCAACTTAGGTTGCTGCAGGCCTGATACAAGAAAGATTTGTCCTTGGCAGGAGAGTAGAGGAAGACAACAGAAATGCCCCTAAAAGTCCCTTATCTCAGGCCCTTTCCCTGACTTTCTCCAATGTCAGCAATGAGTAAAGTGTATCAGGAAAGCATAAATATCAGCTATGCACTAACCAGACAAAACAAAAACAGAAGTGATGGAAATGTGGAAAGGGACACTGTCTGTGAGTGAGGGTGGGTGGAAGAGAGGAGCAGGACTGCAGCAGGAGATTGGGCATCTAGAGGTGAGTGGCAGCCCTCAGCACTCCACTTGCCTTCTAATATCCATGTTCATATTCTGAGGCCCTGAAGGAACAGTCTTCAACATATGAAATTTTAGGAAACACAATTCAGCTCTCATAACAACTCCCAACCTTTTCTAAGTCACTAACAGGTGTTCAGTGGTTCAAAAATCCTCACTCCCTTCAGGCACTGTCCTTTAGCAAATTGAGTTGCCTCCACTTTCAACACTCATCCCAAATAAAACCACTTGCATAATCTTTACTAGAAGGTGATAGTTCAGGCCACGATGCACTCTCCTGAAGAGCTTAATATCCTCAGCTGCTCTTGGTAACATTCCTACCCCAGCATTAGCTCTCTCACACCCACACATCTCTCTCTTTTTGAAGACTGGGAAGTTCTGTGAACGGAACAGAAAGCAGAATTTTCCTCAACTTACTGTGCTCATTGCATAAACCAGCCATTCTAATAATACGGTTGTGTGTGAGAATTCAGATTTGCTTGGAATTGTCTAAAAGCTTCGGTTACACTGATGTAATTGTCATCTTTATATTATATTATATTATATTATACTATATATTATATGATAACATAATATATATTATGTGATGGTCATCTTTATATTTTTATTTGATGTTGATGCTCTCTAAATATATATTTCACAATTATTTGAGCATATTTATATTCTTTCCATTTATCCTAGCAAAGGCTGATTATAATAGAAAACACTTCTTCAGCATTTACTATGATATTCAGTCTTCAGAACTATCATATTAGGGAGGTGTGATTATTATTATTATCTTAATTTTGTAGATGAGGTGATTTAGGTGCGTGCCTAGGTTCATGTAAAGGTAGTGAGTGGAATGGAAGGGAGTCAGTTCTCAGATCTGAGTTCTTGCCTACTGTGCTTCACTGGTTACTTGGTCTTCATTCATTCATTTCTTTACAAGAAAGTGAAAGGAAATGAGATTCAGAGAAGAAAAACAAGTTTCTCTTAGAATATTTTCAAGGTTAAATTTTCCTGAGACTTTAACAGCTGAGGTGAGAAAAAATATATTTTCCTGAGTAAACATGTTTGTTTGAAATCGTAATCACATTTAAAATGTCTTCTAGTATTCTGCTTTACCCCTTGCATTTATATAAAGATACTCAGGGGAATTAATTCCTTTTTTTCCTAGTTACAAAACTCTGTCAATGTAGATCCTGTATGTACTTCCTTAATCCATGCTACATGCATTTTTCTTGGGTAGCATATTAGCATTGGCAAAATTTGTGTATGCCCTTTTAAATTGACTAAATTTGATCCTTCTAATCACAATGGAATTAACATTCTAGAAATCCAAGAGGGAGTCTGATCAGAGAGTTGTCTAAGAAAGGATAAATTGTACACCGCTTACACAGCTTTCATATTCTGCATGAAGATGTCGCCTGTGTCCTGGCCCCAGAGCTGGTGTACCATCCTGAGTGGTTGGGGCTGTAGAAGGCATTGGTCATCAGCCTAAGGTCAAGTGTCTGTAGCCTCAGCTCACCACTGTTATCTCAATGTCAGAGTGTATTCTTGACCTTTCAGTTACACTTCCTAGCAGTTCATAGAGAAGTACAATCACAACTTATCTCATAAGAAATACAAAGCAATGTATATCACCCTCGTATTTTCCTGATGATGTACCAAGTCGGTAAGCTGATACATTTAAGAGGAATTTCATTAAAGTGATTAATCAATGACTCACTTATTAAACAGATAAACCTGTACCTATTTCTTACAAAAGACGTTTTCTCTTCTGCTTAAAAACCACAAATTATTATTTTATTTCATTGATATTGAAATCCACATGTATGCATATTTTTCATCTTGGGAATTGGAATGTGTGGCACATTGTGTTTTTAAAAGTTGATCACGACAGAATCATTCATCTAATGTTTTCTTACAATGGTACCTTGACATCCTCTCTTGAAGGGGTGAGGTCTGTTTTTACCCCCTTGAGCTTCGTTAGAACTTCGTTACTGCCATGACCAATAGATTATATCAGAAGTGATACTTTATGACTTTTGAGTCTAGATCATAGAAATGCCATGCAATTCCAAACTGTTCTTTATGGAACCTGCCACATGCTGCGAGGAAGCCCATGCTGTGAGACAGGGATAGAACATTCATTTTAAAAATGATTGGATACAAAATTATCGCTAAACAATATTCAATAAACAAGTTTGTTTCAGTGACCCAATTCCTACCTATACCACATATTATATTTCTACACATGCATGGCTACATAGCTAAAGATTTATGGATTATTCCTATCTACCTTGCATAGTGATGTTTCAGATGCCTTAGCTCTTCTAGTACTTACAATAGCACTTTGAGGATTTTTTGCATTTATGTTCACTTTTCAAAGGTAGAAATAAAATCTTAATATGATTGAATGACTTTCCCTTGGACATACACTTCATAGGTAACAGCATAATGCAATGCAAGGAGAGCGACAGAGTGAGAGAGAGAGAGAGAGAGAGAGAGAGAGAAATGAGAAAATGACCTTATTCATGAAAACAATATAAAATACCTAGGAACAAAGAGCAAGAAATGCACAGAATTCAGCTGAAGAAGAATGATCAAACTTTAATGCAGAATATGCACTAAAATGTATATACATGTAAATTTGTAGGGACATGGATGAAGCTGGAAACCATCATTCTCAGCAAACTATCGCAAGGACAAAAAACCAAACACCACACGTTCTCACTCGTAGGTGGGAATTGAACAATGAGAACACTTGGACACAGGAAGGGGAACATCACACACCGGGGCCTGTTGTGTGGTGGAGGGAGGGGGGAGGGATAGTATTAGGAGAAATACCTAATGTAAATGATGAGTTAATGGGTGCAGCACACCAACATGGCACATGTATACATATATAACAAACCTGCACGTTCTGCACATCTATCCTAGAAATTAAAGTATAATAAAACATATATATATTTAAAATAAAAATAAAAAGTAAAATCTTAATGTGATCGAGTGATTTTCCCTAAGACATACACTTCACAGGGAACAGCATAAGACAATGCAAGGAAAGAGACAGAGAGACACAGAGAGAGAGAGAGAGAGAAATGAGAGAATGACCTTATTCATGAGAACAATATAAAATACCTAAGATCAAATAGCAAGAAATGCACAGGATTCAGTTGAAGAAGAATGATCAAACTTTGATGCAGAATATGCACTGAAATGTATATACATGTAAATTTTTGCACAGGAAATTGCAATATTCAAATAGGACTAATTTTCCAGGTGTTCTGGTGAAAATTGCACCACAGTCCCCTCTTCATGTCTGATTTCAGCTTTGCTCATTCACAAACTCTTATTTTTCTATTTGTCATTCCATTTCCACAGTTTTGTTGTTTATTGTCATCTCTTCTTTCATTCTCTTCATCCTTGGGTATTAATTTCCTCTGTGCTTCTTTATTTTAATTTTACTGGGACATTAGGAAAGAGCAGAAATCAGTCCATGTTTATGTGTTCAATGCATTGTGCATTCCAATACCCTTAGTAGAGAGACAAATTCCTTATCACAGTCTATAGCAGGTTCTACAGATGATCTTTCTGTTTATGTCTCTTTCTATTTAAGTGTATTCAAGTGACTTTACAAGGCAGACTGCTATTACCTGTGTTCCTAATTTTATCGGAAGAATCTGCTGCTGTCTTTTCTTCCCTGGCTGCATTAGATGTAACAGGACCATGAGTTGATAATCACATGGTTATTTTTTACAATGTTATTGAATAAACATCTAGCAACAATTTTAAATGATGAATACATTTTTATACTCTAATAGTCTAACAAATATAATTTTTTAATAACAAATGTCCATTGTTTCAAGTCTGTTACTTATCCACCTTTAGAACTGCCAAAGCAAATCTCTCCATACTATTAAAAGAATCTTTTGTGCCTTTTAGTAAGCAGACATCATCAGAAACAGAAGTTTATGATATGATACATAAAGAGTTTGAATTTATCTCACATTTTTACTAACCTTATTTTTTAGCTAAACTTGGTCTATATTCACATTTTCTTGACTGAAATATGCCTTTGTACATTTTTATTGAGCAATTAAAGGCTCATTTAACCAGTCATCCTAACAACATGGACATATGGCTTTTGTCAGATTGGAATGATCTACAAAGCTTATGAGGCTTGACCTTTGGGGTCTTTCATGTGCACAGGCCCTTTTCAAGACCCTGTTTTGAGTGAACAGAATAAAAAGAGATGTAAAAGCTTCAGGAACTAGCAGTGGTCTTCTTTATGCCAACTCCTTTACTCAAGCCTTTATGTATTTTTCTGTCTTCCACTGACCCATGGGGACCATAAGATTTCAAGAACTTCTCCTCCCTAAAACAAACTCCAATCATTTGAGGGATATCTGATTTTTTTTCTGAAAAGAAGACTTGAGAATACCTATAGAAGCAAGTTTCTAAATAATCTGATTTTTATGTCTACAAATAATAGCTATCTTCCAGCACTGCTGTAAATGTAATGTGGGATTGCAGATTGTACATGGAAGAATCTGAAAAATGTACTTTAGTGGCTAAACTGAAGGGCCTATTGATATGAGGTATGGCTTTAAATTCTTGCTCTTCTACTAGTTTTTCCTCTGCAGAACATACTCCCTGCAGAATGGTGCCTTCCCTTAGTATTTGTAGTGTTTCTACCTCTCAGCATGGAACAAATGGTCAATGTTAGCAATGGGTTCTTTCCTTTACAACTCACGATGTGGTAAGGAAAATTCTCATGTTTGTTTCTGTCTTTTCACCTTTGCATTCATAATATAATCATCTTAAATACATATCTACAGGCACTTAGCACCACAGTAAGTTTTATAATTTTTGCTTCAACACAAATGTATTGTCTTTCAGTTTTGCAGCTCAGAAATCAGTACTGGGTCTCACTGGGTTGAGTCCATGTGTCATGGATGGAATTCCTTTCTGGAGGTTCTAGAGAAGAATCTCATTTTCTTGCCACATTACCTGTCTTTCTTCCATCTTCAAAGCTAGCAATACCAGTTGAGCCTTTTGAAACTCATGCAGAAAACTTGAGAAGAAAAGGAAGATATTTTTGTTAATTTACTTTTTTCTCACTTTGTTTCTTTTATTCTACATTCTTGAATTTCCAGAAATTCCTTTTCTATCCTTTCTTTTAGTTGAGAAAGTTCCATCGAGCCATTTTTAAAAGATTAGTTTGTTGGAAACAAATTCTTTTAGGTTTCCTTCTTTTCTTTCTTCTGAGAATACCTGAATTTCCTTTTTATTATGGAAGGACAGTTTTATTGGACATAAACATCTGGTTTGCAATTTTTTTTCCTTCAGCACTTTAAATATTTGAGTTACATTCTTCTTCATTTCCTGGTTTCTGATATTAACTCTATGGTTATCCACATTGTGTTTTTCCTATAATTATGATGCCATTTCTTGCTTGCTTTTTAAAAAATATTTTATTTGTTTTATTTTTCAGAAATTTGACTATGGTGTTGCTGGGCATGTGTTTCCTTGTGTATATTATGATTGGAATTTTCCCACCTTCTTGCATTTGTAAGTCTATGTCCTTTGCAAGTGTGAGCATTTTTTGGCCATTATTTCTCTAAGTCCTTTTTTAATATCATCCTCATTGTTCTGTTTTCTGAAATTCAGATTGCATGATTGTCGCATCATTTGTTGTGGCCTTTCATATTTGTGAAACTATGTTAAATTTTTTCAATTGTTTTACCCTGTGTTGTTCAGAGTATAGAATTTCTATTATTGCAACCCCTAAACACTGACTGAGTCTTTCCTCAATCATTTGCTTTCTGATAATTTTCACAGCCAATATGGTTTTTTCTTAATTTTAGACATTATATATGTCAGTTCTGAAATTTCTATTTTATAATATTTTATAGTTCCTTTTTCTGCTGAGAAGTTTTTTCCCATTCTTTTCTGCTGAGAAGTTATTTCCCTCTTTATTTTGGAAATGTTCACATTTACCTCAGAAAAGATGGCTATAAGAGCTGCTTTAAAGTCTGATCATTTCCATATCCAAGTTGTTTCAAGGTTGTCATCCCTTGGTTGCATGCTTCATGAAGAATTGGTCAATTGTTTACGGTTTGTAAAAGTATATTGAGTAGTTTTCTATTGTATTCCTCAGATAGGCATTTTCTCAGTTTACAATACATGAAAAGTTCAATAAGGCAAGCTTTGGACATTGAAGGGTGCAGGCACTCAGGCTGCATTGTGATCCACCTACTGGCTCCACTGGCAGATGGGTTAGTCCCACTGACATTATTCTACTTGGAGCTTCTACGTGGATGATTCCCCTTGGCTCTTATGAGATAAAAGCATAAGTATTTCACATAATACACACTTATAAAATTAAAAACAATAGAAAAGTGCACTGAATGAGTCCCAAGAGCCCTATCCACAACATCTTCCTAACTTTTCATCTTTTGTAACCCATTTGCTCAAAGCTCAATTGAACTCAAGCACTTCTTTTTTCTTTTGCCCTACAGGAACCGCAGAGTTTAACATTTGTTTCTTAGATGCTATCCCCGTAGCCAGGCAGCCCTGCTGTCTTCTGACTGGGGATTTACAGAATGCAGGAAAATGAGGCAGAGGTAGAAAGAGTGACTATACACCTAGCATGCTGGCTCATGACTGTAATCCCACTACTTTTGGAGGCTGAGGTTGGAGGACTATTGATGCCAGGAATTCAAGATCAGCCTGAGCAATGCAGTGAGACGTCCCCATGTATATAAGAAAATGTACAAAATCAACCTTGCATGGTGATTGGCACCTGTAGTCCCATCTAATTCAGAAGGTGATCTGGAAGAATTGTTTGATCCCAGGAGTTCAAGACTGCAGTGAGCCATGATTGCACCACTGTACTCCAGCTTAAGAGACAGAGCAAGTCCCTGTCTCTAAAAAGAAATAATACTAATAATAACATTAATAATAATAAATGACTGCTGCAACTGAAAAGGTTTTTTTCCCCCACCTTGGCTTCTAGCCCCAGGGTCTACTTCCTTTCAAATGCATCTCCAATGTCTATGGATTCTACAGACTTGCAGTCTCTTCCTTTCTTTCCCCTCATGTGCCACTGTGGCTCTATCCTGTATCCTCAGCAAGCCTTCCCACACTCCGACAAAATCAAGTACAATGGTGAACTGAGCAAGTATGGGCAATAGAGCTATAAATATTTATGTTTCTACCCTCCTTGATATTTTTACAATATTTGGAGATGGGTATGTAGGGCCTTTAGTCCTTCTTGGGCCAGGGTCATCTCAGCCTTAAAGGAACTGAAATCAGAGTAGAGGAAAAGAAGTGATAAGACAGATGTGAACAAAGCATCTTCATGCAAGTAAGCAAGATACATTTACTGGCTAATTCAAGCATTGTAACCGCAGCCTAAGACTCAAATGAATAAACACTGAATTTGAAGTCCCCCCAAAGGTGTGCAACAGCTTTGGGGGATTTTTAACACTTTACCTCCTGTTATCTGTGGAATGGAGCAAAAACTAAGTGTTACATGGGAAGTTGGTTTCAATTATACCACCTGGTACTCAGTTTACAACCATTTCCTAATCCTACTTCTTAATGAGCTATATAAAAGGAAAAGATTTATTGACCACTTGTCATACATTTTGGTCAATGTGCCAGCTATTGATATGTGTTTTTTACATTATTAACTGAAGAAAAATGAATGCCTTTTACAAATGTTATAAGATTACAAAACAAAAAGAAATCCAAAGGAAACAAATTAGGGTTGTAATGTGCAAGCCTAATGATTTTCCATCAGAACTCTCATATAATTGCCCTGTTTGATAAGATAAATGAGCAGGAGCAAGGTTGTGGTGAAGGACTCTGCTGAAGCTTTCCCAGGGATTCCTATACTAAAGCTTTGGCTTTCTCAAAGTATTCTCAGAATAAGCAGTTATTGTCATTCTCCAGAAAGTCAACCAGCAAAATGACTTGAGCTTTCCAATAAACTCTTGCCATGACCTTTGTGCTCTCCTCATCCACTTTTGTTTTGACTGGACTTTTCCACTTCTTGGTAGCCATTGCATTGATTGTATTTGTTTTCAGGATTTTACTGGTAAAGCCATGCGTTATCTCCTCTTATAATTCCTTGAAGAAATGCTTACAGTCTTCATTGCTCCTATTTAAATTTTTTAGGGAAACTTCTGCTCTTGTCTGTACTTCATCTTGGTGACACAGTTTGGGCATCCATCAAGTGAAAAGTTTACTAAACTTTAATCATTCAGTTAGAATCATGTAAACTGAACCAACTGAGAAGTCTGCAATGTTGGCTATTGTGTGAACTGCTAATCATCACACATCTTCTCCTGGGTATAAAGAAGATGAATTTATTCCTTGCAATATGATGTGAATCATCTGTCACTGTAGACTTTAGGTTCAACATTGCCTCATTCCTTCCTGAAATGAGGAACTCCTCATTGAATTTGTGAACTGCTGACTTCTTCAACCAATGTCAACTTACCATGTGCCAAGTAGGACAACTTTTTGGACACCATCAATGATTTCATCTTCTTCCACCCAAGCTTCACCATAAATTTGATGTTTTTACTCACTTTACTTTTAGAAGAATTCATGTTGCTCTTCTAGGAGCTCTTTTGAAACTGCTCTCTTATTTTTCTTGATGCCTCAAACTAGCTCGTGTTCAGACATGTTATAGCAAAACATTATGATTTCATTTTGGTGCCAAAAAACTTGGAATCCATTCATGGTATTTCTTAATAGAATATACATTTTCCATTAACATTTTAACAACCCACTGCATATAGGAAGGCGTCCTGATACAACAAGCTCTACTACAGGTAACTTAGACTTTTCCAGCTGACTAGGCAGATTGGTTTCTTGTTTTTCTCCTAGCATAAATAGGAATGTTTTCTGAAGGTGGAATATAATACCAATGGCCAAATTTTCTCCAGCTACATGGAAAGTTTAACATTTGTAAGTAAGAGTCACATGCTTTAATAGAGACACAGAGTGCTTGGGCCAACCTGGTGTCCTGATCTTATTGAATGATTTTCTCTGGTTTCACCAAACATTATTTGGAAAGATAAGCTGGCGATGAGCAGTCTGGCCTAGGTAGCTTACGATGGCCCATCAGGTAGGGAAGAAACACAAGAGAGAAGAAGCAGAGAGGAGTGCCAGGCAGATGTGCCTCCTTGTGGGAGTCAATAGTCCTGGTTGGAGGCAGGCTTCTTTTTGTCTACTGAGTACAGCAAGCCAAGAGGTGATGCTTCCAAATATCACTCTGCTCACACCCTATTCATGACCTTCTCCTATGTCAGAAATGCATGAAAGAGATTAGCATATCAGGAAGGAGTAAATATCAGGTATCAAGCTACCAGAGACAACCAAAACAGAGGTTACCAAAGAACTGAAGGAGACAGTGTCACTTAGGATGAGGTCAAAGCAAGGAGCAGGACTGCAACAGGAGCTTAGGCACTTGTCCATGAGTCAAGGACCTCAGTAATCCACTTGCCATTTAAAACAAATGTAAATTTACCATGTGCCAAGCAGGACTCTTGATTTCTACTCCTAAAACCTGCTCTCCCCTGAATTTCTTCATCATAGCCGTCAAAACAAAATATCACAGACTAGGTATTCTTAAGCAATAGAAATTACTTTCCAACACTTCTGGATGCTCAAGTTCCATGAGGAAGGTGTCAGCAGGTTTAGTTCTTCTGGGCTGTGTCTGCTTGGCATCTAGGTATCTGCCTTCTTGCTGTGTCCTTCCATGGATGTGTATGTACTTCCTGTGTCTCTCTCTACAAATTTCCAGTTCTTATAAGGAATTTCCACTTCTTATAAGGACAGCAATCTTATTGGATTTAGTTCCACTGAAACTCCATCATTTCAGCTTGATAACCTCTTCCTAGGGCTGTTTTCTAAACACAATCATATTCTAAGGGACAAGAAGTTGGTTGTGGATTTTTGTATACCTATGCCTATCATATTTTGCTAAATATTTGATTATATAGAGATTATTTCTTTGGAACTTTGAGCTGTGTGAAGACAACACAAACCTGGCCATTCATGGCTGACAGAAGGTTGGCCCTCAGCCTGGTCAGACCCACACAGATTGTCTAATATTCTTTGATCTGGCTCTAGTCAGAAAAGTCTTGGTGTTGTAGAATACAGGTGTCTTCACGCATTGTATTATTAATATTCATGGGGAGGTTAAAACAAAGTTGGCCCCGAAAACTACCAAGGGGTTCTAGAATGAACAGAATGAATACACAGTTCTTAAAGGGGACATCCTATTTTGTCTTTAAATTTTTTTCCTTGCTCTACCCCTTTGTTAGAATGTTTGATCAGATTCAGTTTGGGATTTACATCTTTTAGGAAATTTTGTTTTTTAATATAGATTCTCGCTCTGTCACCCAGGCTGGAGTGTGGTGTCATGATCCTGGCTTACAGCATCCTTGAACTCCTGTGCTCAGGGGATTCCCCCCGCTTCTGCCTCTTGAGTGGCTTGAATTACAGGTTCATGACACCATGTCCGTTTATTTTTTGTTTGTTTGTTTTAAACTTTTCTTGAAGAGATGGAGCCTCACTTTGCTCAGGCTGGCCTTTTTTTTTTTTTTTTTTTTTTTTTGGAGACGGAGTCTCACTCTGTCCCAGGCTGGAGTGCAGTGGCGCAATCTCTGCTCACTGTAAGCTCCGCCTCCTGGGTTCACGCCATTCTCCTGCCTCAGCCTCCTTAGTAGCTGAGACTACAGGCGCCCACCACCACGCCCGGCTAATTTGGTTTTGTATTTCTAATAGAAACGGGGTTTCACTGTGTTAGCCAGGATGGTCTCGATCTCCTGATCTCATGATCTGCCCGCCTCGGCCTCCCAAAGTGCTGGGATTACAGGCATGAGCCACCGTGTCCGGCCTGGTCTTGAACTTCTGGCCTCAAGGGATCCTCACACCTCACTCTTCCAAAGTCCTGCGATTATAGGCATCAGTTGCCACATTCAGCCTTTCTTCTAGGAAAAATTTTTAATCACTCCCAATTAAAATGCGTGGTCACAATTATATGCTTAAATAAGATGGTCTGGCACCCACATAAAAGCCTCAAGAGTATTGCATTGATCTATTTCTTAGAGCCTGTGATATCTGTCTCCCAGACTGTTCTTTCACACAGAAATTTTTTTCATTTTTGCAATATTCTGAAACTAATTTCTTCCCAGTCTCTTTCTAAAATGTATTTATTGAAATTTTGTGTTCTAAATCAATCTTGCCTGTGTTTACTTTTCATCTTATATCTGACTTCTTTTTAAATGAAATTTGGGAAAATTTTTAAATCTAATCTTCTAAGTAACCATCTATATTTCTTGTTACTCCTTTATTTTTCTTTTTGTTTTTAAAATTTGCATCAATATACTGTGTTTCCAAGGTCTTTTTACTGAGGTTCTGTTGGTAGCTCTCTTTTCATCTGCTGACTTTTCTGTTATATCAAGTAGTTCCTGCCCATCCTTTCATCCTTTTCATGGAAAGCGTAGGTGAGTCAGTATCAACAGCTGCCACTTATCATTTCAGGCTTTGAATAAGTCTCGTGCTGTCATTCAGTTTTTGTTCAGGGATAGTGATAACTTCGGGATGGCCATGTTAGAAGTAATGAGTAGGGGGATGTGACTGGAAATCCTAAAGACAAACTGCTTGATCAGTTGGATGAGGGGATCCTGTGTTGTACACATAAGAATCTGTTCCTGCCCTTCCAGAATGGTTTGAGAATAAAAGGGGATTTCAAAAAGTTTGTGGAAGAATATAATTACAATATGAAAGTAGACATTATGTAAACTTTATTTCTTAACGTAAGCTCCATCACATTCAAGAAGTTTAGCAAGTAATGATACAAGTAATTTAGCCTATCTATAAAAATTGACGATCCTGAAATTAGTTTCAGAATGCAGTCTTTTCACATCATTAACTGAAGAAAACAGAGTACACTTTAAAAATATTTCAATATTAGAAAAAAAATCTGAAGTCCAAAGATACTGCATCAGAACTGTAAGTTGGGTGCCTAGGGATTTTCTTTTTTTTTTTTTTCTTTTTTGTTTTATTTACATAGCTTGGGGAACAGGTGGTGTTTGGTTATGTGAATCAGTTCTGCAGTGGTGATTTGTGAGATTTTGGTGCACCCATCATCCGGGCAGTATACACTGCACCCAGTGTATAAGAGAGAGGTAAAAGTGACGTCTTTTACCCCTCTCCCCTTTCCCACTCTTTCCCCCTGAGTTCCCAAAGTCCATTGTGTCATTCTTATGCCTTCGCATTCTCATAGTTTAGCTCCGATTCATGAGTGAGAACATGCGATGTTGGCTTTTCCATTCCTAAGTTGCTTGACTTAGAATGATAACATCAACTTATGAGAGAGTATGGAGTAAGTTAGCCAAAACTTTAGCAGGGAAATGCCCGGAAAAGCTTTAGCAGAGAGTTCTTATCCATCACAACAATGCTCCTGCTCATTTCTCTCATGAAACAAGGGCAATTTTGCCAGACTTATGAGGGACATTCACTAGGCATCCAATCTCATCCATTTATCTGCTAAAGATTTGGCTAACTTTCTCCAAACTCCAAACTTATAAGCTGATGTCGTCATCTTTGACCCTCCAGAAAGTTAACAAACAAAATACCTCGAACATCCAAAAATACCGTTGACATGATGTTTGCTCTTGTCGCATTTATTTAGACTAGACCACTTCCACCTCTTGGTAGCCATTGCTTTGATTGTGTTTTTCCTTTAGGATGGCACTGGTAAAGCCATGTTTGATTTCCTGTTACAACTCTCCAAAGAAATGCTTTAGGATCTTTTCTTTTCTTTTCTTCTACTTCCTACTTCTTTAATTTTTCATTGAACCTTCTGTTCTTCTCTGTAGCTGACTCAGGTACAGCAGTTTTGGCCATCATCAAGTCGATAGTTTGCTCAACTTTAATTTTTCAGCCAGAAAAAAATTTATGTAATCTGAACCAATTGACAGTCTTCTTGTGCTAGCCCTTTTTTCTGCTGTTAACTGTGAGGTCTCTTCAATTGGAATAAAAGAAGATAAAATTTTTGCCCATAAGTTGCTGTGTATGGTCTGCTGCTGCAGAGTTCATCTTCACCATCATCTAGTCAATTCTTAAAAGGAGTTATCCATTTGTGAAGGGCTGATTTACTTGGGCACAAATATTTCATGATGCATCAGTGATTTCACCATCCCTCCGCCCAAGCTGCATCATAAACTTGATATTTGTTCTTGATACAATTTTAGTAGAATATTTGTTGATCTGATAGAAGTTGTTTTCAAACTGCTGTCTCAACCATGTTAGTGACTGAACTATATCCTTTTCAGACATGTTGTAACAAGTTAGTAAAAATGTATTTTGGTATGAAAAATGTTTGTATCCCTGCATAATTTTAAAAAATAATATATATTTTCCACAAACAGTTTGAAGATGCCTTATATTACTGGAAGTTGTCCTCATACAATGAAGTTTGTTGCTGATTACTCTGCCATTGGCTGGTGATCAGGCAGATTGTTGTTTTCCTCCCTCACCCCTTCTGGAATATTAGGGATGTTTGCTAAGAGGAAATATATTACCAGTTAGCAATTCTTCTTTGGCTATGCAATAATAAAACAATTGTAGCTTGGCTTTATGTGCTTTATGGGAGGCACAGAATAGTTGCCTGGCCTAGCAGGTACCCTAATGTTATTGGGATGAGTGTCACTACATTCCACACACACTAATTGGACAGGGAAACTGGAGATGAATGTTCCTGCTTAGTGACTTATGCTGGACCTTCTAAGTAGGAAAGGAAGATCAGAGGGCAGGCACAGAGGGAAGTGCCATGCAGACTTGCCTCGTTGCATAGGTTCCTGTAGAAGTGATAGTCCTGGTGAAAGAAAGGCTCCCCCTTGTCTTGGTGAATACAGGAAGACAGCAAGCATTGCCTTCAAATATCACTCAGCTCACGCCCTTTCCCTGACATTTTCCAATGTCAGCAATGAGTGAAAAAGATTAGTGTATTAGAGAAGAATAAAAATCAGCTATGAACTCTCCAGACACAAATAAAACAGAGGTGACAGAAGAGCTGAAAGAGACCCTGTCAGTGAGTGAGGATGGGGTCAAAGTGAGGAGCAGGACTGCAACAGGAGCTCAGGCACCTTTCTGTCAGTTGAAGCTCTCAACAATTTGCATCAATATACTGTGTTTCCAAGGTCTTTTGGGTTGGGAACCAACCCAAATGTCCATCAATGATAGACTGAATTAAGAACACGTGGCACATATACACCATGGAATACTGTGCAGTGATAAAAAACGATTAGTTCATGTCCTTTGTAGCGACATGGATGAAGCAGGAAACCATCATTCTGAGCAAACTATCACAAGGAAAGAAAACCAAACACCAAATGTTCTCACTCATAGGTGGGAATTGAACAATGAGAACACTTGGACACAGTGTGGGGAACATCACACACCAGGGCCTGTTGTGTGGTGGGGAGATGGGGGAGGGATAGCATTAGGAGAAATATCTAATGTAAATGATGAGTTAATGGGTGCAGCAAACCAACATGGCACAAGTATACATATGTAACAAACCTGCACATTGTGCAAATGTACCCTAGAACTTAAAGAATAATAAGAAAAAATAAAATAAAATAAAATTGACACCCTAACATCACAATTAAAAGAACTAGAGAAGCAAGAGCAAACAAATTCAAAAGCTAGCAGAAGACAAGAAATAACTAAGATCAGAGCAGAACTGAAGGAGATAGAGACATGAAAAACCCTTCAAAAAATCAATGAATCCAGTTGCTGGTTTTTTGAAAAGATTAACAAAATATATAGAGCACTAGCCAGACTAATAAAGAAGAAAAGAGAGAAGAATTAAATAGACACAATAAAAAATGATAAAGGGAATATTACCAGTGTCCCACTGATATACAAACTACCATCACAGAATACCATAAACACCTCTACACAAATAAACTAGAAAATCTAGAAGAAAAGGACAAATTCCTGGACACATTCACACTCCAGACACTAAGCCAGGAAGAAGTTGAATCGCTGAATAGACCAATAAAAAGTTCTGAAATTGAGGTAGTAATTAATAACCTACCAAGAAAAAAAGCCCAGGACCAGCTGGATTCACAGCCGAATTATACCAGAGGTACAAAGAGCTGCTGGTACCATTCCTTCTGAAAATATTCCATACAATAGAAAAAGAGGCACGCCTTCCTAACTCATTTTATGAGGCCAGCATCATCCTGACACCAAAACCTAGCAGAGACACAACAAAAAAAACAAAATTTTAGGCCAATATCCCTCATGAACATCAATGCGAAAATCCTCTATAAAATACTGGCTAACCGAATCCAGCAGCACATCAAAAACCTTATCCACCGTGATCAAGTCAGCTTCATCCCTGGGATGCAAGGCTGGTTGAACAAACAGAAATCAATAAATGTAATCCGTCAAGTAAACAGAACAAATGACAAAAAGCACATGATTATCTCAATAGATGCAGAAAAGGCCTCTGATGAAATTCAACACCCATTCATTCTAAACATAATAAACTAGGTATTGATGAAACATATCTCAAAATAATAAGACCTATTTATGAAAAACCCATAGCCAATATCATACAGAATGGGCAAAACTGGTAGCATTCCCTCTGAAAACCTGCACAAGACAAGAATGCCCTCTCTCACCACTCCTATTCAACATAGTATTGGAAGTTCTGGCCAGGGCAATTAGGAAAGAGAAAGAAATAAAGGTATTCAAATAGAAAGAGAGGAAGTCAAATTGTCTCTGTTTGCAGATGATATGATTGTATATTTAGAAAACACCATCATCTCAGCCCCAAAACTCCTTAAGCTAATAAGCAACTTCAGCAAAGTCTTAGGATACAAAATCAATGTACGAAAATCACAAGCATTCTTATACACCAATAACAGACAAACAGCCAAATCATGAGTGAACTCCCATTCACAATTGCTTCAAAGAGAATAAAATACCTAGGAATCCAACTTACAAGGGATGTGAAGGACCTCTACAAGGAGAACTACAAACCACTGCTCAAGGGAATCAGAGAGGACACAAACGAATGGAAAAACATTCCAGGCTCATGGATAGGAAGAATCAATATTGTGAAAATGGCCACAATGCTCAAAGTAATTTATAGATTCAACACTATTCCCATCAAACTACCATTGACTTTCTTCAGAGAATTAGAAAAAACTACTTTAAATTTCATATGGAACTAAAAAGAGCCCATATTGCCAAGACAATACTAAGCAAAAAGAACAAAGCTGGAGGCATCATGCAACCTGATTTCAAACTATACTACAAGGCTACAGTAACCAAAATGGCATGGTACTGGTACCAAAACAGATATATAGACCAATGGAACAGAACAGAGGCCTCAGAAATCACGCCACACATCTACAACCATCTGCTCTTTGACAAACCTGACAAAAACAAGCAATGGGGAATGGTTTCCCTATTTAATAAACGGTGTTTGGAAAACTGACTAGCCATATGCAGAAAACTGAAAATGTACCCCTTCCTTACACCTTACACAAAAATTAACTAATTGAAGAGGTCCTTCACATCCCTTGTAAGTTAGATTCCTAGGTAGTTTATTCTCTTTGAAGCAATTGTGAATGGGAGTTCATCATGATTTGGCTGTTTCTCTGTTGTTGGTATATAAGAATGCTTGTGATTTTTGCACATTGATTTTGTATCCTGAGACTTTGCTGAAGTTGCTTATCAGCTTAAGGAGATTTTGGGCTGAGACGATGGGGTTTTCTAGATATACAATAATGTCATCTGCAAACAGAGACAATTTGACTCCCTCTTTTCCTAATTGAATACACTTTCTTTCTTTCTCCTTTCTGATTGCCCTGGCCAGAACTTCCTCAACAAAATAAAAGAAGATACAAATGGAAGAAAACTCCATGCTCATGGATAGGAAGAATCAAAATCGTGAAAATGGCCATACTGCCCAAGGTAATTTACAGATTCAATGCCATCCCCATCAAGCTACCAATGACTTTCTTCACAGAATTGGAAAAAACTAATTTAAAGTTCATATGGAACCAAAAAAGAGCCTGCATTGCCAAGTCGATCCTAAGCCAAAAGAACAAAGCTAGAGGCATCAGGCTACCTGACTTCAAACTATACTACAAGGCTACAGTAACCAAAACAGCATGGTACTGGTACCAAACCAGAGATATAGACCAATGGGACAGAACAGAGCCCTCAGAAATAATACCACATGTCTACAACTATCTGATCTTTGACAAACCTGACAAAAACAAGAAATGGGGAAAGGATTCCCTATTTAACAAATGGTGCTGGGAAAACGGGCTAGCTATATGTAGAAAGCTGAAACTGGATCCCTTCCTTACACCTTTACACCTTATACAAAAATTAATTCAAGATGGATTAAAGACTTAAATGTTAAATCTAAAACCATAAAAACCCTAGAAGAAAACCTAGGCAATACCATCCAGGACATAGACATGGGCAAGGACTTCATGTCTAAAACACCAAAAGCAATGACAACAGAAGCAAAAATTGACAAATGGGATCTAATTAAACTAAAGAGATTCTGAGCAACAAAAGAAACTACCATCAGAGTGAGCAGATGCCACTCTGTAGCAACCTACAGAGGGGGAGAAAATTTTTGCAAGCTGCTCATCTGACAAAGGGCTAATATCCAGAATCTACAATGAACTCAGACAAATTTACAAGAAAAAAGCAAACAACCCCATCAACAAATGGGTGAAGGATATGAACAGACACTTCTCAAAAGAAGACATTTATGCAGCCAACAGACACAGGAAAAAATGCTCATCATCACTGGCCATCAGAGAAATGCAAATCAAAACCGCAATGAGATACTATCTCACACCAGTTAGAATGGCAATCATTAAAATGTCAGTAAAAGACAGGTGCTGGAGAGGAGGGGAGAAATAGGAACACTTTTACACTGTTGGTGAGAGTGTAAACTGGTTCAACCATTGTGGAAGACAGTGTGGTGATTCCTCAGGGATCTAGAGCTAGAAATACCATTTGACCCAGCCATCCCATTACTGGATATATACCCAAAGGATTATAAATCATGCTGCTATAAAGACACATGCATACGTATGTTTATTGCAGCACTATTCACAATAGCAAAGACCTGGAACCAACCCGAATGTCCAACAATGATAGACTGGATTAAGAAAATGTGGTGAGGCTGGAGCCAAGACGGCCAAATAGGAACAGCTCTGGTCTACAGCTCCCAGCATGAGCAACGCAGAAGATGGGTGATTTCTGCATTTCCATCTGAGGTACGTGGTTCATCTCACTAGGGAGTGCCAGACAGTGGGCGCAGGACAGTGGGTGCAGTGCACCGTGTGTGAGCTGAAGCAGGGCGAGGCATTGCCTCACTCAGGAAGCACAAGGGGTCAGGGAGTTCCCTTTCCTAGTCAAAGAAAGGGGTCACAGATGGCACCTGGAAAATCGGGTCACTCCCACCCCAATACTGCGCTTTTCCAACAGGATTAAAAAACGGTGCATCAGGAGATTATATCCTGCACCTGGCTCAGAGGGTTCTACGCCCACGGAGTCTCGATGATTGCTAGCACAGCAGTCTGAGATCAAACTGCAAAGCGGCAGAGAGGCTGGGGGAGGGGCGCCCGCCATTGCCCAGGCTTGCTTAGGTAAACAAAGCAGCCGGGAAGCTCGAACTGAGTGGAGCCCACCACAGCTCAAGGAGGCCTGCCTGCCTCTGTAGGTTCCACCTCTGGGGGCAGGGCACAGACAAAAAAAAAGACAGCAGTAACCTCTGCAGACTTAAATGTCCCTGTCTGACAGCTTTGAAGAGAGCAGTGGTTCTCCCAGCATGCAGCTGGAGATCTGAGAATGGGCAGACTGCCTCCTCAAGTGGGTCCCTGACCCCTGAACCCTGAGCAGCCTAAATGGGAGGCACCCCCTGGTAAGGGCAGACTGACACCTCACACAGCTGGGTACTCCTCTGAGACAAAACTTCCAGAGGAACGATCAGACAGCAGCATTCGCAGTTCACGAAACTCTGCTGTTCTGCAGCCACTGCAGCTGGTACCCAGGAAAACCAGGTCTGGAGTGGACCTCTAGCAAACTCCAACAGACCTGCAGCTGAGGGTCCTGTCTGTTAGAAGGAAAACTAACAAACAGAAAGGACATCCACACCAAAAACCCATCTGTACATCACCATCATCAAAGACCAAAACTAGATAAAACCACAAAGATGGGGAAAAAACAGAGCAGAAAAACTGGAAACTCTAAAAAGCAGAGTGCCTTTCCTCCTCCAAAGGAAAGCAGCTCCTCACCAGCAATAGAACAAAGCTGGACGCAGAATGACTTTGATGAGTTGAGAAAAAAAGGCTTCAGACGATCAAACTACTCCAAGCTACAGGAGGAAATTCAAACCAAAGGCAAAGAAGTTGAAAACTTTGAAAAAACTTTAGACGAATGTATAACTAGAATAACCAATACAAAGAAGTGCTTAAAGGAGCTGACGGAGCTGAAAGCCAAGGCTCAAGAACTACGTGAAGAATGCGGAAGCCTCAAGAGCTGATGCGATCAACTGGAAGAAAGGGTATCGTGATGGAAGATGAAATGAATGAAATGAAGCGAGAAGGGAACTTTAGAGAAAAAAGAATAAAAAGAAATGAACAAAGCCTCCAAGAAATATGGGACTATGTGAAAAGACCAAATCTACGTCTGATTGGTGTGCCTGAAAGTGACAGGGAGAATGGAACCAAGTTGGAAAACACTCTGCAGGATATTATCCAGGAGAACTTCCCCAATCTAGCAAGGCAGGCCAACATTCAGACTCAGGAAATACAGAGAATGCCACAAAGATACTCCTCGAGAAGAGCAACTCCAAGACACATAATTGTCAGATTCACCAAAGTTGAAATGAAGGAAAAAATGTTAAGGGCAGCCAGAGAGAAAGGTTGGGTTACCCACAAAGGGAAGCCCATCAGACTAACAGTGGATCTCCAGGCAGAAACTCTACAAGCCAGAAGAGAGTGGGGGCCAATATTCAACAATCTTAAAGAAAAGAATTTCAACCCAGAATTTCATATCCAGCCAAACTAAGCTTCATAAGTGAAACACAAATAAAATCCTCTAAAGACAAGCAAATGCTGATAGATTTTGTCACCACCAGGCCTGCCCTAAATGAGCTCCTGAAGGAAGCACTAAACATGGAAAGGAACAACCGGTACCAGCCACTGCAAAATCATGCCAAATTGTAAAGACCATCAAGGCTAGGAAGAAACTGCATCAACTAACAAGCAAAACAACCAGCTAACATCATAATGGCAGGATCAAATTCACACATAACAATATTAACTTTAAATATAAATGGACTAAATGCTCCAATTAAAAGACACAGACTGGCAAATTGGATAAAAAGTCAAGACCCATCAGTGTGCTGTATTCAGGAAACACATCTCACGTGCAGAGACACACATAGGCTCAAAATAAAAGGATGGAGGAAGATCTACCAAGCAAATGGAAAACAAAAAAAGGCAGGGATTGCAAACCTACTCTCTGATAAAACAGACTTTCAACCAACAAAGATGAAAAGAGACAAATAAGGCCATTACATAATGGTAAAGGGATCAATTCAACAAGAAGAGCTAACTATCCTGAATATATATGCACCCAATACAGGAGCACCCAGGTTCATAAAGCAAGTCCTGAGTGACCTACAAAGAGACTTAGACTCCCACACAATAATAATGGGAGACTTTAACACCCCACTGTCAACATTAGACAGATCAACAAGACAGAAAGTTAACAAGGCTACCCAGGAATTGAACTCAGCTCTGCACCAAGCGGACCTAATAGACATCTACAGAACTCTCCACCCCAAATCAACAGAATATACAGTTTTTTCAGCACCACACCACACCTATTCCAAAATTGACCACATAGTTGGAAGTAAAGCTCTCCTCAGCAAATGTAAAATATCAGAAATTATAACAAACTGTCTCTCAGACCACAGTGCAATCAAACGAGAACTCAGGATTAAGAAACTCACTCAAAACTGCTCAACTACATGGAAACTGAACAACCTGCTCCTGAATGACTACTGGGTACATAACGAAATGAAGGCAGAAATAAAGATGTTCTTTGAAACCACTGAGAACAAAGATACAACATACCAGAATCTCTGGGACACATTCAAAGCAGTGTGTAGAGGGAAATTTATAGCACTAAATGCCCACAAAAGAAAGCAGGAAAGATCTAAAATTGACACCCTAACATCACAATTAAAAGAACTAGAAAAGCAAGAGCAAACACATTCAAAAGCTAGCAGAAGGCAAGAAATAACTAAAATCAGAGCAGAACTGAAGGAAATAGAGACACAAAAACACTTCAAAAAATTAACGAATCCAATAGTTGGTTTTTTGAAAGGATCAACAAAATTGATAGACCGCTAGCAAGACTAATATAGAAGAAAACAGAGAAGAATCAAATAGACGCAATAAAAATGACAAAGGGGATATCACCACCGATCCCACAGAAATACAAACTACCATCAGAGAATACTACAAACACCTCTATGCAAATAAACTAGAAAATCTAGAAGAAATGGATAAATTCCTTGACACATACACCCTCCCAAGACTAAACCAGGAAGAAGTTGACTCTCTGAATAGACCAATAACTGGATCTGAAATTGTGGCAATAATCAATAGCTTACCAACCAAAAAGGTCCAGGACCAGGTGGATTCACAGCCGAATTCTACCAGAGGTACAAGGAGGAACTGGTACCATTCCTTCTGAAACTATTCTAATCAATAGAAAAAGAGGGACTCACTAACTCATTTTATGAGGCCAGCATCATCCTGATACCAAAGCCTGGCAGAGATGCAACCAAAAAAGAGAATTTTAGACCAATATCCTTGATGAACATTGATGCAACAATCCTCAATAAAATACTGGCAAACCAAATCCAGCAGCACATCAAAAAGCTTATCCACCATGATCAAGAGGGCTTCATCCCTGGGATACAAGGCTGGTTCAATATATGCAAATCAATAAATGTTATCCAGCATATGAACAGAACCAAAGACAAAAACCACATGATTATCTATGCAGAAAAGGCCTTTGACAAAATTCAACAACACTTCATGCTAAAAACTCGCAATAAATTAGGTATTGATGGGACATATCTCAAAATAATAAGAGCTATTTATGACAAACCCACAGCCAATATCATACTGAATGGGCAAAAACTGGAAGCATTCCCTTTGAAAACTGGCACAAGACAGGGATGCCCTCTCTCACCACTCCTATTCAACATAGTATTGGAAGTTCTGGCCAGGGCAACGAGGCAGGACAAGGAAATAAGGCATATTCAGTTAGGAAAAGAGGAAGTCAAATTGTCCCTGTTTGCAGATGACATGATTGTATATCTAGATAACCCCATTGTTTCAGCCCAAAATCTCCTTAAGCTGATAAGCAACTTCAGCAAAGTCTCAGGATACAAAATCAATGTACAAAAATCACAAGCATTCTTATACACAAATAACAGACAAACAAAGAGCCAAATCATGAGTGAACTCCCATTCGCAATTGCTTCAAAGAGAATAAAATACCTAGGAATCCAACTTACAAGGGATGTGAAGGACCTCTTCAAGGAGAACTACAAACCACTGCTCAAGGAAATAAAAGAGGATACAAACAAATGGAAGAACATTCCATGCTCATGGGTAGGAAGAATCAATATCATGAAAATGGCCATACTGCCCAAGGTAATTTCAATGCCATCCCCATCAAGCTACCAATGACTTCCTTCACAGAATTGGAAAAAACTACTTTAAAGTTCATATGGAACCAAAAAAGAGCCCTCATCGCCAAGTCAATCCTAAGCCAAAAGAACAAAGTTGGAGGCATCACGCAACCTGACTTCAAACTATACTACAAGGCTACAGTAACCAAAACAGCATGGTACTGGTACAAAAACAGAGATATAGACCAATGGAACAGAAAAGAGCCCTCAGAAATAATGCTGCATATCTACAACTATCTGATCTTTGACAAACCTGAGAAAAACAAGCAATGGGGAAAGGATTCCCTATTTAATAAATGGTGCTGGGAAAAGAGGCTAGCCATATGTAGAAAGCTGAAACTAGATCCCTTCCTTACACCTTATACAAAAATTAATTCAAGATGCATTAAAGACTTAAACATTAGACCTAAAACCACAAAAACCCTAGAAGAAAACCTAGGCATTACCATTCAGGACATAGGCATGGAGAAGGACTTCATGTCTAAAACACCAAAAGCAATGGCAACAAAAGCCAAAATTGACAAATGGGATCTAATTAAACTCAAGAGCTTCTGTACAGCAAAAGAAACTACCATCAGAGTGAACAGGCAACCTACAAAATGGGAGAAAATTTTCACAACCTACTCATCTGACAAAGGGCTAATATCCGGAATCTACAATAAACTCAAACAAATTTACAAGAAAAAAAACAAACAACCCCATCAAAAAGTGGGCGAAGGACATGAACAGACATTTCTCAAAAGAAGACATTTATGCAGCCAAAAAACACATGAAAAAATGCTCACCATCACTGGCCATCAGATAAATGCAAATCAAAACCACAATGAGATACCATCTCACACCAGTTAGAATGGCAATCATTAAAAAGTCCAGAAACAACAGGTGCTGGAGAGGATGTGGAGAAATAGGAACACTTTTACACTGTTGGTGGGACTGTAAACTAGTTCGACCCTTGTGGAAGTCAGTGTGGCGATTCCTCAGGGATCTAGAACTAGAAATACCATTTGACCCAGCCATCCCATTACAGGATATATACCCAAAGGACTATAAATCATGCTGCTATAAAGACACATGCACACGTATGTTTATTGCAGCACTATTCACAATAGCAAAGACTTGGAACCAAGCCAAATGTCCAACAACGATAGACTGGATTAAGAAAATGTGGCACATATACACCATGGAATACTATGCAGCCATAAAAAATGATGACTTCATTTCCTTTATAGGGACATGGATGAATCTGGAAACCATCATTCTCAGCAAACTATCGCAAGGACAAAAAACCAAACATCACATGTTCTCACTCATAGGTGGGAATTAAACAATGAGAACACTTGGACACAGGAAGGGGACATCACACACTGGCGTCTGTTGTTAGGGTGGGGGTAGGGGGGAGGGATAGCATTAGGAAATATATCTAATGTAAAAGACGAGTTAATGGATGCAGCACACCAACATGGCACATATATACATATGTGACAAACCTGCACATTGTGCACATGTACCCTAGAACTTAAAGTATAATAATTTAAGAAATTAACTCAAGATGGATTAAAGACTTAAATGTAAGACCAAATCCATAAAATCCCTGGAAGAATACCTAGACAATATCATTCAGGACATGGGCATGGGCAAAACTTTATGACTAAAACACCAAAAGCAATTGCAAGAAAAGCCAAAATTGACAAATGGAATCTAATTAAACTAAAGAGCTTCTGCACAGTAAAAGACACTATCATTAGAGTGAACAGGCAACCAACAGAATGGGAGAAAAATTTTGCAATCTATCCATCTGACGAAATCTAATATCCAGAATCTACAAGTAACTTAAACAAATTTACAAGAAAATAACAAACAACCATATCAAAAAGTGGGTGAAGGATATGAACAGACATATCTCAAAAAAAGACATTTATGTGTCCAACAAACATGAAAAAAAGCTCATCATCACTGATCATTACAGAAATGTAAATCAAAAACGCAATGAGATACCATCTCATGCCAGTTAGAATGGTGATTATTAAAAAGTCAGGAAACAGACTGGGCACAGTGGCTGATGCCTGTAATCCCAGCATTTTGGGAGGCCGAGGTGGGCAGATCACTTGAAGTCAGGAGTTTGAGACCAGCCTGACCCACATGGTGAAACCCTGTCTCTACTAAAAATACAACATTAGCTGGGCATGTTGGTGCATGAGTGTAATCCCAGCTACTCAGGAGACTGAGTATCACTGGAACCCGTGAGGCAGAGGTTGCAGTGAACCCAGATCCCACAATTGCACTCCAGCCTGGGCAACAAAGAACAAAACTCTGTCAAAAAAAAAATATATATATATACACAAAAATTAGCCAGTCATGGTAGTACGCACCTGTAATCCCAGCTACTCAGGAGGCCGAAGCAGGAGACTCACTTGAACCCAGGAGGCAGAGGTTGCAGTGAGCTGAGATCGGGCCACTGCACTCCAGTCTGGGTGACAGAGCCAGACTCTGTCTCCAAAACAAACAAACAAAAAAAAAGTCAGAAAACAACAGATGCTGGAGAGAATGTGGAGAAATAGGAACAGTCTTACACTGCTGGTGGGAGTGTAAATTAGTTCAACCATTGTGGAAGACTGTGTGGCAATTCCTCAAGGATCTAAAATCAGAAATATTATTTGACCCAGCAATCCCATTACTGGGTATATACCCAAATGATTATAAATCTCTCTACTATAAAGACACATGCACGCGTATATTTATTGCAGCACTATTTACAAGACCAAAGACTTGGAACCAGCGAAATGCCCATCAATGATAGACTGGATAAAAAAAATGTGGGTATTTGGCGGGGAGGAGCCAAGATGGCCGAATAGGAACAGCTCCGGTCTACAGCTCCCAGCGTGAGCGACACAGAAGACGGGTGATTTCTGCATTTCCATCTGAAGTACCGGGTTCATCTCACTAGGGAGTGCCAGACAGTGGGCGCAGGCCAGTGGGTGCGCGCACCGTGCGCGAGCCAAAGCAGGGCGAGGCATTGCCTCACCTGGGAAGCGCAAGGGGTCAGGGAGTTCCCTTTCTGAGTCAAAGAAAGGGGTGACGGACGCACCTGGAAAATCGGGTCACTCCCACCCGAATATTGCGCTTTTCAGACCAGCTTAAAAAACGGTGCACCACGAGACTATATCCCACACCTGGCTCGGAGGGTCCTACACCCACGGAATCTCACTGATTGCTAGCACAGCAGTCTGAGATCAAACTGCAAGGCGGCAGCGAGGCTGGGGGAGGGGCGCCCGCCATTGCCCAGGCTTGCTTAGGTAAACAAAGCAGCCGGGAAGCTCAAACTGGGTGGAGCCCACCACAGCTCAAGGAGGCCTGCCTGCCTCTGTAGGCTCCACCTCTGCGGGCAGGGCACAGACAAACAAAAAGACAGCAGTAACCTCTGCAGACTTAAATGTCCCTGTCTGACAGCTTTGAAGAGAGCAGTGGTTCTCCCAGCACGCAGCTGGAGATCTGAGAATGGGCAGACTGCCTCCTCAAGTGGGTCCCTGACCCCTGACCCCCGAGCAGCCTAACTGGGAGGCACCCCCCAGCAAGGGCACACTGACACCTCACACAGCAGGGTATTCCAACAGACCTGCAGCTGAGGGTCCTGTCTGTTAGAAGGAAAACTAACAAACAGAAAGGACATCCACACCAAAAACCCATCTGTACATCACCATCATCAAAGACCAAAAGTAGATAAAACCACAAAGATGGGGAAAAAACAGAACAGAAAAACTGGAAACTCTAAAATGTAGAGCGCCTCTCCTCCTCCAAAGGAAAGCAGTTCCTCACCAGCAACGGAAAAAAGCTGGATGGAGAATGATTTTGATGAGCTGAGAGAGGAAGGCTTCAGACGATCAAATTACTCTGAGCTACAGGAGGACATTCAAACCAAAGGCAAAGAAGTTGAAAACTTTGAAAAAAGTTTAGAAGAATGTATAACTAGAATAACCAATACAGAGAAGTGCTTAAAGGAGCTGATGGAGCTGAAAACCAAGGCTCGAGAACTACGTGAAGAATGCAGAAGCCTCAGGAGCCGATGCGATCAACTGTAAGAAAGGGTATCAGCAATGGAAGATGAAATGAATGAAATGAAGTGAGAAGGGAAGTTTAGAGAAAAAAGAATAAAAAGAAATGAGCAAAGCCTCCAAGAAATATGGGACTATGTGAAAAGACCAAATCTATGTCTGATTGGTGTACCTGAAAGTGACAGGGAGAATGGAACCAAGTTGGAAAACACTCTGCAGGATATTATCCAGGAGAACTTCCCCAATCTAGCAAGGCAGGCCAACGTTCAGATTGAGGAAATACAGAGAATGCCACAAAGATACTCCTCGAGAAGAGCAACTCCAAGACACATAATTGTCAGATTCACCAAAGTTGAAATGAAGGAAAAAATGTTAAGGGCAGCCAGAGAGAAAGGTCGGGTTACCCTCAAAGGGAAGCCCATCAGACTAACAGCGGATCTCTCGGCAGAAACCCTACAAGCCAGAAGAGAGTGGGGGCCAATATTCAACATCCTTAAAGAAAAGAATTTTCAACCCAGAATTTCATATCCAGCCAAACTAAGCTTCATAAGTGAAGGAGAAATAAAATACTTTACAGACAAGCAAATGCTGAGAGATTTTGTCACCACCAGGCCTGCCCTAAAAGAGCTCCTGAAGGAAGCACTAAACATGGAAAGGAACAACCGGTACCAGCCGCTGCAAAATCATGCCAAAATGTAAAGACCATTGAGACTAGGAAGAAACTGCATCAACTAACGAGCAAAATCACCAGCTAACATCATAATGACAGGATCAAATTCACACATAACAATATTAACTTTAAATGTAAATGGACTAAGTTCTCCAATTAAAAGACACAGACTGGCAAGTTGGATAAAGAGTCAAGACCCATCAGTGTGCTGTATTCAGGAAACCCATCTCACGTGCAGAGACACACATAGGCTCAAAATAAAAGGATAGAGGAAGATCTACCAGGCAAATGGAAAACAAAAAAAGGCAGGGGTTGCAATCCTAGTCTCTGATAAAACAGACTTTAAACCAACAAAGATCAAAAGAGACAAAGAAGGCCATTACATAATGGTAAAGGGATCAATTCAACAAGAGGAGCTAACTATCCTAAATATATATGCACCCAATACAGGAGCACCCAGATTCATAAAGCAAGTCCTGAGTGACCTACAAAGAGACTTAGACTCCCACACATTAATAATGGGAGACTTTAACACCCCACTGTCAACATTAGACAGATCAATGAGACAGAAAGTCAACAAGGATACCCAGGAATTGAACTCAGCTCTGCACCAAGCGGACCTAATAGACATCTACAGAACTCTCCACCCCAAATCAACAGAATATACATTTTTTTCAGCACCACACCACACCTATTCCAAAATTGACCACATAGTTGGAAGTAAAGCTCTCCTCAGCAAATGTAAAAGAACAGAAATTATAACAAACTATCTCTCAGACCACAGTGCAATCAAACTAGAACTCAGGATTAAGAATCTCACTCAAAGCCGCTCAACTACTTGGAAACTGAACAACCTGCTCCTGAATGACTACTGGGTACATAACGAAATGAAGGCAGAAATAAAGATGTTCTTTGAAACCAACGAGAACAAAGACACAACATACCAGAATCTCTGGGACACATTCAAAGCAGTGTGTAGAGGGAAATTTATAGCACTAAATGCCCACAAAAGAAAGCAGGAAAGATCCAAAATTGACACCCTAACATCACAATTAAAAGAACTAGAAAAGCAAGAGCAAACACATTCAAAAGCTAGCAGAAGGCAAGAAATAACTAAAATCAGAGCAGAACTGAAGGAAATAGAGACACAAAAAACCCTTCAAAAAATCAATGAATCCGGGAGCTGGTTTCTTGAAAGGATCAACAAAATTGATAGACCGCTAGCAAGACTAATAAAGAAAAAAAGAGAGAAGAATCAAATAGACACAATAAAAAATGATAAAGGGGATATCACCACCGATCCCACAGAAATACAAACTACCATCAGAGAATACTACAAACACCTCTATGCAAATAAACTAGAAAATCTAGAAGAAATGGATACATTCCTCGACACATACACTCTCCCAAGACTAAACCAGGAAGAAGTTGAATCTGAATAGACCAATAACAGGAGCTGAAATTGTGGCAATAATCAATAGTTTACCAACCAAAAAGAGTCCAGGACCAGATGGATTCACAGCCGAATTCTACCAGAGGTACAAGGAGGAACTGGTACCATTACTTCTGAAACTATTCCAATCAATAGAAAAAGAGGGAATCCTCCCTAACTCATTTTATGAGGCCAGCATCATTCTGATACCAAAGCCGGGCAGAGACACAACCAAAAAAGAGAATTTTAGACCAATATCCTTGATGAACATTGATGCAAAAATCCTCAATAAAATACTGGCAAACCGAATCCAGCAGCACATCAAAAAGCTTAACCACCATGATCAAGTGGGCTTCATCCCTGGGATGCAAGGCTGGTTCAATATACGCAAATCAATAAATGTAATCCAGCATATAAACAGAGCCAAAGACAAAAACCACATGATTATCTCAATAGATGCAAAAAAAGCCTTTGACAAAATTCAACAACCCTTCATGCTAAAAACTCTCAATAAATTAGGTATTGATGGGACGTATTTCAAAATAATAAGCGCTATCTATGACACACCCACAGCCAATATCAGACTGAATGGGCAAAAACTGGAAGCATTCCCTTTGAAAACTGGCACAAGACAGGGATGCCCTCTCTCACCGCTCCTATTCAACATAGTGTTGGAAGTTCTGGCCAGGGCAATCAGGCAGGAGAAGGAAATAAAGGGTATTCAATTAGGAAAAGAGGAAGTCAAATTGTCCCTGTTTGCAGATGACATGATTGTTTATCTAGAAAACCCCATTGTCTCAGCCCAAAATCTCCTTAAGCTGATAAGCAACTTCCTCAAAGTCTCAGGATACAAAATCAATGTACAAAAATCACAAGCATTCCTATACACCAACAACAGACAAACAGAGAGCCAAATCATGAGTGAACTCCCATTCACAATTGCTTCAAAGAGAATAAAATACCTAGGAATCCAACTTACAAGGGATGTGAAGGACCTCTTCAAGGAGAACTACAAACCACTGCTCAATGAAATAAAAGAGGATACAAACAAATGGAAGAACATTCCATGCTCATGGGTAGGAAGAATCAATATCGTGAAAATGGCCATACTGCCCAAGGTAATTTACAGATTCAATGCCATCCCCATCAAGCTACCAATGACTTTCTTCACAGAATTGGAAAAAACTACTTTAAAGTTCATATGGAACCAAAAAAGAGCCCACATCGCCAAGTCAATCCTAAGCCAAAAAAACAAAGCTGGAGGCATCACACTACCTGACTTCAAACTATACTACAAGGCTACAGTAACCAAAACAGCATGGTACTGGTACCAAAACAGAGATATAGATCAATGGAACAGAACAGAGCCCTCAGAAATAACACCGCATACCTACAACTATCTGATCTTTGACAAACCTGAGAAAAACAAGCAATGGGGAAAGGATTCCCTATTTAATAAATGGTGCTGGGAAAACTGGCTAGCCATATGTAGAAAGCTGAAACTGGATCCCTTCCTTACACCTTATACAAAAATCAATTCAAGATGGATTAAAGACTTAAACGTTAGACCTAAAACCATAAAAACCCTAGAAGAAAACCTAGACATTACCATTCAGGACCTAGGCATGGGCAAGGACTTCATGTCCAAAACACCAAAAGCAATGGCAACCAAAGCCAAAATTGACAAATGGGATCTAATTAAACTCAAGAGCTTCTGCACAGCAAAATAAACTACCATCAGAGTGAACAGGCAACCTACAGAATGGGAGAAAATTTTCACAACCTACTCATCTGACAAAGGGCTAATATCCAGAATCTACAATGAACTCAAACAAATTTACAAGAAAAAAACAAACAACCCCATCAAAAAGTGGGCGAGGGATATGAAAAGACACTTCTCAAAAGAAGACATTTATGCAGCCAAAAAACACATGAAAAAATGCTCATCATCACTGGCCATCAGAGAAATGCAAATCAAAACCACTATGAGATATCATCTCACACCAGTTAGAATGGCAATCATTAAAAAGTCAGGAAACAACAGGTGCTGGAGAGGATGTGGAGAAATAGGAACACTTTTACACTGTTGGTGGGACTGTAAACTAGTTCAACCATTGTGGAAGTCAGTGTGGCGATTTCTCAGGGATCTAGAACTAGAAATACCATTTGACCCAGCCATCCCATTACTGGGTATATACCCAAATGACTATAAATCATGCTGCTATAAAGACACATGCACACGTATGTTTATTGCGGCACTATTCACAATAGCAAAGACTTGGAACCAACCCAAATGTCCAACAATGATAGACTGGATTAAGAAAATGTGGCACATATACACCATGGAATACTATGCAGCCATAAAAAATGATGAGTTCATGTCCTTTGTAGGGAGATGGATGAAATTGGAAACCATCATTCTCAGTAAACTATTGCAAGAACAAAAAACCAAACACCGCATATTCTCACTCATAGGTGGGAATTGAACAATGAGATCACATGGACACAGGAAGGGGAATATCACACTCTGGGGACTGTGGTGGGGAGGGGGGAGGGGGGAGGGATAGCTTTGGGAGATATACCTAATGCTAGATGACGAGTTAGTGGGTGCAGCACACCAGCATGGCACATGTATACATATGTAACTAACCTGCACATTGTGCACATGTACCCTAAAACTTAAAGTATAATTAAAAAAAATAAATAAATAATTTAAAAAAAAAGAAAAAAAAATGTGGCACATATACACCTTGGAATACTATGCAGCTATAAAAAAGGATGAGTTCGTGTTCTTTGCAGGGACATGGATGAATCTGGAAACCATGATTCTCAGCAAAGTAACACAGGAACAGAAAACCAAACACCACATGTTCTTACTCATAAGTGGGAGTTGAACAATGAGAACACAGGGACACAGGGAGGGGAACATCACACACCAGGGGATGTCGGGGAGCAGGAGGCAAGGGGAGGGATAGCATTAGGAGAAATACCTAATGCATGCCAGGCTGAAAACCTAGATGATGGGTTGATGGGTGCAGCAAACCACCATGGCACATGTATACCTATGTAACAAACCTGCACCTTCTGCACATGTATCCCAGAACTTAAAGTATAATAAAAAAGAAAAGAAAGGAAAGCCACAAAGAAATACCATCTTACCTCAGTCAGAATGACTATGATTAAAAGCGTGAAAAATAACAGCTGTTGGCAAGGATATGGAGAAAGGAGAACTCTTATACACCCCTGGTGGGAATGTTAATTAGTACAGCTTCTATAGAAAACAGTGTGATTTCTCAAAGAACTAAAACTAGAACTATATTTCCATTGAGCAATCCTACAACTGGGTATCTCCCCAAAGGAAAAGTAGTCAATGTATCAAACACATACCTTGACCTGTATGTTTATTGTAGCAACATTCACAGGAACAAAGATATTGAATCAACCTAAGTGTCCATTAATGAATGATTTGATTAAAAATGTAATTATGTATACCCAATGCCATATCACTCAATCATAAAGAGAGAATGAAATCACATATTTTGTGGCAATATGGATGGAACTGGGGGTCATTTTCTTAAGCAAAACAGGCTAGATACAGAAAATGAAATATAACACGCTCTCACTTGTAAGTGGTTGCTAAAGAATGTGTTTGCACAGATGAAGAGAGTGAAATAATACACAATGAAGACTGGGAAGTTGGGGAGGCACTTGCCACACTTGAGCAGTTGAGCAGTAGGATATTAATTAATAAATGCAGATTTTGTTATTGAATAATGAATACTCTAATGTCATGGCTTAAGCACTATGTAATCTATTTAACAAAACCAAACTTGTAATACATACATTTGTGCAAATAAACATTTTTTAAAATTAACAGAAACTCTAGGCATACTGCTCCCCCATCCTCACCATTAAAAAGAAGAGGCAATGACCAGTGTGGCCACAGCAGAATGAACTAGGTATAGAGCAGCCACCAATTCCAGAGATAGTTAGGGCTCAATACATAGGACTTCAGCATAGTTAAATAATTAGCATTTTGTTCTTAGAGAGTAAAAGTGTGGCCATCAACTGGAAAACATAGAAAAGTAATATAATTTTTAAATGGCCAAGGTGGGTAATTGATTGTTGGGAAATAAATAGAACTATTTGGTGTAAACTGCAGATGAGGCTTGCTTAGATGGGCTGATAGAGATGAAAATGATGAAACTGGCTGCAGTAGGAAATTGTTTTGAAGCTTGAATTTCACAATGATAACATAGCTGATTTGACTAGATGTAATGTGATGTAAGAGGAAAAGAGAAGAGTCTAGAATAAATCCTAGTTTCCTTAATTAATTAGATGAATAATTTACCAAGACCAAATAGAGTTGGAAGAGGAGTAACTTTGTAGTTACAGGAGGGAAGAGGCAGAGGTAGGAGAAACCCGAGGAGAGAGTGGGAGGTTCCCGGAAAGATTGATAGAGTGTTCCCAAAAGAATTGTAGGATCAATGGTGTTAAACTGCCAAGGGGTCACAGGAGATGCAGGACTGATAATCGATTCCTGAAATGAGTGGAATGCAGGCAGTAGATGACCTTGACAGACTTGGAGTGGAAAGAACAAAAGCATCTTTAATGTGTGTTTAAAAAGAAAATGGAAGGGAGGGGATGGGGAAATAATCACATACATATGTTTCAAGAACTTTTGCAATAAAAATGGCAGACAAATAATAGGGTAGGAAAGAAACACTAAGAGTCTTAGCAAAACCTCTGTAAAAATGGGTGATGTTTCAGCAGGCTTTTGCTGATTGAGGTAATCCCATAGAGCATAGATGTAAGAATCAGGAGACAAAAGGGTCACATACAGAAGCAAAATCCTTGACTGGGTAATGTGGTTCAGAATCAAGAGGAAAGATAAGAGATAGGGGTAGGGAGCCTTCAACTATGATAATAGGAGAGAAGTCAGAGAACTGGGATTGAACTGAATGTGGGTTGCTCAACTTGGTGATGGTTACAGTGAGATCCTTCTATTCTGAAATTTCTGAAATTCATAGTGAATTATCTGAGGCTATCGGTGGGCACAGGGGCAGTTTTCTAATATTGAACCTTCCTTGCTTGAGAAGCAGACATGCCAATCTCTGCAAGGTTTTTGGTACATATGTTATCTGAATAGTCTCCATATTCTAAGGTAGTTGTTTTGATTCTTCTCATTGTAGATGAGGAAATTGAAGCTCTGAGAGACCAAGTAGCTTTTTAAGAGTTCAGGCTAGCAAGAAAGAGTTATGTCTTAACTAAAATCTGAGAGTGTCCCAATTCTTTGCTCCTAAAAGTCATGCTGCCTCCTTGATGAAATCCATTCAGGTTTCATTAAAGAAAGGTGAGGAACATAGGGAGGGAGGGAAGTGATCACTGTTAAAATAGGGTCAATGGGATAGAGAGGGCTCTGGGAATAAGAAGCATAGAACCCTGTTTGTTCCCTTGAAACCAAACTCAGTTTCTTAGAAATTATAAGGATTTCTTTTAGTTTCTGTGACTTATTTTCCATTTGTTGTGGTTTTTGTCCTTAAAATTACTGGAATATCAGTAAACAATCTGAAAATAATTTTAGATTTTCAATTTGTGCTGTAGAAGTCAGGGAGGAGCCAGGTGTGGTGGCTCATGCCTGTAATCCCAACACATTTGGAGGCCAAGGCAAGCGGATGACCTGAAGTCAGAATTTCTAGCCTAGCCTGGCCAACAGGGTGAAAACGCATCTCAACTAAAATTACAAAAATTACCCAGGTGTGATGGTGGGAACCTGTAATCCCAGCTACTGTGAAGGGTGAGGCAGGAGAATAGCTTGAACCCAGGAGGTGCAGGTTGCAGTTAGCCAAGATCACGCCACTGCATTCCAACCTAGGTGATAGAGCAAGACTCCATCTCAGAAAAAGAAAAAAAAATTGAAGTCAGGGAAAGAGATAAACAGCAAAACATTTTTCATGGCAGCTGGCTAAGTTAGGATTAAAGAGAAGGGAAACTCCCTGGAAGCATCAGACAGAAGGGGTCCTAGATGTTCTTATAATGTGTTCTTGGTCCTCACATTCCACATTCACAAACACTGAGAAAGAACACCACAATCAGAAATTGCAAGCTGATTATTTTATTGGTATATTAAAGTTAGAGCTATGATGACCTTGTTCCAATGTCACGGCATTTGTAGCAATTGAATTATTTGAATTCACTGATATCTTCTTATTCACTTCCTGAAATAAACAAACAAGCAAGTTCATAGATTCACTCTTTTGATGCCCTTGCACACAATGTGCTCCAAATTGTGGCTTAGAAGATGAAGAGAAAAGACCATCCTTAGGTTGCTGTGACTCATTGCTGTTGAATTTGTTCAGGGATATATTTACACAGATGGTAACTGGAACATATTCTATAATACTGAGAAGCTAAAACCACCCTCAGTGTCCAGTGACAGGGATTGGTTAACGAAATCATGGCACAGCTACACAATAGAGTAGTATAAAAATGTAAAAGCAAACAGAAAACCACTGAAGATATGTAGTGACCTTCATAAACTGATGTGGAAATTTTAAAAAAATGTATTTTTTAAATGACTAACATATATACCTGCATATAAGTTATGGCATTAGTGGTAGGGTAAAAGAATGCTATATGTCTATGCACACATAAATATTTCAAAGAAAAGATCCCATAAGGTTAACAGTGGGAGCTTTTTGAAGGAAGGAAGGTGGGTAGGATGTGTTATGCCTTTAAAATTAGCTTCATATTTTTCCATTCCATTAGATATTTTTTGTTAGCTTAATCATGTACGTATTGAAAAGTTAAGTATCTAAAAAGTGACACGCCATTTAGCTGCTGAAAGATCAGGGACCATTTGGCAGGAATACTGGACTCGAGAGGCTGGTGTGAGGCAGGACTGAGCAAATGGTGCTCAGGTGAAAACTTTAAATGGGAGGTCTCTGAGTTAGTGGATAGAAAACAGAACGCCAAGAATGAACATGGTACTACCTCCTCATTGCCAACACAATTTAAGACAGATCATATGGTATGTTGTTTCTCAACATCAGAATTCCTTAAAGATTTTGTTAGAAATACAGGGTCCCCTTACCCTATTCCAGAGTATCTGAATACAAATTTTTAGAAATGGGTTCTAGGACAATACAATGTCAATGGGTTTTAGTTGATTCATTGGCACAATAAAGTTGGAGAACTGTAGCAATTAGAGTCCTGATGAATAATAAAGTGGAATCATACCTGTCATTGAATCCTAGATTACTGGGGAGGCTGTTGTCCCTGGGCAGGTCTGGGTGGCCTGCCCCCTTGAGGAGGTGGAGGTGGCCCCTGGGGCTTTCCAGCAGGAGGTGCCTGAGGCTGCTGGGGATTGCCTCCTGCTGGGGGTGGGCCTTGTGGCTTTCCAGGAGGTGGGGGACCTTGAGGCTTGTTGCCTTCTTGTTGGGGTGGTCCTTGTGGCTTTCCTGGAGGAGATCGGGCACTTCGGGACTTGTTTCCTTCCTGTGGGGGTGGTCCTTCTGGCTTTCCTGGATGAGGTGGGGGACCTTGGGACTGGTTACCTCCTTGTGGGGGTGGTCTTTCTGGCTTTCCTGGAGGAGGTGGGGGACGGTGGGACTGGTTGCCTCCTTGTGGGGGTGGTCTTTCTGGCTTTCCTGGAGGAGGTGGGGTACCTTGGGACTGGTTTCCTCCTTGTGGGGGTGGTCTTTCTGGCTTTCCTGGATGAGGTGGGGGACCTTGGGACTGGTTGCCTCCTTGTGGGGGTCGTCCTTCTGGCTTTCCTGGAGGAGGTGGGGGACCTTGGGACTGGTTTCCTCCTTGTGGGGGTGGTCCTTGTGGCTTTCCTGGAGGAGGTGGGGGACGTTGGGGCTGGTTTCCTCCTTGTGGGCGTCGTCCTTCTGGCTTTCCTGGAGGAGGTGGGGGACATACGGCATTCACTGAATAGTTGCCACAAATTTTTACAGTAATGGAGCTAAATGGGGAAATGCACAAAAATGAGACCCAGATACTAATTTCTTTGCATTTTCAGTGAAGCCCTAGAACTCTGGAGTGGAACGCTGGGGGAAAAGGGAGAAGTTGAGGGGCTCTCAGTCTAAGGAGGAGTCAGAATAAGGACACTGGCCATTTGTCTGTCATCTCCCAGGAGGCACTCCTGGCCAGGGGGATGTCAACCCACTCCTGTTGTCATCTAAGCCAAGCATCTCTGACATTCCATTTGGTGGCCTGCTCATGGTCCCCAGAATCAAGTTTGCATGAAGATTGCCTATATCATTAGGGGCAATAACATTAATCAATTCCTGAAAGGAAAGTGTTGATAAGAAGACACTGGAGAAATGATCCATTTGTAAGCAGAAAAAGGGAGTCAAAACAGATTGAGAATGAATTGGGATTTACCTGATATTAGGAAGAGAGATTCTTCCTGGCTGACATCTAGAAGAGAAGCACAGGATGATGGGAAATGTTACATCTCAAATCTTCAAGACTCACAAGTGTTCTACAGGGAAAATTGTCTTCTCACCACACCCCATGCATCCCCTAGGTTAACTCATCAGCCACCATCTGTGAAGGTGCTGGAAGGGGTGGAAGGTGTAAGAGGAGGCAGGGTTGTTACCACACAGAGCAACAGCAATGAGTTCAACATAGAACAGCCCCTTTTTTTCCTCCCTAGCATCCCTCAAGACTTAATGCTTATTTAGTTTATGCATGCCAGGTACTTCAATGTGATATTTTGGTGTTCTTATGCCCTCCATCTCCTGTTAATATATTGCATACATACACATGTTTTCTCAATAGGGGTAACCAGAAGTAATCATTTCAATACAATCTAACCCATTCCACTCCCAGCACATTGAAATACTGCATGTAGGGGAGAGAAAAATTGTAATGATTGGCTCTGATATTTCTACATCTTTAGTTAGACAGAGACAAGTGTTCTATCCAGTTCTGTCTCTGCAGTATCTCTGATGTGTATGTATCTCTATCATCAATGCCGACTGTCTGTACAGCAAGGCCACCATCATCCCTGTGTACTTACTGGGATCAGTATAGGATCTTCACAGCTGGACTTCCCTGAATCTGCCTTGCACTCTCCACTGCAGCCTTCACAGCACAGTTCTATCTCTATAAATTCAAATCTTACCTTCTCATTCCCCTGGAACAAATTCGTTATTGGATTTCATTGTACATTAAATAAATTAGAAGTCCTTATTGTGGAATGAGGGCACAACAGGTCTCCTGATCCTAGGCATGAAAACTCTGCAGCCCCATCTGTGTTTTCATTCTCCTCTCTTCCCCATAATTACCACTGTCACCTCCTAAGTCCCAAGCAGTCACCGCATCTTTTCCCCCTTCTGTTTTACCTTCACTTGAACTCTCAGCTGAGCTCAGGGCCAGCAGGGCCACTGACAGCAGAATCAGCAGCATCTCGCTGGAGGCTCTGGAGTCACTCCCAACTCTGTGCTGGGAGGAACGTGGCAACTCCCTTTATAAAGAGGAGCAAAACAATGGCACCTTTGAGCCCTGGGTGGGCCTCACCACCTCAGAGACTGGGTTCTGCTTTCCTTACTGCAGGTCAGGTGTATCCCTTATTTCTCTTTGGGACTCTAGCCCAGAGGGATGGGGTGGGTTGGATGTTGTTTGTGCCTTATTTCTAAAAGGTACGACTATGACTTGAATAAAGGTTCTAAAGGAACTGTGTCCAAGCTATCAGCACTGTGTCATAATTGAACTTCAGACATCATTAGAGTTTCAATCCTTTTGGTAAGACTATGTCTGCTTTCCACTCTACTATTTATTTCTGTGTAATATTTGTGGGGGCAGTGAAGCTACAGCCAGCAGTGAAGATGGTCAATTTCTCTGGCTCTTTATAGAGCCTATTTCCATCTCTTGTGATGTGTGTGTACAGATAGTATCACAATTGGCTAAAGTTTTGATGCGATAGAGATGGTTTCTGTTACCTGTGTGATGGTGTGAAGACAACACACTCCTGGGCACACATAGATGACAGAAAGCTGCCCCACAGCCTGCTCGGGCTACAACTATTGTTCAAGCTTCTGTGGATCTGACTCAGCTCAGGCAAGGCTTGTTGTTGTGCCACACAGGAAGGCCAAAATTGTGTATTTTAAAGTACCTTTAGGGGTTATTAATGCAAAATGTACACAGAAACCATAAGGAAATTTCTAGATCTGAGAAAACTGAATACATAATTCCTTGCGGGAGCCATGCGATATCATGTTGCCAAAACTTCCTTCATGCTCTTCCCTTTGTCCAGAATATTCTATAATATTCACCCTCTGCTTCATTTCTTTTAATAATTGTATTGAATTCCTACCACTTATAATTAAGTGGCTACAATTCTACATTCAAATAGGATAATCAGATACCCTCGTTAAAGCCTAAATTGCATTATATTGGTATTCTTGGTTTAGTCAGTATTTGTGTTACCTGTTTTCTCAGATTGTTCTTCCACAAAGAGTATTTTTCTATAATATTCTGATATGCATTCCTCCCCACCTTCTTTCTGGTTCTTCTTTGTTCATATTTTATTTTCTGAGTCAAGCCCATTATGTGTATTTTTCTTTATGTATCTGGCTTTTTTCCCCATGAATTTGGTGAGATTTCCTTTATTTAATCTTCTAAGTATTAGGATATAGTACTTACCATCTTTGTTTCATTCTTGTCTGTGTAATTTCATAATACGTGTTGTGTTTCCAAAAAGCCCTATCAGAGACCTGCATTGTTAGCACTTCTTTCAGCTACTGATTCTTCGTTATATCTGATAAATACCTGCTTATCAGTTCATGGAATATACAGGTTACTCAGTATCAACAGCTGCCATTTACCACTTAGACCTTCCATGTGTCTTGTGTAATTGTTCACATTTTGTGCATGGCTGGTATTAATTTGAGAACACCTTGGTTGGAGGTATGATGGAGGTAGAGAGGGTATGTGACAGTAAATCCTAAAGACAGGCCTCTTGAACATTGTGGATGAGTAGATCCTGGGCTTTGCAGATGAGAATCTGGGTGGCCCTTCTGAAGAGTTGCAGGTAATAGTACAAGCAGACTTCCTAATAAAAAAGGCTTTGCTACAGATAACTTTGCCCTTGCAAGGGAACCACGAAGATTGGTATTTTCCCTGACAAAAATATACACGTACTTGAAATGGGAATACAACTGGAGATGAGCAATCCTGCTTAGGTGGCTTAAGTTAGACCATCAGGTAACAAAGGAATGTCAGAGAAAAGGAGCAGCAGAGGCCAGGCTGACATTGCCTGATATTGTCACCAACTGAGGTTGCTGCAGCCTGATGCAAGACCGACTTCCCCTTGGCAGGAAGGTACAGGAAGAGAATGAAAACCCCCCTAAAGATCACTCATTTCAGGCCCTTTCCTGACCTTCTCCAATGTCAGCAATGAGTAAAGTTTATCAGGAAAGCATAAATATCAGCTATGCACTCACCAGACAAAACAAAAAAGAGGTGATGGAAATGCGGAAAGGGACACTCTCTGTGGGTGAGGGTGGGTGGAAGAGAGAAGCAGGACTGCAGCAGGAACTTGGGCACCTAGACGTGAGTGGAAGCCCTGAGCACTCCACTTGCCTTCTAATATCCATGTTCATATTCTCAGGTCCTGAAGGAACAGCCTTCAACATATGAAATTTTAGGAAACACAATTCAGCTCTCATAACAGCTCCCAACCTTTTCTAAGTCAAGTGTTCAGTGGTTCAAAACTCCTCACTCCCTTCAGGCACTGCCCTTTAGCAAATCCAGTTTCCTCCACTTTCAACACTCATCCCAAATACAACCACTTGCATAATATTTACTAGAAGGTGATAGTTCAGGCCATGATGCTCTCTCCTGAAGAAGTTTAATATCCTCAGTGCTCTTGGTAACATTCCTACCCCAGCACATCCCATATCCATTCCCCTCATATCAGTCAGGGTGATCATTGAAAAGTAGGAATTAGATCATAACACTTTTGTGCTTCCAATGCTCTTAGGATTTTCTTCTGCACTTGTAATAAGATCCAAACTTCATGCCTCAGCTCTCTCACACTCACACATCTCTCTCTTTTTGAAGACTTGGAAGCTCTGTGAATGGAACAGAAAGCAAAATCTTCCTCAACTTACTGTGTTCATTGCATAAACCAACCATTCTGGTAATACAGTTGTGTGTGAGAATTCAGATTTGTGTTGACTTTTCTAAAAACTTCGGTTACATTGGTAGGATGGTCATCTTTATATTTTTATTTGATGTTGATGCTCTCTAATATGTATATTTCACAACTATTTGAGCATATTTATATTCTTTCCATTTATCCTAGCAAAGGCTGATTATAATAGAAAACATTTCTTCAGCATTTACTATATGATATTCAATCTTCAGAACCATCATATGAGGGAGATGTGATGATTATTATTATCTTAATTTTGTAGATGAGGTGACTTAGGTGCATGCCTAGGATCATATAAAGGTAGTAAGTGGACTGGAAGGCAGTTAGTTCTCATAGCTGAGTTCTTGCCTATTGTGCTCCACTGGTTACTTGGTCTTCATTCATTTCTTTACAAGAATGTGAAAGGAAAGGAGATTCAGAGAATAAAAACAAGTTTCTCTTACAATATTTTCAAGGTTATGTTTTCCTGAGACATAAACAGCTGAGGTGAGGAAAAATATATTTTCCTGAGTAAACATGTTTGTTTAAAATCATAATCACATTTAAACATCTTCCAGTATTCTGTTTTACCCCTTGGATTTATATAAAGACACTCAGAGGAATTAATTCCTTTTTTTCTAATTACAAAACCCTGCCAATATAGATCCTGTATGTACTTCCTTAATCCATGATACGTGCATTTTTCTTGGGTGACATATTGGCATTGGCAAAATATGTGTATGCCCTTTTAAATTTACTAAATTTGATCCTTCTAATCACAATGATTCTAAAATTCTAGAAATCCAAGAGGGAGTCTGTTCAGAGAGTTCTCTAAGAAAGGATAAATTGTATACCACTTACACAGCTTTCAGTCTTCTGCATGAAGATATCTCCTGTGTCCTGGCCCCAGAGCTGGTGTACTGTCCTGAGTGGTTGGGGCCACAGAAGGCATTGGTCATCAGCCTAAGGTCAAGTGTCTGCAGCCTCAGCTCACCACTGTTATCACAATGTCAGAGTGTATTCTTCACCTTTCAGTTACACTTCCTAGCAGTTCATAGAGAAGTACAATCACAACTTATCTCATAAGAAATACAAAGCAATGTATATCACCCTCATACTTTTCTGATGATGTACCAAGTCCGTAAGCTGATACATTTAAAACAGGAATTTCATTAAAGTGATTAATCAATGACTCACTTATTAAACAGATAAACCTGTACCTATCTCTTACAAAAGATGTTGTCTCTTCTGCTTAAGAACCACAAATTATTGTTTATTTCATTGATTTTGAAGTCCACATGTGAGCATATTTATCATCTTGGAAATTGTTTTTAAAATAATGATCATGACAGAATCATTCATCTAATATTTTCTTCTTACAATGGTACCTTGACATCCTTTCTTGAAGGGGTGAGGTCTTCTTACCCCCTTTAATTGGGGTAGAACTTCGTTACTGCCATGACCAGTAGATTATATCAGAAGTGATACTTTGTGACTTTTGAGTCTAGATCATAGAAATGCCATGCAATTCCAAATTATTATTTATGGAACCTGCCACATGCTGTGAGGAAGCCCATGCTGTGAGACAGAGATAGAACATTCATTTAAAAAATGATTGGAGGAGGAGCCAAGATGGCCGAATAGGAACAGCTCCAGTCTACAGCTCCCAGCATGAGCGACGCAGAAGATGGGTGATTTCTGCATTTCCAACTGAGCTTTGAAGAGAGTAGTGGTTCTTCCAGCACGCAGCTTGAGATCTGAGAACAGGTAGACTGCCTCCTCAAGTGGGTCCCTGATCCCCGAGTAGACTAACTGGGAGGCATCCCCCAGTAGGGGCCAACTGACACCTCACACGGCCAGGTACTCTTCTGAGACAAAACTTCCAGAGGAACGATCAGACAGCAGCATTTGCGGTTCACCAATATCTGCTGTTCTCCAGCCACCACTGCTGATACCCAGGCAAACAGGGTCTGGAGTGGACCTCTAGCAAACTCCAACAGACCTGCAGCTGAGGGTCCTGTCTGTTAGAAGGAAAACTAACAAACAGAAAGGACATCCACACCAAAAACCCATCTGTACATCACCAACATCAAAGAGCAAAGGTAGATAAAACCACAAAGATGGGAAAAAAACAGAGCAGGAAAACTGGAAACTCTAAAAATCAGAGTGCCTCTCCTCCTCCAAAGGAACGCAGCTCCTCACCAGCAATGGAACAAAGCTGGACGGACAATGACTTTGACGAGTTGAGAGAAGAAGGCTTCAGACGATCAAACTACTGCGAGCTACAGGAGGAAATTCGAACCAATGGCAAACAAGTTAAAAGCTTTGAAAAGAAATTAGATGAATGGATAACCACAATAACCAATACAGAGAACTCCTTAAAGGACCTGATGGAGCTGAAAACCAAGGCACGAGAGCTACATGATGAATGCAGAAGCCTCTGTAGCCAATGCAATCAACTGGAAGAAAGGGTATCAGTGATGGAAGATGAAATGAATGAAATGAAGTGAGAAGAGAAGTTTAGAGAAAAAAGAATAAAAAGAAACAAACAAAGCCTCCAAGAAATATGGGACTATGTGAAAAGACTAAATCTACATCTGATTGGTGTACCTGAAAGTGACAGGGAGAATGGAACCAAGTTGGAAAAAACTCTGCAGGATATCATCCAGGAGAACTTCCCCAATCTAGCAAGGCAGGCCAACATTCAAATTCAGGAAATACAGAGAACACCACGAAGATACTCCTCAAGAAGAGCAAATCCAAGACACATAATTGTCAGATTCACGAAAGTTGAAATGAAGGAAAAAATGTTAAGGGCAGCCAGAGAGAAAGGTCAGGTTACCCACAAAGGGAAGCCCATCCAACCAACAGCTGATCTCTTGGCAGAAACTCTACAAGCCAGAAGAGAGTGGGGACCAATATTCAACATTCTTAAAGACAAGAATTTTTAGTCCGGCATTTCATATCCAGCCAAACTAAGCTTCATAAGTGAAGGAGAAATAAAATACTTTACAGACAAGCAAATGCTGAGAGATTTTGTCACCACCAGGCCTGCCCTAAAAGAGCTCCTGAAGGAAGCACTAAATATGGAAAGGAACAACCGGTACCAGCCACTGCAAAAACATGCCAAATTTTAAAGACCATCAAGGCTAGGAAGAAACTGCATCAACTAACAAGCAAAATAACCAGCTAACATCATAATGACAGGATCAAAATTCACACATAACAATATTAACTAAAAAGGTAAATGACCTAAATGCTCCAATTAAAAGACACAGACTGGCAAATTGAATAGAGTCAAGACCCATCAGTGTGCTGTATTCAGGAAACCCATCTCACATGCAGAGACACACATAGGCTCAAAATAAAGGGATGGAGGAAGATCTACCATGAAAATGGAAAACAAAAAAAGGCAGGGGTTGCAATTCTAGTCTCTGATAAAACAGACTTTAAACCAACAAAGATCAAAAGAGACAAAGAAGGCCATTATATAATGGTAAAGGGTTCAATTCAACAAGAAGAGCTAACTATCCTAAATATATATGCACCCAATACAGGAGCACTCAGATTCATGAAGCAAGTCCTTAATGACCTACAAAGAGACTTAGACTCCCACACAATAATAATGGGAGACTTTAACACCCCACTGTCAACATTAGACAGATCAACGAGACAGAAAGTTAACAAGGATACCCAGGAATTGAACTCAGCTCTGCACCAAGCGGACCTAATAGACATCTACAGAACTCTCCACCCCAAATCAACAGAATATACATTCTTTTCAGCACCACACCACACCTACTCCAAAATTGACCACATAGTTGGAAGTAAAGCACTCCTCAGCAAATGTAAAAGAATAGAAATTATAACAAACTGCCTCTCAGACCACAGTGCAATCAAACGAGAACCCAGGATTAAGAAACTCACTCAAAACCGCTCAAATACATGGAAACTGAACAACCTACTCCTGAATGACTACTGGGTACATAACGAAATGAAGGCAGAAATAAAGATGTTCTTTGAAACCACCGAGAACAAAGACACAACATACCAGAATCTCTGGGGCACATTCAAAGCAGTGTGTAGAGGGAAATTTATAGCACTGACTGCCCACAGGAGAAAGCAGGAAAGATCTAAAATTGACACTCTAACATCACAAGTAAAAGAACTAGAAAAGCAAGAGCAAACATATTCAAAAGGCTAGCAGAAGGCAAGAAATAACTAACATCAGAGCAGAACTGAAGGAAATACAGACACAAAAAACCCTTCAAAAAAATTAATAAATCCAGGAGCTGGTTTTGTGAAAATATCAACAAAATTGATAGACCGCTAGCAAGACTAATATAGAAGAAAACAGAGAAGAATCAAATAGACGCAATAAAAATGGCAAAGGGGATATCACCACTGATCCCACAGAAATACAAACTACCATCAGAGAGTACTATAAACAGCTCTATGCAAATAAACTAGAAAATCTAGAAGAAATGGATAAATTCCTCGACACATACATCTTCCCAAGACTAAACCAGTAAGAAGTTGAATCTCTGAATAGACCAATAACAGGCTCTGAAATTGAGGCAATAATCAATAGCTTACCAAACAAAAAAAGTCCAGGACCAGATAGATTCACAGCCAAATTCTACCAGAGGTGCAAAGAGGAGCTGGTACCATTCCTTCTGAAACTATTCCAATCAATAGAAAAAGAGGGAATCCTCCCTAACTCATTTTATGAGGCCAGCATCATCCTGATACCAAAGCCTGGCAGAGACACAACCAAAAAAGAGAATTTTAGACCAATATCCTTGATGAACATTGATGCAAAAATCCTCAATAAAATACTGGCAAACCGAATCCAGCAGCACATCAAAAAGCTTATCCACCATGATCAAGTGGGCGTCATCCCTGGGATGCAAGGATGGTTCAACATACACAAATCAATAAATGTAATCCAGCATATAAACAGAACCAAAGGCAAAAACCACATGATTATCTCAATAGACACAGAAAAAGCCTTTGACAAGGTTCAACAACTTCCTTCATGCTAAAAACTCTCAATAAATTAGGTAATGATGGGACATATCTCAAAATAATAAGAGCTATCTATGACACACCCACAGCCAATATCATACTGAATGGGCAAAAACTGGAAGCATTCCCTTTGAAAACGGGCAGAAGACAAGGATGCCCTCTCTCACCCCTCCTATTGAACATAGTGTTGGAAGTTCTGGCCAGGGCAATGAGGCAGGAGAAGGAAATAAAGAGCATTCAACTAGGAAAAGAGGAAGTCAAATTGTCCCTGTTTGCAGATGACATGATTGTATATCTAGAAATCCCCATCGTCTCAGCTCAAAATCTCCTCAAGCTGATAAGCAACTTCAGCAAAGTCTCAGGATTCAAAATCAATGTACAAAAATCACAAGCATTCTTATACACCAATAACAGACAAACAGAGAGCCAAATCATGAGTGAACTCCCATTCACAATTGCTTCAAAGAGAATAAAATACATAGGAATCCAACTTACAAGGGATGTGAAGGACCTCTTCAAGGAGAACTACAAACCACTGCTCAGTGAAATAAAAGAGGATACAAACAAATGGAAGAACATTCCATGCTCATGGGCAGGAAGAATCAATATCGTTAAAATGGCCATACTGCCCAAGGTAATTTATAGATTCAATGCCATCCCCATCAAGCTACCAATGACTTTCTTCACAGAATTGGAAAAAAACTACTTTAAAGTTCATGTGGAACCACAAAAGAGACCACAGTGCCAAGTCAATCCTAAACCAAAAGAACAAAGCTAGAGGCATCATGCTACCTGACTTCAAACTATACTACAAGGCTACAGTAACCAAAACAGCATGGTACTGGTACAAAAACAGAGATATAGACCAATGGAACAGAACAGAGCCCTCAGAAATAATGCCACATATCTACAACTATCTGATCTTTGACAAACCTGAGAAAAACAAGCAATGGGGAAAGGATTCCCTATTTAATAAATGGTGCTGGGAAAACAGGCTAGCCATATGTAGAAAGCTGAAACTGGATCCTTTCCTTACACCTTATACAAAAATTAATTCAAGATGGATTAAAGACTTCAATGTTAGACCTAAAACCATAAAAAAACTAGAAGAAAACCTAGGCATTACCATTCAGGACATAGGCATGGGCAAGGACTTCATGTCTAAAACACCAAAAGCAATGGCAACAAAAGCTGAAATTGACAAATGGGATCTAATTAAACTCAAGAGCTTCTGCACAGCAAAATAAACTACCATCAGAGTGAACAGGCAACCTACAGAATGTAAGAAAATTTTTGCAACCTACTCATCTGACAAAGGGCTAATATCCAGAATCTACAATGAACTCAAACAAATTTACAAGAAAAAGACAAACAACCCCATCAAAAAGTGGGTGAAGGATATGAACAGACACTTCTCAAAAGAAGACATTTATGCAGCCAAAAAACACATGAAAAAATGCTCACCATCACTGGCCATCAGAGAAATGCAAATCAAAACCAAAATGAGATACCATCTCACACCAGTTAGAATGGCAATCATTAAAAAGTCAGGAAACAACAGGTGCTGGAGAGGATGTGGAGAAATAGGAACACTTTTACACTGTTGGTGGGACTGTAAACTAGTTCAACCATTGTGGAAGTCAGTGTGGCGATTCCTCAGGGATCTAGAACTAGAAATACCATTTGACCCAGCCATCCCATTACTGGGTATATACCCAAAGGATTATAAATCATGCTGCTATAAAGACACATGCACACGTATGTTTATTGCGGCACTATTCACAATAGCAAAGACTTGGAACCAACCCAAATGTCCAACAATGATAGACTGGATTAAGAAAATGTGGCACATATACACCATGGAATACTATGCAGCCATAAAAAATGATGAGTTCATGTCCTTTGTAGGGACATGGATGAATCTGGAAACCATCGTTCTCTGCAAACTATCACAAGGACAAAAAACCAAATACCACATGTTCTCACGCATAGGTGAGAACTGAACAATGAGAACACATGGACACAGGAAGGGGAACATCACACACCTGGGCATGCTGTGGGGTGGGGAGATGGGGGAGGGATAGCATTAGGAGATATACCTGATGCTAAATGACAAGTTAATGGGTGCAGCACATCAACATGGCACATCTATACATATGTAACAAACCTGCACATTGTGCACATGTACCCTAAAACTTAAAGTGTAATAATAATAATAAAGAAAAAGATCAGATACAAAATCGTCTCTAAACAATATTCAATAACCAAGTTTGTTTCAGTGACCCAATTGCTATCTAATCATTTATTTCTACACATGCATGGCTAAATAGCTAAAGATTTATGGATTATTCCTATCTACCTTGCATAGTGATGTTTCAGATGCCTTAGCTCTTCTTGTACTTACAATAGCACTTTGAGGATTTTTTGCATTCATGTTCACTTTTCAAAGGTAGAAATAAAATCTGAATGTGATTGAGTGACTTCCCTAAGACATACACTTCATAGGTAACAGCATAAAACAATGCAAGGACAGAGAGAGAGAGAGAAATTAGAGAATGACCTCATTCATGAGAACAATATAAAATACCTAGGAACAAATAGCAAGAAATGCACAGGATTCAGTTGAAGAGGATTGATCAAACTTTGATGCAGAATATGCACTAAAATGTATGTACATGTAAATTTCAGCACAGTGAAATGCAATATTCAAATAGGACTAGTTTTCCAGGTGTTCTGGTGAAAATTGCACCACGGTCCCCTCTTCATGTCTGATTTCAGCTTTGCTGATTTACAAACTCTGTTATTTTTCTATTTGTCATTCCAATTCCACAGTTTTGTTTAAATTTATTGTTTATTGTCATCTCTTCTTTCATTCTCTTCATCCTTGGGTATTAATTTCCTCTGTGCTTCTTTATTTTAATTTTATTAGGACATTGGGAAAGAGCAGAAATCAGTCCATGTGTTCAATGCACTGTGCATTCCAGTACCCTGAGTCTAGAGACAAATTCCTTATCACAGTTTATAGCAGGTTCTACAGATGACCTTTTTGTTTATGTCTCTTTCTATTTAAGTGTATTCAAGTGAATCTACAAGGCAGATTGCTATTACCTGTGTTCCTCATTTTATCAGAAGAATCTGCTGCTGTCTTTTCTTCCCTGGCTGCATTAAATGTAACAGGACCATGACTTGATAATCACATGTTTATTTTTTACAACGTTATTGAGTAAACATCTAGCAACAATTTTAAATGATGAATACATTTTTACACTCTAATAGTCTAACAAATGTAATTTTTTAATAACAAATGTATGTTGTTTCAAGTCTATTACTTATCCATCTTTAGAACTGCCAAAGCAAATCTCTCCATATTATAAAAAAAACCTTTTGTGCCTTTTCATAAACAGACATAGTCAGAAACAGAAGTTTATGACATGATACATGAAGAGTTCGAATTTATCTTACATTTTTACTAACCTTATTTTTTAGCTAAACTTTGGTCTATATTCACATTTTCTTGATTGAAACATGCCCATGTGCATTTTTGTTCAGCAATTAAAGGCTTATTTAACTAGTCATCCCAACAAGATTGACATATGGCTTTTGTCAGATTGGGATGATTTACAAAGCTTCTGAAGCTTGAACTTTGGGGTCCTTCATGTGCACAGACCCTTTACACGACCCTGTTTAGAGTGAACAGAATAAAAAGAGATGTAAACTAGCAGTGGTCTTCTTTGTACCAACTCCTTTACTCAAGCTTTTATGTATTTTTATGTCTTGCACTTACCCATGGGGATTATAAGATTTCAAGACCACCTTCTCCCTAAAACAAACTCCAATTGTTTGAGGGATATCTGAATTTTTTTCTGAAAAGAAGACTTGGGAAATGCTATAGAAGCAAATTTCTAAATAATCTGATTCTTATGTCTACAAATAATGGCTATCTTCCAGCACTGCTATAAATGTACTGTGGAATTGCAGATTGTACATGGTGGAATCTAAAGAATGTACTTTAGTGGTGACTGAGGGACCAATTGAAATGAGGTATGCCTTTAGATTCTTGCTCTTCCACTAGTTTTTCCTTTGAAGAACACACTCCCTGCAGAATGGTGCCTTCACTTAGTATTTGTAGTGTTTCTACGTCTAAGCATGGAAGGAATGGTCAATGTTAGCAATGTGATCTTTCCTTTACAACTTACAGTGGGGTAAGGACAATTCGCATGTTTGACTATAAAAGCAAGGGCAGTTTCATGACCCTAATCCATTTGGGCATTTCTGCTAGTGTCCTGGGCCCATCTGTCTCCACACCTGTGTATCCAGAGATGGTGCTGACTGTGGCAATTACCAACACATGGAGTTTCTTTGATTTTTAATAGGAAGAGTCATTTATTTCCCCAGAGGTTTTCTCTTTAAATGAAAACACTCCTTCCCTGATTTATAGGACATACCACTGTTGTTTATTCTGAAGAGTCCATGACTGGAACACCAGGGAAGGCCACAGATTTTTGTATTCTTTCTTTATACCTGCTCTTTGGTTTTCCTTGGGAGGGATTCTACAACAGACTTACTAAGCAAGACTCTGGAACTCTGCTCCCATTTTGTACCCTTCTCACCCAGGCATCATGTTTGCTTAGCCGCGTCCACTCTTGGGGACAAGAGAGAATATGGTGGTAGCTCATGAGGACAGGTCCAGTTTGCAGCCACAGCCTAAGACTCAACTGAATAAACACCTGAATTTTAAGACTCCCCAAATGTGTGCAACAGCTTTGGGGGATCTTTAACGCTTTACCTCCTGTTATCTTTGGAATGGAGGAAAAACTAAAAGTGTTACATGGAAAGTTTGTTTCAATTCTACCACCTGGTACTCAGTTTACAACCATTTCCCAACCCTACTTGTTAATGAGTTATATAAAATTAGAAGATTTATTGACCACTTGTTATACATTTTGGTCAACATTCCAGCTATTGATATGTATTTTTTACATGATTAACTGAAGAAAAATGGATGCCTTTTACAAACGTTATAAGATTACAAAACAAAAAGAAATCCAAAAGAATCAAATTAGGGTTGTAATGTGCAAGCCTAATGACTTTCCATCAGAACACTCATATAATTTCCCTGTTTGATAAGAGAAACCAGCAGGAGCAAGGTCATGCTGAAGGTCTCTGCTGACGCTTTCCCTGGGATTCATCTACTAAAGCTTTGGCTTTCTCAAAATATTCTCAGAATAAGCAGATACTGTCATTCTCCAGAAAGTGAACCAGCAAAATGACTTGAGGTTTCCAATAAACTCTTGCCATGACCTTTGTGCTCTCCTCATCCACTGTTGCTTTGACTGGACTTTTCCACCTCCTGGTAGCCATTGCTTTGATTGTATTTGTTTTCTGGGTTTTACTGGTAAAGTCACGTGTTGTCTCCTGTTATAACTCATCGAAGATGTGCTTACAGTCTTCATTGCTCATATTTAGATTTTTAGGGAAAGTTCTGCTCTTCTCTGTACTTGATCTTGGTGAGACAGGTTGGGTATCCATTAAGTGAAAAGTTTACTAAAATTTAATCATTCAGTTAGAATGATGTAAACTGAACCAACTGAGAAGTCTGCAATGTTAGCTATTGTGTGTGCTGCTAATCATCGGACATCTTCTCTTAGGGTATAAAGAAGATGAATGTATACCTTGCAGCATGACATGGGACATCTGTCACTGTAGGTTTTAGGTTCAACATTGCCTCATTCCTTCTTGAAATGAGGAACTCCTCATTGAATTTGTGAACTGCTGACTTCTTCAACCAATGTCAACTTACCATGTGCCAAGTAGGACAACTTTTTGGACACCATCAATGATTTCATCTTCTTCCACCCAAGCTTCACCATAAATTTGATGTTTGAACTCTAATTTTAGAAGAATTCATGTTGCTTTTCTAGGGACTCTTTTGAAACTGCTACCTTATTTTTCTTGATGCCTCAAACTAGCTCCTGTTCAGACATGTTATAGCGAAACATTCTGATTTCATTTCGGGCCAAAAAAACTTGGAATCTATTCATGGTATTTCTTTTTCTTTTTTTTTTTTTTTTTATTTTGAGATGGAGTCTCACTCTGTCGCCCAGACTGGAGTGCAGTGGCAAGGTCTCTCTGCTCACTGCAAGCTCCACCTCCTGGGTTCACACCATTCTCCTGCCTCTGCTTCCTGAGTAGCTGGGACTACAGGTGCCGGCAACCAGGCCTGGCTAATTTTTTGTATTTTTAGTAGAGACAGGATTTCAAGGATGATCTCGTTCTCCTGACCTCATGTTCCACCAACCTCCGCCTCCCAAAGTGCTAGGATTACAGGCTTGAGCCACTGCGCCTGGCCCATTCAAGGTATTTCTTAATAGGACATACATTTTTCATCAACATTTTAACAACCCACTGCATATAGGAAGGCATCCTAACACAAGAAGGTCTACTAGAGGTAACTTAGACTTTTCCAGCTGACTAGGCAAATTGGTTTCTTGTTTTTCTATTAGAATAACTAAGAATGTTTTCTGAAGACAGAATATAATACCAGTGACCAAATATTCTCCAGCTACATGGAAAGTGTAACATTTGTAACTGAGATTTACATGCTTCAAGAGAGACACAGAGTGCTTGGGCCTAGCGGGTGTTCTGATGTTATTGAGTGATTTTCTCTGGTTTCACCAAACATTATTTGGAAAGAGAAGCTGGCGTTGTGCAGTCTGTCCTAGCTAGCTTATGGTGGCCTGTCAGGTAGGGAACAAATGCAAGAGAGAAGCAGAGGGGAGTGCCAGGCAAATGTGCCTACTTGTGGGAGTCACTGGGGAAGCTGCAGTCCTGGTTAGAGGCAGGCTACTCCTCATCTGCAGAGTATAGGAAGACAAGACATGATGCTTCCAAATATCACTCAGCTCATGCTTTATTCCTGGCCTTCTCCTATGTCAGAAATGCGTGAAAGAGATTAGCATATCAGGAAGGAGTATATATCAGGTATCAAGCTACCAGAGACAACCAAAACAGAGGTTACCAAAGAACTGAAGGAGACAGTGTCACTTAGGATGAGGTCAAAGCAAGGAGAAGGACTGCCAACAAGAACTTAGGCACTTGTCCATGAGTCAAGGACTTCAGCAGCCCACTTGCCATTTAAAATAAATGTAAACTTACTATGTGCCAAGAAAGACTCTTGATTTCTACCTCCTAAAACCTGCTCTCCCCTGCCTTTCTTCATTATGGCTGTCAAAACAAAATATCACAGACTAAGTATTCTTCAACAACAGAAATTCCTTTTCAGCACTTCTGGATGCTCAAGTTCCACGATGAAGGTGTCAGCAGGTTCAGTTCTTCTGGGCCCTGCCTTCTTGCCATCTACATATCTGCCTTCTTGCTGTGTTTCCCATGGGGCTGCTTCTATACATACATAATTCTTGTGTCTCTCCTTGTGCAAGTTTCCAGCTCTTATAAGGAAATTCCACTTCTTATAAGGGCAGCAATCTTATTAGATTTAGTTCCACTGAAACTCCCTCATTTTAGCTTGATCACCTCTTCTTAGGGCTGTTTTTTAAACACAATGATATTCTAAGGAACAAGAGGTTGGCTATGGATTTTTGTATACCCATGCCTATCATATTTCGCTAAATGTTTGATTATATAGAGACATTTCTTTGGAACTTTGAGCTGTGTGAAGACAACACAAACCTGGCCATTCATGGCTGACAGAAGGTTGGCCCTAACCCTGCTCAGGCCCACACAGATTGTGTAATATTCTTTGGATCTGGCTCTAGTCAGCAAAGTCTTGGTGTTGTAGGATACAGGTGTCTTCATGCATTCCATTATTAATACTCATGGGGAGGTTAAAACAAAGTTGGCCACAAAATCTACCAAGGGGTTCTAAAAATGAACAGAATGAATACACAGTTCTTTAATGAGACATCCTATTTCATGCCTTTAAAATTTTTTCCTTGCTCTACCCCTTTGTTAGAATGTTAGATCAGATTTAGTTTGGGCTTTACATCTTTTAGGATTTTTTTTATATATATACAGACGCTTGCTCTGTCACCCAGGCTGGAGTGTGGTATCTCAATCATGGCTCACAGCATCCTTGAACCCCTGTGGTCAGGGGATTCCCCCAGCTTCAGACTCTTGAGTGGCTTGAATTACAGGTTCATGACACCCACAATGCCCATTTTTTTATTTTAATTTTTTTTTTTTTTGAAGAGATGGAGCCTCACTTTGTTGCTCAGGCTGGTCTTGAACTCGTGGCCTCAAGGGATCCTCCCACCTCACTCTTCCAAAGTCCTGGGATAACAGGCATGAGTCACCATGTTCAGTCATTCTTCCAGGAAATGTTTTTAGTAACTCCCACTTATAATGAGTTGCCACAATTATATATTCCAATAAGATAGTCTGGGGGTACCCACATAAAAGCCTCAAGAGTATTGCATTGATCTATTTCTTAGTACCTGTGCTATCTGTCTCCCAGATTGTTCTTCCACAAAGAAATTTTTTTCATTTTTGCAATATTCTGAAACGAATTTCTCCAGACTCTCTTTCTAAAATGTATTTGTTGACATTTTGTGTTCTAAATCAAATTTCCCTGTGTTTATTTTTCATCTTACATCTGGCTTCTTTTTAAATAAAATTTGGGAAAATTTTTTAAATCTAATCTCTAAGTGAGCATCTACAATTCTTCTTACTCCTTTCTTTTCATTTTTTTTTTAAATTTGGATCAACATACTGTGTTTCCAAGGTCTTCTTACTGAGTTTGTTTTAGTAGCTCTCTTTTCATCTGCTGACTTTTCTGTTATATCAAGTAGTTCCTGCCCATTCTTTCACCCTTTTCATGGAAGGTATAGGTGAGTCAGTATCAACAGCTGCCACTTATCATTTCAGGCCTTGAATAAGTCTCATACTGTCATTCAGTTTTTGTTCAAGGATAGTGATAATTTCAGATGACCTTGTTAGAGGTATTGTGTGTGGGGATGTGACTGGACATCCTAAAGACAGGCCACTTGATCAGTTGGATGAGAGGATCCTGTGTTGTACACATAAGAATCTGTTCCTGCTCTTCCAGAAGGGTTTGAGAATACAAGGGGATTTCAAAAAATTTGTGGAAGAATGTAATTACAATATGAAAGTAGACAATATAAACTTTATTTCTTAACATAAGCTCCATCACATTCAAGAAGTGTTGCAAGTAATGACACAAGAAATTTAGCCTATCTACAAAGAATAGAGGGACCTGGGAATTTCACCATATTAATGCAGTCTTTTCACATTATTAACTGAAGAAAACAGAGTACACTTTAAAGATATTTTAATATTAGAAAAAAAGAAGTTCAAAGGTACTGCATCAGTACTGTAAGTTGGATGCCTAGTGATTTTCTTTTTTTTCTTTTCTGTTTTATTTACATAGGTTGGGGAACAGGTGGTGTTTGGTTATGTATATAAGTTCTTGAGTGGTGATTTGTGAGATTTTGTTGCACCCATCATCTGGGCAGTATACACCGCACCCAATTTATAGTCTTTTATCCCTCACCTCTTTCCGACTCTTTCCCCCTGAGTTCCCAAAGTCTATTATGTCATTCTTATGCCTTTGCATCCTCATAGTTCAGCTCCCATTTATGAGTGAGAACATATGATGTTTGGTTTTCCAGTCCTAAGTTTCTTCACTTAGAATGATAACATCAAAAGATTGGAGAAAGTTAGGCAAAACTTTAGCAGATAAATGCCCAGAAAGGCCTTAGCAGACTCCTTGTCCATCACAATAATGCTTCTGCTCATTCCTTTCATGAAACAGGGGCAATTTGCCAGATTTTTGATGGAAATCACTAGGCATTCAATTTCATCCATATATCTGCTAAAGTTTTGGCTAACTTTCTCCAAATACCAAACTCTTTCATAAGTCGGTGTTATCATTCTTGGTCCCTCCCGAAAGTTAACAACCAAAATACCTTGAGCATCCAAGAACACTGTGGCATGATATTTGCTTTTGTCACATTTACTTAGACTAGATCACTTCCACCTCTTCGTAGCCATTGCTTTGACTGTGTTTTTCCCTTCGAGTGGCACTGGTAAAGCCACTTTTGATTTCCTGTTAGAACTCCTCAAAGACATGCTTAGGATCTTTTCTTTTCTTTTCTTCTCCTTCCTACTTGCTTAATTTTTCATTGAACGTTCTGTTCTTGTCTGTAGCTGCCTTAGGTACAGTAGTTTTGGCCCTCACCAAGTGGATAGTTTGCTCAAGTTTAATTTTTCAATCAGAAAAAGTTATGTAACCTGAACCAATTGATCTTCTTGTGCTAGCTCTTGTTCCTGTTTTTAATTGTCAGGCCTCTTCAATTAGGCCAAAAGAAGAAAAAAGTTTTGCCCATAAGTTGGTGTGTATGGTCTGATGCTGCAAGGTTTAACTTGACCATTATCTCATCAGTTCTTAAAGTGAGTTATCCATTTGTGAAGGGCTGATTTACTTGTGCACACATATGTCCTAATGCATTAGTGATGTCACCATTTCTCCACCCAAGCTTCACCATAAACTTGATATTTGTTCTTCCTAAAATTTTAGTAGAATATTTACTGCTCTGATAGAGGCTGTTTTCAAACTACTTTCTCAACCATATTAGTGACTGAACAAGATCCTGTTCAGACATGTTGTAACAAGTTAGTACAAATGTGTTTTGGTACAAAAAATATTTATATCCATGCATAATTTTTAAAAAATATGTTTTTTCCACTAACATTTTGAAGATGCCTTATATTATTAGAAGCCTCCCTCATACAACGAGGTTTGTTACAGATTACTCTGCCATTGGCTGGTGATCAGGCAGATTGCTGTTTTCCTCCCCTACCCCTTCTGGAATATTAGGGATGTTTGCTAAAGAGGAAATATATTACCAGTTAGTAATTCTGCTTTGGCTATGCAATAATAAAACAGTTGTAGTTTGGGTTTATGTGCTTTGGGTGGGCATAAAGTAGTTGCTTGGCCTAGCAGGTGCCCTAATGATATTGGGATGACTGTCATTGCTTTCTACACACACTACACACACTAATTGCACAGGGAAACTGGAGATGAATGGTACTGCTTAGTGACTTATGGTAGACCTTCAAGTAGGAAAGGAAGATCAGAGGGAAGGCACCGAGGGGAGTGCCTCACAGACTTGCCTCATTGCATAGTTTGCTGTAGAAGTGGTAGTCCTGGTGAAAAAAAGACTCCCCCTTGGCTTGGTGAGTACAGGAAGACAGCAGGCATTGCCTTCAAATATCACTCAGCTCAGGCCCTTTCTCTGACATTGTCCAATGTCAGCAATGAGTGAAAGAGATTCGTGTATTAGGGAAGAATAAATATTAGCTATGAACTCTCCACACACAAATAAAACAGAGATGACAGAAGAGCTGAAAGAGGCCCTGTCAGTCAGTGAGGATGGGGTTAAAGCAGGGAGCAGGTCTGCAGCAGGAGCTCTGGCACCTTTTGGTCAGTTGAAGCTCTCAGCAATCCACTTGCCTTCTAATATGGATGCAAACATAACATGTCCCAAAACAGAGTCTTGATTTCTGCATCCAAAACTCCTCTCCCCTGATGTAGTTTGTTATGTCTGCCCTAAAAAAAATACCACACACTGTGTAATTTGAACAACAGAAATTGATTTTCTCACAGTTCTGGAGGTTCACAGTCCATGAGGAAGGTGTTAACAGGTTGAGTTCTAAGATGTCTCTTCTTGGATTTGACTTGGCTAATTTAGTTTTTCTGTCTTCACACACCTCAATCATTTACTTTCTGAAAAATTTTCACAGTCTATACGGTCTTTTTTCAAATTTTAGTCATTATATATGTCAGTTCTGAAATTTCTATTTTATTATTTTTTATAGTTCCTTCTTCTGCTGAGAAGTTCTTTCCCATTTATTTTGAGCATGCTCACATTTACCTCAAAAAAGATGGCTATAAGAGCTGCTTTAAAGTCTGATCATTTCCATATCCAAGTTGTTTCAAGGTTGTCATATTTTGATTATACCCTTCATTAAGAATTAGTCAATTGTTTATGGTTTGTAAAAGTATATTGAGTAATTTTCTATTTTATGCCTCAATAGGCATTTTTCTCTGTTTACAATACACATAAAGTTCAACAAGGTGAGCTTTGGACATTGAAGGGTGGAGGCACTCAGGCTACATCATGATCCACCCCTGGCTCCACTGGCAGATGGGTTTGTCCCGTTGACATTATTCTACTTGGAGCTTCTACGTGGATGATTCTCCTTGGCTCTTATAAGAGTATAAGTATTTCACATAATACACACTTACAAAATTAAAAAACAACAGAAAAGTTCACTGAGTGGGTCCCAAGGGACTTATCCACAACGTCTTCCTAACTTTTCATCTTTTGCTCCCCATTTGCTCAAAGTTCAATTGAACTCAAGCACTTCTTTTTGCTGAGTACAGCAAGGGAAGAGGTGATGCTTCCAAATGTCACTCAGCTCACACCCTGACCTTCTCCTATGTCAGAAATGAGTGAAAGAGATTAGTGTATCAGGAAGGAGTAAATTTCAGATATCAAGCTACCAGAGACAACCAAAACAGAGGTTACCAAAGAACTGAAGGAGACAGTGTCACTGATTTAGGATGGGGTCAAAGCAAGGAGCAAGACTGCAACAAAAGCTTAGGCACTTGTCCATGAGTCAAGGACCTCAGCAATCCACTTGCCATTTAAAATAATGTAAATTTACCATGTGCCAAGCAGGACTCTTGATTTCTACCTCCTAAAACCTGCTCTCCCCTGAATTTCTTTATAATAGCTGTCCAAACAAAATATCACAGACTAATATTCTTAAGCAACAGAAATTACTTTTCAACACTTCTGGATTCTCAAGTTCCATGATGAAGGTGTCAGCAGGTTCAGTTCTTCTGGGCCCTGTTTGCTTGGCATCTAGATATCTGCCTTCTTGCTGGGTTCTCCCATGGGGCTGCGTCTGTGCCTACATACTTCTTGTGTCTCTCTGTGTGCACATTTCCAGTTCTCAGAAGGAATTTCCACTCCTTCTAAGGACACTCATCTTACTGGATTTAGTTCCACTGAAACTCCCTCATTTTAGCTTGATCACCTCTTCTTAGGGCTGTTTTCTAAACACAATCATATTCTAAGGAACAAGATGTTGGCTGTGGAGTTTTGTATACCTATGCCTATCATATTTCACTAAATATTTGATTATATAGAGATTATTTCTTTGGAACTTTGAGCTGTGTGCAGACAACACAAACCTAGCCATTCATGGCTGACAGAAGGTTGCCCTCAGCCTGGTCAGACCCACACAGATTGTCCAATATTCTTTGGATCTGGCTCTAGTCAGAAAAGTCTTGGTGTTGTAGAATACAGGTGTCTTAACGTATTCTATTATTAAAATTCATGGAGAGGTTAAAACAAAGTTGGACACAAAAACTACCAGAGGTTTCTAGAAATGAACAGAATGAATACAAGCTCTTGAATGAGCCATCCTATTACATGTCTTTAAGAATTTTTCCTTGCTCTACCTCTTTATCCCTTTATTAGAATGTTTGATCAGATTCAGTTTGGGCTTTACGTCTTACAGGATTTTATATATATACACACATATATATGCGAGCATATATATATATATACACACACATATATATGCGAGCATATATATATGCTCACATATATATGTGAGCATATATATATACACACATATATATGTGAGCATATATATATACACATATATGTGAGCATATATATATACACATATATATGTGAGCATATATATATATACACCTATATATGTGAGCATACACACACACACACACACACACACACACACACACACACACATATATATACAGGCTCTCTCTCTGTCACCCAGGCTGGAGTTGGTGTTGTGATCATGGCTTAGAGCATCCTTGAGCTCCTATGCTCAGGGGATTCCCCCTACTTCAGCCTCTTGAGTTGCTTGAATTACAGGTTCATGACACCCACCATGCCCATTTTTTTTTAATTTATTTTAAAATTTTTTTGAAGAGATGGAGCCAAAATTTGTTGCTCAGGCTGGTCTTGAACTCCTGGCCTCAAGGGATCCACTCACCTCACCCTCCCAAAGTCCTGGGATAACAGGCATGAGTCACCACATTCAGTTCTTCTAGGAAAAATTTTTCATCACTCCCACTTATAATGAGTGGCCACAATTATATATTCCAGTAAGACAGCCTGGAACCCACATAAAAGCCTCAAGGGTATTGCATTGATCTATTTCTTAGTACCTGTGCTATGTGTCTCCCAGATTGTTCTTCCACACAGAAATTTTTTTCATTTTTGCAATATTCTGAAACTAATTTCTCACCACTCTCTTTCTAAAACGTATTTGCTCACATTTTGTGTTCTAAATAATCTTCCCTGTGTTTATTTTTCATCTTATATCTGGCTTCTTTTTAAATAAATTTGGGAAATTTTTGAAATCTAATCTTCTAAGTAAGCATCTATAATTCTGTTTACTCCTTTCATTTTTTTTTTTTAATTTGGATCAATATACTGTCTTTCCAAAGTCTTTTAACTGAGTTTGTGTTGGTCGCTCTCTTTTAATCTGCTGACTTTTCTGTTATATCAAGTAGTTCCTGCCCATCATTTCATCTTTTTCATGGAAAGTATAGGTTAGTCAGTATTAACAGCTGCCACTTATCATTTCAGGCCTTGAATAAGTCTTGTGCCATCATTCAGTTTTTGGTCAGGGATAGTGATAACTTCAGGATACCTTCTTAGAGGTATTGTGTGTGGGGATGTGACTGGAAATCCTAAAGACAGGCCACTTGATCAGTTGGATGAGAGGATCCTGTGTTGTACACATTAGAATCTGATCCTGCTCTTCCAGATGGGTTTGAAATACAAGGGATTTCAAAAAGTTTGTGGAAGAATGCAATTACAATATGAAATTAGACATTATATAAACTTTATTTCTTAATATAAGCTCCACCGCATTCAAGAAGGTTTGCAAGTAATGACACAAGTAATTTAGCCTATCTATAAAGAATTGAGGGTCCTGGGAATTTCCCCATATAAAGGCTGTCTTTTCACATTGATAACTGAAGAAAACAGCATACACATTAAAGATATTTTAATCTTAGTAAAAGAAAAGAAGTCCAAAGATACTGCATCAGTAAATGTAAGTTGGATGCCCAGTGATTTTCTTTTTTTTCTTTTTTCTTTTCTTTTTTACTTCCATAGTTTGGGAAACAGGTGGTGTTTGGTTACTTGAATAAGTTCTTTAGTGCTGATTTGTGAGATTTTGGTGCGCCCACCACCCGAGGGGTAGACATTGCACCCAATTTGTAGTCTTTTATTCATCACCTCCTTCTCAGCATTTCCCTCTGAGTTCCCTAAGTCCATTGTGTCATTCTTATGCCTTTGCATCCTCATAGATTAGCTCCCATTTATGACTGAGTACATATGATGTTTGGTTTTCCATTTCTAAGTTACATCTCTTAGACTGACAACATCAACTTCTGAGACACTTCAGAGACAGCCAAAACTTTAGCAGATAAATGCCCAGAAAAGCTTCAGCAGAGGTTCCTTGTCCATCACAACAATGCTCCTGCTCATTCCTCTTATGAAATAAGGGCAATTTTACCAGACTTTTGATGGAAAATCACTAGGCATCCAATCTCATCCATTTTTCTGCTAAAGATTTGATAAATCTCTCCAACCTCCAAACTCTCTTATAAGTGGTTGTTACCATGCTTTGACCTTACAGAAAGTTAACAACCAAAATACCTTGAGCATCCAAAAAACACTGTTGGCATGATATGCTTTTGTCGCATTTACTTAGACTAGACCACTTCCACCTCTTGATAGCCATTGCTTTGATTACGTTTGTCCCTTCGAATGCCACTGGTAAAGCCACGTTTGATTTCCTATTACAACTCTTCAAATAAATGCTTTAGGATCTTTTCTTTTCTTTTCCTTCCTACTTGTTTAATTTGTCACAGAACTTTCTGTTCTTGTCTGTAGCTGACTTAGGTACAGCAGTTTTGGCCCTCATCAAGTGGATGGTTTGCTCAACTTTAGTTTTTCAGACAGAAAAATTATGTAATCTGAACCAATTGATCTTCTTCTGCTGCTGGCTCTTGTTTCTGCTGTTCATTGTCAGACCTCTTCAATTAGGCCAAAAGAAGATAAAATTTTTCCCCGTAAGTTTATGTGAATGGTCTGCTGCTGCAAGGTTCACCTTCACCATCACCTCATCGCTTCTTTTTTTTTTTTAATGTCAAGACCTTTATCTTTTTTTATTATTATACTTTAATTTATAGGGTACATGAGCACAACGTGCAGGTTTGTTACATATGTATACATGTTCAATGTTGGTGTGCTGCACCCACTAACTCATCATTTACATTAGGTATTTCTCCTAATGCTATCCATCCCCCATCCTCCCACCCCATTACAGGCCCCGGTGTGTGATGTTCCCCACCCTGTGTCCAAGTGTTCTCATTGTTCAATTCCCAACTATGAGTAAGAATATGCCATGTTTGGTTTTCTGTCCTTGCGATAGTTTGCTCAGAATGATGGTTTCCAACTTCATCTATATCCCAACAAAGGATATGAACTCATCCCTTTTTATGGCTGCATAGTATTCCATGGTGTACATGTGCCACATTTTCTTAATCCAGTCTATCATTGATGGACATTTGGGTTGGCTCCAAGTCTTTGCTATTGTGAACACTGCTGCAATAAACATACATGTGCATGTGTATTTATAGTAGCATGATTTTTAATCCTTTGGGAATATACCCAGTAATGGGATCACTAGGTCAAATGGTACTTCTAGTTCTAGATCCTTGAGGAATTGCCACACTGTCTTCCACAATGGTTGAACTAGTTTACACTTCCACCAACAGTGTAAAAGTGTTCCTGTTTCTCCACATCCTCTCCAGCACCTGTTGTTTCCTGACTTTTTAATGATTGCCATTCTAACTGGTGTGAGATGGTATCTTATTGTGGTTTTGATTTCCATTTCTCTAATGGCCAGTGATGATGAGCATTTTTTCATGCGTCTGTTGGCTGCATAAATGTCTTCTTTTGAGAAGTGTCTGTTCATATCCTTCACTCACGTTTTGATGGGGTTGTTTGATTTTTTTCTTGTAAATTTGTTTAAGTTATTTGCAGATTCTGGGTATTATCCATTTGTCAGATGGGTAGATTGCAAAAATTTTTTTCCATTCTGGAGGTTGCCTCTTCACTCTGATGGTAGTTTCTTTTGCTGTGCAGAGCTCTTTACCTTAATTAGATCCCATTTGTCATTTTTGGCTTTTGTTGCTGTTTCTTTTGGTGTTTTAGACATGAAGTCTTTACCCATGCCTATGTCCTGAATTGTATTGCCTAGGTTTTTTTCTAGGGTTTTTATGGTTTTAGGTCTAACATTTAAGTCTTTAAAACATCTTGAATTAATTTTTGTACAAGGTGTAAGGAAGGGATCCAGTTTCAGCTTTCTACATATGGCTAGCCTGTTTTCCCAGCACCATTTATTAAATAGGGAATCCTATCCCTATTTCTTGTTTTCATCAGGTTTGTCAAAGATCAGATGGTTGTAGATGTCTGGTATTATTTCTGAGGGCTCTGTTCTGTTCCATTGGTCTATATCTCTGTTTTGGTACCAGTACCATGCTGTTTTGGTTACTGTAGCCTTGTAGTATAGTTTGAGGTCAGGTAGTGTGATGCCTCCAGCTTTGTTCTTTTGCCTTAGGATTCTCTTGGCAATGTGGGCTCATTTTTTTTCCATATGAACTTTAAAGTAGTTTTTTCCAATTCTGTGAAGAAAGTCATTGGTAGCTTGATGGGGATGGCATTGAATCTATAAATTACCTTGGGCAGCATGGCCATTTTCACAATATTGATTCTTCCTATCCATGAGCATGAAATGTTCTTCCATTTATTTGTGTCCTCTTTTATTTTGTTGAGCAGTGGTTTGTAGTTATCCTTGAAGAGGTCCTTCACATCCCTTGTAAGTTGGATTCCTAGGGATTTTATTCTCTGAAGCAATTGTGAAGGGGAATTCACTCATGATTTGGCTCTCTGTTTGTCTGTTATTGGTGTATAGGAATGCTTGTGATTTTTGCACATTGATTTTGTATCCTGAGACTTTGCTAAAGTTGCTTATCAGCTTAAGGAGATTTTGGGCTGAGACGATGGGGTTTTCTAAATATACAATCATGTCATCTGCAAACAGGGACAATTTGACTTCCTCTTTTCCTAGTGGAATACCCTTTATTTCTTTCTCCTGCCTGATTGCCCTGGCCAGAACTTCCAACACCATATTAAATAGGAGTGGTGAGAAAGGGCATCCCTGTCTTGTGCCAGTTTTCAAAGGGAATACTTCCAGTTTTTGCCCATTCAGTATGATATTGGCTGTGGGTTTGTCATAAATAACTCATTATTTTGAGATACACCCCATCAATACCTGGTTTATTGAGAGTTTTTAGCATGAAGGGCTGCTGAATTTTGTCAAAGGCCTTTTCTGCATCTATTGAGATAATCATGTGGTTTTTATCTTTGGTTCTGTTTATATGATGGATTATGTTTATTGATTTGAGTATGTTGAACCGGCCTTGCATCCCAGGGATGAAGCCCTCTTGATCATGGTGGATAAGCTTTTTGATGTGCTGCTGCATTCGGTTTGCCAGTATTTTATTGAGGATTTTTGCTTCTATGTTCATCAGGGATATTCGTCTAAAATTTCCTTTTTTGTTTCGCCTCTCCCAGGCTTTGGTATCAGGATGATACTAGCCTCAAAAAAATGAGTTAAGGAGAATTCCCTCTTTTTCTATTGATTGGAATAGTTTCAGAAGGAATGGGACCAGCTCCTGTTTGTAACTCTCATAGAATTCGGCTGGGAATCCATCTGGCCCTGGACTTCTTTCTGGTTGGTAGGCTATTAATTATTACCTCAATTTCAGAGCCTGTTATTGGTCTATTCAGGATTCAACTCCTTCCTGGTTTAGTCTTGAGAGGGTGTATGTGTCCAGGAATTTATCCATTTCTTCTAGATGTTCTAGTTTATTTTCATAGAGGTGTTTATAGTATTCTCTGATGGTAGTTTGTATTTCTGTGGGATCGGTGGTGATATCCCCTTTATCATTTTTTATTGCATCTATTTGATTCTTCTCTTTTCTTCTTTATTAGTCTTGCTAGCAGTCTGTCAATTTTGTTGATCTTTTCAAAAAACCAGCTCCTGGATTCAACTATTTTTTGAAGGGTTTTTTCTGTCTCTATCTCCTTCAGTTCTGCTCTGATCTTAGTTACTTCTTGCCTTCTGCTAGCTTTTGAATGTGTTTGCTCTTGCTTCTCTATTTCTTTTCATTGTGATGTCAGGGTACGGATTTTAGATCTTTCCTGCTTTCTCCTGTGATTTAGTGCTATAAATTGCCCTCTCCACACTGCTTTAAATGTGTCCCAGAGATTCTGGTACAGTGTGTCTTCGTTCTCATTGGCTTCAAAGAACATCATTATTTCTGCCTTCATTTCGTTATGTACCCAGTAATCATTCAGGAACAGGTTGTTCAGTTTGCGTGTAGTTGTGTGGTTTTGAGTGAGTTTTTTATCCTGAGTTCTAATTTGATTGCACTGTGGTCTGAGAGACAGTTTTTTATGATTTCTGTTCTTTTACATTTGCTGAGGAGTGCTTTACCTCCAACTATGTGGTCAATTTTGGAATAAGTGTGGTGTGGTGCTGAGAAGAATGTATATTCTGTTGATTTAGGGTGGAAAGATCTGTAGATGTCTATTAGGCCTGCTTGGTGCAGAGTTGAGGTCAAGTCCTGGATATCCTTGTTAACTTTCTGTCTTGTTGATCTGTCTAATGTTGACAGAGGGGTGTTAAGTCTCCTATTATTATTGTGTGGGAGTTTAAGTCTCTTTGTAGGTCTCTAAGGACTTGCTTTATGAATCTGAGTGCTCCTGTATTGGGTGCATACATATTTAAGATAGTTAGCTCTTCTTGTTGAATTGATCCCTTTACCATTATGTAATGGCCTTCTTTGTTTCTTTTGATCTTTGTTGGTTAAAGTCTGTTTTATCAGAGACTAGGATTGCAACCCCTGCGTTTTTTGTTTTCCATTTACTTGGTAGATCTTCCTCCATCCCTTTATTTTGAACCTATGTGTGTCTGCACATGAGATGGGTCTCCTGAATACAGCACATTGATGGGTCTTGACTCTATCCAATTTGCCAGTCTGTGTCTTTTAATTGCAGCATTTATCCCATTTACATTTAAGGTTAATATTGTTATGTGTGAATTTGATCCTGTCATTATGATGTTAGCTGGTTATTTTGCACATTAGTTGATGCAGTTTCTTCCTGGTAATGATAGTCTTTACAATTTGGCATGTTTTTGCTGTTGCTGGTACCGGTTGTTCCTTTCCATGTTTAGTGCTTCCTTCAAGAGCTCTTGTAAGGCAAGCCTGGTGGTGACAAAATCTCTCAGCATTTGCTTGCCTGTAAAGGATTTTATTTCTCCTTCACTTATGAAGCTTAGTTTGGCTGGATATGAAATTCTGGGTTGAAAATCCTTCTCTTTAAGAATGTTGAATATTGGTCCCCACTCTCTTCTGGCTTGTAGAATTCCTGCCGAGAGATCAGCTGTTAGTCTGATGGGCTTCCCTTTGTGGGTAACCTGACCTTTCTCTCTGGCTGCCCTTAACATTTTTTCTTTCATTTCAACCTTGGTGAATCTGACAATTATGTGTCTTGGGGTTGCTCTTCTCGAGGGGTATCTCTGTGGCGTTCTCTGTATTTCCTGAATTTGAATATTGGCCTGCCTTACTATGTTGAGGAAGTTCTCCTGGATAATATCCTGCAGAGTGTTTTTCAACTTGGTTCCATTCTCCCCATCACTTTCGGATACACCAATCAAATGTAGATTTGGTCTTTTCACATAGTCCCATATTTCTTGGAGGCTTTGTTTCTTTTTACTCTTTTTTCTCTAAGCTTTCTTCTCACTTCATTTCTTCCATTTGGTCTTCCATCACTGATAACCTTTCTTCCACTTGATCAAATCAGCCACTGAAGCTTGTGGATGTGTCATGTAGTTCTCGTGCCATGGTTTTCAGCTCCATCAGTTCATTTAAGGTCTTCTCTATGCTGTTTATTCTAGGTAGCCATTCTTCTCATCTTTTTTCAAGGTTTTTAGCTTCATTGTGATGGGTTCAAACATCCTCCTTTAGCTCAGGGAAGTTTGTTATTACCATTCTTCTGAAGCCTACTTCTGTCAACTTGTCAAAGTCATTTTCTGTCCAGCTTTGTTCCATTGCTGGCAAGGAGCTGCGATCCTTTGGAGGAGAAGAGATGCTCGGTTTTTAGAATTTTCAGCTTTTCTTCTCTGGTTTCTCCCCATCTTTGTGGTTTTATCTACCTTTGGTCTTTGATGATGGTGATGTACAGATGGGGTTTTGGTGCAGATGTTGTTTTTGTTGATGTTGATGCTATTCCATTCTGTTTGTTAGTTTTCCTTCTCACAGTCAGGACCCTGAGCTGCAGTTCTACTGGAGTTTGATGGAGGTCCACTCCAGACCCTGTTTGCCTGGGTATCACCAGCAGAGGCTGCAGAGCAGCAAATATTGCAGAACAGCAAATGTTGCTGCCTGATCCTTCCACTGGAAGCTTTGTCCCAGATGGGCACCTGGTTGTATGAAGTGTCAGTCGGCCCCTACTGGGAGATGTCTCCCAGTTAGGCTACTCGGTGGTCAGGGACCCACTGGAGGAGGCAATGTGTCCATTCTGAGCCCTCGAACTCTGTGCTGGGAGAACAACTACTCTCTTCAAAGCTGTCAGACAGGGACATTTAAGACTTCAGAAGTTTCTCCTGCCTTTTGTTCACCTGTGCCTTGCTCCCAGAAGTGGAGTCTACAGAGGCAGGCAGGCCTCATTGAGCTGCAGTGGGCTCCACCCCGTTTGAGCTTCCGAGCCTCTTTGTTTACCTAGTCAAGCCTCAGCAATGGTGGCTGCCCATCCCCCAGCCTCACTGCCACCTCCCAGTTTGATCTAGGACTGCTGTGCTAGCAGTGAGCAAGGCTCTGTGGGCATGGGACCCACTGAGCCAGACACAAGATATAATCTCCTGGTGTGCCGTTGGCTAAGACCATGTAAAAGCGCAGTATTAGGGCAATAGTGTCCCAATTTTCCAGGTACTGTCTCTCATGGCTTCCCTTGGCTAGGAAAGGGAATTCCCTGACCCCTTGCACTTCCCTGGTGAGGCAATGCCCCGCCCTGCTTCAGCTCACACTCTATGGGCTGCACCCACTGTCTAACCAGTCCCAGTGAGATGAACTTGGTGCCTTAGTTGGAAATGCAGAAATCACCTGTCTTCTGCGTCACTCACACTGGGAGCTGTAGACTGGAGTTGTTCCTATTCGGCCATCTTGGAAGGATCTCCTCTCATTGCTTCTTAAAGTGAGTTATCCATTTGTGAAGGTCCGATTTACTTGGCCACAAATATTTCCTAATGCATCAGTGATGTCACCATCTCTCCACCCAAGCTTCACCATAAACTTGATATTTGTTCTTCCTAAAATTTTAGTGGAATTTTTGTTGCTCTGATAGAAGCTGTTTTCAAACTGCTTTCTCAATCATGTTAGTAACTGAACTAGATCTTGTTCAGACATGTAACAAGTTAGTACAAATGTACTTTTGTACAAAAAATGTTTATATCAATGCAAACTTTTAAAAAATAATATGTATTTTCCAAAAACAGTTTGGATACCCCTTATATTATTGGAAGGCCTCCTCATACAATGAAGTTTGTTGCAGATTTCTCTGCCATCGGCTGGTGATCAGGCAGATTGTTGTTTTCCTCCCCCACTCCTCTAGAATATTAGGGATGTTTGCTAAAGAGGAAATATATTACCAGTTAGAAATTCTTCTTTGGCTATCCAATAATAAAACAGTTGCAGTTTGACTTTATATGCTTTATGGGGGACATAGAGTATTTGCTTGGCCTAGCAGGCATGCTAATGTTATTGGAATGATGGTCATTGGTTTCTACACACTCCATTTGGACAGAGAAACTGGAGATAAATGGTCCTGCCTAGTGACTTACAGTAGACCTTCAAGTAGGAAAGGATGATCAGAGGGAAGGAGCAGACGGGAGTGCTTTGCAGCCTTCCCTCATTGCATAGGTTGCTGTAGAAGTGGTAGTCCTGGTGAAAGAAAGACTCTGCCTTGGCTTGGTGAGTACAGGAAGACAGGAGGCATTGCCTTCAAATATCACTCAGCTCAGGCCCTTTCTCTGACATTTTCCTAGGTCAGCAATGAGTGAAAGAGATTAGTGTATTAGGGAAGAATAAATATCAGCTATGAACTCTTCACATACAAATAAACGGAGGTGACAGAAGAGCCGAAAGAGACTCTATCAGTGAGTGAGGGTGGGTCAAAGAAAGGAGCAGGTCTGCAGCAAGAGCTCAGGCATGTTTCAGTCAGCTGAAGCTCTCAACAATCCACTTGCCTTCTAGTATGGATGCAAACATATATTGTCTCAAACAAGAGTCTTGATTTCTGCGTCTTAAAACTGCTCTCCCCTGACATAATTTGTTATGTCTCTCCTGAAAAAATACCACACATTGTGTAATTTAACAACAGAAATTGATTTTCTCACAGTTCTGGGGACTCACAGCCCATGATCAAGGTGTTAACAGGTTCAGTTCTTCTAAGATGTCTCTTCTTCCCTTTGACTTGGCTATTTTTTTGTTTTGTCTTCACACATGGGTTTCTCTGTACACATGCACCCCTGGTGTCCCTCCATGTGACCAAAAGTTCCTTTCTTATAACAACAGGAGTCTGATTAGATTGGGACCATCTTAATAGCCTAATTTTCATTTAGGTACCTCTATAAAAAGAAATTCTTTCCAAACACAATCATATTCTGAGGTACAGGGATAGGATTTCAACATACAAATTTGGGTAAAAACAATGCAGCCCATGATACCTCCTAATCTTTACTAAAACAATAACATTTTTTACAGAGTTCTCAAGAACATAGGAGTCACTTTTTACTTTTCACTCCACACCAAGCACTGCATATAAGCAAATACAGTGGGCTCCACTATAAAACACATCCCAAGATGACCCTTTCCATAATCTCTAATATAAGGCTCTAGTGGGGGCATGACCCTCTCTCCTGGAGGACTAGAACAGCCCCTAGCTGCCCTTGTAACCTTCCTGCTCCCACCACATTCCATATCACTTCTCCTCACAATAGCCAGTGTGATCTTTTAATAATAAATATTAAATATTACCTTCTTCCTTCATATCCTCTAAGTTTTCCTGATTTTCCTTTTAGTAAGATCTTGTAAAGTTCACACCTAAGTTTCTTCGTACTCACGTGTCATTCTCAAAGACTGGGAAGCTCTATGCATGGAACTGAAAGAAGAATTTTCTTCAACTTTACAATGCGCTGGTTTGTCTAGAACAACTAAAGAGTGGTTTGCCCAGAAGTTGAACATGGACAGAGTTGTGCTGATAGTGAGTGAATTGCATTTAGTCCCTGTGGTCTGAGGGGAGTTCCTCTGTGTGCCCATTTAATCAACTAAGCATTATGATGATACAGTTAACAATTCAACACAATTGTCTCTGAGAAGTGTACTTTGCTTAGGTTTTTCTAAAAATTCTGGCTACCCTATTATGATAGTGGTTCTCATATGCTGACTTACAGTAGAGTCTTCATAAACATAACTTTCACAATTATATTAGCACATTCATATTCTACAAGCCTATTGTAACATGATAGACTATAATAGGAAATATTTACCAAGCATTGACTATGTGCCATATAATCTTCAGAACCATCTTTTCAGGTAGTAATAATTTTTATTACAAGCTTCATTTTATAGATGAGATGATGGAAGCACATGCCAAGATAGTTATAAAGTTAGTAAGTGGTGTAGATGGCGGTAGTCTCCAGAGCCTCAGTTCTTGCCTCCTTTGCTCCACTGCTCTTTGCATTTATGAACATATTTGTTTATTTTCAAGAAAGTGAGAAGAAATTAGATCCAGACAAGAAACTCAGGTACTGGTTTTAGGACCTGCTTGAAGTAAAGCTTTTCTTAAGACATGACCAGGTGAAGTGAAAAAAAAAAACAAACAAAACTATTTTCTTAAAGTTGTTTCTAAATCATAAGCACATTACACAGGCTTCTACATTCCCCTTTTCTTCATCTTTGTGTATTTAGTCATGCACATGATTAATTTCTTCTTCTTCTTTTTTTTTTTTTTTTTTCTGAAGTCTCCCTCTGTCACCCAGGCTGCAGTGCAGTGGCACAGTCTCTGTTCACTGCAACTTCTGCCACCTGGTTTCAAGCGATTCTCTTGCCTCAGCCTCCTAAGTAGCTTGGATTACAGGCACCTGTCACTAGGCCTGGCTCATTTTTTTAGTTTTAGCAGAGACAGGTTTCACCATCTTGGCCTAGCTGATCTTGAACTCCTGACCTCGTGATACACCCGCCTTAGCCTCCCAAAGTGCTGGGATTACAGGCATGAGCCACCACCCCCAGCCACTTTCTTCTTTTTTATAAATGAAAAAATCACTGGCAATCAGGATCATGAAGTGCTTTTTATGCATGCTTACACACACTTTTCTCAGGAGACATTGGCTAAACTGTGGATACCATTTAAAGTGACCAACATTTTTATTCATATCTCACAAGAAATCCAAACAAAAAGAATTCCTCACCCTGTATATGCCAGGAAAAAAACAAAAAATCAATGTACCGAGTCACCTGGAAAAATCAAATTTATGTGTAGCAAATTTTATTGTATTAGAAAGCCTTTCTGTAATGCATTGGGACTGTAAAATGTTCATGGAAAAAGTATGTTATATTTAAAAAAGAATAGATTCCAATTTTTGCACCAAAATAAACTCATATTGACATGCTCTAACATGTCTGAACAGGAGCTACTTGAGTCATCAAGAAAAATAAGAGCAAGTTCAAAAGTTCCCCTATGAGAGCATCATGAATTCTTCTAAAATTAAAAAGAGTATAAACGTGAACTTCATGGTGAAGCTTGGGTACAAGAAGGTGAAATCAATGATGCTTTCTGAAACACTGGTAGGGATAATGGCCCTAAAAATTGGCAGTTCACAAGTAGGTAACTCATTTCAAGAAGGGATAAGACAAGGTTGAACCTAAAGCCCATAGACACAGAGGATTCATATCAAATTGCATGGATAAAATTGGTACAAGATGAATTTTTGTACCAATAATTCTCGGTACAAACAAGAGCCAACACTACAAAATTCTCAATTGGTTCCCCTTACCTGATTCGAATTGAGTAATTAATGTTGAGTAAATTTTTCACTCAATGGATGCCAAAACTATAGCAAAAATATAAGCTACAGACAGGAGCAGACCTTTCCATGAAATTTTAAATAAGGGGGATGAAGATCTTGAAGCATTTCTTCAAGGAATTCTAACAGGAGATGCAACCTGTCTTTACCAGTACAATCCTGAAAACAAATACGTCAAAGCAATAGCTATCAAGAGGTGGAAAGTCCAGTCAAGGCAAAAGTGGATAAGAAAAGTGCAAAGGTCATGTCATGGCAAGAGTTTATTGGGAAGCACGAGGCATTTTGCTGGTTGACTTTCTGGAGGGCAAAAGAATGACAATATCTGCTTATTCTGAGAATAGGGTCAGAAAGCCCAAGCTTTAGTAGAGAAATGCCTGGGGAAGCTTCAGCAGAGTCCTTCACCACAACAGTGCTCCTGCTCATTTCTCTCATCAAACAGGGCCATTGTGTGAGAGTTCTGATGGAAAATCATTAATGATTCACATTACAATCCTAATTTGGTTCCCTTGGTTTTCTTTTCATTTCATGATGTCATAATGTCTGTAAAGGGCATCCAGTATTCTTCAGTTAATAATGTAAAAAAGACATACAAATACCGGCCATGCTGACAAAAACGTATGAAGATTGGTCAATAAATATTCTCAATATTCTCCCTTTATGTTGCTCATTAATGATTGGGATTGGGAAATGGTTGAAACCTGAGTATCAGGTGTTAGAATTAAAACACACTTCACAAATGAGACTTTAATTTTGACTCTCTTCCACAGATAACAAGAGATAGAAAGATCAAAGATCCCCCAAAGCTGTTACAGTTCATTGGGGAAATGTATAATTCTGATGTTTATTCAGCTGAGCCTTGAGCAGTGTCTGCACTACTTGAATTTGAAAGCAAATGTGTCTTGCTTACTTGCATGAAGACACTTAGTCCATATCTCCTTTATTACTTCTTTTCCCCTACTCCGATCTCAATTCTGTTAAGCATTCAGGCTGGGCCTGAGATCTCACTGACCCAAGGAGGACCAAAGGTCCTATACACTCATCCCAACATATTGCAAGATATCAAGTAGGGTAAGGACTCAAATTGCTTATAACTGCTCAAACCACCACTGTACTTGGTTCTTTGAGAGTGGGGAAGGCATACCGAGAGCCACAGGATGTAGCCACAGGAGCATGTGAGAAGAAAGAAAGGAAGAGAAACCAAATCTGTGTCCTCTCTAGACACTGGGAGATGCACTTTAAAGAACGGTGAATCTGGGAAAAAGCTAAGGAAGAAAAGCCTTTTTGGTAGCTCTAGTCATTCTTTTTTTTCTTTTTCTTTTTAAATACTGGGACTTGCTCTATAGCTTAAGCTAGAGTGCAGTGGCACAATCCTGGCTCACTGCAGCCTCAATCTCCTGGGCTCAAGTAATCCTTCCATCTAACCATCCTAAGTCGCTAGGACTACAGGCACACCCACTGAGATACGATAAATTGGTAATTTTTTGTAAAGACAGAGGGTCTTACTATGTTGCCCAAGCTGATCTGGGATTCTTGGCATCAAGAAGTTCTCACACCTCAGCCTTCAAAAGTAGTGGAATTAGAGGCATGAGCCACCATGCCAGGCTAGTAGATATTCTTTTTACCTAAGCCTCATTGTCCTGCACTCCGTCAATCCCCAATCAGAAGACAGCAGAGCCACCTGACTACTGTGATAGCTTCTAATAAGCAGGTGTCAACCTCTGGTGTTCCTGTAGGAAGAAAAGAAAAAAGAAGTACCTGACCAACTGATGTGGTTTGAGTCAACAGTACACAAAAGAAAAAAGACAGAAAGACTTTGTAAATTGGGCTCTTGGGACACATTCGCACAGTTTTTTGTAGTTTTTACATTTGAATGTATGGTATGATATTAAATATTTATAACATTACCTCATTAGAGACAGAGAGAAACCTCCAGGCACAAGCTCCAAGTAGAAAAATGTTAGTGGGACAAACCCTTCTGGCATTTGAACCACCCAGTGGATTACAATGTAGCACTAGTGTCTCTTCCCTCCAATGTCCAAAGCTTGCCTTTTTGAAACTTTTCTGTATTGCAAACAGAGGAAATGCATATGTGCAAGACAAAATAGAAAATCACCCAATATACTTTAAAAAACCAGAAACAATTGAACAATTATTAAGGAATGAAACAATCAAGAGACAACAACTTCGAAGCAAATTGGATATTGAAATGATGAGACTTTAAAGCAGCTGTTATAGCCATCCTTTAAGAGGTCAATGTGTACACTCTCAAAATAAAAGAAAAAACTTCTCAGCAGAGAAAAATAAAGCATATAAGATAAAATAGAAATTTTAGAACTGTGATATATAATGTATAAATTTTTTAAAATTCATTATGTGTGATCAACAGCAGAAAGAAAATGATGGAGGACATAGCGTTCTTGAGTTTGCATTAATAGGAATTATATACTCTGAACAACACAGGATTAAATAGTCAAAAAAAATTTTGTTTGTGTCACAAATAAGAAAGGCTGTAACAAATGATGTGATAATCATGCAGTCTGAGTTTCAGAAAAAGAGAAAAACGAGGATGGTATTGAAAAAGGACTCAAAGAGAAAGGCTGAACCCCCCAAACTTGCAATGGGCATAAACCTGCAGATGCAAGAAATTGAGCAAATCCCAACCAAAATATATCCAAGGAAATCTATGCCCAGCAACATTGTAGTCAAATTTCTGAAAATTAAAACAAAGAAAATGTTTTAAAGGCAGATAGAAAGAAATAATACCATGCGTATAGGAAAAACACAATGTGAATATCTGTGGCGTTACTACCAGAAAGCAGAAAACAACAGAAGAATGTAGCTCAAATATTTGAAGTGCTGAAAGAAAAAAATTGCCAACCAGAGGTTTATGTCCAATAAAACTATCCTTCAATAAGGAGAAAGAAATCCAGTCATTCTCAGAAGAATGAAAAGAAAAATCCTAACAGAATTTGTTTCCAACAAACCAATTTTTTTAAAATGGCTCAAGCAAGTACTCTAAACAGAAAAAAAGTATAGAAGAGGAATTTCTGGAACAGCAAGAATGAAGCAAAAAAAGAAAAGAAAAAAAGCAACAGAAAATGGGGAAAAAGTAAGTAAACACAAAACATTTTCCTTTTTTTCTCAAATTTTCTGCAGGAGTTTCAAATTGCTCAACTGGCTATTGCTAATATTAAGGAGGAAAGAGATCTAGGGAATGAGGCAAAAAATAACATTCTTCTCTGGTGCCCCTAGAAATAAACTCAGCCTTGACACATGGATTTAACCAAGTGAGACCCGATTCAGAATCCTGAGCTACAAAACTGAAAGACAATAATGTCATGTTGAAGCAAAAATTATAAAACGTACTGTTTTTGCTAAATGCACGTAGAGATATATTTAAGATGATTATATTACAAACAGAGGTCGGTAAATAACAGGGATATAAAGTTTTCATATTTCGCCCCCGGAGGGTAAAAAGAGCACACCACTAGACTGTGACAAACTATGTATGTGTAATGTAATACCCAGAGCAACCACTAAAAATGCTGTATACAGAATGACACTCAAAAACATTGCAGATCAACGTAAATGGAATCAAAAAACCTTTTCAAGGAATCCACAGAAGATAGAAAGAAAGAAAACAATCAAAATGAGTATAAATATAAAGTAAACAAAATGGCTGTAAATTATTAACAATTACATGAAATGAAAATGGTTATTGAAAGTAAATTTCTGCCATTTCAGTTTGTGACTTACACTATTGTATATATATATACTTCAAGTACAAATATTAGCATTACAACTAATTTTACATAAACTCATTCATATTCTCATGCGAACATCTGGAAGATGCCTGGGCAATTCTCTCCACCTGCCCTGAATCAAACCAGTTCCAGGGGAGAAAGATGTCCGTCCCATCTGTGCTATGAAGATTAATGGCCTCCCAGAGACACACCCTTCCTAGTTCCCAGAATCAGTGTATATGTTAACTTACATGACAAAGGGGTACTAAGTTTGCTAATCAATTGACCTGAATATAGAGAGACTTTATGGGATCATCCAAGTACAAGCAATGTAATCACAACATACTTAAATGTTGAATGGGGAGGCAGAAGAGTCAGTGCCAGGGTGATGTGATGTGACGTGACGTGACGTGACGTGACGTGACGTGACGTGACGTGGCGTGATGTGTCATGATGTGATGTGATGTGATGGGAGGCTTATCTGGCTACTGCTGGCATTGAAGATGGAAGAGGGCCAAGGAATGTGGGCAAGTAAATGGGTTCTGCCCTGGAGACTCCAGCATGAAACAGCCTTTCCACATGGATTTAAGCCAGTGAGACCCATTTCTGACTTCTGAGCTACAAATCCACTCACTTTGCGGTAATGTATTATTTATTGCAGCAATAGGAAAGCTAATATACTTTCCAAACATTCATTTCATACTTTTTTGTGGCCGCTCTAATGTGTTTGTGCCACTTTATAAAATATTAGAGAGGAATGAAATTATCATGGCTATTAACACAGGGCAATTAAGCAACATCTTTCCTCATAAAGTAAAAACCACTCTCAAAATTTCATTCCAATGAATAATTGTTGAGCCCATATTCAATGGAGAACAGCTAATAATTGTCCTTCCCTCATCCTTAAACAATTTCCTCCCCTCAGCCAGGATCTATGCCTCCTTTGGAAATATCCTATGCTTCTCTAGATTTCTAAAATTATTCCATCTTCTGTAATTTAGTGGTGAACTTGTGCTATAGCTCAGAACCTTCTTAGAAAATAGGAGATACCAGGTGGACACTCATGGCTAATAAAAAAATATTGCTTCATTTTCTAAGTTAACAACTTAACAACAACAACAGGGAGAAAAGAGATTGCCTTTAACTTCCATGTTAGATTTTATAGCTGACTGCATCTCAGAATATTGTCATAATAAGCAGTTATTGTCATTCTTTGGCCCTCCAGAAAGTCAACAAGCAAAACACCGAGAGATTTAAAAATAAATTTTGCCCTGACGTTTGCCCTTTGCCCATCCACTCTTGCTTTAACTTCCACCTCTCCGTAGCCATTACTTTGATTGTGTTTGGTTGCAGATTGTACAGATCAAGCCATGTTTCAATTCCTGTTACAATTCTTTGAACAAATTCTTCAGGATCTTGATACCATTTTTTTGAATTTTCAAGAAACTTCAGTTCTTGTTTGTAGCTGATCTTGGTGCAAGAGTTTTGACATCCATCGGGTGGAAATGTATCCTCTACTTTCATTATCCAGTTAGAATCATGTCAGCTGAACCAATGGAGAAGTCTGCAGTGTTGGCTATTGTTTGTACTGTTAATCACTAATCCTCTTATATTATGGTATCAACAAGATGAATTTTTTCTTTGCAAATTAATATGAGTGGTCAGCCGCTGTAGGCTTTATGTTCAAAATCATATCATCCCTGCTTAAAGTGAGTTATCTATCTGTGAGCTTCTGATTTTCTTGGCCATTGGCCTCTTAAACTTTTTGAAAAGCATCAATTATTTCACCATTCTTCTACCCAGGCTTCACCATAAATTAGATGTTTGCAGTCACTATAGTTTGATCAGAGTACATGTTGCTGTCATAGAGGCTCTTTTCAAAATACTGTCTTAGACTTCTTGATGCTGCGAGGTAGATCCTGTTCACACATGTTGTGACAATACCGTCTGAGTTCATTTTGGTTCGAAAAATTTTGGAATCCATGCAGAGCTTTTTAAATGCAATATGCATTTTTCATGATCTTTTTAGGACCCAATGTATTACAGAAAGATTTCCTAATACAATAAAGTTCGCTATAGATATCTTTGTGATTTCCAGGTGACTAGGCAGAACAAAAGCATCTATAACGTGTGCATAAGAAAAATTTGGAGGTGGGGGGATGGGGAAATAATCACATACATACGTTTCAAGAACTTTTCCAATAAAAATGGCAGACAAATAATATGATAGGAAAGAAGCACTAACAGTCTTAGGAAGACTTCTATAGAAATGGGTGATGTTTCAGCAGGCTTTTGCTGATTGAAATAATCCCATAGAGCATAGATGTAAGAATCAGGAGACAAACGGGTCACATGCAGAGGCAAAATCCCTGACCACGCAATGTGGTTCAGAATAAAGTGGGAAGTTAAGATATAGGGGTAGGAAGGCTTCACCTATGATAATAGGAGGGAAGCCAGAGACCTGGGTTTCAACTGAACATGGGTTGCTCAACTTAGTGGTGGTTATGGTGAGATCATTCTGTTCTGATTTTTCTGACTTCTTACTGAATTATCTGAGACTATCAGTGGGCAGAGAGGCAGTTTCTAATATTGAACCTTCCTTGCTTGAGAAGCAGACATGCCAGTCTCTGCAAGGTTTTTGGTATGTATGTTATCTCATTAGTCTCCATACTCTAAGGTAGTTGTTATGATTATGCTCATTTTAGATGAGGAAATTGAAGCCCTGAGAAGCCAAGTAGCCTTTTAAGAATCCAGAGATATTAAGAAAAAGAATTAGGTCTTAATTAAAACCTGAGAGTGTCCAAATTCTTTGCTCCTTAAAATCGTGCTGCCTCCTTCATGAAATCCATTCAAGTTCCATTAAAGAATGGTGAGTAACACAGGAAGGGAGAGAAGTGATCACTGTTAAAATAGGGTCAATGAGATAGACAGGGTTCTGGGGATAAGAAGCATAGAGCCATATTCATTCCCTTGAAACCAAACTCAGTTTCTTAGAAATTATAAGGATTTCATTCAGCTTCTGTGACTTTGTTGCATTTGTTGTGTTTTTTGTCCTTAAGATCACTGGAATATCAGTAAACAATCTGAAAATAATTTTAAAATTTCAATTTATGCTATAGAAGTCAGGGAAGGGCCAGGCATGGTGGCTCACACCTATAAACCCAGCAATTTCAGAGGCCGAGGCAAGCAGACCACCAGAGGTCAGGGGATGGAGACCAGCCTGGCCAACATGGGGAAACCTCATTTCTACTAAAAATACAAAAATTAGCCAAGCATGATGGTGAGCACCTATGATCTCAGATACTTGGAAGGCTGAGGCAGGAGAATAGCTTGAACCCAGGAGATGCAGGGGGCAGTGAGCCGAGATCCTGCCACTGCACTCCAGCCTGGGTGATAGACCAAGACTCCATCTTGGGTGGGGGGGGAAATAGAAGTCAGGGAAGTAGAGAAACAGTAAAATATTTTTTCATGGCACCTGGGTAAATTAGGATTAAGGAGGAGAGAAGTTTCCTGGAGCATCAAGGAGGAGGGTTCCTACATGTTCTTATACAGTCTTCTTGGTCCTCAGATCCCACATTCACAAATATTGAGAAACAGACACCACAATCAGAAATTGCAAGCTGATTATTTTATTGGTATATTGAAGTTAGAGCTATGATGACCTTTTTCCAATGTCATGGAATTTGAATCATTTGAATCACTCTCATCTTCTTATTCACTTCCTGAAACAAACAAAGAAGGAAGTTCATAGACCAGACTTGACATGGCAGGAAATGTCGAATTCCTCACTGGTCTTACTGCACTACAGTACATGAGAGCCCATCCTCTCTCCCCCATCCCTTCTACCTCCTGTGTTTCCTCCCTAATTTTTTGTGTGTTCACTCTTTGGATGCCCTTGCACAAAATGTGCTCCAAATTGTTCCTTACGTGATGAAGACAGAAGATCATTCTTAGCTTATTATTACTTGCTGCTGAATTTGTTCACAGATATATTTACACAGATGGGAACTGGAACATATTTTATAACAGTGAGAAGCTGAAACCACCCTCAGTGTCCAGTGACACAGATTGGTTAAAGAAATCACGGTGCAGCCACATAATGGAGTAGTATAAAATGGTAAAAACAAACAGATAACCACTGAAGAGATCTACTTAGCTTCATAGACGTATGTGGAAATTTTCAAAGAAATGTATTTTTTAAATGACTAACATATGTACCTGAATATAAATTATGGTATTAGTTCTGGGGGAAAAATATTCTAGTAGTCTATGTACACATAAATATTTCAAACAGAAGATGCCATAAAGTTAACAGTGGCAGTTTTCTGAAGGAGGGGAGGCAGGTAGGATGAGTCATGCCTTTAAATTTAGATTCATATTTTTCCATTGCATTAGATATTTTTTGTTAGCTTAATCATGTACTTATTGAACAGTAAGAATTTGAAAAATGAGACACCATTTAGCTGCTGAAAGTTCAGGGACCACTTGGCAGGAATACTGGACTCAAGAGGCTGGTGTGAGGCAGGACTGAGCAAACAGTGCTCAGGTGAAAACTTTAAATGGGAGGTCTCTCAGTTTGTGCACAGAAAACAGAGCGCCAGAGAGAACATGGTACTACTTCCTTGTTGCCAACACAACTTAAGACAGATTATTTGGAATTTTGTTTCTCAACATCAGAATTCCTTAAAGAGTTTGTTACAAATATAGGATCTTGTTACCCATTTCCAGAATATGTCAATACAAATCTTTAGAAATGGGATCTGGGACTATACAATGCCAATGGGCTTTTAGCTGATTCATTGGCACAATAAAGCTGGAGAGCTGTAGCAATTAGAGCACTTGGTGAAGAATAAACTGGAATCATACCTGTCATTGAATCCTAGATGACTGGGGAGGCTGTCACTGGGGAGGTCTGGAAGGTCTGCCCCCTTGAGGAGGGCGTGGTGGTCCCTGGGGCTGTCCAGCAGGAGGTGCCTGAGGCTGCTGGGGATTGCCTCCTGCTGGAGGTGGGGGACCTTGAGGATTGTTGCCTTCTTGTTGGGGTGGTCCTTGTGGCTTTCCTGGAGGAGATCGGGCACTTTGGGACTTGCTGCCTCCTTGTGCGGGTGGTCCTTGTGGCTTTCCTGGAGGTGGGGGACCTTGAGGTTTGTTGCCTCCTTGTGGGGGTGGTCCTTGTGGCTTTCCTGGAGGAGGTGGGGGACCTTGGGGCTGGTTGCCTCCTTGTGGGGGTGGTCCTTGTGGCTTTCCTGGAGGAGATTGGGAACTTCGGGACTTGTCTCCTTGTGGGGGTGGTCCTTGTGGCTTTCCTGGAGGTGGGGGACCCTGAGGTTTCTTGCCTCCTTGTGGGGGTGGTCCTTGTGGCTTTCCTGGAGGAGGTGGGGGACCTTGGGGTTGGTTACCTCCTTGTGGGGGTGGTCCTTGTGGCTTTCCTGGAGGAGATCAGGGACTTCGGGACTTGTCTCCTTGTGGGGGTGGTCCTTGTGGCTTTCCTGGAGGTGGGGGACCTTGAGGTCTGTTGCCTCCTTGTGGGGGTGGTCCTTGTGGCTTTCCTGGAGGAGGTGGGGGACCTTGGGGCTGGTTACCTCCTTGTGGGGGTGGTCCTTGTGGTTTTCCTGGAGGAGATCGGGGACTTCGGGACTTGTCCCCTTGTGGGGGTGGTCCTTGTGGCTTTCCTGGAGGTGGGGGACCTTGAGGTTTGTTGCCTCCTTGTGGGGGTGGTCCTTGTGGCTTTCCTGGAGGAGGTGGGGGGCCCTGGGGCTTGTTGCCTCCTTGTGGGGATGGTCCTTGTGGATTTCCTGGAGGACAAAGAGAGAAGAGAAAGACAGAGTAAAAGCCCACACAAGATTCACTGAATAGTTGCAGTAAATTTTTATCAGCTTGGGTAACAAGCTGAGTGGGGAAATACACAAAAATGGAACAAAGACATTAATTTATTTGCATTTTCAGTGAAGACATAGAACTCTGGAGTGGAAAGCTGGGGAAGAACAAAGCAGTTGAGGGCCTCTCAGTATAAAGAGGAGACAGAATGAGGATGCTGCCCATTTCTGTCATCTCCCAGCAGGCATTCCTGGCCGGGGGGATGAGGCAACACACTCCTGTTGTCATCTAAGCCAAGCATCTCTGCCATTCAATTTGGTGGCCTGCTCATGATGCCCAGAATCAAGGTTGCACGAAGAGTGCCTATATTGTTAGGGGCACTAACATTAATCAACTCCTGAAAGGAAAGTTTTGATAAGAAGACACTGGAGAACTGATCCACTCATAAGCAGAAAAAGACAGTCAAAACAGATTGAGAACGAATCAGGCTTTACCTGCTATTAGGGAGGGAGATTCTTCCTGGCTGACATCTAGAAGAGAAGCACAGGATGATGGGAAAAGTTACATCTTGAACCTTTCAAGACTCACAAGTGTTCTACAGGGAAAAGGGTCTTCTCATGACACCCCATGCATCCCCTAAGTTAACTAGTCAGCCACCATCTGTGAAGCTGCTGGAAGGGGAGGAAGGTGTAAGGGGAGACAGGGTTGTTATGACAGAGCAACAGCCATGAACTCAACATAGAAGAGCCCCTTTTTTCCCTCCCTAGCATCCCTCAAGACTTAATGCTAATTTAGTTCACACATGCCAGGTACTTCAATGTGATACTTTGGTGTTCTTATGCCCTCCATTTCCTATAAATACATTGCTTATGTACACATGCTTTCTCAATTGGGGTAACCAGAAGTAATCACTTCAATACAATCTTACCCATACCACTCCCAGCACATTGAAATACTGCGTGTAAGGGAGAGAAAAATGACAATGATTGGCTCTGATATTTCTGTATCTCTAGTTAAACAGAGACAAGTGTTCCATCCAATTCTCTGTCTCTGCAGTATCTCTGATACTGTGTGTGTTTATCGCCATCATCGATGCTGATGCACTGTACAGCAAGGCCACCATCATCCCTGTGTACTTACTGAGATCAGTTTAGGATCTTCACAGCTGGACTTCCATGAATCTGCCTTGCATTCTCTACTGCATCCTTCACAGCACAGTTCTATCTATAAATGCAAATCTTACCTTCTCATTCCCCTGGAACAAATTCTTTATTGGATTTCATTGTACATTAAATAAATTAGAAACCCTTAGTGTGGAATGAGGGTACAACAGGTCTCCTGATCCTAGGCATGAAAACTCTGCAGCCCCATCTGTGTTTTCATTCTCCTCTCCTCCCCGTAATTACCATTATCACCTCCTAAGCCCCAAGCAGAGTCACCACATCTTTTCCCTCTTCTGTTTTACCTTCATTTAAGTTCTGAGCTGAGCTCAGGGCCAGCAAGGCCACTGACAGCAGAATCAACAGCATCTTGCAGGAGGCTCTGGAGTCACTCCCAACTCTGTGCTGGGAGGAACGTGGCAACTCCCTTTATAAAGAGGAGAAGAACAATGGCACCTTTGAGCTCCACACTGGGTGGGCCTCACCACCTCAGAGACTGGCTTCTGCTTTGCTCACTGCAGGTCAGGTGTATCCCTTATTTTTCTTTGAGACTCTAGCCCAGAGAGATGAGTTGGATAGGATATGTTGTTAGTGTCTTATTTCCAAAAGGTACAACTATGACTTGAACAATGGTTTTGAAGGAACTGTGTCCAAGCCATCAGCACTGTGTCATCACTGAACTTTAGATATCATTAGAGTTTCAATCTTTTAGGTAAGACTATCATCCACTTTCCACTGTGCTATTTATTTCTGTTTATGTGTGTGTGAGCAGCGATGCTACAGCCAGCAGTGAAAATGGTCAATATCTCTGCATCTTTTTATGCCCTATTTCCATCTCTTGTGATGTGTGTGTACAGATATTTTCATATTTAGCTCAATTTTTGATGTGATAGAGATGGTTTCTGCTATCTATGAGATGTGTGAGGACAGCACACTTCTGTGCACACATAGATGACAGAAAGCTGCCCCGCAGCCTGCTCAGGATAGGGCTATTGTTCAAGTTTCTGTGGATCTCACTCAGCTGAGGCAAGGCTTGGTCCTGTACAACACAGGAAGTCTAAAATTTTGTATTCTAAAGTATTTTTAGGGGTTATTAATGCAAAGTAGACACAGAAACCACCAGGAAATTTCTAGACCTGAGAAAACTGAATACATAGTTCTTTGAGGGAGCCATGCAATGTCAGGTCGCTAAAATTTCCTTCATGCTCTTCCCTTTCTCTAGAATATTCTATAAAATTCACCCACTGCTTCATTTCTTTTAGGAATTGTATCAAATTCTTACCACTGTTAATTAAGTGGCCACAATTCTACATTCAAATGAGATAATCAGATACCGCCATCAAACCCTCAGTTGCATTGTATTGGTTTTCTTTGTTTAGTCAGTATTTGTGTTACCTGTTTTCTCAGATTCTTCTTCCACAAGGAGTATTTTTTCTACAATATTCTGATATGCATTCCTCCCCACGTTCTTTCTAGTACTTCTTTGTTCATATTTTATTTTCTGAGTCAAGCTCATTATGTGTATTTTTTATTATGTAGCTGGCTTTTCCCCATGAATTTAGTGAGATTTACTTTATTTAATCTTCTACAGAATAAGATATAGTACTCCTAACCTCTTTTTTTCATTCCTGTCTGTGTAATTTCACAATAAATGTTGTGTTTCCAAAAAGCCCTCTCAGAGTCCTGCACTGTTAGCACTTCTTTTAGCTGCTGGTTCTTCTCTTATATCTGGTAAATCCCTGCTCATCAGTTCGTGGAATATACAGGTTAGTCAGTATCAACAGCTGCCATTTACCACTTAGACCTTCCATGTGTCTTGTGTAATTCTTCACATTTTGTGCATGGCTGGTGGTAATCTGAGGACAGCTTGGTGGGAGGTATGATGGGGGTAGAGAGGGTATGTGACAGTAAATTCTAAAGACAGGCCTCTTGGCCATTGGGGATGAGTGGATCCTGTGCTGTGCACATGAGGGTCTGGTCTGGCCCTTCTGAAGAGTTGCGGATATTAGTACAGGGAGACTTCCTAATACAAAAGGCTTTGCTATGGATAATTTTGCCCTTGCAAGGGAACCAGACAGATTGGTATTTTCCCTGGCATAAATACAGATGTACTTCAAAGGGGAATACATTACTAATTGGCAATTCTTTCTGGCTCTATGGAAAGTGGATTGGTTCTAGCTGAGCTTCATGAGTTTTATCTTAGGCAGAGAGTAGTTGTTTGGTCCCAGCAGATCCCACTGTATTGTTGAGATTTGTGTCTCTTGTCTCACAGACCCTGTTTTCCATAGGAACTGGAAATGAGCAATCCTGCCTAGGTGGCTTAAGTTAGACCATCAGGTAACAAAGGAATGTCAGAGAAAAGGAGCAACAAAGAGGCAAGGATGACATTGCCTGTTTATGTCACCAACCAAGGTTGCTGCAGCCTGATGCAAGACAGACTTCCCCTTGGCAGGAGAGTACAGGAAGAGAACAGAAATGCCCCTAAAGGTCACTCATTTCAGGCTCTTTCCCTGTTCTTCTCCAATGTCAGCAATGAGTAAAGTTTTTCAGGAAAGCATAAATATCAGCTATGCACTCACCAGACAAAACAAAAAAGAGGTGATGGAAATGTGGAAAGGGACACTCTCTGTGAGTGAGGGTGGGTGGAAGAGACAAGCAGTCCTGCAGCAGGAACTTGGGCACCTAGACATGAGTTGCAGCCCTTAGCACTCCACTTGCCTTCTAATATCCATGTTCACATTCTCAGGTCCTGAAGGAACAGTCTTCAACCTATGAAATTTTAGGAGATGCAATTCAGCTCTCATAACAGCTCCCAACCTTTTCTAAGTCGAGTGTTCAGTGGTTCAAAACTCCTCACTCCCTTCAGGCACTGCCCTTTAGCAAATCGAGTTGCCTCCACTTTCAACACTCATCCCAAATACAACCACTTGCATAATCTTTACTAGAAGGTGATAGTTCAGGCCGTGATACTCTCTCCTGTAGGACTTTAATATCCTCAGCTGCTCTTGGTAACATTCCTGCCCCAGCACATCCCATATCCGTTCCCCTCATATCAGTCAGAGAAGACATTTATGCAGCCAAAAAACACATGAAAAAATGCTCATCATCACTGGCCATCAGAGAAATGCAAATCAAAACCACAATGAGATACCATCTCACACCAGTTAGAATGGCAATCATTAAAAAGTCAGGAAACAACAGGTGCTGTAGGGGATGTGGTGAAATAGGAACACTTTTACACTGTTAGTGGGACTGTAAACTAGTTCAACCATTGTGGAAGTCAGTGTGGTGATTCCTCAGGGTTCTAGAACTAGAAATACCATTTGACCCAGCCATCCCATTACCGGGTATATACCCAAAGGATTATAAATCATGCTGCTATAAAGACAAATTCACATGTATGTTTATTGCAGCACTATTCACAATAGCAAAGACTTGGAACCAACCCAAATGTACAACAACTATAGACTGGATTAAGAAAATGTGGCACATATACAGGATGGAATACTATGCAGCCATAAAAAATGATGAGTTCATGTCCTTTGTAGGGACATGGATGAAACTGGAAACCATCATTCTCAGCAAACTATCACAAGGACAAAAAACCAAACACCACATGTTCTCACTCATAGATGGGAATTGAACAATGAGAACACATGGACACAGGAAGGGGAACATCACACACCAGGGACTGTTGTGGGGTGGGGGAGCAGGGAGGGATAGCATTAGGAGATATACCTAATGCTAAATGACGAGTTAATGGGTGCAGCACACCAACATGGCACATGTATACATATGTAACAAACCTGCACGTTGTGCACATGTACCCTAAAACTTAAAGTATAATAATAATAAAATTTTTTTAAAAACCTAGGAATTAGATCATAACACTTTTATGCTTCAAATGCTCTTAGGATTTTCTTCTGCAGTTGTAATAAGATAAAAGTTTCATGCCTCAGCTCCCTCACACCCACACATCTCCCTCTTTTTGAAGACGTGAAAGCTCTGTGAATGGAACAGAAAACAGAATCTTCCTCAACTTACTGTGTTCATTGAGTAAACCAACTATTCTGATAATACAGTCGTGTTCAAGAATTCAGCGTTGCTTGGACTTTTCTAAAAACTTTGGTTACATTAGTAGGATCTTCATCTTTACATTTTTATTTGATGTTGATGCTCTCTAATATATATATATTTCACAATTATTTGAGCTTATTTATATTCTTTCCATTTATCCTAGCAAAGGCTGATTATAATAGAAAACATTTCTTCAGCATTTACTATATGATATTCAATCTTCAGAACCATCGTATTAGGGAGGTGTGATTATTATTATCTTAATTTTGTAGATGAGGTGACTTAGGTGCGTGCCTAGGTTCCTATAAAGGTAGTAAGTGGAATGGAAGGCATTCAGTTCTCAGAGCTGAGTTCTTGCCTACTGTGCTCCATTGGTTACTTGCTCTTCATTCATTCATTTCTCTAAAAGAAAGTGAAAGGAAATGAGATTCAGAGAACAAAAGCAAGTTTCTCTTAGAATATTTTCAAGGTTAAATTTTCCTGAGACGTTAAGAGCTGAGGTGACTGAAAATATATTTTCCTGAGTAAACATGTTTGTTTGAAATCATAATCCCATTTAAACATATTCTAGTATTCTGCTTTACCCCTTGTATTTATATAAAGACACTCAGAGGAATTAATTCCTTTTTTTTTCTAATTACAAAACCCTGTCAATGTAGATCCTCTATGTACTTCCTTAATCCATGCTACATGCATTTTTCTTGGGTGGCATATTAGCATTGACAAAATTTGTGTATGCCCTTTTAAATTGACTAAATTTGATCCTTCTAATCACAATGGATCTAAAATTCTAGAAATCCAAGAGGGAGTCTGATCAGAGAGTTGTCTAAGAAAGGATAAACTATATACCACTTACATAACTTTCAGTCTTCTGCATGAAGATGTCACCTGTGTCCTGGCCCCAGAGCCGGTGTACCATCCTCAGTGATTGGGGCCATAGAAGGCATTGGTCATCAGCCTAAGGTCAAGTGTCTGTAGCCTCATCACACAATGTCAGAGTGTATTCTTCAGCTTTCAGTTAAACATCCTATCAGTTCATAGAGAAGTACAATCACAACTTATAAGAAATACAAAGCAATGTATGTCACCCTCATGTTTTTCTGATCATGTACAAAGTCAGTAAGCTGATAGGAATTTCACTAAAGTGACTAATCAATGACTCACTTATTAAACACATAAACCTTTCCCTATGTCATACAAAAGATGTTGTCTTTTCTGCGTAAGAACCACAAATTATTATTCTATCTCATTGATTTTGAAGTCCACATGTATGCATATTTATCATCTTGGAAATTGTTTTTAAAATGTGATCACAACAGAATCATTCATCTAATGTTTTCTTCTTACAATGGTACCTTGACATCCTCTCTTGAAGGGATGAGGTCTGTTTTTACCCCCTTGGAGCTTGGGTAGAACTGCATTACTGCCATGACCAGTAGATTATATCAGAAGTGATACTTTGTGACTTTTGAGTCTGTATCATAGAAATGCCATGCAATTCCAAATTGTTCTTTATGGAACCTGACACATGCTGTGAGGAAGTCCATGCTGTGTGACAGAGATAGAACATTCATTTTAAAAATGATTGGATACAAAATTGTCTCTAAACAATATTCAATAACTGACTTTGTTTCAGTGACCCAATTGCTACCTATATCATATATTATATTTCTACACATGCATGGCTACATAGCTAAAGATTTATGGATTATTCCTTTCTACCTTGCATAGTGATGTTTCTGATGCCTTAGCTCTTCTAGTACTTACAATAGCACTTTGAGGATTTTTTGCATTTATGTTCACTTTTCAAAGGTAGAAATAAAATCTTAATGTGATTGACTTTCCCTAAGACATGCACATCATAGGGAACAGCATAAGACAAAGAAAGGAAAGAGACAGACAGAGAGAGAGACAGAGAGAGAGAAATGAGTGAATGACCTTATTCATGAGAACAATATAAAATACCTAGGATCAAATAGCAAGAAATGCACAGGATTCAGTTGAAGAAGAATGATCAAACTTTGATGCAGAATATGCACTAAAATGTATATACATGTAAATTTCTGCACATGAAAATGCCATATTCAAATAGGACTAATTTTCCAGCTGTTCTGGTGAAAATTGCACAACAGTCCCCTCTTCATGTCTGATTTTGGCTTTGCTCATTCACAAACTCTATTATTTTTCTATTTGTCATTCCAATTCCACAGTTTTGTTTACATTTATTGTTTATTGTCATCTCTTCTTTCATTCTCCCCATCCTTTGGTATTAATTTCCTCTCTGCTTCTTTATTGTAATTTTGTTGGGACATTGGGAAAGAGCAGAAATCAGTCCATGTGTTCAATACACTGTGCATTCCAATACCCTTAGTATGGAGACAAATTCCTTATCACAGTTTATAACAGGTCCTACAGATGATCTTTTAGTTTATGCCTCTTTCAATATAAGTGTGTTCAAGTGACTTTACAAGGCAGACTGCTATTACCTGTGTTCCTAATTTTATCTGAAGAATATGCTGCTGTCTTTTCTTCCCTGGCTGCATTAAATGTAACATGACAATGACTTGATAATCACATGGTTATTTTTTACAACGTTATTGAGTAAACATCTAGAAACAATTTTAAATGTTGAATACATTTTTATACTCTAATACTCTAACAAATGTAATTTTTTAAAAACAAATGTACATTGTTTCAAGTCTATTACTTATCCATCTTTGGAACTGCCAAAGCAAATCTCTCCATATTATAAAAAAAAAACTTTTGTGACTTCTAGTAAACAGACATAGAAACAGAAGTTTATGATATGATACATAAAAGAGTTTGCATTTATCTTACATTTTTACTAACTTTATTTTTTAGCTAAGCTTTTGTCTATATTTGCATATTCTTGATTGAAACATGCCTTTGTACATTTGTATTGAGCAATTAAAGGCTTTTTTAACTAGTCAACCTAACAACATTGACATATGGCTTTTCTCAGATTGGAATGATCTACAAAGCTTCTGAAGCTTGAACTTTGGGGTCCTTCATGTGCACAGGCCCTTTCCAAGACCCTGTTTAGAGTGAATAGAATACAGACATTTAGAAGGTTCATGAACTAGCAGTGGTCTTCTTTATGCCAACTCCTTTACTCAAGCCTTTATGTATTTTTCTGTCTTCCACTGACCCATGGGGATCATAAGATTTCAGGACCTTCTCCTCCCTAAAACAAACTCCAATCATTTGAGGGATATCTGAATTTTTTCTGAAAAGAAGACTGGGGAATGCCTATAGAAACAAATTTCTAAATAATCTGATTCTTATGTCTACAAATAATGGCTATCTTCCTGCACTGCTGTAAATGTACTGTGGGACTGCAGATTATACATGGAGGTATCTAAAGAGTGTACTGTAGTGGTGACTGAAGGGCCTATTGAAACGATGTATGGCTATAGATTCTTGCTCTTCCACTAGTTTTTCCCTTGAAGAACATACTCCCTGCAGAATGGCACCTTCCCTTAGTATTTGTAGTGTTTCTACCTTTAAGCATGGAAGGAATGGTCAATGTTAGCAATGCTGTCTTTCCTCTACAACTTACGGCGGGGTAAGGACAATTCTCATGTTTGACTACAAAAGCAAGCGCAGCTTCATGGCCCTAATCCATTTGGGCATTTCTGCTAGTGTCCTGGATCCATCAGTCTCCACACCGGTGTTTCCAGAGATGGTGCTGACTGTGGCAATTACCAACTCATGGATGTTCTTTGATTTTTAATAGGAAGAGTGATTTCCCCAGAGGTTTTCTCTGTAAATGAAGACATTCCTTGCCTGATTTCTAGGGCATACCACTGTTGTTTATTCCGAAGAGTCCATGACTGGAACACCATGTAAGGCCATAGATTTTTGTATTCTATCTTTGTTCCGGCTCTTTGGTTTTCCTTGGGAGGGATTCTACGACAGACTTACTAAGTGAGACTCTGCAACTCTGCCCCCATTTTGTACCCTTCTCCCCCAGGCATCTTGTTCACTTAGCTGAGTACACTCTTGGGGAGAAGAGAGAATATGGTGGTAGCTCATGAGGACACATCCAGTTTTCATTCACAGCCTACGACTCAACTGAATAAACTCCTGAACTTTAAGTCTCCCTAAATGTGTGCAACAGCTTTGGGGGATCTTTAACCATTTACCTCCTGCTATCTTTGGAATGGAGGAAAAACTAAAAGTGTTACATGGGAAGTTTGTTTCAATTCTACCATCTGGTACTCAGTTTACAACCATTTCCCAATCCTGCTTCTTAATGAGCTATATAAAAGGAGAAGATTTATTGACCGTTTGTCATACATTTTGGTCAACATGTCAGCTATTGATATGTATTTTTTACATTATTAACTGAAGAAAAATGGATGCCTTTTACAAACTGTTTATAAGATTACAAAACAGAAATACATCCAAAGGAACCAAATTAGGGTTGTACTGTGGAAGCCTAATGATTTTCTCACATAAATGCCCTGTTTGGTAAGAGAAATGAGCAGGAGCAAGGTCGTGGTGAAGGACTCTGCTGAAGCTTTCCCAGTGATTCCTCTACTAAAGCTTTGGCCTTCTCAAAATATTCTCGGAATAAGCAGATATTGTCATTCTCCAGAAAGTCAACCAGCAAAATGACTTCAGCTCTCCAATAAACTCTTGCCATGACCTTTGTGCTCTCCTCATCCACCTTTGTTTTGACTGGACTTTTCCACCTCCTGGTAGCCATTCCTTTGATTGTATTTGTTTTCTGGGTTTTACTGGTAAAGTCACGTGTTGTCTCCTGTTATAACTCATTGAAGATTTGCTTACGGTCTTCATTGCTCATATTTAAAATTTTTAGGGAAAGTTCTGCTCATCTCTGTACTTGATCTTGGTGACACAGGTTGGGCATCCATTAAGTGAAAAGTTTACTAAACTTTGATCATTCAGTTAGAATCATGTAAACTGAACCAACTGAGAAGTCTGCAGTGTTGGCTATTGTGTGTGGTGCTAATTGTCACACATCTTCTCTTAGGGTATAAAGAAGATGAATGTATACCTTGCAATATGACATGGTTCATCTGTCACTGTAGGCTTTAGGTTCAACATTGTCTCATTCCTTCTTGAAATGAGGAACTCCTCATTGAATTTGTGAACTGCTGACTTCTTCAACCAATGTCAACTTACCATGTGGCAAGTAGGACAACTTTTTGGACACCGTCAGTGATTTCATCTTCTTCCACCCAAGCTTCACCATAAATTTGATGTTTGTACTCTAATTTTAGAAGAATTCATGTTGCTCTTCTAGGGACTCTTTTGAAACTGCTATCTTATTTTTCTTGAAGCCTCAAACTAGCTCCTGTTGAGACTTGTTATAGCAAGATATTCTAATTTCATTTGGTGCCAAAAAATTTGGAATCCATTCATGGTATTTCTTTCTTTCTTTCTTTCTTTTTTTTTTTTTTGAGATGGAGTCTTGCTCTGTCACCCAGCCTGGAGCCCAGGCTGCAGTGCAGTGGTGCGGTCTCTGCTCACTGCAAGCACCGCCTGCTGGGTTCATGCCATTCTCCTGCCTCAGCCTCCCGAGTAGCTGGGACTACAGGCACCCGCCACCACGCCTGGCTAATTTTTTGTATTTTTAGTAGAGACAGGATTTCAAGGATGGTCTTGATCTCCTGAACTCGTGATCCACCTGCTTTGGCCTCCCAAATTGCTGGGATTACAGGCGTGAGCTACCGCACCCAGCTCATTCATGGTATTTCTTAATAGAATGTACATTCTTCGTCAGCATTTTAACAACCCACTCCATATAGGAAGGCATCCTAACACAAGAAGGTCTACTAGAGGTAATTTAGACTTTTCCAGCTGACTAGGCCGATTGGTTTCTTGTTTTTCTTTTAGCATAAATAGGAATGTTTTCTGAAGATGGGATATAATACCTGTGGCCAAATATTCTCCAGCTACATGGAAAGTGTAACATTTGTAACTGAGATTCACATGCTTCAAGAGAGACACAGAGTGCTTGGGCCCAGCGGCTATTCTGATGTTATTGAATGATTTTCTCTGGTTTCACCAAACATTATTTGGAAAGAGAAGGTGGTTATGAGCAGTCTGGCCTAGGTAGCTTATGGTGGCTTGTCAAGTAGGGAAGAAATGCAAGAGAGAAGAAGCAGAGGGGAGTGCCAGGCAGATGTGCCTACTTGTGGGAGTCACTGGGGAAGCTGCAGTCCCAGTTAGTGGCAGGCTACTTCTCATCTGCTGAGTACAGGAAGACAAGAGGTGATACTTCCAAATATCACTCAGCTCATGCCCTATTCCTGACCTTCCCCTATGTCAGAAATGCATGAAAAGAGATTAGCATATCAGGAAGGAGTAAATATCAGGTATCAAGCTACCAGAGACAACCAAAACAGAGGTTACCAAAGAACTGAAGGAGACAGTGTCACTTAGGATGAGGTCAAAACAAGGTGCAGGACTGCAGCAGGAGCTTAGGCACTTGTCCATGAGTCAAGAACCTCAGCAATCCACTTGCCATTTAAAATAAATATAAACTTACTATGTGCCAAGCAGGACTCTTGATTTCTACCTCCTAAAACCTGCTCTCCCCTAGCTTTCTTCATTATGGCTGTCAAAAAAAATATCACAGACTAACTATTCTTCAACAACAGAAATTCCTTTTCAGCACTTCTGGATGCTCAAGTTCCACGATGAAGGTGTCAGCATGTTCAGTTCTTCTGGGCCCTGCCTGCTTGCCATCTACATACCTGCCTTCTTGCTGTGTTTCCCATGGGACTGCTTCTATACATACATAATTCTTGTGTCTCTCCGTGTGCAAATTTCTAGTTCTTATAAGGAATTTCCACTTCTTATAAGGAGAGCAATCTTATTAGATTTAGTTCCACTGAAACTCACCATTTTAGCTTGATCACCTCTTCTTAGGGCTGTTTTCTAAACAATCTTATTCTAAGGAACAAGAGGTTGGCTGTGGAGTTTTGTATACCTATGCCTATCATATTTCACTAAATATTTGATTATATAGATATCATTTCTTTGGAACTCTGAGCTGTGTGAAGACAACACAAACCTGGCCATTCATGGCTGACAAAAGGTTGGCCCTCAGCCTGGTCAGACCCACACAGATTGTCTAATTTTCTCTGGCTCTGGCTCTAGTCAGAAAAGTCTTGGTGTTGTAGAATACAGGTGTCTTCATGAATTCTATCATTAATACTCATGGGGAGGTTAAAACAGAGTTGGCCATGAAACCTACCAAGGGGTTCTAGAAATGAACAGAATGAATACACAGTTCTTGAATGAGACACCCGATTTCATATCGTCAAAATTTTTTCCTTGCTGTACCGCTTTGTTAGAATGTTTGATCAGATTTAGTTTGGGATTTACATATTTTAGGAATTTTTTTTTATATACAGACTCTTGCTCTGTCACCCAGGCTGGACTGTGGTGTCATGATCCTGGCTTACAGCATCCTTGAACTCCTGTGCTCAGGGGATTCCCCCGGCTTCAGCCTCTTAAGTTGCTTGAATTACAGGTTCATGACACTGACCATGCCCATTTATTTTTTAAATTTATTTATTTATTTACTTTTGAAGAGATGGAGCCTCACTTTGCTGCTCAGGCTGGTCTTGAGCTCGTGGCCTCAAGGGATCCTCCCACCTCACTCTTCCAAAGTCCTTGGATAACAGGCATGAGTCACCATGTTCAGTCATCTAGGAAAAAATTTTAATCACTCCCACTTATAATGAGTGGCCACAATTATATATTCCAATAAGATAGTCTGGTACCCACATAAAAGCCTCAAGCATATTGCATTGATCTATTTCTTAGTACCTGTGCTATCTCTCTCCCAGATTGCTCTTCCACACAGAAATTTTTTTCATTTTTGCAACATTCTGAAACTAATTTCTCCCGACTCTCTTTCTAAAATGTATTTGTAGACATTTTGTGTTCTAAATAATCTTCCCTGTGTTTATTTTTCATCTTACATCTGGCATCTTTTTAAATAAAATTTGGTAAAATTTTTTAAATCTAATCTTCTAGGTAAGCATCTATAATTCTTCTTACTCCTTTCTTTTCATTTTTGTTTTCAAAATTTAGATCAACATAATGTGTTTCCAAGGTCTTTTTACTGAGTTTGTGTTAGTAGCTCTCTTTTCATCTGCTGACTTTTCTGTTACATGAAGTAGTTCCTGCCCATCCTTCTACCCTTTTCATGGAAAGTTTAAGTGAGTCAGTATCAACAGCTGCCTCTTATCATCTCAGGCCTCGAATAAGTCTTGTACTGTCATTCAGTTTTTGCTCAGGGATAGTGATAACTTCAGGATGACCTTGTTAGAGGTATTGTGTGTGGGGTTGTGACTGGACATCCTAAAGACAGGCCACTTGATCAGTTGGATGAGAGGATCCTGTGTTGTACACATAAGAATCTGTTCCTACTCTTCCAGAAGGGTTTGAGAATACAAGGGGATTTCAAAAAGTTTGTGGAAGAACATAATTACAATATGAAAGTAGACAATATAAACTTTATTTCTTAACATTATCTCCATCACATTCAAGAAGTTTGGCAAGTAATGATACAAGAAATTTAGCCTATCTACAAAGAATTGAGGGCCCTGGGAATTTCACCATATAAATGCAGTCTTTTCACATTATTAGCTGAAGAAAACAGAGTACAATTTAAAGATATTTTAATATTAGAAAAAAGTTCAAAGATACTGCATCAGTACTGTAAGTTGGATGCCTAGTGATTTTCTTTTTTTTCTTTTCTGTTTTATTTTCATAGGTTGGGGAACAGGTGGTGTTTGGTTATGTATATAAGTTCTTGAGTGGTGATTTGCTAGATTTTGGTGCACCCATCACCTGGGCAGTATACACTGCACCCAATTTGTAGTCTTTTATCCCTCACCTCTTTCCGACTCTTTCCCCCTGAGTTCCCAAAGTCCATGGTGTCATTCTTATGCCTTTGCATCCTCATAGTTCAGCTCCCATTTATGAGTGAGAACATATGATGTTTGGTTTTCCAGTCCTAAGTTACTTCACTTAGAATGATAACATCGACTTATGAAAGATTGGGGAAAGTTAGGCAAAACTTTAGCAGATAAATGCTCAGAAAGGCTTTAGCAGAGTCCTTCTCCATCACAACAAAGCTCTTGCTCATTCCCCTCATGAAACAGGGGCAATTTGCCAGACTTTTTATGGAAATCACTAGGCATTCAATCTCATCCATTTATCTGCTAAAGATTTGGCTTTCTTCAGATTCCAAATTCTTTCATAAGTCGATGTTATCATACCTTGGCCCTCCCAAAAGTTATCAACCAAAATACCTTGGGCATCCAAACACACTGTTGGCATAATATTTGCTTTTGTCACATTTACTTAGACTAGATGACTTCCACCTCTTGGTAGCCATTGCTTTGATTGTGTTTTTGCCTTCGAGTGGCACTGGTAAAGCCACATTTGATCTCCCGTTACAACTCTTCAAAGACATGCTTAGGATCTTTTCTTTTCTTTTCTTTTCTTCTCTTTCCTACTTCTTTAATTTTTCATTGAATATTCTGTTCTCGTCTGTAGCTGACTTGGTTACAGCAGTTTTGGCCTTCATCAAGTGGATAGTTTGCTCAAGTTTAATTTCTCAATCAGAAAAAATTATGTAATCTGAACCAATTGATCTTGTTCTTGTGCTAGCTCTTGTTTCTGTTGTTAATTGTCAGAACTTTCCAATTAGGCCAAAAGAAGATAAAATTTTTGCCCATAAGTTGATGTGTATGTTCTGCTGCTGCAAGTTTTACCTTCACCATCATCTCATCGATTCTTAAAGTGAATTATCCATTTTCTGAAGGGCTGATTTACTTGTGCACACATATGTCCTAATGCATCAGTGATGTCACCATCCCTCCACCCAAGCTTCACCATAAACTTGAATTTGTTTTTCCTACAATTTTAGTAGAATTTTTGCTGCTCTGATAGAGGCTGTTTTCAAACCGCTTTCTCAACCATGTTAGTGACTGAACAAGATCCTGTTCAGACATGTTGTAACAAGTTAGTACAAATGTATTTTGATACAAAAAATGATTATATCCACTCATAATTTTAAAAAGTCATAAGTATTTTCTAGAAACAGTTTGAAAATCCCTTATATTATTGGAAGCCTTCCTCATACAAGGAGGGTTGTTGCAGATTACTCTGCCATTGGCTGGTGATTAGACAGACTGTTGTTTTCCTCCCTCACCCCTTCTGGAATATTAGGGATGTTTGCTAAAGAGGAAATATATTACCAGTTAGCAATTCTTCTTTGGCTATGCAATAATAAAACATGTGTAGTTTGGCTTTATGTGCTTTAGGGGTGGGCATAAAGTAGTTGCTTGTCCTAGCGGGTGCCCTAATGATATTGGGATGACTATCATTGGTTTCCACACACACTGATTAGACAGGGAAACTGGAGATGAATGGTCCTGCCTAGTGACTTATGGTAGACCTTTTAGTGGGAAAGGAAGATCCGAGGGAAGGAGCAGAGGGGAGTGCCTTGCAGACTTGCCTCATTGCATAGGTTGCTGTAGAAGTCATAGTCCTGGTGAAAGAAAGGCTCCCCCTTGGCTTGGTGAGTACAGGAAGACAGCAGGCATTGCCTTCAAATATCACTCCTCTCAGGCCCTTTCTCTGACATTGTCCAATGTCAGCAATGAGTGAAAGAGATTAGTTTATTAGGGAAGAATAAATATTAACTATGAAATCTCCACACACAAATAAAACAGAGATGACAGAGGAGCTGAAAGAGGCCCTGTCAGGGAGTAAGGATGGGGTCAAAGCAAGGAGCAGGCCTGCAGCAGGAGCTCAGGCACCTTTTGGTCAGTTGAAGCTCTCAGCAATCCACTTGCCTTCTAATATGGATGCAAACATAACATGTCCCAAATAAGATCCTTGATTTCTGCATCCTAAACTGCTCTCCCCTGATGTAGTTTGTTATCTCTGCCCTTAAAAAAAACAAAACACACTGTGTAATTTGAACAACAGAAATTAATTTTCTCACAGTTCTGGAGGCTCACATTCCATGATCAAGGTGTTAACAGGTTCATTTCTTCTAAGATGTCTCTTCTTGGATTTGACTTGGTTAATTTAGTTTTTTGTCTTCAAACACCTTGATCATTTACTTTCTGAAAAACTTTCACAGTCTATAAGGTCTTTTTTCAAATTTTAGACTTATATATGTTAGTTCTGAAATTTCTATTTTATTATTTTCTATAGTTCCTTTTTCTGCTGAGAAGCTTTTTCCCATTTATTTTGAGAGTGTTCACATTTACCTCAGAAAAGTTGGCTATAAGAGCTGCTTTAAAGTCTGATCATTTCCATATCCAAGTTGTTTCAAGGTTGTCGTATCTTGATTATACCCTTCATTAACAGTTGGTCAATTGTTTACGGTTTGTAAAAGTATATTGAGTAATTTTCAATTTTATGCCTCACATGGGCATTTTTCTGTGTTTACAATACACAAAAAGTTCAACAAGGCAAGCTTTGGACATTGAAGGGTGGAGGCACTCAGGCTGCATCGTGATCCACCCACTGGCTCCACTGGCAGAAGAGTTAATCCCACTGACGTTATTCTGCTTGAAGCTTCTATGTGGATGATTCTCCTTGGCTCTTATGAGATAAGAGTGTAAGTATTTCACATAATACACACTTATAAAATTAAAAACACAGAAAAGTGTGCTGAATGGGTCCCAAGGGCCTTATCCACAATGTCTTCCTAACTTTTCATGTTTTGTACCCCATTTTCTCAAAGCTCAATTGAACTCAAGGACTTCTTTTTTCTTTTCCTCTACAAGAACCACAGAGTTTAACATTGGCTTCTTAGAGGCTATCCCAGTAGCCAGGCAGCCCTGCTCTCTTCTGATGGGGATTTACAGAATGCAGGAAAATGAGGCTGAGGTAGAAAGAGTGACTATACACCCAGCATGCTGGCTCATGACTGTAATCCCACTACTTTTGGAGGCTGAGATTGGAGGATTGTTGATGTCAGGAATTCAAGATCAGCCTGAACAATATAGCAAGATCTCCCCATGTATACAACAAAATTTACAAAATCAACCTCGCATGGCGATTGGCACTTGTAGTGCCATCTAATTCAGAGGGTGATCTGGAAGAATTGCTTGATCCCAGGAGTTCAAGACTGCAGTGAGCCATGATTGCACCACTGTACTCCAGCTTAAGTGAGAGAACAAGTCCCTGTCTCTAAAAAGAAATAATAATACTAATAATAACAATAATAATAATAAATGACTACTGCAACTGAAAAGCTTTTTTCCCCCCACCTTGGCTTCTAGCCCCAGGGTCTACCTCGTTTAAACACAACTCCAGTGTCTATGGATTCAACAGACTTGCAGTCTCTTCCTTTCTTTCCCCTTATATGCCACTGTAGCTCTTTCCTGTATCCTCAGCACACCTTCCCCTACTCTGACAGAATCAAGTACAATGGTGAATTGAGCAAGTATAGGCAATAGAGCTATAAATACTTATGTTTCTACCCTCCTTGATATTTTTGCAAGATTTGGAGATGAGTACGTAGGGCCTTTAGTCCTTTTTGAGCCAGGTCATCTCAGGCCCAGCCCGAATCCTTAAAGGAACTGAGATCCGAGTAGAGGAAAAGAAGTGATAAGAGAGATGTGAACAAAGTGTCTTCATGCAAGTAAGTAAGACACATTTACTGTCTAATTCAAGCATTGTAGTCACAGCCTAAGACTCAACTGAATAAACACGTGAATTTTAAGTCTCCCCAAAGGTGTGCAACAGCTTTGGGGCATCTTTAACCCTTTACCTCCTGTTGTCTTTGGAATAGAGCAAAAACTAAAGTGTTACATGGGAAGTTTCCTTCAATTCTACCACCTGGTACTCAGTTTACAACCATTTCCCAATCCTACTTGTTAATGAGCTATATAAAAAGACACAAATTATTGACCACTTGTCATACATTTTGGTCAACATGCCAGCTATTGATATGTATTTTTTACATTATTAACTGAAGGAAAATGGATGCCTTTTACAAATGTTATAAGATTACAAAACAAAAAAAAATGAAAGAAACCAAATTAGGGTTGTAATATGTCCAAAATTGTTTTCTTCCAGTTGGTTCTTGGTCTCGCTGACTTCAAGAATGAAGCTGCGGATGCTTGCAGTGAGTGTTACAGTTCTTAAAGATGATGTGTCCATAGTTTGTTCCTTCAGATGTGCAGATGTGTCTGGAGTTTCTTCCTTCCAGTGGGTTCTTGTTCTCACTGACTTCAGGGGTGAGGCTGCAGACCTTTTCAGTGAGTGTTACAGCTCTTAAAGCTGTGTCCAAAGTTGTTTGTTCCTCCTAGTGGGTTGATGGTCTCACTGACTTCAGGAATGAAGCCGCAGACCCTCTCGTGGGTGTTACAGCTCATGAAGGTAGTGCAGACCCAAAGACTGAGCAGCAGCAAGATTTGTTGTGAAGGGCAAAAGAACAAAGCTTCCACAGCATGGAAGGGGACCCAAACAAGTTACCACTGCTGGCTCAGTTGGCCAGCTTTTATTCCCTTATTTGGCCCTGCCCACATCCCGATGATTGGTATATTTTGCAGAGTGCTGATTGGTCCATTTTGCAGAGTGCTGATTTGTCCATTTTACAGGCTGCTGATTGGTGCGTTTGCAATCTTTTAGTTAGACACAGAGTGCTGATTGGTTCATTTTTACAGAGTGCTGATTTGTGCATTCACAATCCTTTAGCTAGACAGAGAGCACTGATTGGAGCATTTTTATAGAGTGCTGATTGGTGCATGTACAATCCTTTAGCTAGACACAGAGGGCTCATGGGTGCATTGTTACAGAGTGTGGATTGGTGCATTTACAGTCCTTTAACTAGACCCAGAGCACTGATTGGTGCATTTACAATCATCTAGCTAGTCAGAAAAGTTCTCCAAGTCCACAGTGGACCCAGGAAGTCCACCTGGCATCACTTCTCAGTAATGTGAAAGCCTAATGATTTACCATGAGAACTCTCATATAATTGCCCTGTTTGATAAGAGAAATGAGCAGGAGGAAGGTTGTGGTGAAGGACTCTGCTGAAGCTTTCCCAGGGATTCATCTAGTAAAGCTTTGACTTTCTCAAAATATTCTCAGAATAAGGAGATACTGTCATTCTCCAGAAAGTCAACCAGCAAAATGACTTGAGCTTTCCAATAAACTCTTGCCAAGATCTTTGTGCTCTCCTCATCCACTTTTGTTTTGACTGGACATTTCCGCCTCTTGGTAGCCATTGCTTTGATTGTATTTGTTTTCTGGATTTTACTGGTAAAGTCATGTGTTATCTCCTCTTATAATTCATTGAAGAAATGCTTATGGTCTTCGTTCTTCCTATTTAAATTTTTAGGGAAAGTTCTGCTCTTGTCTGTACTTGATCTTGGTGACACAGTTTGGGCATCCATTAAGTGAAAAGCTTACTAAACTTTAATCATTCAGTTAGATTCATGTAAACTGAACCAACTGAGAAGTCTGCAGTGTTGGTTATTGTGTGAGCTGCTAATCATCACACCTCTTCTCCTGGGTATAAAGAAGATGAATTTATTCCTTGCAATATGATGTGAATCATCTGTCACGATAAGCTTTAGGTTCAACATTGCCTCATTCCTTCTTGAAATGAACTCCTCATTGAATTTGTGAACTGCTGACTTCTTCAACCAATGTCAACTTACCACGTGTCAAGTAGGACAACTCTTTGGACACCATCAATGATTTTGCCTTCCTCCACCCAAGCTTCACCATAAATTTGATGTTTATACTCACTTTAATTTTAGAAAAATTCATGTTGGTCTTCTAGGGGCTCTTTTGAAACTGCTCTTATTTTTCTTGATGCCTCATACTAGCTCCTGTTCAGACATGTTATAGCAAAAGATTATGATTTCATTTTGGTGCCAAAACATTGGAATCCATTCATGGTGTTTCTTAATAGGATATACCTTTTCCTTCAACATTTGAACAACCCACTGCATATAGGAAGGCATCCTGATACAATAAGCTCTACTAGAGGTAACTTAGAATTTTGCAGCTGACTAGGCAGATTGCTGTCTTGTTTTTCTCTTAGGATAAATAGGGATGTTTTCTGAAGATGGAATATAATACCAGTGGCCAAATATTCTCCAGTTACATAGAAAGTTTAACATTTGTAACTGAGATTCACATTCTTTCAGAGAGACACAGAGTGCTTGGGCCAATCTGGTGTCCTGATGTTATTGAATGATTTTCTCTGGTTTCACCAAACATTGTTTGAAAAGGAAGCTGTTGATGGGCAGTCTGGCCTAGGTAGCTTATGGTGGCCCATCAGGAAGGAAAGAAACGCAAGAGAGAAGAAGCAGAGGGGAGAGCCAGGCAGATGTGACTCCTTGTGGGAATCAGTGGGGAAGCTGCAGTCCTGGTTAGAGACAGACTTCTCCTTGTCTGCTGAGTACAGCAAGGCAAGAGGTGATCCTTCCAAATATCACTCAACTCATGCCCTGACCTTCTCCTATGTCAGAAATGAGTGAAAGAGATTAGCATATCAGGAAGGACTAAATATCAGATATCAAGCTACCAGAGACAAGCAAAATAGAGGTTACCAAAGAACTGATGGAGACAGTGTCACTGATTTAGGATGGGGTAAAAGCAAGGAGCAAGATGGCAACAAAAGCTTAGGCATTTGTCCATGAGTCAAGGACGTCAGCAATCCACTTGCCATTTAAAATAATGTAACCATACCGTTTACATTACACTCCTGCACTAAGCAGGACTCTTAATTTCTGCCTCCTAAAACCTGCTCTCCCCTGAATTTCTTCATTATACCTGTCCAAGCAAAATATCACAGACTAATATTCTTAAGCAACAGAAATTATTTTCCGACACTTCTGGATGCTCAAGTTCCACGGTGAATGTGTCAGCAGGTCCAGTTCTTCTTGGCCCTGTCTACTTGGCATCTAGATATCACCTTCTTGCTGTGTCCTCCCATGGGGCTGCGTCTGTGCCTACGTACTTCTTGTGTCTCTCTGTGTGCAAATTTCCAGTTCTTATAAGGAATTTCCACTTTTTCTAAGGACATTCATCTTATTGGATTTAGTTCCACTGAAACTCCCTCATTTTAGCTTGATCACCTCTTCTTAGGGCTATTTTCTGAACACAATCATATTCTAAGGAACAAGAGGTAGGTTGGCTGTGGAGTTTTGTATACCTATGCCTATCATATTTCGCTAAATATTTGATTATATAGAGGTTATGTCTTTAGAACTTTGAGCTATGTGCAGACAACACAAACCTGGCCATTCATGGCTGACAGAAGGTTGGCCCTCAGCCCGGTCGGACCCACACAGATTGTCCAATATTCCTTGGATCTGGCTCCGATCAGAAAAGTCTCGGTGTTTTAGGATACAGGTGTCTTAACGAATTCTATTATTAATATTCGTGGAGAGGTTAAAACAAAGTTGGACACAAAATCTACCAGAGGTTTCTAGAAATGAACAGAATGAATAGAAGTTCTTGAATGAGCCATCCTACTTCATGTCTTTAAGAATTTTTTCTTGCTCTTCCCCTTTATTAGAATGTTTGATCAGATACAGTTTGGACTTTATGTCTTACAAGATTATATATATATAAATATAGGCTCTCGCTCTGTCACCCAAGCTGGAGGGTGGTGTCCTGATCATGGATTCCAGCATCCTAGAACTCCTGTGCTCTTGGGATTCCCCCCACTTCAACCACTTGAGTAGCTTGAATTACAGGTTCATGACACCCACCATGCCCGTTTATTATTTTTTAATTTATTTAAAAATTTTTTGAAGAGATGGATCCACAATTTGTTGCTCAGGCTGGTCTTAAACTCCTGGCCTCAAGGGATCCATCCAACTCACCCTCCCAAAGTCCTGGGATAACAGACATGAGTCACTACATTCAGTTATTCTTCTAGGAAAAATTTTTAATCACTCCCACTTACAATGAGTGGCCACAATTATATATCCCAATAAGATAGTCAGGAACCCACATAAAAGCCTCAAGGGTATTGCACTGATCTATTTCTTAGTACATGTGCTGTCTCCCAGATTCTTCTTCCAAACAGAAATTTTTTTTATTTTTGCAATATTCTGAAACTAATTTCTCAAGACTCGCTTTCTAAAATGTATTTGTTGACATTTTCTGTTCTAAATAATCTTCCCTGTGTTTATTTTTCATCTTATGTCTGGCTTCTTTATAAATACATTTTGGGAATTTTCTTAAATCGACTCTTCTAAGTAAGCATCTATAATTCTTCTTACTCCTTTCATTTTATGTTTGTTTTTAAAATTTGGATCAATATACTGTATTTCCAAAGTATTTTTACTGAGTTTGTGTTGGTAGCTCTCTTTTCATCCACTGACTTCTCTGTTATATCAAGTAGTTTCTGCCCATCATTTCATCTTTTTATGGAAAATGCAGGTTAGTCAGTATTAACAGCTGCCACTTATCATTTCAGGCCTCGAATAACTTTTGTGACATCATTCAGTTTTGGCTCAGGGATAGTGATAACTTCAGGATACCTCGTTAAAGGCATTGTGTGTGGGTCTGCCACTGGAAATCCTAAACACAGGCCACTTGATCATTTTGATGAGAGGATCCTGTGTTGTACACATTAGAATCTGATCCTGCTCTTCCAGATGGGTTTGAAATACAAGGGATTTCAAAAACTTTGTGGAAGAATGCAATTACAATATGAAATTAGACATTATATAAACTTTATTTCTTAACATAACCTCCACCACATTCAAGAAGGTTTGCAAGTAATGATACAAATAATTTAGCCTATCTATAAAGAATTGAGGGTCCTGAGAATTTCACCATATAAATGCAGTCTTTTCAAATTATTAACTGAAGAAAACAGCATACACATTAAAGTATTTTTATCTTAGAAAAAAAACAAGTCTGAGGAACAGCTCCAGTCTACAGCTCCCAGCGTGAGCGATGCAGAAGACAAATGATTTCTGCATTTCCAACTGAGGTAACAGGTTAGTCTCACTGGGGATTGTCAGACAGTGGGGGCAGGACAGTGGGTGCAGCCCACCAAGCATGAGCTGAAGCAGGGCAAGGCATTGCCTCACCCGGGAAGTGCAAGGGGTCAGGGAATTCCCTTTCCTAGCCAAGGAAAGGGGTGATGGATGGCACCTGGATTATCAGGTCACTCACACCCTAATACTGTGCTTTTCCAATGGTCTTAGCAAACAGCACACCAGGAGGTTGTATCCCACACCTGGCTCACAGGGTCCTATGCCCATGGAACCTTGCTCATTGCTAGCAAAGCAGTCTGAGATCAAACTGCCAGGCAGCAGTGAGGCTGGGGGAGGAGCTCCCACCATTGCCAAGGCTTGAGTAGGTAAACAAAGCGGCCAGGAAGCTCGAACTGGGTGGAGCCCACCGCAACTCAAGGAAGCCTGCCTGTCTCTGTAGACCCCACCTCTGGGGGCAGGGCATAGCCAAACAAAAGGCAGCAGAAACCTCTGCAGACTTAAATGTTCATGTCTGACAGCTTTGAAAAGAGTAGTGGTTCTCCCAGCATGCAGCTTGAGATCTGAGAACATACAGACTGCCTCCTCAAGTGGGTCCCTGACCCCCAAGTAGCCTAACTGGGAGGCATCTCCCAGTAGGGGCAAGCTGACACCTCACATAGCCAGGTACTCCTCTGAGACAAAACTTCCAGAGGAAGGATCAGGCAGCAACATTTGCTGTCCACCAATATCCGCTGTTCTGCAGCCTCCACTGCTGATACCCAAGTAAACACGGTCTGGAGTGGACCTCCAGCAAACTCCAACAGACCTGCAGCTGAGGGTCCTGACTGTTAGAAGGAAAACTAACAAACAGAAATGACATACACACCAAAACCCCATCCGTACGTCACCATCGTTAAAGACCAAAGGTAGATAAAACCACAAAAATGGGGAAAAAACAGAGCACAAAAAATAAAAATTCTAAATATCAGAGTGCCTCTCCTCCTCCAAAGGAATGGAGTGCCTTGCCACCAGTGGAACAAAGCTGGACAGAGAATGACTTTGAAGAGTTGAGAGAAGAGGGCTTCAGACAATGAAACTACTCCAAGCTAAAGGAGGAAGTTCAAACCCAAGGCAAAGAAGATAAAACCTTGAAAAAAGATGAGATAAATGGCTAACTAGAATAATCAATGCAGAGAAGTCCTTAAAGGACCTGATGCAGCTGAAAACCATGGCAGGAGAACTACATGATGAATGCACAAGCCTCAGTAGCCAATTTGATCAATTACAAGAAAGGGTAACAGTGATGGAAGATCAAATGAATGAAATGAAGCAAGAAGAGAAGTTTAGAGAAAAAAAAATAAAAAGAAATGAACAAAGCCTGCAAGAAATATGAGACTATGTGAAAAGACCAAATCTACATCTGATTGGTGTACCTGAAAGTGATGGGGAGAATGGAACCAAGTTGGAAAACACTCTGCAGGATATTACTCAGGAGAACTTCCCCAATCTAGCAAGACAGGCCAACATTCAAATGCAGGAAATACAGAGAATGCCACAAAAATACCCCTTGAGAAGAGCAACTCGAAGACACGTAATTGTCAGATTCACCAAAGTTGAAATGAAGGGAAAAATGTTAAGGGCAGCCAGAGAGAAAGGTCGGATTACCCACAAACAGAAGCCCATTAGACTAACAGCTGATCTCTCAGCAGAAACTCTACAAGCCAGAAGAGAGTGGGGGCCAATATTCAACATTCCTAAAGACAAGAATTTTCAACCCAGAATTTCATACCCAGCCAAACTAAGCTTCATAAGTGAAGGAGAAATAAAATCCTTTACAGACAAGCAAATGCTGAGAGATTTTGTCACCATCAGGCCTGCCCTAAAAGAGCTGCTGTAGGCAGCATTAAACATGGAAAGGAACAACCAGTACCAGCCACTGCAAAAACATGCCAAATTGTAAAGACCATCGAGGCAAGGAAGAAACTGCATCAACTAACAAGCAAAATAACCAGCTAACATCATAATGACAGGATCAAATTCACACATAACAATATTAACTTTAAATGTAAATGGGCTAAATGCTCCTATTAAAAGACACAGACTGGCAAATTGGATAAAGAGTCAAGACCCATCAGTGTGCTGTATTCAGGAAACCCATCTCATGTGCAGAGACACACATAGGCTCAAAATAAAGGGATGCAGTAAGATCTACCAAGCAAATGGAAAACAAAAAAAGACAGGGGTTGCAATCCTAGTCTCTGATAAAACAGACTTTAAACCAACAAAGATCGAAAGAGACAAAGAAGGCCATTACATAATGGTAAAGGGATCAATTCAACAAGAAGAGCTAATTATCCTAAATATACATGCACCCAACACAGGAGCACCCAGATTCATAAAGCAAGTCCTTAGACTCCTACAAAGAGACTTAGATTCCCACACCATAATAATGGGAGACTTTAACACCCCACTGTCAACATTAGACAGATCAACGAGACAGAAAGTTAACAAGGATATCCAGGAATTCAACTCAGCTCTGCAGCAAGCGGACGTAATAGACATCTACAGAACTCTCCACCCCAAATCAACAGAATATACATTCTTTTCAGCACCACACCACACCTATTCCAAAATTGACCACATAGTTGGAAGTAAAGCACTCCTTAGCAAATGTAAAAGAACAGAAATTATAACAAACTGTCTCTCAGACCACAGTACAATCAAACTAGAACTCAGGATTAAGAAACTCACTCAAAACCTCTCAACTACATGGAAACTGAACAACCTGCTCTGAGTGACTACTGGGTACACAACAAAATGAAGGCAGAAATAAAGATGTTCTTTGAAACCAATGAGAACAAAGACACAACATACCAGAATCTCTGGGACACATACAAAGCCGTGTGTAGAGGGAAATTTATAGCACTAAATGCCCACAAGAGAAAGTAGGAAAGATCTCCAATCAACACCCTAACATCACAATTAAAAGAACTAGAGAAGCAAGAGCAAACACATTCAAAAGCTAGCAGAAGGCAAGAAATAACTAAGATCAGAGCAGAACTGAAGGAAATACAGACAAAAAAAAACCTTCAAAAAATCAATGAATCCAGGAGCTGGTTTTTCGAAAAAAATCAACAAAATTGATAGACCGCTAGCAAGACTAATAAAGAAGAAAAGAGAGAAAAAACAAATAGATGCAATAAAAAATGATAAAGGGGATATCACCACCAATCCCACAGAAATACAAACTACCATCAGAGAATAATATAAACACCTCTACAAAAACAAAGTAGAAAATCTAGAAGAAATGGATAAATTCCTCAACACAGACACCCTCCCAAGACTAAACCAGGAAGAAATTGAATCTCTGAATAGACCAATAACAGACTCTGAAATTGAGGCAATAATTAATAGTTTACCAACCAAAAAAAGTCCAGGACCAGATGGATTCACAGCCAAATTCTACCAGAGGTACAAGGAGCAGCTGGTATCATTCCTTCTGAAACTGTTCCAATCAATAGAAAAAGAGGGAATCCTCCCTAACTCATTTTATGAGGCCAGCATCATCCTGATACCAAAGCCTGGCAGAGACACAACAAAGAAAGAGAATTTTAGACCAAGATCCCTGATGAACATCGATGCAAAAATCCTCAATAAAATACTGGCAAACTGAATCCAGCAGCACATCAAAAAGCTTATCCACCATGATCAGGTGGGCTTCATCCCTGGGATGCAAGGCGGGTTCACCATATGCAAATCAATAAATGTAATCCAGCATATAAACAGAACTAATGACAGAAAACACATGATTATCTCAATAGATGCAGAAAAGGCCTTTGACAAAATTCAACAACACTTCATGCTAAAAATTCGCAATAAATTAGGTATTGATGGGACATATCTCAAAATAATAAGAGCTATCTATGACAAACCCACAGCCAATATCATACTGAATGGGCAAAAACTGGAAGTATTCCCTTTGAAAACAGGCACAAGACAGGGATGCCCTTTCTCACCACTCCTATTCAACATAGTGTTGGAAGTTCTGGCCAGGGCAATCAGGCAGGAGAAGGAAATAAGGCATATTCAATTAGGAAAAGAGGAAGTCAAATTGTCCCTGTTTGCAGATGACATGATTGTATATCTAGAAAACCCCATCTTCTCAGCCCAAAACCTCAAGCTGATAAGCAACTTCAGCAAAGTCTCAGGATACAAAATCAATGTGCAAAAATCACAAGCATTCTTATACACCAATAACAGACAAACAGAGAGCCAAATCATGAGTGAACTCCCATTCACAATTGCTTCAAACAGAATAAAATACCTAGGAATCCAATTTACAAGGGATGTGAAGGACCTCTTCAAGGATAACTACAAACCACTGCTCAATGAAATAAAAGAGGATACAAACAAATGGAAGAACATTCCATGCTCATGGGCAGGAAGAATCAATATCGTGAATATGGCCATACTGCCCAAGGTAATTTATAGATTTAATGCCATCCCCATCAAGCTACCAATGACTTTCTTCACAGAACTGGAAAAAACTACTTCAAAGTTCATATGGAAACAAACAAGAGCCTGCTTTGCCAAGTCAATCCTAAGCCAAAAGAACAAAGCTGGAGGGCTCCCGCTACCTAACTTCAAACTATACTACAAGGCTACAGTAACCAAAACAGCACGGTATTGGTACCAAAACAGAGATATAGACCAGTGGAACAGAACAGAGCCCTCAGAAATACTGCTGCATATCTACAACCATCTGATCTTTGACAAACCTGACAAAAACAAGAAATAGGAAAATGATTCCCTATTTAATAAATGGTGCTGGGAAAACTGGCTAGTCATATGTAGAAAGCTGAAACTGGATCCCTTCCTTACACCTTATACAAAAATTAATTCAATATCGATTAAAGACTTAAATGTTAGACCTAAAACCATAAAAACCCTAGAAGAAAACCTAAGTAATACCATTCAGGACATAGGCATGGGCAAAGACTTCATCTCTGAAACACCAAAAGCAATGGCAACAAAAGCCAAAATTGACAAATGGGATCTCATTAAACTAAAGAGCTTCTGCACAGCAAAAGAAACTACCATCAGAGTGAACAGGCAACCTACAGAATGGGAGAAAATTTTTGCAATCTACTCATCTGGCAAAGGGGCTAATATCCAGAATCTACAATGAACTCAAACAAATTTATAAGAAAAAAACAAACAACCCCATCAAAAAGTGGGCGAAGGATATGAACAGACACTTTTCAAAAGAAGACATTTATGCAGCCAAAACACACATGAAAAAATGCTCATCATCACTGGTCATCAGAGAAATGCAAATCAAAACCACAATGAGACACCATCTCACACCAGTTAGAATGGCAATCATTAAAAAGTCAGGAAACAACAGGTGCTGGAGAGGATGTGGAGAAATAGGAACACTTTTACACTGTTGGTGGGACTATAAACTAGTTCAACCATTGTGGAAGTCAGTGTGGTGATTCCTCAGGGATCCAGAACTAGAAATACCATTTGACCCAGCAATCCCATTACAGGGTATATACCCAAAGGATTATAAATCATGCTGCTATAAAGACACATGCACACATATGTTTATTGCGGCACTATTCACAATAGCAAAGACTTGGAACCAACCCAAATGTCCAACAATGATAGACTGGATTAAGAAAATGTGGCACATATACACCATGGAATACAATGCAGCCATAAAAAAATGATGAGTTCATGTCCTTTTTAGGGACATGGATGAAGCTGGAAACCATCATTCTCAGCAAACTGTCGCAAGGACAAAAAACCAAACACCTCATGTTCTCACTCATAGGTGGGAATTGAACAATGAGAACACATGGACACAGGAAGGGGAACATCACACACTGGGGCCTGTTGTGGGGTGGGGGGAGTGAGAGAGATAGCATTTGGAGATATACCTAATGTTAAATGACGAGTTAATGGGTGCAGCACACCAACATGGCACATGTATACATATGTAACAAACCTGCACGTTGTTCACATGTACCCTAAAACTTAAAGTATAATAAAAAAAAAAAAAGAAAAAAAGAAAAAAAGAAGTCCAAAGATACTGCATCAATACCGTAAGTTGGATGCCCAGGGATTTTCTCTTTTTTTTTTCTTTCTTCTTTTTTTTCTTTTCTTTTTTGCTTCCATAGATTGAGGAACAGGTGGTGTTTGGTTACATGAATACATTCTTTAGTGGTGATTTGTGAGATTTTGGTGCACCCACCACCCGGGGGTTTACACTGCACCCAATTTGTAGCCTTTTATTCATCACCCCCTTCTCAGCATTTCCTCTAAGTTCCCAAAGTCCATTGTGTCATTCTTATGCCTTTGCATCCTCATAGATTAGCTCCCATTTATGACTGAGAACATACGATGTTTGGTTTTCCATTCCTAAGTTACATCACTTAGAATGATAAGATCAACTTCTGAGACACTTTGGAAACAGCCAAAACTTGAGCAGATAAATGCCCAGAAAAGCTTCAGCAGAGGGTCCTTGTCCATCACAACAATGCTCCTGCTCATTCCTCTCTTGAAACAAGGGCAATTTTACCAGACTTTTGATGGAAAATCCCTAGGCATCCAATCTCATCCATTTTTCTGCTAAAGATTTGACTAAATCTCTCCAAACTCCAAACTGTCTCATAAGTGGTTTTTACCATTCTTTGGCCCTCCAGAAAGTTAACAACCAGAAAACCTTTAGCATCCAAAAACACTGTTGGCATGATATTTGCTTTTGTTGCATTTACTTAGACTAGACCACTTCCACCTCTTGGTAGCCATTGCTTTCATTGTGTTTGTCCCTTTGAATGCCACTGGTAAAGCCATGTTTTATTTCCTGTTACAACTCTTCAAAGAAATGCTTTAGGATTTTTTTTTCTTTTCTTTTCCTTCCTACTTGTTTAATTTGTCACAGAACGTTCTCTTCTTGTCTGTAGCTGACAGGTACAGCAGTTTTGGCCCTCATCAAGTGGCTAGTTTGTTCGTATTTAGTTTTTTAGACAGAAAAAATTATGTAATCTGAATCAATTGTTCTTCTTGTGCTAGCTCTTTTTTCTGCTGTTGATTGTCAGACCTCTTCAATTAGGCCACAAGAAGATACAATTTTTGTCCGTAAGTTAATGTGAAGGGACTACTGCTGCAAGGTTCACCTTCACCATCATTTCAACACTTCTTTTTTTTTAATGTCAAGATCTTTATCTTTTTTATTATTATACTTTAATAATAATAATGGAGAAATAGGAACACTTTTACACGTTGGTGAGACTGTAAACTGGTTCAACCACTGTGGAAGACAGTGTGGTGATTCTTCAAGGATCTAGAACTAGAAATACCATTTGACCCAGCAATCCCATTACTGGGTATATACCCAAAGGATTATAAATCATGCTGCTATAAAGACACATGCACACGTATGTTTATTGCGGCACTATTCACGATAGCAAAGACTTGGAACCAACCCAAATGTCCATCAATGATAGACTGGATTAAGAAAACGTGGCACACACACACCATGGAATACTATGCAGCCATAAAAAATGATGAGTTCATGTCCTTTGTAGGGACATGGATGAAGCTGGAAACCATCATTCTCAGCAAAGTATCACGGGGACAAAAAACCAAACACTGCATGTTCTCACTCATAGGTGGGAATTGAACAATGAGAAAACTTGGACACAGGAAGGGGAACATCACACACTGGGGCCTGCCATGGGTTGGGGGGAGGGGGGAGGGATAACATTAGGAGATATACCCAATGGAAATGATGAGTTAATAGGTGCAGCACACCAACATGGCACATGTATACATATGTAACAAACCCTGTGCACATATACCCTAGAACTTAAAGTATAATAAAAAAAGAAAAGAAAATTAGACCATATCGCATTTGTACATCACATCCATCACAGTTTTTTATTACACTGGTAATCAGATTTGGATTTCATATGCCAGCTCCTTCATACCTATATGACTTTCTCTTTATTGAAAAGTGGGTGATTCTTTGAATAGGACAGAAAGCAGAATCTTCCTCAACTTCATCTTGAACTAGCTTGACTGCAACACAAGAGGGTTGTCTACCAGGAGAGATGAACATTAACAGAGTGGATGGACTTGTGATGTGATCGAGTAAATTGCATGAAGTCCCTATGGTCTGGGAGGGGTTCATGTGTATCAGAGGAATCCTGGTTACACAATTATGATACTGGTTCATATATTTTTATATTATGTTTTGTCTTAAAAACACATATTTCACAATTATTTTGCGGTATTCATATTCTATGAACATATTGTAGCCATGGCTGATTATAGTAAAAATATTTCTTAAGCATTTACTGTATGCCATTTAATCTTCAGAACCAGCTTATCAGGTAAGAATCCTGCATACTACCATCTCAATTTTATAGGTGAGCTGAGTGGGCACAAGCCAAAGTTGCTAAAATAGTAATAAGTGGTAGAGATGGCAGTCAGTCATCAGAGCCTATGTTCTTGCTTACTGTACTCCACCACTTTCTTGCTATTTACTTCTACATTTATTCACTTCCAAGAACGTCAGAAGAAACCAGGTCCAGAAAATAAACTCAGATACAAGTGATAGATAATGGGTAAGGTAAAACATGCCCTGAAAAAGCAGTCATAGAGAAGATATTGAGTATCAGAAACTACATGGAAAAATAGAAGTCAGAAGACAGCCCAACCGTGTTTTTTTGCTGTTGTTTCTTTTGGTTTTGCTTTTAGATGTATGTTTACTAATTAGACCTCAGATGGGGTTGTGTGTTAGTCCATTTCTACTGTAACAACAAGACTGTAGACTGGGTCATGATTAAAGAATAGAAATTTGTTTCCCAATGTTCCGTAGGCTAGGAAGTCTAAGATTAAGGCATCAACAGATTCAGTGTTTGGTGAGGGCTTCTGTTTGCTTCCAAGATGGTTCCTTGTTGCTGTGGTGGAATAAAGGTTTAAAAACTCTAGGTAAAAATAGCAATCAAACTAGAATCCTATATCCATTCAGGTAATCACTTAAGTGTGAAGGTCACATAACACATCTGGCAACACGAAAAACCTTGAAATAGTTTACTTCTCATATGCTGAAGCTATGCTAGCATATGTTTCACAGAAGAAGAAAACCAAGAAACAGGAAGACAGTAACTCAGGATATGCATTATCCTACTTAAAAGGGAGAAATGGGAATTTCCAGGACAAAAGCCAATTATCTGACATTTGAGAGTGAGGAAAATTGTGCTAGGTGGGATTTTGCAGGTCCGTTGGAAGTTGAAGGAAGACTTAGATGTTTTTAAAACAAAGCAAATGATTGAGAAAACAGGTAATTACTAAATTTGTTGTTGGGCATGTAAGTTTTGCAAGGACAGAAAGATAAATGTAATTAACATGTAAATTCAGGCACAGAGTAGTGTTGACATTGGTGACAGTAGAGAACAATCATGAACACAACACAAAGAAAGCCTCCTCATTCTAAAAAAAAGGAAAAAAAATCACTAGTGAAGGGACCTCAGTAGTTGGAGCTGTCATCTGACTTTCTAGCAAGGCTAAGTAGGAGGCAGAAGAACCATGCCTGTCACTCACCACTCTGGTCTCCATATAGAAATCAACTCTAGAACAGTGAGCTTGTTATAGAGGTCAGGTGCAGACTGAAGAATTGGAGGTGGGAGACTTTTCCTTCTTCTCTGTAGGTGTCTACTCCTCTGTTGCCCCCAAGGGGAGAGATGTTTAGAGATTCACTCCATAGAGCTGCTTCACATGGCAGCTGGGTGTTCCCAGTGCAAGTGCTGTCTGAGAGAAGGAGACAGAGGAAGAGAAAGAGACAGAGAGAAGGGGCGAATTGAAAAATAAAAGATGAAGCCACAGTTTCAATTTTAACTTAATCTCAGTGGTAACATACCACCATTTCTGCCATATTTTGCTGGTCACAGAAACCAATCCTGATATAATGTGGTGGGGACTACATAAGAGTGCTAATATTAGATAGTAGGAATATTGCATATGACTATCTCAAAGTGACAATGATTTGATAAATCATTAAAGAAAGTTTAAGAGAATAAGGGGTTCTGTGTATTCAAAGAAGACTTTAATGTGGGAAGATGTGAGCATACTTGAATAAAATGCAAACACATGCTTGATAAAGTTAGGAACAAACTTAGTATGTTGAAAGAATGTTAACAAGGCCAACTGTAGTGTCCAAAGAAATCAACAGATTCAATCTTTATCAAAATATCAATGTCATTTTTCACAGAATTGGTAAAAAATAATCCAACATTACTTACAGAAGGAAAACATAAGAGCCAAAAGACCCAAAGCAATCCTAGGCAAAATAAACAAATTTGGAAGTGTCGCATTGCCTGAATTCAAATTATACGACAAGACTGCAGTAATGAAAACAGGATATGACTGGTCTAAAAATAGGCACATAGATCAATGGAACAGAGTAAAAGATCCAGAAATAAAGCAACATATTTGCAGGCAACTGATCTTTGACAAAGCAGACAAGAACGCACACTTGGGAAACATCACTCATTTCAATAAATGATGCTGAGAAAATTGGATTGCCATATGCAGAAGAATGAAACTGGAACACTATCTCTCACATCTCTCATATAGAAAAATAACTCAGGATGGATTAAAGACTTAAATGTAAAATGTGGGCATATATTAATACAAGAAGAAAACTTCTGGACATTGGCTGAGAAAAGAACTTATGACTAAGACGTCAAAGCACAGGCAACAAAAATCAAATTGGACAAATGGCACTTAATTTATCTAAAATATTTTACAAGCAAAATAAATCAACAGTGTCAACAGGCAACATGCAGAGGGAAAATATTTGTAAACTATGCATCATACAGGGAACTAATATGCAGAGTATACAAGGAACTCAAACTACTCAGCAACAACAACAAAAAATCAATTAAAAATAGACAAAGGACATGAATAGATGTGTTTCAAAAGAATACATACAAACAGCCAACAGTAAATGAAAACATGTTCAACATCTCTAATCATTAGAGTAATGTGAATGAAAACCACAATGAGATATCATCTTACCTCAGTCATAATGACTATTATTAAAAGGGTGAAAAATAACAGCTGTTGGCAAGGATAGGGAGAAAGGAGAACTCTTAAACACCCTTGGTGAGAATATACATTAGTACAGCTTCTATGGAAAACAGTATGATTTCTCAAAGAACTAAAACTAGAACTACATTTCCATTGAGCAATCCTACTACTGGGTATCTCCTCAAAGGAAAAGTAGTCAATGTATCAAATATATACATTTATCTGTATGTTTATTGTAGCAACATTCACAGTAACAAAGATATTGAATCTACCAATGTATCTGTCAATGAATGATTGGATTAAAAAATGTAAATATATATACACAATACCATACTACTCAATTACAAAGAGAGAATGAAATCACACATATTGTGACAATATGGATGGAACTGGGAGTCATTTTCTTAAGCCAAAGAGGCTAGATACAGAAAATCAAATATAACACGTTCTCACTGTTAAGTGGTTGCTAAAGAATGTGTCTGCATGGATGTAGAGAGTGAAATGATAGACAAAGAACACTTGGGAGTATGGGAGGCAGAGCGGTTGTATAGTGAGGTATTAATAAATGTAGTGTTTGTTATTTGAGTGAGGAATACCCTAATGCTGTGACTTAAGTACTATGTAATCTATGTAACAAAATCAAAACTTGTATTTGTTCAAAAATATTTTTTTAATTAACAGAAAATCTAAGCATACTGCTTCCATACCCCACCATAAAAAAAAGACAATGACCAGCGTGGCCATAGCAGAATGAATTAGGTGTAGAGCATCCCCCAATTCCACAGAGAGTTAGGACTGAATACATCGGACTTTAGCATAGGTAAAAATTAGCAGGTGGGCGCACTGGCTCACCTCTGTAATCCCAGTGCTGTGGGAGTATGAGGCAGGTGGTTCCCAAGGTCAGGAGTTCAAGACAAGCCTGGCTAACTTAGTGAAACCCCTACTCAACTAAAAATACAAAAATTTAGCTGGGTGTGGTTGCGCACACCTGTAATCCCAGCTATTCAGGAGGCTGAGGCAGTAGAATCACTTGAACCCAGGAGGCAGAGGTTGTAGTGAGCTGAGAACTTGCCACTGCACTCCAGCCTGGGAAACAGAGGAAGACTCTGTCTAAAAAAAAAAAATACTGTCTGGTTCTTATAGAGTAAAAGTGGTGGCAATCAACTGGAAAACATAGAAAAGTAATATAATTTTTAAATGGCCAAGGTGGGTAATTGACTGTTGGGAAATAAATAGAACTATTTGGTGTAAACTGCAGGTGAGGCTTGCTTAGAGGGGCTGATAGAGATGAAAGTGATGAAACTGGCTGCAGTAGGAAATTATTTTGAAGCTTGAACGTCACAAAGATAACATAGCTGATTTGACTAGATGTAATGTGATGAAAGAGGAAAAGAGAAGAGTCAAGAATAAATCCTAGTTTGCTTAATTAATTAAATGAATTCTTTACCAAGACCAAAAAGAGCTGGAAGAGGAAGAACTTTGTAGCTGTAGGAGGGAAGAGGCAGAGATAGGAGAAACCCTAGGAGAGAGGGGGAGGCTCCTGGAAAGATTGATAGAGTGTTCCCAAAAGAAGGGTAGGATCAGTGGTGTTAAACTGCTGAGGGGTCACAGGAGATGCGGGACTGAGAGTTGATTCCTGAAATGAGTAGAATGGAGGCAGTAGATGATCTTTACAGACTTGAAGTGAAAAGAACAAAAGCATCTATAACGTGTACATATGAAAAATTTGGAGGTGGGGGAATGGGGAAATAATCACATACATACGTTTCAAGAACTTTTCCAATAAAAATGGCAGGCAAATAATATGGTGGGAAAGAAGCACTAAGAGTCTTAGGAAGACTTCTGTGGAAATGGGTGATGTTTCAGCAGGCTTTTGCTGATTGAAGTAATCCCATAGAGCATAGATGTAACAATCACAAGACAAAAGGGTCACATGCAGAAGCAAAATCCTTGATTGGGCAATGTGGTTCAGAATCAAGTGGGAAGGTGAGAGATAGGGGTAGGAATGCTTCACCTATGATAATAGGAGAGAAGCCAGAGACCAGGGCTGCAACTGGGTTGCTCAACTTAGTGGTGGTTATGGTGAGATCATTCTGTTCGGATTTTTCCGACTTCTTAGTGAATTATCTGAGGCTATCGGTGGGCACAGGGGCAGTTTTCTAATATTGAACCTTCCTTGCTTGAGAAGCAGACATGCCAGTCTCTGCAATGTTTTTGGTATATATGTTATCTCATTAGTTTCCATACTCTAAGGTAGTTGTTATGATTATTCTCATTTTAGATGAGGAATTTGAAGCCCTGAGAGTCTAAGTAAACTTTTAAGACTCCAGAGATAGTAAGAAAAACAGTTAGGTCTTAATTAAAACCTGAGAGTGTCCAAAATTTTTGCTTCTTAAAATCATGCTGTCTCTTTAATGAAGTCCATTCAGGTTTCGTTGAAGAAAGATGAGGAAAATAGGAAGGGAGAGAAGTGATCACTGTTAAAATAGGGTCAATGAGATAGAGAGGGTTCTGGGGATAAGAAGCATAGACCCATATTCATTCCCTTGAAACCAAACTCAGCTTCTTAGAAATTATAAGGATCTCTTTCAGCTTCTGTGACTTTTTTGCATTTGTTGTGTTTTCTGTCCTTAAGATCACTGGAATATCAGTAAACAATCAGAAAATAATTTTAAAATTTCAATTTATGCTGTAGAAGTCATGGAAGGGCCAGGCATGGTGGCTCGCACCTATAATCCTGGAAGTTTCAGAGGCCGAGGAAAGCGGATCACCTGAGGTCAGGAGTTGGAGACTAGCCTGGCCAACATGGTGAAACCCCGTTTCTACTAAAAATACAAAAATTAGCTGTGCATGATGGTGGGCATCTATAATCACAGATACTTAGAAGGCTGAGGCAGGAGAATAGCTTGAACCCAGGAGATGCAGAAGGCAGTGAGCCGAGATCGTGCCACTGCACTCCAGCCTGGGTGAAAAAAGCTCCATCTTGGAGGAAAAAAAATAGAAGTCAGGGAAGTAGAGAAACAGTAAAACCTTTTTGCATGGCAGCTGGCTAAATTAGGATTAAGGAGGAGGGAAACTTCCCGGAGCATCAAGGAAAAGGGTTCCTAGATATTCGTGTAATGTCTTCTCTTGGTCCTCAGATCCCACATTCACAAATATTGAGAAACAGACACCACAATCAGAAATTGCAAGCTAATTATTTTATTGGTATACAGAAGTTAGAGCTATGATGACCTTTTTCCAATGTCATGGCATTTGAATCATTTGAATCACTCTCATCTTCTTATTCACTTCCTGAAACAAACAAACAAGGAAGTTCATAGACCAGACTTGACATGGCAGGAAATGTCGAATTCCTCACTGGTCTTACTGCACTACAGTACATGAGAGCCCATCCTCTCTCCCCCTATCCCTTCTACCTCCTGTGTTTCCTCCCTAATTTTTTGTGTGTTCACTCTTTGGATGCCCTTGCACAAAATGTGCTCCAAATTGTTCCTTACGTGATGAAGACAGAAGATCATTCTTAGCTTATTATTACTTGCTGCTGAATTTGTTCACAGATATATTTACACAGATGGGAACTGGAACATATTTTATAACAGTGAGAAGCTGAAACCACCCTCAGTGTCCAGTGACACAGATTGGTTAAAGAAATCACGGTGCAGCCACATAATGGAGTAGTATAAAATGGTAAAAACAAACAGATAACCACTGAAGAGATCTACTTAGCTTCATAGACGTATGTGGAAATTTTCAAAGAAATGTATTTTTTAAATGACTAACATATGTACCTGAATATAAATTATGGTATTAGTTCTGGGGGAAAAATATTCTAGTAGTCTATGTACACATAAATATTTCAAACAGAAGATGCCATAAAGTTAACAGTGGCAGTTTTCTGAAGGAGGGGAGGCAGGTAGGATGAGTCATGCCTTTAAATTTAGATTCATATTTTTCCATTGCATTAGATATTTTTTGTTAGCTTAATCATGTACTTATTGAACAGTAAGAATTTGAAAAATGAGACACCATTTAGCTGCTGAAAGTTCAGGGACCACTTGGCAGGAATACTGGACTCAAGAGGCTGGTGTGAGGCAGGACTGAGCAAACAGTGCTCAGGTGAAAACTTTAAATGGGAGGTCTCTCAGTTTGTGCACAGAAAACAGAGCGCCAGAGAGAACATGGTACTACTTCCTTGTTGCCAACACAACTTAAGACAGATTATTTGGAATTTTGTTTCTCAACATCAGAATTCCTTAAAGAGTTTGTTACAAATATAGGATCTTGTTACCCATTTCCAGAATATGTCAATACAAATCTTTAGAAATGGGATCTGGGACTATACAATGCCAATGGGCTTTTAGCTGATTCATTGGCACAATAAAGCTGGAGAGCTGTAGCAATTAGAGCACTTGGTGAAGAATAAACTGGAATCATACCTGTCATTGAATCCTAGATGACTGGGGAGGCTGTCACTGGGGAGGTCTGGAAGGTCTGCCCCCTTGAGGAGGGCGTGGTGGTCCCTGGGGCTGTCCAGCAGGAGGTGCCTGAGGCTGCTGGGGATTGCCTCCTGCTGGAGGTGGGGGACCTTGAGGATTGTTGCCTTCTTGTTGGGGTGGTCCTTGTGGCTTTCCTGGAGGAGATCGGGCACTTCGGGACTTGCTGCCTCCTTGTGGGGGTGGTCCTTGTGGCTTTCCTGGAGGTGGGGGACCTTGAGGTTTGTTGCCTCCTTGTGGGGGTGGTCCTTGTGGCTTTCCTGGAGGAGGTGGGGGACCTTGAGGCTGGTTGCCTCCTTGTGGGGGTGGTCCTTGTGGCTTTCCTGGAGGAGATCGAGAACTTCGGGACTTGCTGCCTCCTTGTGGGGGTGGTCCTTGTGGCTTTCCTGGAGGTGGGGGACCTTGAGGTTTGTTGCCTCCTTGTGGGGGTGGTCCTTGTGGCTTTCCTGGAGGAGGTGGGGGACCTTGGGGCTGGTTGCCTCCTTGTGGGGGTGGTCCTTGTGGCTTTCCTGGAGGAGATCGGGCACTTTGGGACTTGTTGTCTCCTTGTGGGGGTGGTCCTTGTGGCTTTCCTGGAGGTGGGGGACCTTGAGGTTTGTTGCCTCCTTGTGGGGGTGGTCCTTGTGGCTTTCCTGGAGGAGGTGGGGGACCTTGGGGCTGGTTGCCTCCTTGTGGGGGTGGTCCTTGTGGCTTTCCTGGAGGAGATCGAGAACTTCGGGACTTGTTGTCTCCTTGTGGGGGTGGTCCTTGTGGCTTTCCTGGAGGTGGGGGACCTTGAGGTTTGTTGCCTCCTTGTGGGGGTGGTCCTTGTGGCTTTCCTGGAGGAGGTGGAGGACCTTGAGGCTGGTTGCCTCCTTGTGGGGGTGGTCCTTGTGGCTTTCCTGGAGGAGATCGGGGACTTCGGGACTTGTCTCCTTGTGGGGGTGGTCCTTGTGGCTTTCCTGGAGGTGGGGGACCTTGAGGTTTGTTGCCTCCTTGTGGGGGTGGTCCTTGTGGCTTTCCTGGAGGAGGTGGGGGACCTTGAGGCTGGTTGCCTCCTTGTGGGGGTGGTCCTTGTGGCTTTCCTGGAGGAGATGGGGGACCTTGAGGTTTGTTGCCTCCTTGTGGGGGTGCTCCTTGTGGATTTCCTGGAGAACAAAGAGAGAAGAGAAAGACAGAGTAAAAGCCCATACAAGATTCCCTGAATAGTTGCAGTAAATTTTTATCAGTTTGGGTAACAAGCTGAGTGGGGAAACACACAAAAATGAGACCAAGACATTAATTTCTTTGCATTTCAGTGAAGACATAGAACTCTGGAGTGGAGCGCCAGGGAAGAACAAAGCAGTTGAGGGCCTCTCATTATAAAGAGGAGACAGAATGAGGATGCTGCCCATTTGTCTGTCATCTCCCAGCAGGCACTCCTGGCCAGGGGGATGAGGTAACCCACTCCTGCTGTCATCTAAGCCAAGCATCTCTGCCGTTCAATTTGGTGGCCTGCTCATGATGCCCAGAATCAAGGTTGCATGAAGAGTGCCTATATTATTAGGAGCACTAACATTAATCAATTCCCGAAAGGAAAGTTTTGATAAGAAGACACTGGAGAACTGATCCATTCATAAGCAGAAAAAGACAGTCAGAACAGATTGAGAATGAATCGGGATTTACCTGCTATTAGGGAGGGAGATTCTTCCTGGCTGACATCTAGAAGAGAAGCACAGGATGATGGGAACAGTTACATCTTGAACCTTACAAGACTCACAAGTGTTCTACAGGGAAAACAGACTTCTCACCACACCCCATGCATCCCCTAAGTTAACTCATCAGCCACCATCTGTGAAGCTGCTGGAAGGGGAGGAAGGTGTAAGGGGAGGCAGGGTTGTTATGACAGAGCAACAGCCATGAACTCAACATAGAAGAGCCCCTTTTTTCCCTCCCTAGCATCCCTCAAGACTTAATGCTAATTTAGTTCACAAATGCCAGGTACTTCAATGTGATATTTTGGTGTTCTTATGCCCTCCATCTCCTATAAATACATTGCTTATGTACACATGCTTTCTCAATTGGGGTAACCAGAAGTAATCATTTCAATACAATCTTACCCATACCACTCCCAGCACATTGAAATACTGCGTGTAAGGGAGAGAAAAATGACAATGATTGGCTCTGATATTTCTGTATCTCTAGTTAAACAGAGACAAGTGTTCCATCCAATTCTCTGTCTCTGCAGTATCTCTGATACTGTGTGTGTCTATCGCCGTCATCGATGCTGATGCACTGTACAGCAAGGCCACCATCATCCCTGTGTACTTACTGAGATCAGTTTAGGATCTTCACAGCTGGACTTCCATGAATCTGCCTTGCATTCTCTACTGCATCCTTCACAGCACAGTTCTATCTATAAATGCAAATCTTACCTTCTCATTCCCCTGGAACAAATTCTTTATTGGATTTCATTGTACATTAAATAAATTAGAAACTCTTATTGTGGAATGAGGGCACAACAAGTCTCCTGATCCTAGGCATGAAAACTCTGCAGCCCCATCTGTGTTTTCATTCTCCTCTCTTCCCCGTAATTACCATTATCACCTCCTAAGCCCCAAGCAGAGTCACCACATCTTCTCCCCCTTCTGTTTTACCTTCATTTAAGTTCTGAGCTGAGCTCAGGGCCAGCAAGGCCACTGACAGCAGAATCAACAGCATCTTGCAGGAGGCTCTGGAGTCACTCCCAACTCTGTGCTGGGAGGAACGTGGCAACTCCCTTTATAAAGAGGAGAAGAACAATGGCACCTTTGAGCTCCACACTGGGTGGGCCTCACCACCTCAGAGACTGGCTTCTGCTTTGCTCACTGCAGGTCAGGTGTTTCCTTTATTTTTCTTTGAGACTCTAGCCCAGAGAGATGAGTTGGATAGGATATGTTGTTAGTGTCTTATTTCCAAAAGGTACAACTATGACTTGAACAATGGTTTTGAAGGAACTGTGTCCAAGCCATCAGCACTGTGTCATCACTGAACTTTAGATATCATTAGAGTTTCAATCTTTTAGGTAAGACTATCATCCACTTTCCACTGTGCTATTTATTTCTGTTTATGTGTGTGTGAGCAGCGATGCTACAACCAGCAGTGAAGATGGTCAATATCTCTGGATATTATTATGCCCTATTTCCATCTCTTGTGATGTGTGTGTACAGATATTTTCATATTTAGCTCAATTTTTGATGTGATAGAGATGGTTTCTGCTATCTATGAGATGTGTGAGGACAGCACACTTCTGTGCACACATAGATGACAGAAAGCTGCCCCGCAGCCTGCTCAGGATAGGGCTATTGTTCAAGTTTCTGTGGATCTCACTCAGCTGAGGCAAGGCTTGGTCCTGTACAACACAGGAAGTCTAAAATTTTGTATTCTAAAGTAATTTTAGAGGTTATTAACGCAAAATGGACACAGAAACCACCAGGAAATTTCTAGACCTGAGAAAACTGAATACATAGTTCTGTGAGGGAGCCATGCGATGTCATGTTGCTAAAATTTCCTTCATGCTCTTCCCTTTCTCTAGAATATTCTATAAAATTCACCCACTGCTTCATTTCTTTTAGGAATTATATCGAATTCTTACCACTGATAATTAAGTGGCCACAATTCTACATTCAAATAAGATAATCAGATACCACCATCAAACCCTCAATTGCATTCTATTGGTTTTATTGGTTTAGTCAGTATTTGTGTTACCTGTTTTCTCAGATTCTTCTTCCACGAGTATTTTTCTACAATATTCTGATATGCATTCCTCCCCACGTTCTTTCTAGTACTTCTTTTACATATTTTATTTTCTGAGTCAAGCTCATTATGTGTATCTTTTATTATGTAGCTGGCTTTTCCCCATGAATTTGGTGAGATTTCCTTTATTTAATCTTTTAAGTAATAGGATATATACTCCTCACCATCTTTTTTCATTCCTGTCTGTGTAATTTCACAATAAATGTTGTGTTTCCAAAAAGCCCTCTCAGAGTCCTGCATTGTTAGCACTTCTTTTAGCTGCTGGTTCTTCTCTTATATCTGGTAAATCCCTGCTCATCAGTTCATGGAATATACAGGTTAGTCAGTATCAACAGCTGCCATTTACCACTTAGACCTTCTGTGTGTCTTGTGTAATTGTTCACATTTTGTGCATGGCTGGTGTTAATTTGAGAACAGATTGGTGGGAGGTATGATGGGGGTAGAGAGGGTATGTGACAGTAAATCCTAAAGACAGGCCTCTTGACCGTTGTGGATGAGTGGATCCTGTGCTGTGCACATGAGGGTCTGGTCTGGCCCTTCTGAAGAGTTGCGGATATTAGTACAGGGAGACTTCCTAATACAAAAGGCTTTGCTATGCATAACTTTGCCCTTGCAGGGGAACCAGGCAGATTGGTATTTTCCCTGGCATAAATATAGACATACTTCAAAGGGGAATACATTACTAATTGGCAGTTCTTTCTGGCTCTATGGAAAGTGGATTGGTTCTAGCTGAGCTTCATGAGTTTTATCTTAGGCAGGGAGTAGTTGCTTGGTCCCAGCAGATCCCAGTGCTTTGTTGAGATTTGTGTCTCTGGTCTCACAGACACTGTTTTCCATAGGAAATGGAAATGAACAATCCTGCCTAGCTGGCTTAAGCTAGACCATCAGGTAGCAAAGGAATGTCAGAGACAAGGAGCAACAAAGAGGCACGGATGACATTGCCTGATTATGTCACCAACTGAGGTTGCTACAGCCTGATGCAAGACAGACTTCCCCTTGGCAGGAGAGTACAGGAAGAGAACAGAAATGCCCCTAAAGGTCACTCATTTCAGGCCCTTTCCCTGGTCTTCTCCAGTGTCAGCAATGAGTAAAGTTTTTCAGGAAAGCATAAATATAAGCTATGCACTCACCAGACAAAACAAAAAAGAGGTGATGGAAATGTGGAAAGGGATACCGTCTGTGACTGAATGTGGGTGGAAGAGAGAAGCAGGACTGCAGCAGGAGCTTGGGCACCTATATGTGAGTGGCAGCCCTCAGCACTCCACTTGCCTTCTAATATCCATGTTCATATTCTCAGGTCCAGAAGGAACAGTCTTCAACATATGAAATTTTAGGAACACAGTTCAGCTCTCATAACAGCTCCCAACCTTTTCTAAGTCAAGTGTTCAGTGGTTCAAAACTCCTCACTCCCTTCAGGCACTGCCCTTTAGCAAATCGAGTTGCTTCCACTTTCAACACTCATCCCAAATACAACAACTTGCATAATCTTTACTAGAAGGTGATAGTTCAGGCCATGATGCTCTCTCCTGAAGAAGTTTAATATCCTCAGCTGCTCTTGGTAACATTCCTACCCCAGCACATCCCATATCCATTCCCCTCACATCAGTCACAGTGATCATTGAAAAGTAGGAATTAGATCATAACACTTTTGTGCTTCAAATGCTCTTAGGATTTTCTTCTGCACTTGTAATAAGATCCAAACTTCATGCCTCAGCTCTCTCACACCCACACATCTCCCTCTTTTTGAAGACGCGGAAGCTCTGTGAATGGAACAGAAAGCCAAATCCTCCTCAACTTACTGTGTTCATTGGGTAAACCAACCATTCTGATAACACAGTTGTGTTTGAGAATTCAGCGTTGCTTTGACTTTTCTAAAAACTTTGGTTACACTAGTAGGATCTTCATCTTTACATTTTTATTTGATGTTGATGCTCTCTAATATATATATATTTCACAATTATTTGAGCATATTTATATTCTTTCCATTTATCCTAGCAAAGGCTGATTATAATAGAAAACATTTCTTCAGCATTTACTATATGATATTCAATGTTCAGAACCATCATATTAGGGAGGTGTGATGATTATTATTATCTTAATTTTGTAGATGAGGTAATTTAGGTGCGTGTCTAGGTTCATATAAAGGTAGTAAGTGGAATGGAAGGCAGTCAGTTCTCAGATCTGAGTTCTTGCCTACTGTGCTCCAGTGGTTACTTGCTCTTCATTCATTCATTTCTCTAAAAGAAAGTGAAAGGAAATGAGATTCAGAGAACAAAAACAAGTTTCTCTTAGAATATTGTCAAGGTTAAATTTTCCTGAGACGTTAACAGCTAATGTGACTAAAAATATATTTTCCTGAGTAAACATGTTTGTTTGAAATCATAATCCCATTTAAACATATTCTAGTCTTCCGCTTTACCGCTTGCATTTATATAAAGACACTCAGAGGAATTAATTCCTTTTTTTTTCTAATTACAAAACCCTGTCAATGTAGATCCTGTATGTCCTTCCTTAATCCATGCTACATGCATTTTTCTTGGGTGGCGTATTAGCATTGACAAAATTTGTGTATGCCCTTTTAAATTGACTAAATTTGATCCTTCTAATCACAATGGATCTAAAATTCTAGAAATCCAAGAGGGAGCCTGGTCAGAGAGTTGTCTAAGAAAGGATAAACTATATACCACTTACATAACTTTCAGTCTTCTGCATGAAGATGTCACCTGTGTCCTGGCCCCAGAGCTGGTGTTCCACCCTCAGTGATTGGGGCCATAGAAGGCATTGGTCATCAGCCTAAGGTCAAGTGTCTGTAGCCTCATCACACCACTGTTATCACAATGTCAGAGTGTATTCTTCAGCTTTCAGTTAAACATCCTATCAGTTCATAGAGAAGTACAATCACAACTTATCTCATAAGAAATACAAAGCAATGTATGTCACCCTCATATTTTTCTGATCATGTACAAAGTCGGTAAGATGATAGGAATTTCATTAAAGTGATTAATCAATGACTCATTTATTAAACCCATAAACCTGTACCTATCTCTTTCAAAAGATGTTGTCTCCTCTGCTTAAGAACCACGAATTATTACTGTATTTCATTGATTTTGAAGTCCACATGTATGCATATTTATCATCTTGGAAATTGTTTTTAAAATATGATCACGACAGAATCATTCATCCAATGTTTTCTTCTTACAATGGTACCTTGATCTCCTCTCTTGAAGGGCTGAGGTCTGCTTTTACCTCCTTGGAGCTTGGGTAGAACTTCATTACTGCCATGACCAGTAGATTATATCAGAAGTGATACTTTGTGACTTTTGAGTCTGTATCATAGAAATGCCATGCAATTCCAAATTGTTCTTTATGGAACCTGACACATGCTGTGAGGATGTCCATGCTGTGAGACAGAGATAGAACATTCATTTTAAAAATGATTGGATCAAAACTGTCTCTAAACAATATTCAATAACCGAGTTTGTTTCAGTGACCCATTTGCTACCTATATCGTATATTATATTTCAACACATGCATGGCTACATAGCTAAAGATATATGGATCATTCCTTTCTATCTTGCATAGTGATGTTTCTGATGCCTTAGCTCTTCTAGTACTTACAATAGCACTTTGAGGATTTTTTGCATTTATGTTCACTTTTCAAAGTTAGAGATAAAATCTTAATGTGATTGAGTGACTTTCCCTAACACATACACTTCATAGGGAACAGCATAAGAAAAAGAAATGAAGGAGACAGACAGAGAGAGAGACAGAGAGAGAGAAATGAGACAATGACCTTATTCATGAGAACAATGTAAAATACCTAGGATCAAATAGCAAGAAATGCACAGGATTCAGTTGAAGAAGAATGATCAAACTTTGATGCAGAATATGCACTAAAATGTACATACATGTAAATTTCTGCACATGAAAATGCTATATTCAAATAGGACAAATTTTCCAGGTGTTCTGGCAAAAATTGCACAACAGTCCCCTCTTCATGTCTGATTTTGGCTTTGCTCAATCACAAACTCTGTTATTTTTCTATTTGTCATTCCAATTCCACAGTTTTGTTTACATTTGTTGTTTATTGTCATCTCTTCTTTCATTCTCCTCAATCTTGGGTATTAATTTCTGCTGTGCTTCTTTATTGTAATTTTGTTGGGACATTGGGAAAGGGCAGAAATCAGTCCATGTGTTCAATGCACTGTGCATTCCAATACCCTGAGTATAGAGATAAATTCCTTATCACAGTTTATAGCAGGTTCTACAGATGATCTTTTTGTTTATGACTCTTTCTATATAAGTGTATTCAAGTGACTTTACAAGGCAGACTGCTGTTACCTGTGTTCCTAATTTTATCAGAAGAATATGCCACTGTCTTTTCTTTCCTGGCTGCATTAAATGTAACATGACCATGACTTGATAATCACATGGTTATTTTTTACAACATTATTGAGTAAACATCTGGCAACAATCTTAAATATTGAATACATTTTTATACTCTAATATACTAACAAATATAATTTTTTAAAAACAAATGTACATTGTTTCAAGTCTATTACTTATCCATCTTTGGAATTGCCAAAGCAAATCTCTCCATATTATTAAAAAAAAAAAAAAAAAACTTTTGTGCCTTCTAGTAAACAGACATAGAAACAGAATTTTATGATATGATACATAAAAGAGTTTGTATTTATCTTACATTTTTGCTAACCTTACTTTTTAGCTAAGCTTTTGTCTATATTTGAATTTTCTTGATGGAAACATGCCTTTGTACATTTTTATTGAGCAATTAAAGGCTTATTTAACTAGTCAACCTAACAACATTGACATACGGTTTTTGTCAGATTGGAATGATCTACAAAGCTTCTGAAGCTTGAACTTTGGGGTCCTTCATGTGCACAGGCCCTTCCCAAGATCCTGTTTAGAGTGAACAGAATACAGAGATTTAGAAGGTTCATGAAATAGCAGTGGTCTTCTTTATGCCGACTCCTTTACTCAAGCCTTTATGTATTTTTCTGTCTTCCACTGACCCATGGGGATCATAAGATTTCAAGACCTTCTCCTCCCTAAAACAAACTCCAATCATTTGAGGGATATCTGAATTTTTTTCTGAAAAGAAGACTTGGGAATACCTATAGAAGCAAATTTCTAAATAATCTGATTCTTATGTCTACAAATAATGGCTATCTTCCTGCACTGCTGTAAATGTACTGTGCCATTGCAGATTATACATGGAGGAATCTAAAGAGTGTACTGTAGTGGTGACTGAAGGGCCTATTGAAATGAGGTACAGCTATAGATTCTTGCTCTTCCACTAGTTTTTCCCTTGAAGAACATACTCCCTGCACAATGGCACCTTCCCTTAGTATTTGTAGTGTTTCTACCTTTAAGCATGGAAGGAATGGTCAATGTTAGCAATGTTTTCTTTTCTTTACAATTTACGGCGGGGTAAGGACAATTCTCATGTTTGACTATAAAAGCAAGGGCAGCTTCATGGCCCTAATCCATTTGGGCATTTCTGCTGGTGTCCTGGATCCATCTATCTCCACATCTGTGTATCCAGAGATGGTGCTGACTGTGGCAATTACCAATTCATGGAGGTTCTTTGATTTTTAATAGGAAGAGTGATTTCCCCAGAGGTTTTCTCTTTAAATGAAGACATTCCTTCCCTGATTTCTGGGACATACCACTGTTGTTTATTCTGAAGAGTCCATGACTGGAACATCAGGGAAGGCCACAGATTTTTGTATTCTTTCTTTATTCAGGCTCTTTGGTTTTCCTTGGGAGGGATTCTACAACAGACTTACTAAGTGAGACTCTGAAACTCTGCCCCTATTTTGTACCCTTCTCCCCCAGGCATCTTGTTCGCTTAGCTGAGTACACTCTTGGGAAGAAGAGAGAATATGGTGGTAGCTCATGAGGACACGTCCAGTTTGCTTCCACAGCCTAAGACTCAACTGAATAAACACCTGAAATCTAAGTCTCCCTAAAGGTGTGCAACAGCTTTGGGGGATCTTTAACCATTTACCTCCTGTTATCTTTGGAATGGAGCAAAAACTAAAAGTGTTACATGGGAAGTTTGTTTCAATTCTACCACCTGGTACTCAGTTTACAAGCATTTCCCAATCCTACTTCTTAATGAGTTATATAAAAGGAGAAGATTTATTGACCATTTGTCATACATTTTGGTCAACATGTCAGTTATTGATATGTATTTTTTACATTATTAACTGAAGAAAAATGGATGCCTTTTACAAACGTTATAAGATTACAAAACACAAATACATCCAAAGGAACCAAATTAGGGTTGTAATGTGGAAGCCTAATGATTTTCCATCAGAACTCTCATATAAATGCCCTGTTTGATAAGAGAAATGAGCAGGAGCAAGGTCGTGGTGAAGGACTCTGCTGAAGCTTTCCCAAGGATTCCTATACTAAAGCTTTGGCTTTCTCAAAATATTCTCAGAATAAGCAGTTATTGTCATTCTCCAGAAAGTCAACCAGCAAAATGACTTGAGCTTTCCAATAAACTCTTGCCATGACCTTTGTGCTCTCCTCATCCACCTTTGTTTTGACTGGACTTTTCCACCTCTTGGTAGCCATTGCTTTGATTGTATTTGTTTTCCAGATTTTACTGGTAAAGTCTTGTGTTGTCTCCTGTTATAAATCATTGAAGGTGTGCTTACGGTCTTCATTGCTTGTATTTAAATTTTTAGGGAAACTTCTGCTCTTGTCTGTACTTGATCTTGGTGACACAGTTTGGGCATCCATTAAGTGAAAAGCTTACTAAACTTTGATCATTCAGTTAGAATCATGTAAACTGAACCAACTGAGAAGTCTGCGGTGTTGGCTATTGTGTGTGGTGCTAATCGTCACACATCTTCTCTTAGGGTATAAAGAAGATGAATGTATACCTTGCAATATGACATGGTTCATCTGTCACTGTAGGCTTTAGGTTCAACATTGCCTCATTCCTTCTTGAAATGAGGAACTCCTCATTGAATTTGTGAACTGCTGACTTCTTCAACCAATGTCAACTTACCATGTGGCAAGTAGGACAACTTTTTGGACACCGTCAGTGACTTCATCTTCTTCCACCCAAGCTTCACAATAAATTTGATGTTTGTAACTCTAACTTTAGAAGAATTCATGTTGCTCTTCTAGGGACTATTTTGAAACTGCTATCTTATTTTTCTTAATTCCTCAAACTAGCTCCTGTTGAGACATCTTATAGCAAGATATTCTAATTTCATTTGGTGCCAAAAAATTTGGAATCCATTCATGGTATTTCTTTTTTTTTTTTTTTTTTTTTTTTGAGACGGAGTCTTGCTCTGTGGCCCAGGCTGCAGAGCAGTGGCGCGGTCTCTGCTCACTGCAAGCTCTGCCTCCTGGGTTCATGCCATTCTCCTGTCTCAGCTTCCCGAGTAGCTGGGACTGCAGGCACCCACCACCACGCCTGGCTAATTTTTTTGTATTTTTAGTAGAGACGGGGTTTCAAGGATGGTCTTGATCTCCTGAACTCATGATCCACCCACTTTGGCCTCCCAAAGTGCTGGGATTACAGGCGTGAGCCACTGCGCCTGGCCCATTCATGGTATTTCTTAATAGAATATACATTCTCCGCCAACATTTTAACAACCCACTCCATATAGGAAGGCATCCTAACACAAGAAGATCTACTGGAGGTAACATAGACTTTTCCAGCTGACTAGGCAGATTAGTTTCTTGTTTTTCTTTTAGCATACATAGGAATGTTTTCTGAAGATGGGATATAATACCAGTCGCCAAATATTCTCCAGCTACATGGAAAGTGTAACATTTGTAACTGAGATTCACATGCTTCAAGAGAGACACAGAGTGCTTGGGCCTAGCGGCTATTCTGATGTTATTGAATGATTTTCTCTGGTTTCACCAAACATTATTTGGAAAGAGAAGCTGGCGATGAGCAGTCTGGCTTAGGTAGCTTATGGTGGCTTGTCAGGTAGGGAAGAAATGCAAGAGAGAAGAAGCAGCGGGGAGTGCCTACTTGTGGGAGTCACTGGGGAAGCTGCAGTCTTGGTTAGAGGCAGGCTACTCCTCATCTGCTGAGTACAGGAAGACAAGAGGTGATACTTCCAAGTATCACTCAGCTAATGCCCTATTCCTGACCTTCCCCTATGTCAGAAATGCATGAAAGAGACTAGAAAATCAGGAAGGAGTAAATATCAGGTATCAAGCTACCAGAGACAACCAAAACAGAGGTTACCAAAGAACTGAAGGAGACAGTGTCACTCAGGATGAGATCAAAACAAGGAGCAGGACTGCAACAGGAGCTTAGGCACTTGTCCATGAGTCAAGGACCTCAGCAATCAACTTGCCATTTAAAATAAATGTAAACTTACTATGTGCCAAGCAGGACTCTTGATTTCTACCTCCTAAAACCTGCTCTCCCCTGAGTTTCCTCATTATGACTGTCAAAACAAAATATCACAGACTAGGTTTTCTTCAACAACAGAAATTCCTTTCCAACACTTCTGGATGCTCAAGTTCCATGATGAAGCTGTCAGCAGGTTCAGTTCTTCTGGGCCCTGCCTGCTTGCCATCTACATATCTGCCTTCTTGCTGTGTTTCCCGTAGGTCTGCTTCTATACATACATAATTTTTGTGTCTCTCCGTGTGCAAATTTCTAGTTCTTATAAGGAATTTCCACTTCTTATAAGGACAGCAATCTTATTAGATTTAGTTCCACTGAAACTCCCCCATTTTATCTTGATCACCTCTTCTTAGGGCTGTTTTCTAAACACAATGATATTCTAAGGAACAAGAGGTTGGCTGTGGAGTTTTGTATACCTATGCCTATCATATTTCACTAAATATTTGATTATATAGATATCATTTCTTTGGAATTTTGAGCTGGGTGAAGACAACACAAACCTGGCCATTCATGGCTGACAGAAGGTTGGCCCTCAGCCTGGTCAGACCCACACAGATTGTCTAATATTCTCTGGCTCTGGGTCTAGTCAGAAAACTCTTGGTGTAGGATACAGGTGTCTTCATGCATTCTATCATTAATATACATGGGGAGGTTAAAAAAAACGTTGGCCATGAAAACTACCAAGGGGTTCTAGAAATGAACAGAAAGAATACACAGTTCTTGAATGAGACACCCTATTTCATGACTTCAAAATTTTTTCCTTGCTCTACCCCTTTGTTAGAATGTTTGATCAGATTTAGTTGGGCTTTACATCTTCTAGGAATTTTTTTTTATACAGACTCTTGCTCTGTCACCCAGGCTGGAGTGTGGTGTCATGATCCTGGCTTACACCATCCTTGAAATCGTGTGCTCAGGGGATTCCCCCAGCTTCAGCCTCTTAAGTTGTTTGATTACAGGTTCATGACACCCACCATGCCCATTTATTTATTTATTTATTTTTAATTTTTGAAGAGATGGAGCCTCACTTTGTTGCTCAGGCTGGTCTTGAACTCCTGGCCACAAGGGATCCTCCCACCTCACTCTTCCAAAGTCCTGAGATAATGGGCATGAGTACCCACATTCAGTCCTTCTTCTAGGAAAAATTTTTAATCACTCCCACTTATAATGAGTGGCCACAATTATGTATTCCAATAAGATAGTCTGGTACCCACATAAAAGCCTCAAGCATATCGCATTGATCTATTTCTTAGTACCTGTGCTATCTCTCTCCCAGATTGTTCTTCCACAAATAAATTTTTTTCATTTTTGCAATATTCTGAAACGAATTTCTCCAGACTCTCTTTCTAAAATGTATTTGTTGACATTTTGTGTTCTAAATCAAATTTCCCTGTGTTTATTTTTCATCTTACCTCTGGCTTCTTTTTAAATAAAATTTGATAAAATTTTTTAAATCTAATCTTCTAGATAAGCATCTATAATTCTTCTTACTCCTTTCTTTTCATTTTTGTTTTTAAAATTTAGATCAACATACTGTGTTTCCAAGGTCTTTTTACTGAGTTTGTGTTAGTAGCTCTCTTTTCATCTGCTGACTTTTCTATTATATCAAGTAGTTCCTGCCCATCGTTCCACCCTTTTCATGGAAAGTATAGGTGAGTCAGTATCAACAGCTGCCACTTACCATTTCAGGCCTCGAATAAGTCTTGTACTGTCATTCAGTTTTTTCTCAAGGATAGTGATAACTTCAGATGACCTTGTTAGAGGTATTGTGTGTGGGGATGTGACTGGACATCCTAAAGACAGGCCACTTGATCAGTTGGATGAGAGGATCCTGTGTTGTACACATAAGAATCTGTTCCTACTCTTCCAGAAGGGTCTGAGAATACAAGGGGATTTCAAAAATTTTTTGGAAGAACGTAATCACAATATGAAAGTAGACAATATAAACTTTATTTCTTAACATTATCTCCATCACATTCAAGAAGTTTGGCAAGTAATGATACAAGAAATTTAGCCTATCTACAAAGAATTGGGGACCCTGGGAATTTCACCATATAAATGTAGTCTTTTCACACTATTAACTGAAGAAAACAGAATACACGTTAAAGATATTTTAATATTAGAGAAAAAGAAATTCAAAGATACTGCATCAGTACTGTAAATTGGATGCCTAGTGATTTTCTTTTTTTTCTTTTCTGTTTTATTTTCATAGGTTGGGGAACAGGTGGTGTTTGGTTATGTATATAAGTTCTTGAGTGGTGATTTGTGAGATTTTGTTGCACCCATCACCTGGGCAGTACTCACTGCACCCAATTTATAGTCTTTTATCCCTCACCTCTTTCTGACTCTTTCCCCCTGAGTTCCCAAAGTCCACTGTGTCATTCTTAAGCCTTTGCATCCTCATAGTTTAGCTCCCATTCATGAGTGAGAACATACGATATTTGGTTTTCCAGTCCTAAGTTACTTCACTTAGAATGATGATATCGACTTATGAAAGATTGGAGAAAGTTAGGCAAAACTTTAGCAGATGAATGCCCAGAAAGGCTTTAGCAGAGTCCTTCTCCATCACAACAAAGCTCCTGCTCATTCCCCTCATGAAAGAGGAGCAATTTTCCAGTCGATGTTGTCATTCCTTGACCCTCCCCAAAGTTATCAACCAAAATACCTTGGGCATCCGAACACACTGTTGGCATAATATTTGTTTTTGTCGCATTTACTTAGACTAGACCACTTCCACCTCTTGGTACCCATTGCTTTGATTGTGTTTTTCCCTTTGAGTGGCACTGGTAAAGCCACATTTGATCTCCTGTTACAGCTCTTCAAAGACATGCTTAGGATCTTTTCTTTTCTTCTCCTTCCTACTTCTTTAATTTTTCATTGAATGTTCTGTTCTTGTCTGTAGCTGACTTGGGTACAGCAGTTTTGGCCCTCATCAAGTGGATAGTTTGCTCAAGTTTAAGCTCTTGTTTCTGTTGTTAATTGTCAGACCTCTTCAATTAGGCCAAAAGAAGATAAAGTTTTTGCCCATAAGTTGATGTGTATGGTCTGCTGCTGCAATGTTTACTTTCACCATTATCTCATCGATTCTAAAAGTGAGTTATCCATTCTGTGAAGGGCTGATTTACATGCGCACAAATATGTCCTAATGCATCAGTGATGTCACCATCCCTCCACCCAAGCTTCAACATAAACTCGAATTTGTTTTTCCTACAATTTTAGTAGAATATTTGCTGCTCTGATAGAGGCTGTTTTCAAACCGGTTTCTCAACCATGTTAGTGACTGAACGAGATCCTGTTCAGACATGTTGTAACAAGTTAGTACAAATGTATTTTGATACAAAAAATGTTTATATCCATGCATAATTTTTAAACATCATATGTATTTTCTACAAACAGTTTGAAGATGTCTTATATTATTGGAAGCCTTCCTCATAAAACGAGGGTTGCTGCAGATTACTCTGCCATTGGCTGGTGATCAGATAGATTGTTGTTTTCCTCCCTCACCCCTTCTGGAATATTAGGGATGTTTGCTAAAGAGGAAATATATTACCAGCTAGCAATTCTTCTTTGGCTACGCAGTAAGAAAACCGTTGTAGTTTGGCTTTATGTGCTTGGGGGGGTGGGGCATAAAGCAGTTGCTTGTCCTAGCACGTGCCCTAATGATACCAGGGTGACTGTGATTGGTTTCTACACACACTAATTGGACAGGGAAACTGGAGAAGAATGGTCCTGCCTAATGACTTACGGTAGACCTTTTAGTGGGAAAGGAAGATCCGAGGGAAGGAGCAGAGGGGAGTGCTTCGCAGACTTGCCTCATTGCATAGGTTGCTGTAGAAGTGGTAGTCCTGGTGTAAAAAGACTCCCCCTTGGCTTGATGAGTACAGGAAGACAGCAGGCATTGCCTTCAAATATCACTCAGCTCAGGCCCTTTCTCTGACATTGTCCAATGTCAGCAATGAGTGAAAGAGATTAGTTTATTAGGGAAGAATAAATATTAACTACAAAATCTCCACACACAAATAAAACAGAGATGACAGAAGAGCTGAATGAGGCCCTGTCAGTGAGTAAGGATGGGGTCAAAGCAAGGAGCAGGTCTGCAGCAGGAGCCCTGGCACCTTTTGGTCAGTTGAAGCTCTCAGCAATCCACTTGCCTTCTAATATGGATGCAAACATAATATGTCCCAAAAAAGATCCTTGATTTCTGCATCTTAAACGGCTCTCCCTTGACGTAGTTTGTTATGTCTGCCCTAAAAAAAACCAAAACACACTGTGTAATTTGAACAACAGAAATTGATTTTCTGAGGCTCACATTCCATGATCAAGGTGTTAACAGGTTCATTTCTTCTAAGATGTCTCTTCTTGGATTTGACTTGGCTAATTTAGTTTTTTTGTCCTCAAACACCTCGATCATTTACTTTCTGAAAAACTTTCACAGTCTACAAGGTCTTTTTTCAAATTTTAGACTTATATATGTCAGTTCTGAAATTTCTATTTTATTATTTTCTATAGTTCCTTTTTCTGCTGAGAAGCTTTTTCCCATTTACTTTGAGAGTGTTCACATTTACCTCAGAAAAGTTGACTATAAGAGCTGCTTTAAAGTCTGATCATTTCCATATCGAAGTGGTTTCAAGGCTGTTATATCTTGATTATACCCTTCATTAAGAATTGGTCAATTGTTTACGGTTTGTAAAAGTATATTGAGTAATTTTCTATTTTATGCCTCACATGGGCATTTTTCTGTGTTTACAATACACAAAAAATTCAACAAGGCAAGCTTTGGACATTGAAGGGTGGAGGCACTCAGGCTACATCGTGATCCACCCACTGGCTCCACTGGCAGAAGGGTTAATCCCACTGACATTATTCTACTTGGAACTTCTATGTGGATGATTCTCCTTGGCTCTTATGAGATAAGAGTATAAGCATTTCATATAGTACACACTTATAAAATTAAAAACAACAGAAAAGTGCGCTGAATGGGTCCCAAAGGCCTTATCCACTATGTCTTCCTAACTTTTCATGTTTTGTACCCCATTTTCTCAAAGCTCAAATGAACACAAGCACTTCTTTTCTCTTTTCCTCTACAAGAACCACAGAGTTTAACATTTGCTTCTTAGAGGCTATCCCAGTAGCCAGGCAGCCCTGCTCTCTTCTGACTGGGGATTTACAGAATGCAGGAAAATGAGGCTGAGGTAGAAAGAGTGACTATACACCCAGCATAATGGCTCATGACTGTAATCCCACTACTTTTGGAGGCTGAGATTGGAGGATTGTTGATGTCAGGAATTCAAGATCAGCCTAACAATATAGCAAGATCTCCCCATGTATACAACAAAATTTACAAAATCAACCTTGCATGGTGATGGGCACCTGTAGTCCCATCTAATTCAGAGGGTGATCTGGAAGAATTGCTTGATCCCAGGAGTTCAAGACTGCAGTGAGCCATGATTGCACCACTGTACTCCAGCTTAAGTGAGAGAACAAGTCCCTGTCTCTAAAAAGAAATAATAATACTAATAATAACAATAATAACAATAAATGACTACTGCAACTGAAAAGCTTTTTTTCCCCCACCCTGGCTTCTAGCCCCAGGGTCTACCTCCTTTAAATGCATCTCCAGTGTCTATGGATTCAACAGACTTCCAGTCTCTTCCTTTCTTTCCCCTTATATGCCACTGTAGCTCTATCCTGTATCCTCAGCATGCCTTCCCCCACTCCGACAGAATCAAGTACAACGGTGAATTGAGCAAGTATAGGCAATAGAGCTATAAATATCTATGTTTCTACCCTCTTTGATATTTTTTCAATATTTGGAGATGGGTATGTAGGGCCCTTAGTCCTTCTTGTGTCAGGGTCTTCTCAGGCCCAACCCAAATCCTGAAAGGAACTGAGATCAGAGTAGAGGAAAAGAAGTGATGAGAGATGTGAACAAAGTGTCTTCATGCAAGTAAGACACATTTACTGTCTAATTCAAGCATTGTAGCCACAGCCTAAGACTCAACTGAATAAACACGTGAATTTTAAGTCTCCCCAAATGTTTGCAACAGCTTTGGGGCATCTTTAACCCTTTACCTCCTGTTATCTTTGGAATGGAGCAAAAACTGAAAGTTTTACATGGGAAGTTTCCTTCAATTCTACCACCTGGTACTCAGTTTACAACCATTTCCCAATCCTTCTTGTTAATGAGCTATATAAAAGGAGACAAATTATTGACCACTTGTCATACATTTTGGTCAACATGCCAGCTATTGATATGTATTTTTTACATTATCAACTGAAGAAAAATGGATGCCTTTTACAAACGTTATAAGAACACAAAACAAAAAGAAAACAAAAGAAACCAAATTAGGGTTGTAATGTGTCCAGAATTGGTTTCTTCCAGTTGGTTCTTGGTCTCGCTGACTTCAAGAATGAAGCTGCGGATGCTTGCAGTGAGTGTTACAGTTCTTAAAGATGGTGTGTCCATAGTTTGTTCCTTCAGATGTTCAGATGTGTCTGGAGTTTCTTCCTTCCGGTGGGTTCTTGTTCTCACTGACTTCAGGAGTGAGGCCACAGACTTTTGCAGTGATTGTTACAGCTCTTAAGGCCGTGTCCAAAGTTGTTTTTTCTTCCTGGTGGGTTGGTGGTCTCAGTGACTTCAGGAATGAAGCCGCAGACCCTCTCGTGTGTGTTACAGCTCATAAAGGTAGTGCAGACCCAAAGAGTGAGCAGCAGCAAGATTTGTTGTGAAGGGCAAAAGAACAAAGCTTCCACAGCATGGAAGGGGACCCAAACAAGTTACCACTGCTGGCTCAGTTGGCCAGCTTTTATTCCCATATTTGGCCCTGCCCACATCCCGCTGATTGGTACATTTTACAGAGCGCTGATTGGTCCATTTTACAGAGTGCTGATTTGTCCATTTTACAGGGTGCTGATTGGTGCATTTGTAATCCTTTAGCTAGACACAGAGTCCTGATTGGTGCATTTTTACAGAGTGCTGATTTGTGCATTCACAATCCTTTAGCTAGACAGAGAGCACTGATTGGTGCATTTTTATAGAGTGCTGATTGGTGCATGTACAATCCTTTTGCTAGACACAGAGTGCTGATTGGAGCATTTTTATAGAGTGCTGAATGGTACATTTACAATCCTTTTGCTAGACACAGAGCAATGATTGGTGCATTTACAATCATCTAGCTAGACAGAAAAGTTTTCCAACTCCCCACTCGACCCGGGAAGTCCACTTGGCTTCACTTCTCACCAATGTGAAAGCCTAATGATTTTCCATCAGAACTGTCTTATAATTACCCTGTTTGATAAGAGAAATGAGCAGAAGCAAGGTTGTGAAGGTTGTGTTGAAGGACTCTGCTGAAGCTTTCCCAAGGATTCCTATACTAAAGCTTTGGCTTTCTCAAAATATTCTCAGAATAAGCAGTTATTGTCATTCTCCAGAAAGTCAACCAGCAAAATGACTTGAGCTTTCCAATAAACTCTTGCCATGACCTTTGTGCTCTCCTCATCCACTTTTGTTTTGACTGGACTTTTCCACCTCTTGATAGCCATTGCTTTGATTGTATTTGTTTTCCAGATTTTACTGGTAAAGTCACTTGTTATCTCCTCTTATAATTCACTGAAGAAATGCTTATGGTCTTCATTGTTCCTATTTAAATTTTTAGGGAAACTTCTGCTCTTGTCTGTACTTGATCTTGGTGACACAGTTTGGGCATCCATTAAGTGAAAAGCTTACTAAACTTTAATCATTCAGTTAGATTCATGTAAATTGAACCAACTGAGAAGTCTGCAGTGTTGGTTATTGTGTGTGCTACTAATCATCACACCTCTTCTCCTGGGTTTAAAGAAGATGAATTTATTCCTTGCAATGTGATGTGAATCATCTGTCACTGTAAGCTTTAGGTTCAACATTGCCTCATTCCTTCTTGAAATGAGGAACTTCTCATTGAATTTGTGAACTGCTGACTTCTTCTACCAATGTCAACTTACCATGTGTCAAGTAGGACAACTCTTTGGACACCATCAATGATTTTACCTTCTTCCACCCAAGCTTCACAGTACATTTGATGCTCCTACTCACTTTAATTTTAGAAGAATTCATGTTGCTCTTTTAGGGGTCTTTTGAAACTGCTTTCTTATTTTCCTTCATGCCTCAAACTAGCTCCTGTTCAGACATGTTATAGCAAAAGATTATGATTTTATTTTGGTGCCAAAACATTGGAATCCATTCATGGTGTTTCTTAATAGGATATACATTTTCCTTCAACATTATAACAACCCACTGCATATAGGAAGGTGTCCTGATACAATAAGCTCTACTAGAGGTAACTCAGAATTTTCCAGCTGACTAGGCAGATTGGTTTCTTGTTTATCTCCTAGGATAAATAGGGATGTTTTCTGAAGATGGAATATAATACCAGTGGCCAAATATTCTCCAGTTACACAGAAAGTTTAACATTTGTAACTGAGATTCACATTCTTTAAGAGAGAGAGAGAGTACTTGGGCCAGTCTGGTGTCCTGATGTTATTGAATGATTTTCTCTGGTTTCACCAAACATTGTTTGAAAAGGAAGCTGTTGATGGGCAGTCTGGCCTAGGTAGCTTATGGTGGCCCATCAGGAAGGAAAGAAACGCAAGAGAGAAGAAGCAGAGGGGAGAGCCAGGCAGATGTGACTCCTTGTGGGAGTCAGTGGGGAAGTTGCAGTCCTGGTTGGAGACAGACTTCTCCTTGTCTGCTGAGTACAGCAAGACAAGAGGTGATGCTTCCAAATATCACTCAGCTCACAACCTGTCCTTCTCCTATGTCAGAAATGAGTGAAAGAGATTAGCATATCAGGAAGGAGTAAATATCAGATATCAAGCTACCAGAGACAAGCAAAATAGAGGTTACCAAAGAACTGATGGAGACAGTGTCACTGATTTAGGATGGGGTAAAAGCAAGGAGCAAGGCTGCAACAAAAGCTTAGGCACTTGTCCATGAGTCAAGGACCTCAGCAATCCACTTGCCATTTAAAATAATGTAAACTTACCATGTGCCAAGCAGGACTCTTGATTTGTACCTCCTAAAACCTGCTCTCCCCTGAATTTCTTTATAATAGCCATCAAAACAAAATATCACAGACTAACATTCTTAAGCAACAGAAATTACTTTTCAACCCTTCTGGATGCTCAAGTTCCATGATGAAGGTGTCAGCAGGTTCAGTTCTTCTGGGCCCTGTCTACTTGGCATCTAGATATCACCTTCTTGCTGTGTCCTCCCATGGGGCTGCGTCTGTGCCTATGTACTTATTGTGTCTCTCTGTGTGCAAATTTCCAGTTCTTATAAGGAATTTCCACTTCTTCTAAGGACACTCATCTTATTGGATTTAGTTCCACTGAAACTCCCTCATTTTAGCTTGATCACCTCTTCTTAGGGCTGTTTTCTAAACACAATCATATTCTAAGGAACAACATGTTGGCTGTGGAGTTTTCTATACCTATGCCTATCATATTTCCCTAAACATTTGATTATGTAGAGATTATTTCTTTGGAACTTTGAGCTGTGTGCAGACAACACAAACCTGGCCATTCATGGCTGACAGAAGGTTGGCTCTCAGCCTGGTTGGACCCACACAGATTGTCCAATATTCCTTGGATCTGGCTCCAATCAGAAAAGTCTTGGTGTTGTAGGATACAGGAGTCTTAACGTATTCTATTATTAATATTCATGGAGAGGTTAAAACAAAGTTGGACACAAAAACTACCAGAGGTTTCTAGAAATGAACAAAATGAATACACGTCCTTGAATGAGCCATCCTACTTCATGTCTTTAAGAATTTTTTCTTGCTCTTCCCCTTTATTAGAATGTTTGATCAGATGCAGTTTGGGCTTTATGTCTTACAGGATTATATATATGTAAATATAGGCTCTTGCTCTGTCAGCCAGGCTGGAGTGTGGTGTCCTGATCATGGCTTCCAGCATCCTTGAACTCCTATGCTCTGAGGATTCCCCCCACTTCAACCACTTGAGTTGCTTGAATTACAGGTTCATGACACCCACCATGCCCGTTTATTATTTTTTAATTTATTTAAAAATTTTTTGAAGAGATGGATCCACAATTTGTTGCTCAGGCTGGTCTTAAACTCCTGGCCTCAAGGGATCCATCCAACTCACCCTCCCAAAGTCCTGGGATAACAGGCATGAGTCGCCACATTCAGTTGTTCTTCTAGGAAAAATTTTTAATCACTCCCACTTATAATGAGTGACCACAATTATATATTCCAATGAGATAGTCAGGAACCCACATAAAAGCCTCAAGGGTATTGCACTGATCTATTTCTTAGTACATGTGCTGTCTCCCAGATTGTTCTTCCACACAGAAATTTTTTTTATTTTTGCATTATTCTGAAAGTATTTTCTCCCCACTCTCTTTCTAAAATGTATTTGTTGACATTTCCTGTTCTAAATAATCTTCCCTGTGTTTATTTTTCATCTTATATCTGGCTTCTTCTTAAATAAATTTTTGGAATTTTTTTAAATCAAATGTACTAAGTAAGAATCTATAATTCTTCTTACTCCTTTCATTTTATGTTTGTTTTTAAAATTTAGATCAATATACTGTATTTCCAAAGTCTTTTTACTGAGTTTGTGTTGGTAGCTCTCTTTTCGTCTGCTGACTTCTCTGTTATATCAAGTAGTTCCTGCCCATCATTTCATCTTTTTATGGAAAGTACAGGTTAGTCAGTATTAACAGCTGCCACTTATCATTTCAGGCCTCGAATACTCCTGAGACATCATTCAGTTTTTGCTCAAGGATAGTGATAACTTCAGGATGCCTCATTAGAGGTATTGTGTGTGGGGCTGCCACTGGAAATCCTAAACACAGGCCACTTGATCATTTCGATGAGAGGATCCTGTGTTGTACACATTAGAATCTGATCCTGCTCTTCCAGATGGGTTTGAAATACAAGGGATTTCAAAAGGTTTGTGGAAGAATGCAATTACAATATGAAATTAGACATTATATAAACTTTATTTCTTAACATAACCTCCACCGCATTCAAGAAGGTTTGCAAGTAATGACACAAATAATTTAGCCTATCTATAAACAATTGAGGGTCCTGAGAATTTCACCATATAAATACAGTCTTTTCACATTACTAACTGAAGAAAACAGCATACACATTAAAGTATTTTTATCTTAGAAAAAAAAAGAAGTCTGAGGAACAGCTCCAGTCTACAGCTCCCAGCATAAGCAATGCAAGAGATGAATGATTTCTGCATTTCCAACAGAGGTACTGGTTCATCTCACTGGGGATTGTCGGACAGTGGGTGCAGTGCACCAAGCATGAGCCGAAGCAGGGTGAGGCATCGCCTCACCCGGGAAGTGCAAGGGGTCAGGGAATTCCCTTTCCTAGCCAAGGAAAGGGGTGACAGATGGCACCTGGAAAATCGGGTCACTCACACCCTAATACTGTGATTTTCTGATGGTCTTAGCAAATGGCACATCAGGAGATTATATCCCGTGCATGGCTCGGAGGGTCCTACACCCAAGGAGCCTCGCTTATTGCTAGCACAGCAGTCTGAGTTCAAACTGCAAGATGGCAGTGAGGCTGGGGGAGGGGCACCCACCATTGCTGAGGCTTGAGCTGGTAAACAAAGCAGCTGGGAAGCTCGAACTGGGTGGAGCCCACTGCAGCTCAAGGGGGCCTGCCTGCCTCTGTAGACTCCACCTCTGGGGGCAGGGCATAGCCAAACAAAAGGTAGCAGAAACCTCTGCAGACTTAAATGGCCCTGTCTGACAGATTGGAAGACAGTAGTGGTTCTCCCAGCACACAGCTTGAGATCTGAGAATGGAGAGTCTGCCTCCTCAAGTGGGTCCCTGACCTCTGAGTAGTCTAATTAGGAGGGACCCCCCAGTAGGGGCAGACTGACACCACACATGGCCGGGTACCCCTCTGAAACAAAACTTGCAGAGGAAGGATCAGGCAGCAACATTTCCTGTCCATAAATATTCACTATTCTGCAGCCTCCACAGCTGATACCCAGGCAAACAGGGTCTGGAGTGGACCTCCAGCAAACTCCAACAGACCTGCAGCTGAGGGTCCTGACTGTTAGAAGGAAAACTAACAAACAGAAAGGACATCCACACCAAAACCCATCTGTACGTCACCATCATCAAAGACCAAAGGTAGATAAAACCACAAAGATGGGGAAAAAACAGAGCAGAAAAACTGAAAATTCTAAAAATCAGAGTGCATCTCCTCTTCTAAAGAATGCAGTGCCTCACCAGCAACAGAACAAAGCTCAATGGAGAATGACTTTGACGAGATGAGAGAAGAAGGCTTCAGACGATCAAACTACTTGGAGCTAAAGGAGGAAGTTCGAACCCATGGCAAAGGAGTTAAAAACCTTGAAAAAAGATTAGATGAATGGCTAACTAGAATAACCAATGCACAGAAGTCCTTAAAGGACCCGATGGAGCTGAAAACCACGGCACAAGAACTACATGATGAAAGCACAAGCCCAGTAGCTGATTCAATCAACTGGAAGAAAGGGTATCAGTGATGGAAGATCAAATGAATGAAATGAAGCAAAAAGAGAAGTTTAGAGAGAAAAGAATAAAAAGAAATGAACAAAGCCTCCAAGAAATATGGGACTATGTGAAAAGACCAAATCTACATCTGATTGGTATACCTGAAAGTGAAGGGGAGAATGGAACCAAGTTGGAGAACACTCTGCAGGATATTATCCAGGAGAACTTCCCCAATCTAGCAAGGCAGGCCAACATTCAAATTCAGGAAATACAGAGAATGCCACAAAGATATTCCTGGAGAAGAGCAACTCCAACACACATAATTGTTAGATTCACCAAAGTTGAAATGAAGGAGAAAATGTTAAGCACAGCCAGAGAGAAAGGTCTGGTTACCCACAAAGGGAAGCCCATCACACTAACAGCTGATCTCTCAGCAGAAACTCTATAAGCCAGAAGAGAGTGGAGACCAATATTCAACATTCTTAAAGACAAGAATTTTCAACCAGAATTTCATATCCAGCCAAACTAAGCTTCATAAGTGAAGGAGAAATAAAATACTTTACAGACAAGCAAATGCTGAGGATTTTGTCACCACCAGGCCTGCCCTAAAAGAGCTCCTGAAGGAAGCATTAAACATTGAAAGGAACAACCGGTACCAGCCACTGTAAAAACATGCCAAATTGTAAAGACCACTGAGGCTAGGAAGAAACTGCATCAACTAACAAGCAAAATAACCAGCTAACATCATAATGGGAGGATCAAATTCACACATAACAATATTAACCTTAAATGTAAATGGGCTAAATGCTCCAGTTAAAAGACACAGACTGGCAAATTGGATTAAGAGTCAAGACCCATCAGTGTGCTGTATTCAGGAAACCCATCTCACATGCAGAGACACACATAGGCTCAAAATAAAGGGATGGAGGAAGATCTACCAAGCAAATGGAAAACACAAAAAGGCAGCGGTTGCAATCCTAGTCTCTGATAAAACAGATTTAAACCAACAAAGACCAAAAGAGACAAAGAAGGCCATTACATAATGGTAAAGGGATCGATTCGACAAGTAGAGCTAACTATCCTAAATATATATGCACCCAATACAGGAGCACCCAGATTCATAAAGCCAGTCCTTAGAGACCTACAAAGAGACTTAAGACTCCCACACAATAATAATGGTAGACTTTAACACCCCACTGTCAACATTAGACAGATCAACGAGACAGAAAGTTAACAAGGATATCCAGGAATTGAACTCAGCTCTGCACCAAGCAGATCTAATAGACATCTGCAGAACTCTCCACCCCAAATCAACAGAAAATACATTCTTTTCAGCACCACACCACACCTATTCCAAAATTGACCACATAGTTGGAAGTAAAGCACTCCTCAGCAAATGTAAAAGAACAGAAATTATAACAAACTGTCTCTCAGACTACAGTGCAATCAAACTAGAACTCAGGATTAAGAAACTCACTCAAAACCGCTCAACTACATGGAAACTGAACAACTTGCTCCTGAATGACTACTGGGTACATAACGAAATGAAGGCAGAAATAAAGATGTTCTTTGAAACCAATGAGAACAAAGACACAACATACCAGAATCTCTGGGATACATTCAAAGCAGTGTGTAGAGGGAAAGTTATAGCACTAAATGCCCACAAGAGAAAGCAGGAAAGATCTAAAATTGACACCCTAACATCACAATTAAAAGAACTAGAGAAGCAAGAGCAAACACATTCAAAAGCCAGCAGAAGGTAAGAAATAACTGAGATCAGAGCAGAACTGAAGGAAATACAGACACAAAAAACCCTTCAAAAAATCAATGAATCGGGAGTTGGTTTTTTGAAAATATCAAAAAAATTGATAGACTGCTAACAAGACTAATAAAAAAGTAAAGAGAGAAGAATCAAATAGACCCAATAAAAAATGACAAAGGGGATATCACCACCGATCCCACAGAAATACAAACTACTATCAGAGAATAATATAAACATCTCTACACAAAAAAACTAGAAAATCTAGAAGAAATGGATAAATTCCTCAACACATACACCCTCCCAAGATTAAACTAGGAAGATGTTGAATCTCTGAATAGACCAATAACAGACTCTGAAATTGAGGCAATAATTAATAGCTTACCAACCAAAAAAAGTCCAGGACCAGATGGATTCACAGCCAAATTCTACCAGAGTTACAAGGAGGAGCTGGTACCATTCCTTCTGAAACTATTCCAATCAACAGAAAAAGAGGGAATCCTCCCTCACTCATTTTATGAGGCCAGCATCATCCTGATACTAAAGCCTGGCAGAGACACAACAAAGAAAGAGAATTTTAGACCAATATCCCTGATGAACATCGATGCAAAAATCCTCAATAAAATACTGGCAAACTGAATCCAGCAGCACATCAAAAAGCTTATCCACCACGATCAAGTGGGCTTCATCCCTGGGATGCAAGGCTGGTTCAACATACGCAAATCAATAAACATAATCCAGCCTATAAGCAGAACCAAGGACAAAAACCATATGATTACCTCAATAGATGCAGAAAAGGACTTCGACAAAATTCAACAACCTTCATGCTAAAAACTCTCAATAAATTAGGTATTGATGGGACATATCTCAAAATAATAAGAGCTATCTATGACAAACCCACAGCCAATATCATATTGAATGGGCAAAAACTGGGAGCATTCCCTTTGAAAAGTGGCACAAGACAGGGATGCCCTCTCTCACCACTCCTATTCAACATAGTGTTGGAAGTTCTGGCCAGGGCAATCAGACAGGAGAAAGAAATAAAGGGTATTCAATTAGGAAAAGAGGAAGTCAAATTGTCCCTGTTTGCAGATGACATGATTGTATATCTAGAAAACCCCACTGTCTCAGCCCAAAATCTCCTTAAGCTGATAGGCAACTTCAGCAAAGTCTCAGGATACAAAATCAATGTGCAAAAATCAGAAGGATTCTTAAACACCAATAACAGACAGAGAGCCAAATTATGAGTGAACTCCCATTCACAATTGCTTCAAAGAGAATAAAATACCTAGGGATCCAACTTACGAAGGAAGGGGAAGGACCTCTTCAAGGAGAATTACAAACCACTGCTCAATGAAATAAAAGAGGATACAAACAAATGGAAGAACATTCCATGTCATGGGTAGGAAGAATCAATATCATGAAAATGGCCATACTGCCCAAGGTAATTTATAGATTCAATGCCATCCCCATCAAGCTACAAATGACTTTCTTCACAGAATTGGAAAAAACTACTTTAAAGTTCATATGGAACCAAACAAGAGTCTGCATTGCCAAGTCAATCCTAAACCAAAAGAACAAAGCTGGAGTCATCACGCTACCTGAGAAAACTATTTAATAAATGGTGCTGGGAAAACAGGCTAGCCATATGTAGAAAGCTGAAACTGGATCCCTTCCTTACACCTTATACAAAAATTAAGTCAAGATGGATTAAAGACTTAAATGTTAGACCTAAAACCATAAAAACCCTAGAAGAAAACCTAGGCAATACCATTCAGGACATAGGCTTGGGCAAGGACTTCATGTCTAAAACACCAAAAGCAATAGCAACAAAAGCCAAAATTGACAAATGGGATCTCATTAAACTAAAGAGCTTCTACACAGCAAAAGAAACTACCATCAGAGTATATAGGCAACCTACAGAATGGGAGAAAATGTTTGCAATCTACTCATCTGGCAAAGGGGCTGATATTCAGAATCTACAATGAACTCCAACAGATTTACAAGAAAAAAACAAACAACCCCATCAACAAGTGGGTGAAGGATATGAACAGACACTTTTCAAAAGAAGATATTTATGCAGCCAAAACACACATGAAAAAATGCTCATCATCACTGGCCATCAGAGAAATGCAAATCAAAACCACAATGAGATACCATCTCACACCAGTTAGAATGGTAATCATTAAAAAGTCAGGAAACAACAGGTGCTGGAGAGGATATGGAGAAATAGGAACACTTTTACACTGTTGGTGGGACTGTAAACTAGTTCAACCATTGTGGAAGTCAGTGTGGCGATTCCTCAGGGATCTAGAACTAGAAATACCATTTGACCTAGCAATCCCATTACTGGGTATATACCCAAAGGATTATAAATCATGCTGCTATAAAGACACATGCACACGTATGTTTATTGCGGCACTATTCACAATAGCAAAGACTTGGAACCAACCCAAGTGTCCAACAATGATAGACTGGATTAAGAAAATGTGGCACATATACACCATGGAATATTATGCAGCCATAAAAAATGATGAGTTCATGTCCTTTGTAGGGACATGGATGAAATTGGAAACCATCATTCTCAGCAAATGATCGCAAGGACAAAAAACCAAACACCTCATGTTCTCACTCATAGGTGGGAATTGAACAATGAGAACACATGGACACAGGAAGGGGAACATCACACACCAGGGCATGTTGTGGGGTGGGGGTAGGGGGGAGGGATAGCATTGGGAGATATACCTAATGCTAAATGATGAGTTAATGGGTGCAGCACACCAACATGGCACATGTATCCATATGTAACTAAACTGCACATTGTGCACATGTACCCTAAAAAAGTATAATAAGAAAAAAAGAAAAAAGTATCACTTTGTATATATTTTTATTTATCATTTTCTGTCTTTTAGTCATAATATTTTTTTAAAAATTTTATTAGTAAGTGCCTGCCAGTCTGTTGTGTATACTGGTGCACATTTAATATGAAAGTTTAATTCACGACATTTTGAAGTTGAAATGCAAAGTCTTCTTAAACTTCCATCTGGCTGGGTGCCATGGCTCATGCCTGTAATTCCAACACTTTGGGAGGCTGAGGCAGTTGGATCACTTGAAGTCAAGAGTTCAAGACCAGGCTGGCCTTAGCCTTGCTTTCTGTACAGTCTGCAGAACTGCAAGTAAATTAAATCTCTTTCATTTATAAATTACCCAGTGTCAGGTAGTTATTTACAGCAATGCGAGAACAGACTAATACAGATCTGCAGAAATATTCCATTAGGAAAAATACTCAATAGTATATAAACAAGTCAACATTGTGATTAAAAAAAAAAATACACCATGTTGAAAGAATATGTCAAGGATGGTTCAGTAAGGAATTTGGACACACCCTATCAATGGCCTCAGAAACTTCACTAAGTTCAAAGAAATCAGGAAAGAAGGATCTCACCATAACTACCACCACATTGACCAACCCACACAGAACTCAAACCTACATATTCTCTGGCTTCTCTCATGATGGTAAGTGAAGTTCCTTGGCCCTATCTTTTACCTTCATGCTAGATTCCATACCGTATTACCTAATCAAGGATTTTGCTTCCGTAATTATGTTCCATTTCTCCCTGCATCTTCAATTTGTTCTTCTTTATGACAAATGTGCTGTAATATCTCCCATTTTTACAAAGCTCTCTCTACATATTTAATGCCTCTCCATTTACCACACAATTTGTCTGACATCTTTATTGCAAAAATCTTTGAAAAGAATGTTATAGTTATTGTTCGCCATGTTCTCACCTCCCATTTTCTCTTCCACACACTCTATAGGGGCTTTTGTACTCACCACTTCCATCATTTTCATAATAATGAAATCCAAATCTGTTTCTAAAGCCAAGGTTCTGCATAATTGGTCCCCTGCCTATCTCCTATCTTTGAACTTATTGACTTCTCTATAACTAATTTACTTCACTAATTTAGCCACACTGGCCTCTTAACACTATGCCAATATACCAAGCTTGCTTATATCTTTATCAAGCATGTTTTGTCCCTTTATTCAAATCTGTTCAAATGTCACCATTTTGAAGCCTTCTTTGAATACACAAAAATCCTCAATCCCCTTAACTTGCTTATTTTTGTATCAAAATTGTTGTCATTAGGAGACAGCTGATACCCAAGATTCCTTCCTCCTGATATTCACATGCTTGTGTGGTTCCCACCTTAATATATCAGGATTGGTCTGTGTGACCCATAGAATATGAGGAAAGTGTTAGTATATATTAATACCCCTGAGATCATGTTATAAAAGAAACTGTGGCTTCATTTTTTTTTTTTTTTTGGCAACTTCACTCTGTCTGTCTCTTTGTCTCACTGTCTTGATCTCTCTCTTTCTCTCTTTCCCTTTCTCACATCTTTTACTTTGGGAAAGACCAGCAGCCATGTCCAATAGCTTTATGGAGAGGCCATCCTTTCCAAGTGAATCTCTAGGCGTCTCCTTCATTTGACTTCACAGTGAAGCAAGCACCTAGAGGGGATGAGAAGGAAAAGTTTCCCACCCTCAATCTCTCAGTCCCCACTTGATCTCTATAACAATTTCACTCTGCCCAAATTGTGTCTAATGTGGACACAGTGGGGTGAATGATAGGGATGCATTGGCTTCCTTCTAGTAGGCCCTGCTAGGAAGTGAGGTGTCAGTTTCAAGTACTGATGACTTTTTGGTTGTGATTTCATTTTTAGAATGAGGAAATATTATTTGCCTTTTGTTCACCAATATCATCACTACCCTGTACCTATTAATTACGCTTATATTTCCTTCCTTACAAAACCTTTTGTTTTTCCTGGAGTTAATAATTACCTCCTTTTTCTCACTTATTTGGTTTTCTTTAAACATCTAAGTCTTCCTGACACTTCCAACGGACTTGTAAAATCCCTCTTCATACAATTTTCCTCACTGACACTTCTCAGATAATTTGCCTTTGTCCTGGAAATTTTATTTTCTTCTCTCAAATAGGGTGATGCATATCCTGAGTTAATGCCTCCCTCTTTCTCAGCCTTCTTCTTTGGTGAAACCCATTCTTCCATAGCTTGTTGCAAATGAGCCACATGAGAGGGGAAACATTTCAAGATCATTCATGTCTAAGAATGTGCTTAGTCTGGCCTCACACTTGACTGATAATCTGGCCAAATATAGGACACTAGGTTGAAAATGACTTTTGCTCAGAATCTTTCTGACACCATCTTCTAACTTTTACCCTTCCATTTTCACTCTAATTCTCAATCCTTAGTGTAAAACTGTTTTTTTCCTCCACTGGAATCTTGAGGATCATCCTTTTATCCCTAAAATTTAATTAGATTTAAGTTGATATGGATCTCTTTCCATTTATTGTGCTGGGCACTCAGTATTCTATTCCGGGTGTTGCAGGGGCTGTGCTGGGCCCTACATTTTAGATTGGTCTCCACACACCCCAAAACCAAACGCATGGTTTAATTCCTTTCACTCTCCTTGGAAAATATTTTAAAAGTCCAGCAAATAAATAAAAAACAGGAATTGTGGGAGAGGGGCACAGGCAGAACTGTGGTCCTCAAGTCCTGAGGATGCAGAATTGAGAAGGTACAATGAGAATAAATTCACAGCTTCTGCTCTGGGACACCAGAGAAAAAAATGAATGCTTTTGCTTAATGTTTTTCAGCTTAAAAAGACCAAAGAGCACATCTGGGCAGACAGGTTCACCCACTCTCCCTCCATAAATGCACTCTCTACTACTCCTGTGGTCAGTAATATCATTTGGGGAGCTGCTTAGAACCTCCTGGGAAACCCAAATCAGAAGTGAGGCAGGGCAGAGAGCATCGCTTGCCTAGCAGGCTCCCACAAAAGCTTGGCCAGGTCAATGCTTGGCCCCCACCCAGCTTCCACCCTGCTGCTCCAGCAGACAGCCCTACCCCTCTCCATCCTCCCACCTCCCAGCTTGCAGTCAGGGTTAATGCAGGGAAACACATGTTCCTTTAGCCTCCTGGCTAGTTGAGAAAGGCAGTTTCCAAGAGACAGACTGCAGGACTTATGTGGAACCTGACATGAATCTAGGGTCTAGACACTTTATAACTTATAGAGTAGGGGCTATAAAGTAGGTGGGGCTCCATTTGTATTCCTGCACTGGGCACTGCAAATGGTTAAGTGTGGGCCTGCGGATCAACATTGGGCCCTTTCAATATGGAGAATACACCTTAAGTTCTGGGAAATCTAGTGTTTCATTGACTATTTCTTTCCCATATAGTCTCTGTTTTCTTTGTCTAATGTTGGTTGAATTTTTTTTTCTCACCCATGGATCATCTCTTTTCATTCTATCTTATGGGAGAGTTCCTTAACTTTATCTTCTACTGCGCTTATCATCAACTGAATTTATAATTGCCAATATTTCTTTTTGTTTTCCAGTCATTCCTTTATTTAATAACATCCTATTCTTGTTTCAAAAATGCAGTGTCGGCTGGGCGCAGTGGCTCACGCCTGTAATCCCAGCTCTTTGGGAGGCCGAGGCGGGGTGGATCACGAGGTTAAGAGATCGAGACCATCCTGGCCAACATGATGAAACCCCGTCTCTACTAAAAATACAAAAATTGGCTGGGCATGGTGGCGCATGCCTGTAGTCCTAGCTACTCGGGAGGCTGAGGGAAGAGAATCGCTTGAACCCAGGAGGCGGAGGTTACAGTGAGCTGAGATTGTGCCACTGCACTCCAGCCAGGTGACAGAGCGAGACTCTGCCTCAAACAAACAAAAAAGATGTAGTGTCTATTCTTATTTCTTGAAACATATTACCATTTCTGAAAGGTTTATCCTGCTTTTTATCTTGTTTCTGTCTCCTTCCAATTCCTCTTTTTCTGTTTCTTTGAGTCTTATTTGATGGAGATTTTCTTCAAATAGCTGATGAACTTTTTTTCTATTCATACATTAGAGTTAGACGCTAAGATTATCAGAAAACTCTATGTGCATTGCAAGAATTATGTAGAATCAGGTCCTCACAGGAGGGAGGCTGGATGCCCTGGTATTTTGTGTAGACCTACAGCTGCTTTCTCTGAGAAAGTGCTGATCCTTTCGAAGAATCCTCCTGTCTCCTAACCTGCAAACATCATCCTCACTGCCAGGACCTTGAAGCTGGCCAGGATATGAGGTTGGATATCCTCCATTTATTTAACGGGCTTTCACTTGATTGGCTTGTTTTCAGAGTAGAATTTCACTCATGCCCTCTTTAGTAACGCCAAGTTGTCCCCAAGTCCATTGCCTCTCTGGTTCAGTTTTTCTAAATAAACCTACTCCCTCTTGCTGGAACAAAGGGGGATGTGAACCCCAACAGTTTCCTGCCACCTGTCTCACCATCACCTTCCCTCCTACAACATAATCCTCAGAGGTCCTGCTGTCCGCAGCCCTGCAGTCTTACAAGGGTGCTATGAGACCAATTAACATACATTTATTTGGTGCCACTTTCCAATAACAAGAACTTCACAGGTGCTTGAATACAACCCTCTTCCTTTCCACTATGCCAGGAACTATGGCTCTGCCTGTACTTAGTCTTCATATATTGTTGCTTATATTTGCCCTATAAGATTTATCAAAGATGAAATTTGCTTTCTTGTTTCCTGATATTATTGTGTGGGGATGGTCTTTGAGAAGAAAGAGTTAAGAAATGCCTTTACTACTGAAACTATGTCACCCTCAGTTATAATTTAGGAAAGCAATTTGCCAATATGCTAAGGAATCTAACAAAAAGTCTGACAGAAGCTTATAAAACAAGTCTTCTGTTTCCATCATTCCACTTAAACAGCTGACATCACGGTACCAGTGACCTCCAGCTTGCTAAAATCAATGGACTTTTTCAGTCTTCATCTTAACTTTCTCAGCAGTGATGGGCATCGTTTGTAATCTGTCTTACTTAAAATATTCTCTTCCTTTGATTCCATGATACTTATATGCATTTGTTTTACGTTGAACTCTCTGGTTGCTCCACTCATTACTTCTTTCATTTATCAAATATATATTGAGTGCCTTCTGTATGCCAGGAATTTTGCTAGGAGTTTAGAATGCAATGATGAATACAAAATCATGGTCCCCACCATTCAGGAGCTGACACCTTGTGTGTCCTTTGCAGATGCATCTGTTTCCATCTAGCTGTGAAATTATGAAATTCCTCTATTTTTTGTCTCTTGCCTCTTGTCACTATATATAATATCATCTCCCTAGAAAAAGTCATCCTTGCCAACAGCTTTAATTATTATCTATGTACCAAAGGCACAAAGTTAAATCTCTTGCCAAGACTCCTACTCTGAGCTTCACGCCTTTATCTATTTGACATCCCCATTTGAATATTTTAAAGTTGCCACTCAGTATTTCCAAAACAAAACTAGATCTGGTAATCCCAACTCTAGTGAACATTGTCCAACCATTCATGCAACATAAAATCTATAGCTTTGACTGTGTCTCATTCCACATAAAAAGTCTACCACCAGTTTCTCTCTCCTGTTCTAATTTTCTAAATATGTCTCATCTCCATCCACTTGTCTCTATCTCTACTGTCCGATATGGTAGCTGCAAGTCACATGTAGCTGCTTACATTTAATTAATTAAAATTAAAAATGTTAAAAATATAAAATATAAATAAAATATAAAATTTTACATTTAAAAGCAGCCATATCTGTGGAATAGTAGATATACAACACATGTATCATCACAGAAATTTATATTAGATAGCACTGCCTTAGACTTTAAGCTAAAATGATGGTTATAAGATACATAACTTATATAAAAGATGTCATATATATATGTAATGTGAAACCTACAGTATCAGTAAAAAAATAAATAACTGTACAAACGCACTCAAAAATACTACATATAAGCCAAAATGGAATTCAAAACAAAATATTCAAGTAACACACAGGAAGGTAGCACATAGAAAACAGAGAAAAAACACAAGATAAGCACAAAACCTAGAGTAAAATGACAGACTTATTACTCAATATATTAATAATTATGTTAAATGTAAGTGATGTAAACTAAATGCTTGAAAATTAAGAGGTTTTGGGATTACAGAAACAGACTAGCCTGTACCATTATCAAAATTTACTCAATAATTTATATTGGTATATAAACTATACAAATTTTATATTAAATATTATTAATATTTTATACAAATACTGTGTAAAACATTTGCATATCATAAAAACCCATGCAAAGCTCTCAGCTCTGTCCCTGCCTGGCACAGAGTAGCCTTCAATGAGAGCTACTATTGTGAGGACAGCCACTGGGTGGGACTCCTTGTCACTTGCTTGCTCCAGGTGTCAACTTCCCACACCAGTGCCTCAGAGTTTTGCCCCTCCTTATACCTGCACTATTCCTAAGTGGCCTCATCTAAGCCCATGGTTTCAACTATCACTTATACCAGGGTCAGCTACTTGCATGGCACAAGTGCCACAACTCTCCTGGTTAGGCACCCAAATCATTATTCCCTGGGCAGCTGCTTTTAATTGATCTGTTAGAACTTGAAATAAAACATCTTTTTATCCTGAGTAGATACCAATGAGTGCCTATGATGAGTCCACTAGCCTTCTTCCCTGGGTACATGTGTAAGTTGTCCTAAGGGTCCATTACAAAACTCCATGCTGAAATCTTCTGAAAATTAAAAATAAAATGGGAAGAGGAAAAGAAAAACTAGTGACTAGTGGGAGAGAGATCGTATTTTAGTTTTAAAAGAGATCGGGGAGGGCTTGGAACTACTTTCTATTTAGAAGCCTGAGACAAGGGGCTTGATGGAACCAAGATAAAGAATCCCAAAATCTGATGTGCTCTGGTGCGAGTTCATCATAAGAGTGAAGGACTTATTGCATATTATATAAAAACCACCAGTGAACATAGAATATTTCTACCTGAGACAAGCTAATAAATTAATAACTCTGAAAGTTAATGATTGCAAACATCGGTGTATTTATTTGAGGATATATATTAAAGAACAAAAAAAAACTTTCAAATCGAATTGGTATAACTGCCTCATTTTCTAAGAGGAAGGTGGAGTTCATAAGTGACCACAATGAGAGACTACAATTAGAAAGCATTCCTCCCCACTCCCGAGTCCACATCCTACTCTAAAAATTCATCACTCCCAATTTATAAATGCAGGCAAATTCAAACAAAATTTCTGCCATTTTAGTTTTTCATTTACATGTTCGCATATACGTACTGCAAAGTATGAATATGTGCGATACCAACTCATACCCTTTTGCAAAAATCTAGTGTATAAACCTAAAAAAAAAAAAGCTGTGTCTACCCACTACTTGAACCAAACCAGTTCTAGAGGATTAAGATGTCTACCTTGTGTGTGCTATGAAGAATAATGGCCTCTCAAAGACACACAACTAATTCCCAGAACCACTGAATATGTTGAATTATATGGGAAGAGGAATTACATTTGCCAATCAACTGACTTTAACATAGAGAAATTATCCTGGATTATCCAGATGGACCCAATGTAATTAATTAAAAGGTCCTTAAATGTGGAAGATGGAGGCAGACGAGTCAGTACCAGACAATGTGATGTGACGGGAGGCTCATCTGGCCATTGCTGGAAAGAGGTCAAGGAATATGAATGAAAAAATGGAATTCTTCTCTAAAGCTTCTAGAATGCAGCTCAGCATTGATACAAGGATCTAATCCTGTGAGACTCATTTCAGACATGTGAACCACAAAACTAAGTTAATAAATTCGTGCTCATTTAAGCCACTAAGTTTGTGGTAATCTATTATCACAGCAATAGAAAAACTAACTTACTTCCCACAAACTCATTTCATGTTTTCCTGTGGCCCCTGTAAAGTATTGATGCCTGTTTATAAAGTATCAGAGAGAAATAAATTTATCATAGGTCTTAATACAATTAAGCAATTCTTCTCTCATAAAATAAGAACCACTCTCAAAATTCAATTATTTATTGAGCCCGTACTCGATGAGACACAGCTAAGAAGTGCCCCTTCCCCATCCCTGAACAATTCCCCCTACCCAGCCAGGATCAATGCCTCAGCTGGGCACATCCTATGTTTTTCTAGTCTTCTACAATAGATCTCCTATAGTGTAGTGGTAGGCATGCTCAAAAGCATAGAATCTTCTTAGAAAGTAGTGGATAGCAGTGATCATCACAGCTAATGGAGAATTTGCTTCATTTTCTAAATTTGAAAACAAAAACAAACAAAAAACGGGAGTTATCAAGAGAAACAAGAGAACCAGGGCTCAAAAGATCAGCCCCATCTTTTCACCCTTTCCCTGGGCATGAAACTTAATTTCTTTAGGGTGTAATTTTTTATCCTCCCTCCCTTGTCTTCTCCCTAATGTGAGATATTTACACACTGTCCAGGCATCCATTTTACTCCATGTTCCCTTCAAAACTCTTTTGAAGGAAAGAGTCCTTGTTAATCTTATCCCTATTTAGTTACTGAAAATCCAAATAACTGGGCTCTCTTTCCTCCAGGGAGGAAAGAGATTGTCTTTAACCTCCATGTTACATTTTGTAGTTGATCTCAGCATCTGGGAAGTTTTAAGTTTGGAATTTTTACCAGTGAATTTAAACTAGCATTGAAAATGGTATCAAATCATCAGTAAAGTATTAAAGGTAAAAGAGGAGAATCTTACAAAACTTCACTGAGGTGAACTCCAAGAGTCTTCTCTGAAGGTGCTGGGCTGGTCTTCAATTAAGTAAAGAAATGTTTCTTATTCATGGTCAGTAAGACTCATTCACCACATGTCTACCATTCTGTTATGAGCCTCCAATAGTGTTAGTAAATGTAGGATTCCACTGAGTCTGTGGCACCAAAACCCTCTTTCTCCTAATCTTCAAGGTACTCCACCAGGACTCAAATCCTACTATGGAAATGGAATGCAAATGCATTCCATGAGAAGGACTGGGTTAAAGGCATGGCCTTCACTCACACTTAGAAGTTCCTAAGTGTAGCAGGTGAACTAGACCTATCCTCATGTGCTAGCAAACATGACGCCCAGGTGAGAAAGGCATATAATGGGGGCAGAGTACCAGAGTCCACTTCTTGAGTCTGTCCTCGAATCCTTCTCAAGAAAAATCTATGGTAGGAATCCAGTCTGCTGGAGGAAAGCAGGCCTTCCCTCAGGAATGCAAAAGATGGGAGCCCATCCCCTGCCCAGGCCTCCTGCGAAGCCAGACCCTCACTCACGGAAAGCCTGGGTGTTCTCCAGGTACACATCTGTGGGTGACTCCAGGTCCATGGTGGATTCTGGTAGGTCAGTGGTTGATTCTACAGGAGCCAAAAAGAAAAGAACAGCGCAAGTACTTTCCAGTGAGAATTTTCACTCTTAGGTAGATCTTTTTCTGGGGAAACATGGAACATAATGTGGCAGACCACATCAAACGTGGTCTCACCACAAGCCTCTCTTCTGCCACCCGCTGGAAAGTCCAGTGGACTAACTGCTGCCTGGGAGGGTGCTCAAAGCCCCCCACCCACCCTCTTTTCAAGGGTTCGGTTTAGGAAGGAGCATTCAATATTGTGCCTCTAAATGTGTATTGGTCAGACTGGAAGAAAAAGTCCAAGACTCCCCTTTATACTTCTTCCAGGTTCCTGAAAGCAAAAAACAAAAACCAAAAGGGGTTAAGGATCAAGGAAGCCAGCTATTTCTAAGGAGTGGAGCAAGAATGAAATAGACGCTAAATGGGCCACTCCTATAATTTTTTCATTTAATGGACAGTGTCTAGGTCTTTATTTTCCACCCTGTCTCTCAGAATGCACAAGCCAGGCGTTCTGGGGCTTGCTAACCATATCAGCATCATAAACTTGTGGGTCTGTTGAGCAACAACCAGGCTCCCTTTAGGCTACAGTGATGGATCACACGCAGGGGCATTGCAGCGGGTCATGGGCCCAGGAGGCCAGAATCACCTGCTCTATAATGTAGACAGTTTGCTTTATCATAGTTTATATCAGCAAACAAGCTGATATATCAGCAAACAAGCTACACCCAGCATCTCCCACACTGAGAGCTACCAGGAGGAGAGCCAGAGGAAGAGGAGGGGAAAGTAATCTTTTCAATACAAATGAATGAGCACCTCTCCTCCTGAGAAATCGACCTGCATTCAGGAAGAGCCAGGAAAGAATGCTTTTAGCTGAAAGTTTCATGAAGACAGCTGTTTCTTTCTTTTCTCAACATGATTTACAAGTTTCCATTTCAGACCCACTCATTTCCATTGCCTGTGACCAAGCGAGATAATAAAGTGCTCTGAAATTTTCTGCACTTCACCATCAAATGAGGATACCTCCTGGGACTTTTTAACCTGAGAGAAATAGAATAATGCCTTTTCAGCACCCAATAGGGAGTGAGACCACAGATAAACCTCAGAAGTTCTCTAATCAGGTGCCCTAATGGCAGCAGGCCCAGCCCATTAAGTTTATGAGGTCAGTTCAAACACAACACAAATCTTATCTTAGCCACTCAATTACTCAAACCCTCCGAGCTCAGCCACCCATCCCATCTTAAGACCAAATCCATATGATTCTTACCCAATTCAGCTTTACAACTTTCACAGCAGGCCTCTCTCTCTCTCTCTACCCAATCCCCTTCTCTCTTTCTGTATACACATGCACACAAATAATTTTAGCCCCATTCTCCAAAAGACCTCCCATGGCCCACTTACCTGGGGGGAGTGTGGGAAATGTCACAGCCAGGACCCACAAGGCTGAGAAGATCAGGGCCTTCCTGAGCATGGTGTAAGCAGGGAGGGTAGAAGGCTGGGAAGGTGAGCAGGCAGGTAGGCAGAGCAGGCAGGTGGGCAGGCCCTGGAGCTGTGGTGTGTACGGGTAAGAGCTAGAGAGCTCTGCTGGCCTTTTATAGAACCCTCAGCCCCTTGTCCCTGAAGGAGGCATTCCCAGGTGGTTATTAAAAAAAACAATTCTTGCTCACACAATGAGAATGTCCAAGGAACAAGGGCAAGAAAAGGGAACTGGGGGAAGGGAGAAGCAGGAAGGATGTTAGGAGGAAAACTCTGGTAAGGTCCCTTTCTAAATTAGGTTGCATTGCTCCATTACCATGAGCCCTGTTTATCTGCTTCTCTGAGGGGCAGAGGAGAAATTCTGTCTCCACCAGATATCTGAGATGACCCCTACCTCCTGGCCCAAGCTTGCAAGATTGTCATCTAGGCTGGAACCAGAAATTGTTTAACTGAGCCTCCAAAACCCTACTTTGTGTCAGAGGACAAGACTAAGTATCCCAGTGAGAGCCTGCTGGCTACTTTGACTGTAAGGGAACACTCTAATGCAAACCATATCCTAACCCTGGGGGATCCCTGAAAGAGAATTGTAGCTGATCGTGATAACTACTACAACGTTACTACTCCTAGCAATCACATGTTATGTGATTCCACGCATGCTACCATCTTACTTGATTCTCACCACGATCCCATGCAGTAGGCATCATTATCCCTATTTTTCTGGTGACGAACCTTGAGGCTGAGAGATTAAGTGACTCCAGATTTCCCTAAAGATAGTCACTCTCTGGGGTGTCATTAACATTAAGTGCTTTCTGGCTCTGTGGACCTGGCTTCTGCTCCAGACTTTCTCAGTCCTCCTGGGGCCAGTATCAAGCTGAGATATGTCCCTGGCTGTAGCACTTTAGGCAGGAGAAAACAGGCAAGGGCAAGGGACCAGCTCGCCTGGTCAGCCTCAGCTCTCAATTAAGTCTTTAACAAATGTGCATGAATCCCATCACAGGGTCAAACTCCCTTTAAATCTTAGTTTTCTTAGAAGGTTGCAGCAAATTCCTTCTCCTCAGTAACCACAAGATTGACAATATCATATTGAGAGAAACCTCTCAGTAATAATAATAATACCCAACATTTATTGATACCAAATACCTAATACCAAACCTATGGTAATCTTATTATTCCCCTTTTCTAGATCAGGAAACCATGTCCCAGAGAGAGAGGGTCGTTAATTTATGAGAAGTCACTCAGTAAATGTCATACAATAAGGAAATAAACCTACTGGCAGTCTGAAACTAGACTATGCCTTCTTCTTTTATTTGTTTGTTTGTTTGTTTGTTTCTTTGCTTTTAGAGACAGAATCTCACTCTGTTGCCCAGGCTGCATACAGTGGCAGAATCATAGCTCACTGCAGCCTTACACTCCTGGCCTCAAGTGATCCTCCCACTTCAGCCTCCTGAGGAGCTGGGACTACAAGTGCATGCCATTGCACCTGGCTAGTTATTTTATGTTTTGTAGAGACAAGGGTCTTGCTATGTTGCCCAGGCTGGTCTCGAACTCCTGAGCTCAGGTGATCCTCCTGCCTTGGCCTCTCAAAAGGCTAGGATTACAGGAGGGAGCCACTGAACCCAGATCCCTAGAGCCTAAGCTCTCAATCACTCTATTTGTCCTTCCAACCTAGTTATCTCTCTGTTCTCCTCACTGCTGTCTTTGACCTGTGAAACGTGGCACTGCACAGGGCTTTGCCCTAAAGGAAGGGGAAAATGGACACACACTAGAGAACATTTTGTTTTTCTGTAAACTCAGTTTCCTTGGCAAGCCCTGTACAATTAAGTGTAACCCAAACACAATAGTCAGGAGCTTGGGAAGCAAGAAGCTGATAAAAAAAAATCTGCAGACAATAACACAGCAAACATAGGACTCAAATGAGATAATAATGCACTAAGTTATAGGCCAGTGGAAAAAGGGAGAATTTTACCTGCACTGGCAGCAATATAAGAATATTTTCCACCGTGGAAAAGTGCAAGAACTGACTGGCAAATGGGCGAAGTGGAGTCTCTGAGGTCCTAGAGGAGAGCTGGACTGAGGCGTTAAGGGGCAGGAGTGACCTACCTCCTCTAGAAGATTTGACTTCTTCCTGACCACCTAAAAATAGAAACACCGCTTTAGATGTCCATCCGAATGTCATAGGACCATCTCATTGCCTCAATTTCAACCAGAGTCAGGGAAAGAATGGCTGCCTGGTGACCCCTATGTTGAAACATGGGAGCAATTTGCTCTCCCCTCATGGAGATGTGCTTCTCTTTCTCACCGGCTGAGCACCAGTAGGTAATGGACACAGTGGGTCCCAGAGGGGAACCTGGCCTTGCTGAGGTGAGAGCTAATGAAACTGTAAGGTTACAGTTGCAGGGTTTTTATTTAAAGAAGTTGTAGTTATTAAATATATAATATATATAAATAATTTTTGTGGGGAGACAGGGTTTACTCTGTCGCCCAGGCTGGGGTGCAGTGGTGTGAACTCAGCTCACTGCAAACTCCACCGCCCAGGCTCAAGCAATCCCCCAACCTCAGCCTCCCTAGTAGCTGAGACTACAGGCTCACACCACCATGCCTGCCTAATTTTTCTATTTTTGTTGAGACAGAGTTTTGCCATGTTGCCCAGGCTGGTCTTGAACTCCCTGGGCTCAAGCAATCCACCCACCTTAGCCTCCCAAAGTGCTGGGATTACAGGTGTGAGCCACTGTATCTGGCCTGCAGTTATTATGTTAGTTCTCTGTTATTATATTAGTATACTGTTTTTACTTCCTTGGCTTTTTACACATGTTGTAGGACTTTCTCCTTAGTTCAGCTAAGCCTGGTCTTGCCACATGGCCATGAAATATTAGACTCACAGACACTTTGAAGGGTGAGAAAAATGGAATTTATTGGGCAAAAAGGGAAAAAAGGGGAACGGGGACTCTCAGCAAGAGTCCTGCTAGCCAGTTTTCCCGCCTCACAGGTTGAATCCCAGGTTACCACACCCCGAAACAGGAGAGGCCAGGCTCCAACCCCCTGCAAAACAGCACCAACTTCCCAAGGCTCCACCCCTGTGCACACTCCTCCCAGTGCAAAGGCGGGCTGGAGTTTCTCCGGGGAATTCTCTACACTTGGCTGTCTCACATTTGCTACCAAGTATAATAGAATCATTTAACCTCATGATGTGAAGGTATCTTAAATTGTGTCCAGCTCAACAGACATGCAAGATCTTTTTGTTGAATAGAAGAATGTTTTTCCCTCCTATACAGCATACCTGTCAAGTGGGCTGTCAGCCCGGTGTTGGAGAACTTGGTACATTGAGAGGAATAGTTCATCTTTGGACAACTATTCTTTCTAATAGTTGAAATATGCCTTCTTATAATTTCAAACTGTTTACCCCAATTTTATTCTTGAGGGGCCATATATATAAAATTAAGTCCTTCTTCACTCTTCAAATGTCAAAGGCAGCTATCATTTTATTTTCAAATTTCTTCACCGTCTTAAAAAAAAAGGTACAAGTTTGCTCCTTTCTTTTTCTCTGAAGTTTCCTCAGTATCTAGCAGGGTCTGGCACATAGGAAGTGATAAACATGTTTATTGATAAATTAATAACTAGACTTCTGGTTACTAGTCTGTGATCTCATATGGTCTTCTATAAAGGAAGCACTAGAATTAAAACAAGTTATTGGCCAGGTGCAGTGGTTCATACCTGTAATCCTAGGCAAAAGTGGGTGGATCCCTTGAGGCCAAAAGTTCGAGACCAACATGCACAATAAAGCAAGATCCCATCTCTACAAAAAAATTTAAAAATTAGCCAGATGCAGTGACACATGCCTGCAGTCCCAGCTACTGGGGAGGGTGAGGTGGGAGGATCCCTCAAGCTCAGGAGTTTGAGGGCACAGTGAGCTATGATCAGACACTCCAGCCTGGGCAACAGAGCAAGACCCTATCTCAAAAGAACAAAACACCTAGATAGGATGGCTTATGCCTGTAATCACAGCACTTTGGGAGGCTGAAGTAGGAGAATTGCTTGAGCATAGGAGTTCAAGACCAGCCTGGACAATGTAGGGAGACCCCATCTCTACAAAAAATAAATACCATTCAACCCAGAAATTCCATTGCTGGGTATATACCCAAAGGAGTATCAATTGTTCTATTGTAAAGACAATGCATGCATATGTTCATTGCAGCACTATTCACAATAGCAAAGACATAGAAGCAACCTAAATGCCCATCAACGGCAGACTAGATAAAGAAAATGTGGTACATATATACCATGGAATACTATGCAGCCTTAAAAAAGAATGAGATTATGTCCTTTGCAGGAACATGAATGGAGGTAGAGGTCATTATCCTTAGCAAACTAACACGGGAACAGAAAACCATAAGACTCACATTTTCACTTATAAGTGGGAGCTAAGTAATGAGAACATGTGGACACATTGAGGGGAATAACAGATACTGTGGCCTACTTGAGTGGAAGGATGGGAGGAGGGAGGGGTTCAGGAAAAAAAAACTAAAACTGTCAGGTACTATGCTTAGTGCCCAGGTGACGAAATAATCTGTACACCAAACCCCCGAGTCACGAGTTTACCTATAAAACAAACCTGTATATACCCAGAACCTAAAATAAAAGCTAAAATACTTTTAAAAATAAAATTAGCCAGACGTGGTTGCACACACCTATGGTCCAAGCTACTCCAGAAGCTAAAGCAGGAGGATCACTTGAGCCCAGGAGGTGAAGACTGCAGTGAGCTGAGATTGCACCACTGCACTCTAGCCTAGGTGACAGAGCAAGACTCTGTTTCAAAAAAAAAAAAAAGAGCAAAAGAAAAACAGACCATAAAAACCCCCAAATTATCACAAGTTTGAGCCAGTGACAGCAGAAAAATAATAAACTTACCACCATCCTTCTTTCTGGAAAATATGTGGTATTAGTTAGGTTATATTAAATTGATCTGTAATGAATACTATGGGTAGGCCTCACAGAAAGTATGGAAGGTTTTTTTCACAGCACCAAAGAAACTCAAAAGCTTTTGCATCTACCTCCTCCAGAGTGAGATCAGATTCTGGAAAGTGGGTTGAGCTGGGGCATATCCTGCCACTGTGTCACCCACCCCCATAAGAACCAAGCTGCACAGCACCTGCCAGCGTGCCTCCAGGCATGTGATCCAGAGCAAGGTGCTTCTTTCAGTCCAAACCCCAACTATCATCCTGCCTTAGGGAATAGTTTCCAGATACCAACACTCACATTTCTCCTCCGTGGAATAGGGAGCCTAGAATGAGGCAAAAGTCCTGTGACCTGGGCCACCCACCTCTACTGCAGATTGGATATGGATAAAGGTTAGCCCTGTGTCCTAGTATCAGATCAAGCATGTTTCAAGTATCTGTTCAGTGACCCAGCTATTACACTCAGTACCTTGAGAAATTCAAAGGAAGGCCAAAAATTGATGCCTTTTTTTTTTTTAAGGTGGATTCTCGCTCTTTCACCCAGGCTGGAGTGCAGTGGCACAATCTCAGCTCACTGCAACCTCCCCCTCCCAGGTTCAAGCAATTCTCCTGCCTCAGCCTCCTGAGTAGCTGGGACTACAGGTGCCCGCCACCACGCCTGACTAATTTTTTGTATTTTTAGTAGAGACAGGGTTTCACTGTGTTATCCAGGATGGTCTCGATCTCCAGACCTCATGATCCGCCTGCCTCAGCCTCCCAAAGTGCTGGGATTACAGGCATGAGCCACCGCAGTTAGAATCAGAGTAAGTCAGAAAATATATAATACAAAGACAGGTCAAAACAAGATACTGAGAAATCTAATCATGTGCCAGTGGTACAAAAAAAGCCTTTTTTTTAAACAAATGTTTGCGAAGTCACTGTGAAATGCAATGACTGAGGCAGAAGAGGCACTGGGCAGGGAGGTTAACCTCATAGATCTGGGATCCAACAGCCTGGCTGTAAATCCTGCCTCTGCCAGTAATACTTAGGTGACCTTTGGCAAGTTACTGAAGTCATGGTACTTCAGTTTTCTCATCCATACAATGGAGATAAAAATAGGTTTCACTTTATTGGGGTTGTTGTGAGGTTAATTTACTCATGCAAAATGCCTACAATAAGGGAAAGTCACAGTAAACATTAGCTGTTTTTATTACGGGCTGAAGATGAAAAAGTCTCAGGTCCCTAGTAACTTGATGATACTGTTTTCTGGTGGGAACATGAAGAAGCATGATCCTGGAAAGTTCCATGGGAAAAATGCAACAAATGAAAATACGAGTAGGATTCACTTGAGTTCAGTAAACATGTTTCTAGGTATAGACAGAAAGGTCCCTGGGCAAGAATAATGCGTTGGAGGAGACAAAAATGTGCATGAATAGCAGTGTTCAAGGTGTCATGTGAACTGTAATAAATTTGGTTGCCTTATTTCTACAAAGTCTATTATAGAGCCCTGGTGCCAAATAAATGATTATTCATCTGTACTGAATTCTAGGTGAGAAGACACTGTCAAATGCAACCTTTCAGCAGTGGCTAAAAGCTTGGGTTCTAGACTCAGATTGTCTGGCCATGAACCCAGGTCCTTGGGAGACCTTGAACTTGCCCAAATCACTCTGTCCAGTTTTCCTGATTTGCAAAACGCAGGTGATGATACTAATCCCTTCATAGGGTCATTGTGAGAATTAAATGAACTGATCCATGTAAATTGGTAAATGACATATAATAAATGATCAATGATTGGCACCTTCATTATTATAACTTGAGATGGACCTTAAAGAATAAAGTAAAACTATCCGAGTAATTACCCTCATTAAAGAAAAGTATGTGACTGGAGACTACAATGAGAGGGTGACAAAAAGAGGGCAGTGGAAGAGGAGGTTGTGGCCGTCTGAAATGACACTGGGGAGCATACCAAGGAGATCTTCAAAAGCTGAAGAGTTGAGTCATTATTCTGCTGGCAAAACAGAGTCATTGAGAATGTGAAGTCAATGGTTGGCATGGTAAAAGCCATGCTTTAGGAAGACTAGCCAAACCTGCACAAACAGAGAGCAGGTCAGTAATGGCACTGCACAGGCAAGAGCCACCATGGGTTCAGCAGCATGGTAGCCCTAGGCCTGAAAAGTATACAGATATTAAAGACATTATGAAGGTGAAATTAAAGGGACTTGGTGACTGATTAGATGTGGGGCAAAGTGCCCTCACCATGACATATGCTCAAAAAAGTTGGCTTTCTAGGATTTTAGCTCTTTTAGGAAATGAATTCTCAGAGTTTAAACCACTATCCTAAAAATAAAAAGAAAAGAGGAAGGAGGGGAGGACAAAAAGAATTATAACTCTTCAGATTTGGCCGAAAGCCTTGCCTGGTAGTCAATGAACAAGGAAGAAAACACACTGTGGTACACCATGAAGAGATTTCAGTGGATTTAATTGAAGTTTTAGGACCAATGTGTTCTCTTGGACTTAGCACACATCCTCATGGGCAATTCTGAGACTGATTCCCGTCTTTGTCTCTTAGATATTTTAAGCTCTAGGTTAGACTCTTTTAAACCATGGTGGAGGGACAGCAGGGGGAGCAGGATTTTGATCAGCTGATAGATAAGAAATGCAAAAATTATAACAATGAGATATCACCTCACACCTATTGGGATGGCCACTATCAAAACAACAGAAAATAACAAGTGTTAGCAAGGATGTGGAGAAATTAGAGTCCCTGTACACAGCTTTGGGAATGTAAACTGGAGCAGCCTTTATGGAAAACAATATAGAGGTTTCTTGAAAAATTAAACATAGAGTTACCAAATAATCCATCAATCCCTCTTCTGGACAAATATTCAAAATCAGGATTGTTTTTTTGAAACAGGGTCTCACTCTGTCATCCAGGCTGGAGTGCAGTGGTGCGATCTAGGCTCACTGCAGCCTCTGCCTCCCTGGTTCAAGCGATTCTCACACCTCAGCCTCCTGAGTAGTTGGGATTACAAGTGTTTGCCGCAATGCCTGGCTAGTTTTTGTATTTTTAGTTGAGGTGGGGTTTCACTATGTTGGCCAGGCTGCTCTCAAACTCCTGGTCTCAAGTGATCCACCTGCCTTGGACTCCCAAAGTGCTGGGATTACAGGTATGAGCCACTGCACCAAGAAGAAATCAGGATGTTGAAAAGATCCTTACATATCTTTGTTTATTGCAGCATTATTCACAATAGCCAAGAGGTAGAGCAACTCGGATGTTCATCTATGGATGAATGAAGTTAAAAATGTGGTACACACATATGACGGAATATTATTCAGCCTTTAAAAAGGAATGAATCCTTTCCTATGCTATGAACAAGGTCATACAGATGAACAAACATGGTTACATGGATAAACTTTGAGAACATTATGCTAGATGGAAGAAGCCAGTCACAAAAAGACCAAGACTGCATGAGTCCACTTATGTGAGGTATCTAAAGTAGTCAAACTCACAAAAATGGAAAGTAGAAAGGTGGGTGTCAAGGGCTGGGGGAAGGAGACATTATTGTTCAATGGGTGTAGACTTTTAGTTTTGCAAGATGAAAAATTTCTAGAGATCTCTATTTGTTGCACAACAATGTGAATATACTTAACACAACTGAACTATACACTTAAAAGAAGTTAAGTGGTAAATTTAAGGGTATGGATTTTTTACTACAATAAAAACATTTTTAGCAGTTATAACAAGTAATAATGACTAAATGGCAATTACTATGTCCCAGGCACTATTGTAAATATTTTACAAATTCTGAGTACTTTACAAATATGTACTCATTTTAACCCTCACAATAATCCTAAACAGCATATAAAGTATTATAACAGCATCAATTTACTAATGAAGAAACTGAGGCGCAAGGAAATTAGGTCACTTGCCCAGTTACAGAGCAAGTAAGAGGTAGAGGCAGGAATAAATACAGGCAGCATGGCTTGGAGTAGAGCCCCATTTTTTTTCTCTATTCAGGCTTATCTCTACCCATCTTCTGGTGTTAAGAATAATGACTCTGCTAGTTTGGAATTAATCCCTTTCTTATGTCTCTGCCTCAAATATACTAAAAGTTTTAAGGGCAGGGGCCAAAGCCATACAACTTCATGACATTATGTTATCCAACCAGATGCCTTGGCCATAATCATTGAACCAAATTAACTCACATGTTTTAAAAACAGACATTGAAGCTTAACAGAATTGCATCAAAGTAAGATTTGAACCAGGAGTTTCATCCATTCTCCTAATGACCCATTTCTAAACAACTGCTTCTTCCTTATCACTGAATTGGGATAGGGACCATGGTGAGAGGTAGAAGATGGTGAATCAAAGAAACTTCAGTTTTTCTTATCGCATTTTGAGTCACATAAGGAAATGTCAGAAAAGAGTTTATGTATCTTTTGCTGACCTCTCCAAAAGGTTTAATAGAAATGCACTATGGAATTTTATCCACCACTATTTTCCTTACAAATGAGCCTCTTCTTTAACCACTCCAACACTCACCTTGGTGAAGCTGAATGCAGGTTTAAGGATGGAAAAAGGAAGCTAGGGAAGAGCTCATTATTAGATCTGATAACCCCCCAGGACAATCCTACACAAAAACATCACAAAATCTTTTGTATACAAAATCTATTTTCTCTCTCGATCACTAGAATTTCCTCCAAGCAGTATTGTCTTCTACCCTCTCTTAAAACTAGTGTAGTAAGAGACTCTTTCTTAAGAACGTATCATTGGTTTCTTAGGAAGAGTCTGAAATGGTGGCTCTTCTGAGTAGTGTTACAGTCCCCCTAAGTGGCTTGTCCCCTACTCATTCCAAGAAAATCACTGCCATTACCATCACCGAAACAATTCTGTTAAACCAATATTTAATTGAGCGAATATTAAGTGAGACAAAACGTACTGAGGATACAGAGTTGAATGGACCCTGCCTCCAAGAATCACACAATCTATTTGGGGGGAGTGGAAAGGTTAGACAACATAATCTGTGAGGAAATCAAATGTTAGCATCAGCTCTAACATTTGAGCAGACTTGCTGGTTACCCCCAGGGGTTGCCAGACACTAGCAACACGAAGACAAGTTAGTTACTGCCTCTAACGCCAAATGTATTGCTGGCTTACAGAAGTTCAGGGGAACTTTCATAAAGAATGTGGTATTTCAATTGGCCCTTAAAAATGGGTAAGATTTCATCAGGGTAAAACAGGCAGGGTTATCAGGAAGAAGGAACAGTCATGTAAATACACATAGAGGTAGACATAGGAGAGTGGAGAACACATCCAGGAATGGCAATTAGTCTAATATGTCTTAAGAGGATATTGCAGAGATGATGGAAAGTTGAGGCCATATTATGAAAAGCCGACTTGGAAATAGAAGGCCGAAGAGAATTGCCTCATTGATACATAATAGCCTATTGGTGAAGATTTTTTAGCAGATTGAGCCAAATCAAATTATATTGTAGGAAGACAGATAGTGAACAAGAATTTAAAGCAGAGAAGAGGGGCATCACAATAGCACAGGCAAGGCACTGAGTAGCAAGATTACAGTAATGAAAGCAAGCACTATGATCAGCAATTTATATTTAATGTATGATACGGAGAGTCAGGGTCCAGGGAAAAGAAAAGATAACTCCACCTTGTGAAGCCTGAATTATTCCAGTGATGTATTGCAGTGAAGCAAAGCAGGAGTCAGTTTCTGAGTGGTATTGTGAGGAACAGGATGTTGGTGAGGAGATTTGCAGAAGGGGTAGGCAAGATGAGTTTGGCTACTGGCAATTAAGTTACCTTAAGAGAACCTTGTTGGAAATACCCCACAGGTGGCAAAAAAAAAAGAAGATGAAACTGAGATCCAGGGAATTTTGATTAACAATCATGGTTTTGCTTTATGCATAGAGATGTATGAGCCATTTGCTTAAAACTGCTGTCACCAAAATGGTGCACGTGATTCCAAGGGAAATGTAGAAAGACAGGAGGTGCAGGCCTTACCTGAACCAGACAAAATTCCAGTCTAGTGAAATTCTTATGGGTATAGAGGAAAAGTCAGCAAAGGAAACAAGTTAGAGAAAGAAGAAAGTCAAGCCAGGCTCCTTGGCACCCGCCTATAATCCCAGCTACTTGGGAGGCCACGACAGGAGGATAACTAGAGCCCAGGAGTTCAAGTCCAGCCTGAGCAACATAGTGAGACCCCATCTCTAAACACATATATATTTAATATATGTTTCATTACCTATTTAGACTTCTGTTTTCTCTCACTAAAGTAAGCAATTTTTAGGAAGGAACCAAGAGTCGTTCTTGTTAGCATCCCAGGTTTTTGGTTGTCCCATTCCCTCTTCTCTCTCAGAGTAACAGAATCCCTAATGTTTAGCTGGGCATATGGTTCCCCAATATGAAGATGCATTTCCCAGCCTCCAGGCAATATGAGCAGAACTAATATGTGTAACCTCTAAGTTTTGTCCCTAGAGGGAAGAGGCATACCCTTCACTTCCACTTTCCTCCTTTTCTGCCTTATGAGATGTGGGTGTGGTAGTGTGTCACCTTGAACCATTTGCATAAGGGCAACACCATAGGGATGGCAGAGAATATATAACGAAAGGATTCACAGAACAAAGCCATCATAACAAATAAGAGAAATAAACCTCTATCCTGTCCAAGACACTGTTAGTATAGTGTTAGTATAGTGTTAGTGAGCTACACTGTTAGTATATCCTGAGTAGCGCAAACTAATCTGCATAGATTAATCCCAGAACCTAGCATAGCTTCCATTAGTTGCTTCATAAAGAAGGAAGGAGAGGAGGGAAACGATGTCTAAAGCCTCTATCAGTAAGGAGACATTTTAGATTATGGCAAGGCTATAGGAATCCAAGAAAGAGATTTTTCTTTAGTTGAATCAACCCACAGGTTTGACCTCTTGCATTTCTTTGCACCAAGTCAAGCTTGCTATGATGAAAATCTCCAGTCTGATCTTTCTTCACTTTGCCATTAATTGAATGAAAGGCTTTGTTATTATAAGTCCAGTCTTAAATGAGGCAAGAACTTCCCTCTTTGATTTGTGGCCTTTTGTTCTGAGATGCAGGAGATTTATGAATGTTTCACGGGGCTTTCAAATCCAAATTTATTCTTATGCCATTTCTGAGAGATAGACAGAATGCATATCAATATCATTCTATAAATAATCTCCCAAGACATTGCCACCTCCATAAGTAGGTAGTTAAATATTGAATGTTAAATAAAATGGAAACCCAAAGTAGTAAGTGACTTGCCCAAGGTTAGCACATCAAGAGATAGAACGAAGGCCTTCAGAATTCTTTCTACATCTCAACAGGCAAAAGATAAAATTCTAACAATTTAAAGATATTAATTGGCTTATTTGCAATTCTAGAATCAGACAACACTTTATTCCACAAAATAGAATAAGTGTTCTAATAAGCCAAGCAGAGGAGTGTGGTTTTATAGACAGAAAATGGCTAAATAAAGCAGAAAGAAAGAAAAAAAAGCGATTGGTGATTTCAAAGTTGTTTTCCTTTTAATGAAGGAACCAAGAAATAGAACAATAGAGAAATAACTGATTGTATAATATCAGGTTGCTTTTTCCTTTTTCTTTTTGGTAAGGATTAAAACAGAGAACACTTTATTACCCTGCCAGTTGAAACTGGCCTGTTTGGGAAATTAGACTGTAATCCCTCTCTCCTGATTTCTCAGGTCAGAAAGGAACTCAGTTTCCATTTGACTGGATGCCATGGAACTTCAATGTAAGGGACACCATTTTGATTTTTAGTCTGGACTGTAGGGGCCCAGTGCGGAAATTGACTCCAAAACAACACTCTCATAATTTTTAGCACAGCATAGCAGACTTCATGGACAATAACTTCTGGGGAGCCTCTATCATCACAGGATTTGCTGTCAATAAGGTTTCTCTGGAAATACTAGAAGGTATCTAATTCCTCATTTTTTCTGTTGGAAACCCAAAATGTCTCACTTTTCTCCCCCATCACTTATGAGGAAATACAAGCACATTTTCCTAATTTATTTTATACTGACAGTTGGAAAAGGAAAAAAGCAAAGAAAATTCCAATTTGTTTCCAAGTAATTAAAATCAATACAATCTCAACTTCTTCCAATCTTTGCTTCCATGAAAAGCAGCCCATAACAGCAAAGGCCTTGTTCACTTTCCTTTTCTGTTTTTACTAGGAAGTCCTACTGGAAGCATGTAAGCTTGCAAGTTCTCTTGCTTAAGGCACAAGTATTTGACATTTACATAAAAACATTTTTTAAGAACAACAGCAAGAATCCACCAAATGCCTAATCATGGGAGTTCCTGGCAGGCCTTGTGGGGGTTTTTTGTTTTGTTTTGTTTTGCCCCCCAGGGCTTTATGATTTTGATTAAGGTGCCTCAACAGGGGCCTTATATGAGCAGTTACTCAACATCAAGGACAAAGAAAACCTTCTATATGTCCTCCAACCCCCTAGGGCCACCAGAGACCTGCAGTGATCAAACCCCAGTGTACACAGGGGCTATATGAAATCACCAAATTGCTGGGCATTCTGTGGGCCCTTATAGTCCCAGCTACTTCGAAGACAAACAGGAGGATCACTCAAGACCAGATGTTCAAGGCTGTGGTGAGATTTGACCACAACTGTGACTAGCTGCATTCCAATCTGTCTCAAAAAAAAAAAAAAAGAAAAAGAAAAAAAAAACATTTTGGGAGGCCGAGGCGGGTGGATCACTTCAGATTGGGAGTTTGAGACCAGCCTGGCAAACATGGTGAAACCCCGTCTCTACTAAAAATACAAAAATTCGCCAGGCGTGGTGGCGCATGCCTGTAATCCCAGCCATTTGGGAGGCTGAAGCATGAAAATCGCTTGAACCTGGGAGACGGAGGTTGCAGTGAGCCAAGATGGCTTCAATTGCCCTCCAGTCTGGGTGACAGAGCGAGATGAAAGAAAGGAAGAAAGAGAGAAAGAAGGAAAGAAGAAAGAAAGAAAGAAAGAAAGAAAGAAAGAAAGAAAGAAAGAAAGAAAGAAAGAAAGAAAGAGACAGAGAGAGAGAGAGGAAGGAAGGAAGGAAGGAAGGAAGAAAGAAAAAGAAAGAAAGAAAGAAAGAAAGAAAGAAAGAAAGAAAGAAAGAAAGAAAGAGGAAAAGAAAAGAAAAGAAAGAAGAAAGAAAAGAAAGAGAAAGAAAAAGAAAGAGAGAAGGGAGGGAGGGAGGGAACCAAAAAATTATCAAATTATTTCCAACTCTTCTTCTTGGTCCTCAAAGTTCTGGCCCATTTCTCCTTCTTTCTATAAGAAATTCCCTGATATTTCTAGTAGCAATCTGGGTAGATTCTCTCCTGGGCTTCTCCCAGTTCTTCTGCTCCCATCCCCTCTCCATCATCCACAACTATATTTGATATTGACTGATTCATAGATTACTAACACCACTTCTACTATCAGTTCATTCGCATCACATGACAAACAGTGATTGCACACCTACTACATTTCAACCCTCTGGTCACTCCAGGTGTTTTGTTGTACGTTACTTCTGTGGTTAGCCTTTTACCTCCTGGCCTAGTTATAGAGTTGGGCCTAGGTATGATATTCAGTTTCTTCTTGGGAGAGTAGTAGGAGCCTTACCAGTGGTCTTCCTCATGTTCTCTGCTGCACGGGACCTCCCAAAGTCTGATAGGATGGAGGGCAAGAATGGGCACAAGGAACTATAATCCTTTTTCAATTCTGCTCCTTAGCACTCTTGCATCTGCTAGCTGGGATCTTACCCAGTGAGATCAATCTCTTTTTCTCTATCTCCATTTGTATTCTTATAGTGGGAGATCAATAAAATACTGACTGCATAAATAAATTAATAAATGAAAAGATAGAAGAAATGAATCTTTTCAAGTCAACTTTTTAGATATTCTCTGTTCTCCACATAGACACAGAGGGGGAACAACACACAGTGGGGCCTGTCAGGTGGAGGTGGGGAGAGGGAGGGAGAACATCAGGAAAAATAGCTAATGCATGCTGGGCTTAATACCTAGGTGATGGGTTGATAGATGAAGCAAACCACCATGGCACAAGTTTACCTATGCAACAAACCTGCACATCGTGCACATGTACCCCAGAACTTAAAATAAATTTTTTTTAAAAAGAGAGACAGATTAACACGAAAAAAAAAGATATTCTCTATTCTCAATTCAGTGGGCCACCTTATGACACCAATTCTGTGTGATCCAGCAATAGATGTTTCCAAAATGAGAACATTATGTGTTACACAAGCCCAAAGATGCAAGAAACCAGAAAAGGGAGCCCAGGAAATTCAGGAATATATTCTACTTTTCCATGCAAGAAGATAAATATAGATGATAAGGATGGGGATAAAGAGAAGCCTGGAATAGAACAGAATTCAAAATCACAACTCAAGCAGCATTTTAGATTGAACCAGAAGGAATTTAGCCCTACTACATTTTAAGTTTTTAATCAGACAGGAAAATTTAACGGGAAATGTAATGGCATGCTACACCTGGCAACGCTGGCCAGTAACCAAACATCCTGGAAGTATGTTTATGGAGGTTGCTGTGTCTTGAACAAAGCTGAGAGCATCTTGCCCTTTAATCAGCATAGGCACTAACCAGAGAAGGCTTCCTACATGCAATTTGCATAGAAATCAAATGGGAAAACTAGTCCCACCAGCTTCTTAACTGTGAAATACCAGGATAATTCCAATAATGTCTTGCATTTGTACAGAATTTGACAAGTTTTGTAATCGTTTCCAAGCATTATCGTATCTGAGCCTCCCAACATCCGTTGGGGTAGGAGTGATCTCAGTTTTATTGAATATCTTCAGGACTTTATGCTGATATGTTTTAGGGAAGAGATATTGGCTTCATTGTCTCAGTTGATGGCATTTTCACGCCCCAAAAACCAAAAACAAAAACCAAGAAAAACAGGGAGTCCAAAAGGAAAGTTTCTGGAGTCCTGATAAAGGCAGGCTTTCAGGACACCTGACCTTACTTTTCATTATTACCACCTGAAACCTACACACCCTAAAATGGTCATGGTGGGGTCCCTATCTGTAAAACTCCAGGATCATAGAGGTTATAAACTTAGAGATCAATAAACTTAAGGTCATTAGGATAGAACTAAATGTAGAGACCAGCCCAATGCCTTCATTTTAATGAGAAGAAAAATGAAGTTCAGAAAGGTTAGGTAAAATTGTCTGAGTTCCAACCCCAACATGACCTCTAGGCAAATTTCTTAAGCCCTCTTTGCCTCATTTTCTCCATATGTGATACGAGCATAATACCAACCTGAAGTGGCTGTCGTAAAGATTAGGAACGTCCCTGAAGTTAGTAAGTACTGAGTGTTTAGCAAGTACTCAATAAATGGCTGATATTACTAATATCATCATCATCATCATCTACCAAGGACACATAGAAGAGTTGGAACTGAAATCTGACTCTAAACCCATTATTCTTTCCACCACAGAACATTATCAATTTCTGTGGGAGGAGCTCTTCTGCCCTCTTTGAGGTGTCAAAGACATTAAAAGCAAATTCTTCCATCTCCACATCAAATGCATAGCAGGAACTGGATTTAGAGCAACCCTAAGGCATGTGATATCAAAATATCATCACCACAGCCCGAAATAAAGGCACAATCAATTCATCTGAAATCTTTCTTTATCAGTCAAAGAATTTTAGACAATGAGTTCACAGGGGAAAAAATTGTAATTACAGTAATAGGGTCAAGGAATGTATAATTCTCCCTCTTCATTTCAGTAGCTAATATACCAATGACCTTTATGTGAAAATGGGGGAGGAAGGAGTAGGAAAAAAAATCAGAAAATTGGATACCTGAGAGTTATTGCAGACAAACAGAAAAATAAACTCCCATGTAAAGTATAGAATTGGCTGATTCCATCTTAAAGCCAGATACCTCTGGAATAAGACATATAACAAAATATAGCTGTTTCACTTGAAGAGGGCCAAAACAGCTAGACTCATCACTAAAGAAAGTACATCAGAGGAGAAACCAGCCATGACATCCAAAAGTACTTTGCTACAATAACGTGTAGCTATAGAGTCATAGAATATTAGGCTATAAACACCTAAATAAGAAGCTCAGCCTAACTCTTCTGTGTCTCCCCAGAAGCTAGCCATAGATCTGTAACACAGCACATTTTCAAAGCTTGATTAAAAAAAAACAGGAGACCCCAGGTGGGGTAGAACACTCATGAGATAAGTAATAGTAAACCAAAAGGTATCTGAGACAAGTCTCAATCAGTTTAGAAGGTTTATTTTGCTAAGGTTAAGGATGCACCAGTGACATGGCCTCCGGAGGTCCAGATGACATGTGCCCAGTGTGACTGGGGTACAGCTTGCTTTTATACATTTTAGGGAGACATAATACATCAATCAATACATGTAAGATTTATTGGTTCCATCTGGAAGGGTGGGACAACTCGAAGGTCGGGGCTGCTTTTAGGTCATAGGTAGATTTAAAAATATTATGATTGGCAATTGGTTGAAAGAGTTATTGTCAGTGAGAAGAAATGTCTAGGTTACAAAAAGGGGTTATGGAGACCTAGGTTTTGTCATGCAGATGAAGCCTCCAAGTAGGAGGCTTTAGAGAGAATAGACTGTATGTATTTCTTATCAGACTTAAGGTCTGTGTTGATGTCAGTCAGGGGTATAATAAGGCATGTCCAAGCCCCACTTCCCTTCATGGTCTGAACCAGTCTTTCAGATTAAATTTACAGTGTCCTGGCCAAGGAAGAAGTCCATTCAGATGGGGATGAGGAGGCTTCAAATTTCATCTTTGTTTTACATAATGATATGATCATAAGTTCCCATGTGTCCACTGAGGCACTGGGATCCCACATGATTAGACAACCCAGAGAATGACATCAGATTCTGGACCTGCTGACCATATCCTCCTATAATACATCCCACTCACCCCCACTTGCCACGTGAGGTGCCTTGAGTTATATAGTGCTGCCACAGTGGCCCTTTCTCAGATCTAGGGACCAGAAGAAAGGGCAGAATAAAGAGCACATTTTCCAGCTGTTTCCTGATCAAGAAGAGCCCTGATCTGGAGCAGAGCCCAAGGGAACAATAATGACACTGTAATCTCACAAAAAGATGGTAGGGAGAGTCTGAAAAGAAAAACTATACTGAAAATAGAGAGAAACCCCCAGACCCCTAAAATGGTCATCAAAAGAGAAATTGCCAACCTTCTTCTGGTTCCATTCTCAACTTCTTGTCCATTGAATTTCCAAATAGGCTGCTAGATGTCATATTCCCAATTCTAATCAGAATTGCCTTTCCAATCGCAGTCCTCACTAGGTTGAACCTGAGATATTCTCCTGACTGCTTTTTCTCTTTGGCTTTTCCAGTGGATTCTTTTCTCAATTCTTCACCAAATAATTCCGTCAAACCACCAATGAATTTCTGACTGGAATCCTGTTCCAAAATTTCCCTGAACTATCTGCTGGTATCCCCCGGTCTGTGGACAATGCTGAAGACATTTAAAAAGGCATAAAGCAAATGTAAGCAAAACACTGAGCATTTAAGCAGTCAGATCAATGTCTGTTGTCTCTCCTATCTCTCTCATCCTGAAACAGGAGAGTAGATGGCACACCTACAATTTTCAGTCACCGCCAGTGATAGAAACACTCTATAACTGCTGTCCAATATCATAGCCACTAGTCACATGTGGTTATTGAGCATTTGAATTTTTAATTTTATTTAATTTTGAGGGTTTTTTCTGAGACTGGGTGATATGGTTTGGTTCTGTGTCCCCACCCAAATTTCACGTTGAATTGTAATCCCCATGTGTTGAAAGAGGGGCCTGGTGGGAGGTGATTGAATCATGGGGGTGAACTTCTCCCTTGCTGTTTTCATGATGAAGTTCTCACGAGATCTGGTTGATTAAAAGTACGCAGCACTTCCCCCTTTGCTCTCTCTCTCCTGTCACCATATGAAGATGTACTTGCTTCCCCTTCACCTTCTGCCATGACTGTAAGTTTCCTGAGCCGTCCTCCCCCAGCCTTGCCTCCTGTACATCCTTTAGGGGTTTAGTCAATTAAACCTCTTTTCTTTATAAGTTATCCAGTCTCGGGTAGTTCTTTACAGCAGTGTGAGAACGGACTAATGCACAGGGTCTCACTATGTTGCCCAGGCTTCTAAATTATGGAATAGATCCCTTTTTCCTGCTCCCTGTTGAGTCTAATTTCCCATGTCAGGAATGAGAGTTTCCTCAGAAAAAAGAAGAATATATAGAAATAACAGAGACATTTGGGACTTTGCTAGCACAAACACAACCTGAATCACTCTCCTAAAACCGTTCTTGTGGTCCTGCTTTATCCACAGACCAAATTGATTGCCACTATCCTAATTTATCCTTATTATTATTGATATTTAAAAAGAACACTGTAGGAATAATCTTTCTTAGTACTGGTATAGAACATTGTCATGGTATAGACATTTGTTCTGTTTCCAGGGGTTTTCACATTTCTTTCTCATTTAGAAGAATTATCATTCATTTAAAAAGTATATATTAAGGAGCTGGGTGCAGTGGTTCAATGCTTGTGAGCCCAGCATTTTGGGAGGCAAAAGGAGGATCACTTGAGGCTGGGAGTTTGAGACCAGTCCAGGCAACATAGTGAGATCCCATCTCTACAAAAAATTCAAAACTTAGCCAGGCTTAGTGATGTGTGCCTGTAGCCCCAGCTATTCAGGAGGCTGAGGTGGGAGGATGGCTTGAGCACAGGAGTTTGAGGCTACGGTGAGCCATGATTGGGCCACTGCACTCCAGTTTGGGTAACAGAGCAAGACTATGTCTTTTTATTAAAAAAAAAAAGAAAAGAAAAAAACAACAAACAGTTAAGGGCAGCAGACAGTCAAGTGAGGTATCCAAGTAAGCTAAAGAAGAATGTATTCACGAGCCCATTTTCTCTTTATCTCTCTTTGATTTAAGAGTCTTTGATTGTAGGTGTGTGGTCTTATTTCTGGGCTCTCTATTCTGTTCTAGTGGTTTATTTGTCTGTTTTTGTATCAGTACCGTGCTGTTTTGGTTACTGTAGCCCTGTAGCATAGTTTGAAGTTGGGTAGTGTGATGCCTCCAGCTTTGTTCTTTTTGCTTAGGATTGCCTTGGCTATTCAGGCCCTTCTTTGGTTCCACATGAATTGTAAAAGTTTTTTTCTAGTTCTGTGAAGAATGTCAATGGTAGTTTAAAAGGAAGAGCATCAAATCTATAAATTGCTCTGGACAGTATAACTACTTTAACAATATTTATTCTTCCTATCCACGAGCATGGAATGTTTTTCCATTTGTGTCCTCTCTGATTTCCTTTAGCAGTGTTTTGTAGTTCTCCTTGTAGAGATCTTTCACTTCCCTGGTTAGCTGTATTCCTAAGTGTTTTATTATTTTTGTGGCAATTGTGAATGGGATTGCATTCCTGATTTGGCTCTTGGTTTGACTGTTGTTGATGTATAAGAATGCTAGTGATTTTTGCGCATTGATTTTGTATCCTGAGACTTTGCTGAAGTTGTTCACAGCTTAAGAAGCTTTTGGGCTGAGACTATGGAATTTTCTAGATATAGGATCATGTTATCTGCAGACAGGAATAGTTTGATTTCCTCCCTTCCTATTTGGATATGCTTTATTTCTTTCTCTTGCCTGATTGCCCTGGCCAGGACTTCCAATATTACATTGAATAGGTGTAATGACAGAGGGCATCCTTGTCTTGTGCTGGTTTTCAAGAGGAACACTTCTAGTTTTTGCCCATTTAGTGTGATGTTGGCTGTGGTTTCTTATAGATGGCTCTTATTATATTGAGTTGTGTTCCTTCACTATCTGATCTTCGACAAACCTGACAAAAACAAGCAATGGGAAAAGGAATCTCTATTCAATAAATGGTGCTGGGATAACTGGTTAGCCACATGCAGAAGATGAAAACTGAACCTCTTCCTTACACCATATACAAAAATTAAGTGAAGATAGATTAAACACTTACATGTAAAATCCAAAACTATAGAAAACCTGGAATACAATCTAGGCAATACCATTCTGGACATAGAAACAGGCAAAGACTTCATGACGAAGACCCCAAAAGCAATTGCAACAAAAGCAAAAATTAACAAATGGGATTTAACTTAAGAGCTTCTGCTCAGCAAAGGAAACTATCAACAAGGTTAACAGACAACCTACACAACGGAAGAAAATTTTTGCAAGCTATGCATCTGACAAAAGTCTAATATCCAGCATCTATAAGGAACTTAAGCAAATCACCCATTAAAAAGTGGGCAAAGGACATAAACAGACACTTTTCAAAAGAAGACATACATATCACCAAAAATCATATGAAAAAAAAGCTCAACATCACTAATCATTAGAGAAATGTAAATCAAAACCACAATGAGATAACATCTGACACTAGACAGAATGGCTATCATGAAAAAGCAAAAAATAACAGATGTTGGCAAGGCTGTGGAGTAAGAGGAATGCTTATACACTGTTCGTGGGAGCGTAAATTAGTTCAACCATCATGGAAGACAGTGTGGTAATTCCTCAAAGATCTAAAAACAGAAATACCGTTCAACCTAGCAATCCCATTGCTGGGTATATTCCCAAAGAAATATAAATTGTGCTGTTATAAAGACACATGCGCTCATATGTTCATTGCAGCACTATTCACTATAGCAGACATGGAATCAACCTAAATGCTCATCAATAGCAGACTAGGTAAAGAAAATGTGGTACATATACACCATGGAATGCTATGCAGTCATTGAAAAGAGCAAGATCATGTCCTTTGCAGCAACATGGACAGAGCTGGAGGCCATTATCCTCAGCAAACTAATGCAGGAACAGAAAACCAAATACCGTATGTTCTCACTTATTAGTGGGACCTAAATGGAGAGAACACATGGACACATAGAGGGGAGCAACACACACTGGGGCCTATCAGAGGGTGAAGGTGGAAGGAGGGAGATCAGGAAAAAGAACTAATGGGTACTAGGCTTAATATCTGGGTGATGAAACAAATCTATACAACAAACCCCCATGACACAAGTTTCCTATGAAACAAACCTGCCCATGTACCCCTGGACTCAAAATAAAAGTTAAATTTTTAAAAAAAAGAAGTTCTTGGTAATGCCCACAAGAACTTTATCTCTGTCTATCATAGCAGGTTCCACCTCTCAGTTCTCCACCTATCCAAGGGCAGAGGGCAGAGATTCTCATCAGCAAAGCAGTCAGGTAATTGCCAACAATCCAAGTAAATTCAGGACTTAGACTCCATTCTAGATTTTGCCTCTGACTGACTTTAAGCTAGTTTTCTTCAGGAGAAGGACGCAAAATAACACTTTTCTTTTAAAGAATTGTTATGCTAATCTCCGTGGGGGAACAGATGTAATTACTTACTATTCTTCACAGTCCCAAACATCTTGAATTTGCTGTGGCTTGGAAGGCAAACAAATCTTCACAGCCTCTCTTACTGTGATTCCGCTGCAAAGGTGAGACAACTTCCATGGCAAACTTAATGGTAATATTTTCTAATTGAGTTACCCCTACTCTTCTTCTTCCAAGACATTTTCTCCCCAACATAATCCTCGCAGTCTTTATTTAATCAGAGTCTGTGTCTAATACATTACAGATGCTCAAAGAAACATTTCATATAAGAGTGAAATAATTAATGGTGTGGGAAACAGATCAAAAAGCTCAGCCAGACCCAGGTTAGATGGGACTCATGAAGACTTCCTTGACAGTCAGGTGAATGAGAAAGCCAGCAGCCAGGAAACCGGGCTGTCCCTCTGACATGAACATCTTGGAAATTCCAGATAAGCATTACTGAGATGCTGAAGAGGAATAGTTAGCTGGCCAGGGCAGAGGGAACAGCAAAAAGCAGAGTTTACAGGGCCTGGAGAGCAACTGAGTTACCTGATTTACGTTGGTTGGTGCTAGACTCCCTTGGAGCGGGCAGAAGAGGCTACCAGTCACCTTCCTCATGGTGGGCAGTCTTCTGTTTCCAATGGGAAATGCATGGAGAAACAAAGCAGTGAAGTACCTGGAGGGCAGCCGTGCTAAGGTAAGGCAAAAACCAAGCCCTAGTCCTTCTCTCACTTTCAAGTCTTCTTAAGGGAGGAAGAGATTTGATAGATTATCCACTAAATTTCATTGGGACAGTCACTAGGGGCTGGATGGGTGGAAGTCATTTTATATAAGGCCAAATCAAAGATTTTTAAAACAAGTTAAGGATAAAGAAAAGTAAAAGGCGGAAGATGATAAATGAGAAGTAACTTGGAATCACATTAAATACAGCCATCACAGTAAAAAAAAAAAAAAAAAAAAAAATCTATTGAGCTCTTGCTGGGATTGAACAGAGATGACCAGTTTAATAATTCAATGGGCCTAGAACAATGGCCCAAACTTGTAATCCTAGCACTTTGGGAGGCTGAGGAAGGAGGATCACTTGAGTTCAAGAGTTCAAGACCAGCCTGGACAACATGTCTCTACAAATAATTTAAAAAGTAGCCGGGCATGGTGGTGCATGCCTGTGGTCCCAGCTACTCAGAAGGCTGAGGCAGGAGGATCATGTGAGCCCAGGAGGTCAAGGAAGCAGTGAGCTGTGACTGTGCCCCTGCACTCCAGCCTGGGTGACACAGCGATATTCTGTCAAAAAAAAAAAAATAATGGAACGATTTGTAAAAAACAAACAAACAAAAAAGCAAGTAGAAAATATCAGAGACAATTCAAGATCATTATAACCATGACCTTTAATTAAAATTAAGAGAATAAAACTAAAAGAACAACAGAACTAGAAAAAATCCACAGACATAGAAAAATATAAAATGTATTCTGTAGTTGTAAATAATACTCTAGGAATACATAGGTTCTGGCAAAACCCAATTTGCTGTTCAGGTTATGTTTTGGCTTTAAAATGTGTTGTCCTAACTTGAGGAAATAGGGGATAGAGAGGGTAAAGATGATAGGAAAATGAAAACACTGGCTAAATAAAGTCATTAGAAGGCAAAGAAGAAGGTAAAGGGAAAAATTCATGGTAAATTAGGTTGGAAGATAAGAGGATGAAAAGAAGTAGCTTTCTCACTTATTTTAGTAATAATTGTTATGAGTGAGCATAATTTGCCTTTAAAAGGAGTAAATTTTTTTAAAAAAATATAGATGTTTGCACTCCTTATTACATGTTCTGACTTGTATATTAAGTCATTTAACAAATATGTATTGTATCAGGCATTGTTCTAAGCACTAGTAGGAAATAAAATAGGCGAAGTCCCTGCTATCATAGTGAAGGAAGAGAGACATAAAAATAAACAAATATAATAAATTAGATAGGATTAGTAGTATGGGGCCAGGCTCGGTGGCTCATGCCTGTAATCTCAGCACTTTGGGAAGCCAAGGTGGGAGGAGTGCTTGAGCCCAGGAGTTCGAGACCAGCATGGGCAACAGAGTGAGATTTTTTATTTTCTAAAAACAAAATAGATAGGGTTAGTAGTATAGAAAAACCATCAAGGAAGATTTATTGACAGGGCTGGTGTGGTAGGTCCAGAGGAATCTAGGGCCCATGCTATTTTATATGAGGGCTCCAAGAAGGTCTCTCTGAGAAAAGTTTTCAAGAAAATGAGGGAGAAAGACAGATGCTATCTGGAGAAAGAATGTTCCAGGCAGCAGGAACAGTAGTGCAAAGGCCCTGAAGTGGCATGGAAATGGCTTTGGTTCATTTTCTTCATGTACTTCTGCTTGGTCTTCTCTCAATATAGGAGGACTAAAATTAAGAGCCACCAGACAGAAAGTTTCATGAGGCAAATATGAATTTACCAGACTCAATTTGTTCAACAAATATCTTTTGAGTACCTGTGAGATAAACCAAGCACTGTTCTAGGTGCTAGGGCACAAACTTTCCAAAACAAAGTTTCTGGCCCTAATGAAGCATCCCATCGTAAAGGCAGGGACTGACAAGTAGGCCAAAGTAGTAAAGAATACATAGTGTGCTATACAGCACAAGTGCTAAGAAGAAAAGCAAAGAAGTGAAGAGGCATAGGGACTGAGTGTGTTGGTGGGGGATGAGCCCCAGAACCCAGATGGATCTTGAAAGGAGCACGGGTGTGTCAAAAAGGAAAATATTCGCAGCTGATTTTCCGATCCTGGAACCGTAGAGAAGGGTTAGACACAAACAATCCTTGTGGATGAAGCAAGTAGTTAAACATTAACACAAAGAACTAAGACCCAAAACAATACAGACAACAACAGGAAGCAAATATTAAGGCCGTTGCTGATTAACTTATTCAGTAAGCATTTTCAGTAAGTATTTTTAGGTAAGCTTACAGAATGCAAAGTGAAGCTAGAAGATAAAGTTAAATGAGCTCACAAAGGGTGGGGGAATACGTCTGGGAGGTGAGGTGCACCTCTGCCCGGCCGCCCCATCTGGGAAGTGAGGAGCGCCTCTGCCCGGCCGCCCTATCTGGGAAATGAGGTGCGCCTCTGCCCGGCCGCCCCATCTGGGAAGTGTACCCAACAGCTCCGAAGAGATAGCGACCATTGAGAACGGGCCATGATGACGATGGCGGTTTTGTCGAAAAAGGGGAAATGTGAGGAAAAGAAAGAGAGATCAGATTGTTACTGTGTCTGTGTAGAAAGAAGTTGACATAGGAGACACCATTTTGTTCTGTACTAAGAAAAATTCTTCTGCCTTGGGATGCTGTTATTCTATAACCTTACCCCCAACCCTGCGCTCTCTGAAACATGTGCTGTGTCCACTCAGGGTTAAATGGATTAAGGGTGGTGCAAGATGTGCTTTGTTAAACAGATGCTAGAAGGCAGCATGCTCCTTAAGAGTCATCACCATTCCCTAATCTCAAGTACCCAGGGACACAAACACTGCGGAAGGCCGCAGGGACCTCTACCTAGGAAAACCAGAGACCTTTGTTCACCTGTTTATCTGCTGACCTTCTCTCCACTATCATCCTATGACCCTGCCACATCCCCCTCTCTGAGAAACACCCAAGAATGATCAATAAATACTAAAAAAAAAAAAAAAAAAAAAAAAAAAAGGGTGGGGGAATCATAAGTCAGGGTGGTGAAAGAACCTTACAAAGGAAGGAACAGAAAGCAGAAGCAAATGTGTGAGGAAACAGGGAAGAACCTAAGGAAGCCATGTTCCAGAAAGACTATAAAAGACTCAGAGCACAAGCAACAATGCTAAATGTACCCATGTATATCATTATTTAAAAAGAACCCAGGCTGGGTGCAGTGGCTCATGCCTGTAATCCCAGCATTTTAGGAGACCAAGGTGGGCAGATCGCTTGAGCCCAGGAGTCCAAGACCAGCATGGGCAACATGGCGAAACCAGTCTCCACAAAAAAATACAAAAATTAGCTGGGCATGGATGGTATGTGCCTATAGTTTCAGCCCCTAGGGAGGCTGAGGTGGGAGGATCTATTGAGCCAGTGAGGTCAAGGCTGCAGTGAACTGCGATCACACCACTGCACTCCAGTCTGAGTAACAGAGCAAGACCTTGTCTCAAAATAAATAAATAAATAAATAACCCATAATCCACCGCATTTATGGCAGGAATCATCATCTTCTTTGGGCATTATTTCTTTCTTTTTTTTTTTTTTAGAGATGGGGTCTTACTATATTGCCCAGGCTGGTCTCAAAATCCTGGGC